>NC_000020.11:60016002-60632883 GCF_000001405.40 Homo sapiens
ATGCTGTTTCAGTTATTATAGTTTTGTAGTATATTTTGAAGTCTGATAGTGTGATCCTTGTAACTTTGTCTTTTGTGCTCAGAATTGTTTTGGCTCTTCAGGACCTTCTGTGGTTCCACACAAATTTTAAGATTTTTTTTTCTATTTCTGTGAAGAATGTCATTGGTGTTTTGATAGGGATTGCATTGAATCTGTAGATTGCTTTGCATAGTGTGATAATTTTACAACATTAATTCTTCTGATCCATGGGCATGAAATGTCTTTACATTTGTTTATATCCTCTGATTTTTCATCAGTATTTTGTAATCTTTTTTTGTAGAGGGTTTTCACTTCCATGGTTAAACTTATTCTTTGATATTTTAGTTTTTTGTAGTTATTGTAAAAGGGATTGCTGTCTTGATTTTTCAGCTAGTTTGTTGTTCATGTATAGAAATGCTACTGATTTATGTATGTTGATTTTTGTCTCCAGCAACTTTGCTGAATTTATTTATCAGTTCTAAGAGTTTTTGGTAGCATCTTTAGGTTTTTCTATATATGAGATTATGTCATCTGCAAACAGGGACAATTTGACTTCCTCCTTTCTAATTTGAATTCCCTTTTTTTCTTCCTCTTGTCTTATTGCTCTGGCTAGGACATTCAGTATTATGTTGAATACAAGAAGAGAGAGTGGGCACCCTTGTCTTGTTCCAGTCCTTAGGGGAATAGTTTCCAACTTTTCCTCATTTAGTATGATGTTAGCTGTGGGTGTGTCATATATAGCCTTAATTTGTTGAGGCACTTTCCTTTTATACCTAATTTTTTGGTATAAAAGATTTCTCATGAAAGGATACTGAATTTTATCAGAGGCTTTTTCTGCATCCGTTGAGATAATCATATGGTTTTTGTCCTTCATTTTGTTGATGTGATGTATCATGTGTACTGATTTGGGTATATGAAAGCCTTGCATTCCTGGGATAAATTCCACTTGACCATGATCTTTTATCTTTTTAATATATTTTTGGATTTGGTTTGCTAATATTTTTGTTGAGGGTTTTAACATCTATGTTCATTGGTGATATTGGCCTGTAGTTTTCTTTTTCTGTGTGTCTTTGTATGGCTTTGGAATGAGAGTTATGCTGGCCTCATAGAGTAAGAAAGGAAGAGCTATCTCTACTTGTTTTGTGGAATTGTCTGAGAAAAGTTGGTATTAATACTTCTTTAAAGTTTGGCAGAATTCAGTAGTGAAACCATCCGGCCCTGAACTTTCTTTTCTTGAGATAATTTTTATTATTGATTCAATCTTATTACTTGTTATTGGTCAATTGAGGTTTTCTATTTCTTTTTGGATCAATCTTAGTAGGTTGTATGTGTTCAGGAATTTATCCATTGCCTCTAGGTTTTCAAATTTACCGGCATATAGTTGTTCACAGTAATTAATAATTCTTTGTATTTCTGTGGTCTCTATTGTGACATCTCAATTTTTTGTTTCAATTTTATTTACTTGAATCTTTTCTCTTGTTTTCTTAGTCTAGCTAATGGTTTGTTGATTTCATTTATTTTTTCAAAAAATCAACTTTTTGTTTCATTAACCTTTTGTATTGTTTTTCTGGTCTCGATTTTGTTTATTTGTGCTCTGATCTTTATTATTTCTTTCCTTCTACTAATTTTGGGTTTCATTTCTTCTTGAATTTCTAGTTCCTTAAGATACATTATTAAATTGCTCATTTGAAATATTTCTAGTTGTTTAATGTAGTCATTTGTTACTTTAAACTTGCCTCTTACTACTGTTTTTGCTATGTTCCATAGATTTTGGTGTGCTGTGTTTCCTACTTTTATTTGCCTCAAGGAATTTTAAAATCTCATTCTTAATTGATTTTCTCACTCCTTGGTCATCAGGAGCATGTAGCTTAATTTCCATGTATTTGTATAGTTTTGAGTGTTCATCTTGTTCTTGATTTTTAGTTTTATTCTCTTGTGGTCAGATAAGATACTTTATATAATTTTGATTTTTAAAAACTTTTTGAAGCTTGTTTTGTATCCTAACATATGGCCTCTCCTGGAGAAAGTTACATGTGCTGATGAAAAAAATGTGTATTCCGTAGCTGTTGAGTGAAATGTTCTGTAAAGTCTACTAGGTCTATTTGGTAGGTTCAGTTTAAATCTGATGTTTCCTTGTTGATTTTATATCTAAATAATCTGTCCAGTGCTGAGAGTGAGATGTTGAAGTCCCCAACTATTATTGTATTGGGGCTTATTTCTGCCTTTAGATCTAATAATATTTGCTTTATAGATCTAGTGGTTCAGTGTTGGGTGCATGTTTATTTATAATTGGTATATTCTCTTGCTGACCTGTTCCCCTTATTATTATTTAATGTTTTTCTTGTCTCTTTTTACAGCATTTGACTTTAAAGTCTGCTTTGTCTGATATAAGTATAGCTACTCCAGCTCACTTTTAGTTTCTGTCTGTGTGGAATATCTTTTCCACCCCTTCATGTTCAGTCTATGTGTGTCTTTACAGGTGATGTGAGTTTCTTGAAGGCAGCATATAGTTGGGTTATTTTAAAATTCATCCAGCCAGTCTTTATCTTTTAAATGAGGAATATAATCTGATTCAAGGTTATTATGGATAAGTGAGGGCTTACTCCTGTCATTTTATTGATTTATTGATTGCCATGTTGTTATTTTGTATATCCTCTGTTTCTTACTTCCTCTCTTACTGCCTTTTTTTTTTTTTTTTTTTTTTTTTTTTTTTTTTGCAGTTGGGTGGTTTCCTGTAGTGATGAGCTTTTATTACTTTTTTTCCCCTTTGTTTTTGGCTTTTCCAGTGAGTTTTATAGTTTTGCATGTTTTCATGATTGTGGTTATTTTCTTTTCACTTCTAGATGTAAAACTCCCCTGAGCATTTCTTGTAAGATCAGAATAGTTGTGATGAATTCTCTTAACTTTTGCTTGTCTGTGAAAGATTTTACTTTTTCATTTCTGAAGGATAGCTTTGCTTGGTATAATATTATAGTCTGGCAAGTTTTGTTTTGTTTACAGTACTTCGAATATATCATCCAATTCTCTCCTGGCTTGTAAGGTTTCTGCTGAGAAATCCGCAGTCTAATGGGGATTCCATTATATGTGACTTGATGCTTTTCCTTTGCTGTTTTTAAAATTATTCCTTTGCCTTTAACTTTTGACAATTTGACTATAATGTGACTTGGAGAGAATCTATTTGGAGTGAATCTATTTGGAGTTCTTTGAGCTTCCTGGATCTGAGTGCCTATCTGTTCAACAGGAATTGGGATGTTTCCAGGTATTATTCCATAAAATATATTTCATACACCTTTTCCATTCTCTTCTCCTTCTGGAACACTCATAATGTGAATATTTGTCACTTAATGGTGTCCCATAAATCCTGTAGTCTTTCTTCATTCTTTTTTTGTCTGCCTGTTATTTCAAAAGACTTGTCTTCAAGTTCAGAAATTTATTATTCTGCTTGGTCTTGTCCATTGTTGAAACTCTCAATTATATTGTTTAATTTCATTCACTGAATTCTTCCATTCCAGAATTTCCACTTGATCCTTTTTAATTATATCTACCTTTTTGTTGAATTTCATGTACATATCAGAAATTGCTCCTTGATTTTGTTGAATTGTCTATTTGTATTCTCTTATATCTCACTGAATTTCCTTAAGATTATTATTTTGAATTCTTTTACTGGAATTTTGTGTGTTTCCTTATAATTGGGGTCTGTTACTAGAGAATTATTATGTTCCTTTGGAGGTGTCATGTTTCCTTGCCTGTTTTGTGTTTAATGTGTCCCTGCATTGATTTATACATATCTGGTGAAACAGTCACCTCTTCTAATTTTATGGAGTAGGTTTCATATGGAAAAACTTATTCATATAGATGGGTTTTGGGGTGTTGGTTTGATGGGGTGCATTGGCTTTGATTCTAAGTGGACACAGTAGTGTAGTCTCTATGTAGTGTCTTCAACTATAATCCATGCTAGTGATGTTTGTCTCAGTGGCCTGGGCTGAGAGAGTTTATGGCAGTGGTGGTGCAGCTTTGCTAGAGGTGGGCTCATTGGTTTGTTTCTTAGGTCAGGGGCATATGTGTGCACACAGTGGGTGAGCCAACTTGTGGTCTGGCTTTCTGGAGTTGGGACCGTGGGATTATTACTCTGGCTGGGGGCACAGACACACAATTGCTTGGCTGACCTGGGATCATGCCTGCCAGGGGCATCATATGGGGCTATTTCTCAGGCCTGGGACAGGGACACAAGGCCTCTTGGCCAGCCTGGAAGGTATCTTCCTGCAGCAGCCCACAGGGCTATTTTTCTGGCCTGAGATGGGGGCACATGGTTTCTCGGCTGGCCTGGGGATGTATCAGCTGCTTAGTGCCTCAGGGACCTCTCCCACTTGGGGTAGGGCATGCAGTGGTTTGGCTGGCTTAAGAGTGGGTTCACCCTGGGCAGGACTGCAAGGCCGTTTGTCCCACTGGAAATGTGGGCGGTGAAGGGTGGGTTTCTTTTTTGGGCTCATCCTGAGTCACAGCTAACTCTGGGCCTGGAATCTACACAGCTGGGGTTGTGACATTCAGACACTCATGTGGGCTTGGTGGAATGAATATGGAGCGCTGGTGCTGTAGAGGTACAGTTGCGACTGATCTCCAGAGCATAACACACTCCAGAGTGTGGCTCTGGTCTCAGAATGGTGCTGTCCTGCAGTAGCTTGGCTCACAGTGGGTGGGTATGTGTGGGTGAGAGCTTGGCTCACAATGTGGGGGGTAAGCACCTTGTGCTACTAATCTGGAACAATGCAGTTCAGTGAAATCCTTGCAGCTCTCCAAACTGGGCTCAGGGCTTTGTGAGGACTGTGGGAGTCTTGTATGTAAGGACTGTAGGTGTTTGCAGTGGCAATAGGGACTGTTAGTGATCTTCTGCTTACCTTTTTCCTGAAATGGAAAGTCCCTCCTGTCTCTGGGCTGATCAGATCCAGGCAGGGGAGATGGGGTGCAGATGCACGGTGCCTCTACACTGCCCTCCTGGGCTTCTAGCCGTCACAGGTACTTCTCCATTCCTCTGCTGCATGACAGCATTCTCTTTTCAACACTCCAGTTAAAGCTTAGTTATTTATTTGTTGCCATGATTCTTTCTTCGTGGGGGTCTGGGAGAGCACCAGACATCTCTAGTCAGCCATCTTGCTGATGTCACTCCCAGAAACATATACTTCTGAGTCTGAATTGTTGGTAAGGGCAATAGGTGGTTATTAGACCTTCTAGATTTGCCTTACTACCATGAGTCAAATATAGCACACTGTCTGTTCTTATAAATAAAGCTTTGTTGGCACACAACCATGCTCATTTGTTTAGGTATTATCTATGGCTCCCTTTGTGTTCCAGCAGCAGAGCTGAGTAATTGCAACAGAGACCCCACAGCCCACAAAGCCTTCATATTTACTTTCTGGCTCTTCATAGAAAAAGTGTGCTTGACTCCTTCTCTGGGGAATTCTATTTGGAACCTCTACATCATATCAGACATCTTAAGATGTATTCATACCTTACATTAAAAATGAACACATTGCCATACAAATTTTGAAAGGTTTTAAATAAATTTGCTTTTGACTATGGGTAACTTATTTAGCTTACTACTGGCTACAAAATGTCAGCAGTTTTGCTTATTTGTGAATTCCTGCATTATGAGATGCTCTCTGACAAATTGTTTTCAATAGTAATAAAATATTCATGCAATACTCATGAACAACAAATTTAACAATTAATGAGGTAACAAAATATCATGTTTTATAGATATTTAGTTAGACATTTATGAATTTTTAGTTTGCTGTCTTCTTTGTGTATTTTGAAGCCGATATCCTTATCTGTACACACACACACACACACACACACACACACACACACACACACACACACATATATATATATATATATATCCTGACTATTTTCATAGGCCTTTCGGTCTTGGAATTATAGTGTCCAGTGAAGAAAATGGTCATGTTGGCATCTTTATGAAGTACCCCTGGCATAGGATATTTCAGCCTTTCCCTTTACATGCAAGTCTATATTATATATTATCACCTTCCCCAACTGATGTCTGCAGGAGACATTCCTGGATGTCTGCTGGTCCTCCTCCCAAGTTCATTCTCAAGTCTACCTACATGCTTAAAGAAAGCATCCATTAGAAATATCAGCACCAGGAGGTTTTGGTGAAAATTCCTAGCTTGTAATGGAATTCACATATACTCATGAATTAAACTAATTCTTGCTAACGGCAATGAATAAGGCAATAAACAGAAATAGTAAATATTTTCAGAGAAAATGTGATTTTATTATGAACATTAGCCTCCAAATTACCCAGCAGTCCAAAGATAGCGGCAGTCTGAGAAGTTAAATATTTATTTTGCATTTCATCAATTTTGGTTTTTATGTGCAATAACAATCTGATTGGTTTTGTGGAGCTTTTCATCTAAGATGTTCATTGTGCTTACTTTTATGATTTACTAAACACAGCAGATACCTCAGTTGTTAAAACTTTCCTTTTCCCAAGTGAAACACTGACCGAGGAGACCTCATTGTATGTTTCTGTGAAGTAGGCATAGCAACGGTCCCCTCAAAGATGACCTGTGGCAGCCGTCAAGGATATCAAGACAGTGCCAAATAGAGGGCGTTTCTAAGATGGTTTCCTCTCATCAGAGAGTTTTTCTGTGTGGCAGAGACTGCAACCCTTGTCTAGTCATTGTCTTCTCTGAAATTTGTGTGTCAAAGGCCAAACAAATCTGCTATGAAGAAGGAGAAGGATAAAGAATTCTGGAGCCATGAAAACAGTCCTTTCACTGTTCCCAACACAAGCATTCTACTGCTGAAATTTTGTGCAAGTATGAGGCTGCAGAGACTGCTGATTGCCCTAAAACATGTTACCTCTTCTTCCCCAGTAAAAGAACCCTGATTCTTGCTGTGCACTTGCCAGGCAGAATGGCAGCAACATTTCCCATCCTCCACTTCAGCTAGGCATGGCTATGTGACTAAATTCTGGCCAATGGGAGGCAACTTCCAGGAAGTGTCCTTGAAGAGGGTGGAGATGTGTCTGTTTCCCTCTTCTTCTACTGGCTGGAATTAGAATGTGATGGCTGGAGGTGGGGCAGCCATTCTGGTCACTGCCGTCAGAGCTGATACACAGTGTAGTGCAGGATAGAAGAGGCAGAGGTGCCTGTGCACCAGGGAGCCCTACTCCACTCCTGAACCACCTTCCTCTAGACTCAAAGTGAGGAAGAATTAAATGTGTCTTGTTTAAGCCATTGCTCTTTTGGATTTTCTGTCATTCATGGCCAGGTCTAATCTTAACTGATACAAAATAGAGACCAAGAGAAGTGAGCTACAAGTAGCAGAACCGAAGCACGTGGCCTTGGCTTAATGGATGTGTTCAGGCGGCAGGGGCTCAAATATTGTGAGCTAGAGAGCCAGTGACCCTTGTTATACAGAAACAAAGCATTTGATAAAAACCACTGCCCATTGTTTTTTGAAAAGCAGCCCATGTCCTGAATAAGGACTGAGGCAGGAAATGGCAGGAGAAATTTATAATGTTAAAAAAAAAAAAGCATTAGCTGCTTATCACTGCTTTTAGCAATGTTCTACAAGAGAGAGCTGGACTTTGGCTACTGCTGGCCAGTACCTGAGCAAGAATGAAAGGAAACACAGTGTGCTAATGGAGGCACTCTACCTGCAGTCTGCAATTTAAGTTGACTGAGAGCTTGGTAATTTGGAGCCTTGCAGGGTTGAAAAAACAACTGCTGTGTTTCACAAACTATATCAGTCGTAGAAATGGTTTCTGCAAAGCAGCCTGCTTAGCAGAAAATAAAACTAGTGCCCCATCCTGCCAATTTGGAACCTTGTGTCAAAAGTCATTTGAAGGGTTTTGTCTTCCCAGCTAAGCCCTTCCTTCCCATGGCTCCAGGTGGGTACCATTATGCTGACAGAGGGAGAGAGAGAGAGAGAGAGAGAGAGAGAAATATCAGCAGAGCATGGAGGCCCATAAGGAAAAACCAGAAGTTTCAGCATTAAAAACGTGTCTTCACAGAAGAGCTCACCGGAAACAAGTAGATCTGAAGTCTTTATGTTTTTGAAAAACTGTTTTACCAAAGAAACCAGCAGTTTGGTCTGTCTGCAAAAGCTTGTGATTGTTTAACCCCAAAGTGATTCCTCTGGGGGGTTGGAACAACCAACCTTCAAAGCAAGAAGCAAACTGTGAACGCTGTGTAGCCTCAGGAAGGGCATACCCTTTGCCCCCCACACTGGGTACGGCAGGGGAGATAATAGTAGGGAAGAGCCTCTGAGAACACAAGGCCATGGCCATGGCGGGTGATGCTACAGAAGGAGACTCCACTCTTCCTGCCCACTGGGATTTGCTCACGTGTGTAGATGATGATGGCTGTGTTTATCAGCCTCCAACTACCAAGTGATAGTTTTAGTCACAGCTCTTCTGTTCTTACTCATCTCCCTTATGTTGGATGTATTGAGAGCAAGTAACTTATTACTTAGTTTGTAGTTTGTCAAACCATTAAAATCCTCATTCATATCTCAGAGAAAGGACTGTGCTTTACCCTGGGTTGCCAGATCTAGAGTCAGATGCAGTGATTGGATGGAATTTTGCAGATGTATCTCTTGGGGGCAAGAGATGAGCATGTTCTGTGTATGGGAAGAAAGGCTCACACAGGTCTGTGGGTGGCCAAAGGAGTGGACTGTAGCAGAAACTACTATCTCCCCACCCACTCCCATGATCTCTTCTTTCCTTATTCTTAAGAAATAAAACCCTGAATTTAGCCAGGGCTATGGCTTTCCCAAATGTACAATGCATTTCTCAGACTTCCTTGACCTAGCTGTGACCAGGTGACTAAGTTCTGGCCAATGGGATTCATGTAGTGGCAGCAGAGGTGGTCGTGCAAGTTCTGAAGGGTCCTGCAGAGAGCAGGTGCGCCCTCCTCTGCCTCTCCTCCCTCTCCCTGCAGGCTGGCTGCCGACCTGAAGGGGGACTATCTGCAGAGCTTGGGAAGGGAGGCATCCACAGTGGAATCCTGTGTTGGAAGGAGCCAGAGTCCCTCACACTGGCAGGCCAAAAAGGCCTGGATCCCCAAACTTTTACAAAAGAGAAATAAATGTAAGTCAGCATTTGTGGGGGCACTGTGTTCTGTCATTCATCGTCGAACTTAATACTAAGTAGCCCCAGTAATGTGGCCTAAAAAACAAACCAATAAATAGAAAACCACTGATGCATAAACGTGTGCTATGCTTTAGAGTGATTGCCTCGATGAGTTAAATGCATTCAGTGAACAGATTTTTCCCATTATGTTTAAACAAGTATATGTACAATGAGTGAGTTTCCTCCTTACACCGTGCTACACTATTGCTTAACAGATTCCTAAAATTCTCTTCCAAAATGCCTGTCACTGCCCCATGGCATATCCTTTTAAATATCCCTTTCCACTGACCTCACAATGTCACAGTGTCCTTTTGAGCTTGGATTTGATTTTTGGAAACTGCCAGAAGTCCTCCAGGGCCTTCGGGGTAAGCAGGTGGGTGATCAGCCTCAGCGACACCCTTCTGGGCTGGGAGCAGGTGTGGTGAAGGGCAGATGAACTCGTTACCTGAGGCACAAGGCCATTCATTCCCACATGGGCCTGTAGAGGGTTTGAGCCCTTGGGCATACCTGTTTTAAATGTTTTTAAAAACTTCCTCTCTCAGCCCAACTGAGAGGAGTATTAAGCAGTGGGGTAAGTGTGTACCTAGATCGCCAACCCTGGGCTGGCACTGCCAGTTTCCCCAGCACCTAGACTGCCAAGCACTGACTCCAGCTAACACTGTCCTTTATCAAAACACCCTTAAACCAAGAGTCTGAAAATACAATAAAGGTGATTAGGAGCTGCTTGCCCCTGATCAAAATGAACCCGGCGTAGTGTTGAATGCTTTCAATCTACCGAAATGGACCTTATGTGCTGGACACTATTTCATTTATGTGGAATCTGTGGTGTTAGCTTTCTCAGAGCCCAGAGCCAGGCACCAGGCCTCACTGGGATGCATGGCCCGAAAAAGGCTTCATTCTGACTTAGAATCTAGTAGGAGGTGAAGTCCCACAAAGTGACTGTTGCCTTAACCCGCTCTGGGAAGTCTGTGTTTGCTCTGGGGTTTATCGTTTGTTTCCCTATGGGGAGCAGAATGGTGAAGACATCCTCCCAAGATTCCTGAGGCCTTTCAACTCATACTCTAATCTGGCATTACTGTGAAGGAATTTGCAGAGGGGATTAAGGTGAATAACCAGCTGATTGTAAAATAGGGCATTGATCTTGCATCTTGTGTGTGGGCCCAGTGCAATTCTATGAGCCCACGAGAGTGGAGACAGCTCTCTGGCTGGAGTTAGAGAGAGAGAGAGAGAGAGAGAGAGAGAGAGAGAGGGAGAAGAGGAGGCAGAAGGGAGGTGAGGCAGAAGGGACTTCACAGAGACCGGAAGCAAGAAAAGCACTCACCCTGCCATTAGTGGCTTTGAAGGGGGCCACAAGCCAAGGAATGTGGATGGCCTCCAGGATCTGAGCATCCCCTCACCCCACTGGTGATTGCCAGCAAGGACACAAGAACCTCAGTCCCACAAACAAGGACCTGCATTTGGTCAAGAACCTGAGAGCGCTTGGGCATGCATTCTCCCCCAGAGCCTGTAGGAAGGAGTGCAGCCTGGCTGATGCCTTGACTTTGGCTCTGTGAAACTCAGGGCAGAGAACAAGCTGAACTGCACTGTGCCCACACTTCTGACCTACAGACCCTGTAGGGTAAATTTATGCTGCTTTTAAGCAGGGAATTTTCTGGTAATCTGTATGACATCAAACCTTAGCATGAATGTAAACTTCCACAGGGAAGCTTTGTCAAGGCATCTCCAGTGCCTGGAACAGTGTCTGGAACAGCATAAGTGCTCATTAAGTGCTCACTGAGTGAATGAGTGATATGGCGACTATTGGTATGCGGCTCCTGCAAGAAGGCTGGAGAAGACACGAGGGGCCACAGCAGCAAATGGAGCCAGGACAGCGTGTATGTGTGTGTGTTGAGGGGCATGCGGAGGGTAGGGGCAGTAGGTGGTCACTTAGCTCTCTGGGGACAGGGTTATGGTCTTGGGCAGAGGAGAAGTAGTGCTGATGTGATCACAAGACTCTGATTCTGTCCCCTCAGCCAGTAGGGGCCTCAAGGTCACTGCTTGTATATGGCTCAGGTGAAAAAGAAGGACAGTGGTGGGAGGGTGATGGTCATAGGGTCACATTTGAATCTCTGTTGTTTTTTTCCCTCGATATAGAAAAGTTGAAAGAATTGTACAATGAAGTCATGCATACCTATCATCTAGATTCTGTAGTTAACATTTGCTATATTTGCTTTAACACACATCAATGCATCTTTCCATCCCTCTTTTTTCTTTTCTTCCTCTTCCTCCTCCTCTTCCTCTATATCCTCTTTCTTCTTCTTTCATCCTATTCTTCGATGTGTTTCAAAGTAAGTTGCAGACATCAGTATACTTTACCCCTAAATACTTTGCCTAGGTAGTGTTGAGTTTGATACTTTTAAAGGTAAAATTTACAAATGAAATGCATAGGTCTTAACTTCACCATTCCATGAGTTTTGACGAACGCACTCAACTGTGTAACCCACATCCCAGAGAGGTATAGACTATTGCTGGCCGACAGCAGGATCTGCAGTGATGAAAATGGTCGGTGCTGCCCAGCACAGCAGCCACCATGGGTGGTCCCTGAGTACTGGAAATGTGTCTACCAAGCTGGAAGACCTGAATTTTTGATTTTATTTAATTTTAAATAATTTAAGTTTATATTCTATGTGGGTGACCTGCTACCTTTTAAAATTGAAATTTTGGTTGGAATAATGATAGATTCACATGCATTTGTAACAGATAATACAAAGAGGTCTCATACCCTTCACTCGGTTTTCTCTCAGGGTAACATCTGACCAGACAACTGGACAGTATCACAACCAGGACACTGATATTGAAATGCTCCACCTACCTTACTCATGCTTCTTGGTTTCACCTGTGCTCTTCTGTGTATGCATTAAGTTCTGCACTGTTTTGCCACCTGGGTAGGTCTGTGTAATCATCACCACTGACTGATGCTGAACAAGGTGCTGAGCAGGGCAGCACCCCCAGGACCTCCAGGCTGCTCCAGTATAACCACACCTGTTCTCCTCTTCCCACTCACTCTTGCAACCACTGGTGACCATCAGCTTTAAACATTTTTAAAATGTTTTCACTTATGTAATGTGATATAAATGGGATTATACAGTATGTAATCCTTTGAGATTGGGTTCTTTTGATCTGCCACGTTTTTAAAAGCCTGTCTTCCCCACTGGGACTGCAGGCTCCTTGAGGGAAGGAACTGGTTGTGGCTGAATCCCCAGGGCCTGACATGTAGTAGGCACTCTATGTTTATTGATTTAGCGAGAGGCAATCCAAATAAAAAAGCATTTACGTGCCAGTCCCTGTGATGCAGAGGGGGCAGTGGAGGGAGAGAAAAGCTTGCAGAAGGAGATGATTCAAAACGCTGAGCAGGGAGTTCATAGGCAGGAGACATTCAGAGGGACACAGCATGGGCAACAGCTGGGAGGCAGGGCTGATCAGGAGGCTGCAGCCTGGCCTGTGAGGATAGCGTGTCTTAGGCTGACATGGCAAGTGAGGTTGTGGAGACATCTGAACCCTGGTACACTGCTGATTGGAATGTAAAATGGTACTGCTGCTGTGACAAATAATATGGATATTCCTTAAAGAATTAAAAATGGAACTACAGTAGGATTCAGCAATCCCATTTCTGAGGATATATTCAAAGAATAGAAATCCGGATCTCAAACAGGTATCTGCACTCTCACGTTCGCTGCAGCGTTATTCACGGTCCCCATGGTGTGGAAAAAACCTCAATGTCCACAGATAAATGAACAAGTAAAGAGACGCGATATAGACACACAAGGGGATGCTATTCAGCCTTCCAAAAAGAGGAAATCCTACTATTTGCAACAACATGGATAGGTCTGGAAGACATTCTATTAAGTGAAATAAGGGGGACACAGAGGGATGAGGATTGGAAGGTTTCACCGATGTGAGTGATCAAAAAGAGTCAGATGAAAATGCAGAAGATAGAATGGTAGTTTCCAGGAGATGGGGTGGGGGAGATGGGGATCTGTTTGTCAACGGGTATAAAGTTACAGTTACATGAGAGGAATCAGTCCTAGAGGTCTGCTGCACAACGTGGCACCTATAGTCAACAACGTAGCACCTATAGTCAACAACGTAGCATCTATAGTCAACAACATAGCACCTATAGTCAACAACGTAGCACCTATAGTCAACAACGTAGCATCTATAGTCAACAACGTAGCACCTATAGTCAACAACGTAGCACCTATAGTCAACAACATAGCACCTATAGTCAACAACGTAGCATCTATAGTCAACAATGCACTTCAACATTTTACTTTAAGTGCTAGGATACATGTGCAGAAGGTGCAGGTTTGTTACATAGGTATACATATGCCATGGTGGTTTGCTGTACCTATCAACCCGTCATCTAGGTTTTAAGCCCTGCATGCATTAGGTATTTGTCCTAATGCCCTCCTTCCCCTTGCCTCCCACCCCGCAACAGGCCCCAGTGTGTGATGTTCCCCTCCCTGCGTCCATGTGTTCTCATTGCTCGACTCCCAGTTATGAGTGAGAACATGTGGTGTTTGGTTTTCTGTTCCTGCATTAGTTTGCTGAGAATGATGGCTTCCAGCTTCATCCACATCCCCGCAAAGGACATGAACTCATTCTTTTTTACGGCTGCATAGTATTCCACGGTGTATATGTGCACATTTAAACATTTCTTAAGAGGGTAGGTCTCATGTCAAGTGTCCTTACCACCAAAAATAAATAAATGAATAAATGAATAAATAAATAAATAATATATAAAAGCAAAGGAACACATGGTCACTGAGAGACAAGAGATTCAGTCTTCACTGAGGTTGAAAAACAAGGAAGGGAGAAAGAAAGTGAACTGGGGATCCCTTCTGCCACCTTCCCCCACAACCCCTGGTTTTATTGAGGTATAACTGATATGTTAATATAAAAAAAGACATATATTGAATATCTACAATCTGATATGATAGTATACCATCACCAGAATCAAGTTTTGTGGAGCTCTGCTACCTTTTTGCTGGGTGACTTCCCCAGTCTGGGCCTGTGTCTATTTGAAAAATTGAGGATTCATTTTGACTGGAGGGTTTTCCACCTGAGTTCTCCAGAGCCTCAGCATTCCAGGACATCAGGGTGATTTGAAGTCAATCACAGCAGAGAAACTTTGGTCTGTTGGTGTTTTAAGTATCTGGGTTTTTTTTTGTTTGCTTTTTTTTGTTTTGTTTTGTTTTTGTTTTTTTCAGTATCCCTTCACCTTCTTCTAGGAAAACATCTGGACTTCCTTTGGGTAGTTCCCCATCTCTTCATCCTCTGTTTCTGTAAGTTCCAGAGGCAGATCCTGGAAGATTTTAACTAGCTAATGTAGCCCACCCCGTTGGCCACCACTATTAGTTCAGAGATGTGCATTTTACCCAAACTGAGCCAGTGAGAGTGGGGCCCAGGGTCTTTCCAACTCTTTGGATGGACTTTGAAGCTGAGAGGCTGTAAGTGCAGGGGCAGTTGCAGCAACCTTGAGAACATGAGGGGAAGAGGCAGAGTGGTTGGGGGCCACCAGATGTGGGAAGCATGGAAGTGAGCTGAGAGGGAGTGGAGTGGGTTCTAATGACATTGCTTAAGTCCTGCACCTAGTTAAGAAGCCATGACTCCCCTTGGACAATTACCTGCACCAGTGAATTCACTTTTGTGCTTGATTCAAGTTTTTGGAAACCAGCCCGGAGTGAAAACATTTCCTTCAAAAGTTTTTGTTTTTCAAAGTGAAAGCAAGTTTATTAAGAAGGTAAAGGAATAAAAGAATGGCTACTCCATAGACAAAGCAGCCTCGAGGGCTGCTGGTTGCACATTTTTATGGTTATTTCTTGATGATATGCTAAACAAGGGGTGGGTTATTCATGCTTCCCCTTTTTAGGCCATGTAGGATAACTTCCTGATGTTGCCATGGCATTTGTAAACTGTCATGGTGCTGGCGGGAATGTAGCAGTGGGGATGAACTGGAAGTCCAGCTTTCCAGGAGAACCTTCTAATGAGCACCTCTTACCTGCTTTGTGTAGTCTAAAGAGAGAAATCGCTTCAGCCTCAGCAGGGGCTGCATCATCCCCCAGGGAAGAGCCACAGCTGGGCGAGGATTGCCACAAGACATTTACAAGGAGATGATGCCACGGAGACTAACGCAGACTGGTAAACGGAAACACGGGGCTTTGGCTCGAACACCCTCTTTCAAGAAAGTTGTTTATGACCACAAGGAAGGTTTGAGTCTCTATATTTTTGCATGTACTAGATTTCTCCTTTTAAAAAAGATTCAGTTATGAATTCAGGCGTTCAAGTTAATCCTTGAGAATTAAATCAATTGAATTAATTATTTGTAAAAACATCCTCAGTTTCTTCAGATGAAAGGAGTATGATCTTCACAGAATTCTGCTTGTAATTCCCAGAGCAGTTGATGTATTTTGTTGTATTTTGCTGATTGGCTTTGTGTGATGTGCAAAGTTCTTTACAGAGAGGCTGGGAGAGAGTTGGGGGGCCAAAGGTGAGAGGGCTGTGTTCTTCCCACGCTGGCTCACAGCCTCTTGGGAGTTTATCATGGAGCTGGGTGGCGGCCACTGTCTTCACTTTCCCAGTTTCTGGTTTTGTTTTTTAAAGTTTTCATCCTCCCACTTTGGAAGCCTATGGACTTCATCTGTCATGCGATTTGTAAATCAAGACCCCAACAGGCAGCTGTCTGCTTCTATTAGCTTTCATGACACAGGTGACACTGCATGGAAGGCCTGCCTCTTTCTTTAAGTCAGTTATTAATATGAAATGACACCAAGTTGTTTCTCAAAAGCCAAACAGCCTAAGAATAGTAAAGAAAAATCATAATCTCACAGTATTATAATTCAATAACTATCATTATTAAAATGGTGGCATAAAGCCCAAGCTTTGCAATGTGTGGGGGAAGTTGAGTGAGAAATTCACCCTGAAATTCATCTGTGTATCAGTCGGAGAAATTAATGCTGGCAGCTGAAACAGGTAAAACCACCAAGGCTTTTAACCCAATGAAGGTTTATTTATCATCAGGCAAAGTCCAGTAAGTGCACAATTTGGGCCTGTAGGTTGGCTGTGGCAGGGGAAAAGATGAAGAAAGCACAGTGGCTATTAAATTCTATTGGCCAGAACTAGTCCTGTGACCATGATCTATTTGCCAGGGAGACGAGGAGGTGAGAATGAACACATAGATACTGAATGCATGTGGTTCCTCTAGCAATGTAAGGCGGATTTCTACTGTTGTTAGTCAGAAATGAAACTCAAAACTCATTTAGATGATGGAATTACGAAGAACTTGAATGTGGGCCTAACATAAATCATGCTGCTATAAAGACACATGCACACGTATGTTTATTGCGGCATTATTCACAATAGCAAAGACTTGGAACCAACCCAAATATCCAACAATGATAGACTGGATTAAGAAAATGTGGCACATATACACCATGGAATACTATTCAGCCATAAAAAAGGGTGAGTTCATGTCCTTTGTAGGGACATGGATGAAATTGGAAATCATCATTCTCAGTAAACTATCGCAAGAACAAAAAACCAAACACCGCATGTTCTCACTCATAGGTGGGAATTGAACAATGAGAACACATGGACACAGGAAGGGGAATATCACACTCTGGGGACTGTGGTGGGGTGGGGGGAGGGGGGAGGGATAGCATTGGGAGATGTACCTAATGCTAGATGACGAGTTAGTGGGTGCAGCGCACCAGCATGGCACATGTATACATATGTAACTAACCTGCACAATGTGCACATGTACCCTAAAACTTAAAGTATAATAATAAAAAAAAAAGAATCACATTTCCAATCCTGGTGTCTCATAGAGGATCAAAAAACAGTGTATGAAAGACGCATGATGTGGGCATTTAGAGCATTGGCTTTGGTTTGGGAGGAAGCCAGGGCTTAACACCAGCTCTATTATTCACCTTGTGTGAGCTTGATTAAGTGTATTCAACACTTTGAGTCCTTATTGCTTTGTCGGTAAAATGGGGAAAATAGTAACACCCCTCTTACAGGTTTTTTGAGAAGTCATTGCTATTACTCTTACCACCATCACTGCCCCGGGAACTTGTCTTTGTAATAAGATTTTTGGTGGATCTGAAGCTGTGGGTTATTGTTTAACCTCCTTCGTGTACACAGGCTGCCTTCCTTCATGCATACATGCACGTGGCAAATACTTATCAAATGCTTAGTGAATGCTAAGCCTGTGTTACCATTTTGCCTACGTTATTTAATTCTCACTTTCTGTTTTCACCCCATTTTGCAGATGAGGAGAACAAGGCTGGGAGAAAGCAAAGGAGCCACTTGTTTAAGGTTATGCAGCTGAGAAATGAACAAGGTGGGGTTCGAGTCCAGAGTGCGCATTCCCCATCACCCCTTAACAAAAAGGCATGTTTCCCAGGAGACTACAGAGGAGAATCGGCAGGTGGTCACAATTGCAGGGCTGTCTCAGGCTGAGCAGAGAGTACGGTGGAGGGGCATGGGCCTGCTGTTGGCGGTGAGGGCCTTGGAAATGGCTTCCTGGAGGAGATGGCAATTATCCAGGTAGACAAGATGTGTGTGTGTGTGTGTGTGTGTGTGTGTGTGATCATGAAGAAGAAATAATGTGCAAAGCCCTGGTCATAAATAACTTTTCCTCTGCAAACTGTGGATGGCAGTTCACCATGTTTCTCACCACTGGCCTGGTCACTGCTTATCCAATATGCATGTAAGAATTACTTTTTCTCTTTTTTCCCTTCTATAAATTCTCATAGAACTTCCTTTAATGCATTAAAAAAGCAACTAGCATGTTCAACCCATGATATCATATATCCTATGTTTTAGGATGCAACTAAAGTGAATATATAGGTGAAGAGGGTGAATCAGTGCAGCCGGCAGCACAGGGAAAACCAGGAACTGTCAATATAGCAAAGGTGGGAAGCCCAGGGAGCTGAAGCTTCAGGAACCCTGGGACAGAGAGTGTCTCCCTGCATTCCAGCTTAGAAGTGCTGCTCTTCAAGACAGAGTGTCACCAGCTCCATTTGTCCATAAAGCCACATTGTTCGAAGGGAAGGCAATGTCCCTCTGCCACTGCTCACCATGAAAAGACAGTGCTGTGTCAGGAACTGTGGGGCCAGAGCTTTGTGCTCTGGGGGAAGGGTCATGAGGCAAAAGGTCACAAGAGTAGCCAGGAAAGTTCTAAATTAGCCTTGGGAACAAGCCAGGCCCAGAGCAGAGACCCAGAGTTCAGGAATGTTCCCTGGCCCTGCCCTTGAAGTCTCTGCTCATAGCCTCGGAGCCGTGGCTACCAGGGAGGGTGGCTAAAAATACCTTGGTCAGGGGCCTAGAGATTGCACTTAGGAGACTGCTTTCCAGAGGCAGCCCGGGGAGAGCCGACAGCAGTGTGGGCGCCAGGGCCCCCACCAGCTACAAAGGTCAGCCAGCCCCCAGCTGCCTTCAGGTGGGTGTTTCTGCCAGTTCTCCTTTAGTGTTCAGGCTCAAATGAAAGGCCACTTTCAGCAAGTTTTCCTGACATTGTCGGAGACTGGAGCCAAGGCCCTGTCTGTTTTACTTTCTGAAAGAGCCAGTCTGAGAGATGGATGGGTTGGCGACTGAACACCACAAACAACAGCAGTGGGCTTTAACCTGATGGTGGAGGCTCCGGCACAGGTGGGGAAGGCCAGTGGCTCAGAAGGCCTGACAAGGACAGGACCAAAGCTCCAACAGCTCAGAGCTGGACTCCTTCCCATCCCAGATCTGAGCTCTTTGGTTCTCCTTCACAGAGGTGATTATGGTTCATAGTATCTTCTAAATAGAAATGCATATCATTTAAAATTTTTAATACCAATGTGTAAACTGAACCACACTTTAATTTATTCACCTAACAATCCACCTAAGAGATCCTGCCCTGTCAACATAGGTATAGTTATTGCACTTTTTAGAGTTTTTATGTCATTGTTTGTACGACTGTGTTATAACTTAAGCAGTTTTCTGCTGAGAATATTCAGGCTATTTCTGGCTTTTTGCTACAACAAACAGTCCTGCTGAGAACATTCTAATTCACACTTTTTCTATGCATGCATGAACATATTGTTAGGATACAGTCCTAGCAGTGAAATTCCTAGAGGAATGGGAACATACGTTTACAATGTTAATACCTATTGACAAATTGTTTTCCAACATTCCCACCAGCAGTGTGTATTATCAGTTTTTAAATATTTACCAGCCTAAGTAAAATAACTTAAAAAGGGTCTGTAATTTTAGTCTTAACCTCCATAACTTTCATTATAAATGAAGCTGGAACATATGAAATTATGTTTATGAGCCACTTATTTTCCTGTGAACTGCCTGTTTTTGTCATTTACCCATTTTTTTTTTTCTGATAGGTTGGTGGTCCTTTTTATTTATTTGTAGGAATGCTTTGTATGTGGTATGGTTTGGCTGTGTGCCCTCATTCAAATCTCATCTCGAATTGTGATCCCACATGTTGAGGGAGGGAGGTGATTGGATCACGGGGGGCGGTTCCCCCATGCTGTTCTTATGATAATGAGTGAGTTCTCACGAGACCTGGTGGTTTTATTTGGGGCTCTTCCCCACTTTACTTTCTCTTCTCTCTCTCCTGCCACCTTGTGAAGAAGAGCATGTTTGCTTCCCCTTTCGCCATGATTGTAAGTTTCCCGAGGCCTCCCCAGCCCTACAGACTGTGAATCAATTAAACCTCTTTTGTTTATAAATTACCCAGTCTCAGGGAAGTTCTTGAAAGCAGTGTGAAAACAGGCTAATACAGTATATGAGGATATTAGCTCTGTTTGTTATCTATGTTACCTTTTTTTCAGTTTGTCCTTTGGTTTTTGATATCTTTTTCCATGCAAAAACTAAAAAAAAAAAAAAAAAAAAAAAAAAAAGATGAAGTCAAATGTATCACTCTTCTTTATGGCTTTAAGAGGACACTGATTTCTGAATGGTGAGAAAAGGAGGTGACAAGAAACTTCTGCACCTTCCTGCACCAAACCAGACTTGACCCTGGAACACAGCAATCTGACCTGGCTGCGTGTTTCATGTGTGGTGGGTTGATGGCCCATCTCTCATCCTGGTCACTGTCACCTCTGTTTCCTACCTGCTTAGCCTTTAAGCTGCGAAGTCATCCTGGACATGCATCACCTCCCCAAACTCTGTCTTGTCCCCATTGCCACCCTTCCCCCAGCCTCTGGACAAATCTCCCTGCTTCAGTGTCTCTCATCTGTTGGGTACAAACATCCCCAGAAGATCCCCCGCCACACATTCCCTGGATCAGAACCCATCAGTGGTTCCCTAGTGCCTGGGAATTTCCATTCAATGGCCTCCGAACCATGAGCCTGCCTTTTCTGCCTGAAGCCCAAAACCCCAGCTACAGATCTTTACCCCAGAGACCATCTTGGGCCTCCCTCCAGGCTTTTGCTTACTCTGTGCCCTCATCCTGGAGTCCTGTCCCCACCCCTATCTACAGAAACTCCACCAGCCCTCCTGGCTGCCCCGATGGTCCTCGCACAGGGAGACTTGTCTACCTCCCGAGGTCACGTGTGGGCTCTGGTCCTCTTGCCATCATGGCAGAGATTTTGCTGTATCTCCCCCTGGCTGCTGGTGCTCTGCTTACCTCCTCCAGAGTTGTTAACAAAGAGCTGAGGATGCTGAGCTGCCCAGGGACTTGGCTGCAGGTGGCATAGGGAGCAGCAAGGGCTGGCCAGCCCATGAGCTACACGCCCGAGTCAGCTGCCTCCTCTGGGTAATGAAGTGGAAACGTTGCTCTCCACCTGCCACCTCCAGGGGCTTTCTTGCTCTCTCAAGTGATTCTAACCACTGGTCATTCTTAGTTACCAACCACAGCTCCAACACTGGGCACCAGGGATGCTGAAGGGAGCAAAAACAATGAGCCTCCCAAGAGGTGAGATGGAAATTAATCTAATAACTACACAGAAAAAAATGCAATCATAACTACATTCAGTGCCACACAAAAGGTTTGTGAATCAGGAGAGTGTATCTCCAGGGGTCTGACGTAGTCTGGGGGTTGGGGAAGCCCCACAAATGCCCGAGCTGCCTGTGAGTATGAACAGCGAACTGGAGGGGGCAGTGTCCCAGTGGAGGGACAGCAGGAGGGAGCCTGGTGCACCCGTGACTCACACGGCTGGGGAGAGGGCTGAGGAAGCTCCAGCATTCCTGCTTCCCCTGATCTTGCCCTTCAGAGGGTTTGAGGCTGAACCAGTCCCTCTTTGAGGGAAGAAAGGGAAGATGTGTCCCCTGCCTGACAATTGACAAACAGAGCACATTCCTTTCTTGGTTCCAATGTCATTTGCTTGAGAACAAATGGACCAAGGAGAGGTGGCAGAGCAGGGATCCTCCAGCAGTGAGTTGTGCTGGCCCTGGCTGGTGTTTCAGGATAGGGTCCTGGTGAAAGGTGACAGAGGTACAGCCATTGAACCACAGGCTCCTCTCCCGATGGTGATCCTCAAAAGGGAGGCTGCTCCCAGGTGGGGTGCCAGCTGCAAGGGAGCCTGAGAGCATAGGCGAACACTGGAAACAGAACATCTGGGGATTCTTCTGTGCCTTGACTTTCTGTATTCTTAATATCTCGATGGCAGAGAAATCTGAGATCAAGGCTAAATATTTGCCTCTGCTTCGGATTTTGATTCCACTAGAAAGACAGTTGAAATAATGTACATTTCAGCTTCCGATGAAATAGCCAGCAATGGAGGATCTGTGTTTGTTTGCGAAGTTTACTCACCCAATAAATCATTCCTTTGCAGAGATGCCATTAACTAACAATTCAAGGTTGGTAACCTCCAATCAACAGTGATTAAAGAACTTTCGCTGAATGGCAGAGAGAGAACACGTTTTTCTGAACGCTAGCAGCAGTCGGCTTGCACCATCCATCTTTTCTTTGATAAACTGCTCTGGACTAATAATTCCAGATGGAAAGATTTTAAATCAAGTACGGAGGTTGGCAGGATCAGGGAAAACTCTGAATAATTGTAAAGACTATTTTATTGCAGACTCTTTTCAGATGGGAGACAGTCACCTAGGTTCTCAAGAGTGGATGGTGTTTCCAGGAGGGGTATTTCCTCCTCACCTCTTATTCATACTCTGTGGGCACTCCACGCCCATCGCATGAGAGTTTAACTGTGAAGTGTGGATTTCACATGTTGCATTCCTGTCATCATTGCCCCCAGGACGGAAGGCCAGATTCTGCACTTGACACCCTCAAGCCTATCTCTTCCACACTCTGCCTGGAATTTTGTGTCCCAATCATACTGAGGTTTTCCTGGCTCTTTCCTTCTCAGCCTTCAGGTGCCAGCAGGGATGGTCACTGGGCCAGATTTCTCCTCTGATCCCTGCAGTGCCTCACAGAACCACTGGAAAACACACTGCCTCCTGGCTTGTCTGCCCCTCCTCTAGGCTGTAGGCGAGCTCACTGGGGGCCAGTGATGTGTCTTATCTTCTTCTGTAGCCTCCATACTCAACACAGTGCTGGTGAGAGGTGAAACCTTCATCAATGTATGTTGCACTAAAGGGTGAACGAACACACCCCTTGATGTTTTATGCTAACAAAGGGTGGTTGCAGGACAGAAGTAGGTCATGAGGGGTGGAACCTAACCTACCAGGCACCAAAGTCTCTGGGGAGTGTGTTAAAATGCAGATGCTGGGGTCCCACCTCCAGAGGCTCATTCAGCAGGTCTGGGCTGAGGCCTTGGGAATCTGTTTTTCTGGTTTTTTGTTTGTTTGTTTTTTGTTTTTTTTGTTTTTTTTTTTTTGAGATGGATTCTCGCTCTCTTGCCCAGGCTGGAGTGCAGTGGTGTAATCAGCTCACTGCAACCTCCACCTCCCGGGTTCAAGCAATTCTCCTGCCTTGTCCTCCTGAGTAGCTGGGATTACAGGTGCCCGCCACCACACCTGGCTAATTTTTGTACTTTTTTAGTAGAGACGGGGTTTCACCATGTTGGCCAGGCTGGTCTCGAACTCTTGACCTCAAGTGATCCACCCGCCTCAGCTTCCCAAAGTGCTGGGATTACAGGTGTGAGCCACTGCACCTGGCTGGAATCTACATTTTTAACAGTCTTCACAGGTGACTGGAGTTCCTGCTGAAATTTGAGAACCTCTGCTCTTAACCTTTCTTCTTTGCCTCTAAAAGCCATGCCTGTGACCTTGAGCCTTGTCTTACCTTTCTAACTCTCTTGTGTTGAGGGCAATGGTGACAAGAGCCTCTGGACTTTGAATGCTCACAAATAAACAGTGGGAGGCATGTGGGAAGCCCTAGAAGGTCTGGATGGCCAAGGGAGCCTAATTTCAGATGGACTATAGTGAAAATTGCATATTCATTCATTCAGTCAGCATACATTTATTGAGCATCTACTATGTGTATCAGGAAGGACCAGGAGCTAGAGAAAAAGGTAAATAGGGATGACAGAGTCCACAGAAACCCGCAATCTGGTAGGCTCTGGGTTGTATAACTCAATGAGAAAGTGAAGAAGGTGAAGGCCTTACTTCACCACAGGCGGCAGGTGGGTGGGGGGGAGAGTACCCCATCGCCAAGGTCTTTGTCTGAACTCACTCCCTGCTCAGGGCAGGCAAGAATCCCCTTTCCAGAAGTAAGGCTGTGCTGACCAAAGTTGGCTGAGCTGTTCTGTAACAGCTGCAAAGCCCATGGTGTGAGGGGCTTTCTGTCTCATTGCAGCTTCATTGTGGGGATCCATGGGGAAATTTATTATGAGGTTTAGCAGACATTGCTCAGGCCACCCCAGACTTGCCTCTCAGTTTGGGCAATCTATTCAACCAAACTGCCGGGCAAACAATTGCACATTATAATTAGGAGAGACCTTAGGGGAGGTCTTCTATGAGGGGTTCATGAACCTTTGAACACCTTGCTACTCAACGTGTGGTCACTGGACCAGCAGCACCAGCATTCTCCGGGAACCTGTTACAAATGCAGAATCTGAGCCCCCACCCCAGGCCTGCTGCACCAGAATCTGCAATTCAAAAAGAGACCACGATCCCCAGGTGATACATGTGTACATTAAGGTTTGAGACCCACTGGTCTATTGAATCCATTGGGCAAAATGTTTTGCATTGTCTGTGAGGGATCCCAGAGTTCTCATGTGATTTTCACATTGACCTGTGACTACAAAATTTAATCGCTGCTTTGGAGATGTGTGAAGTCCAGGGCAGTGTTGATAAAAGGTTTTGCTTCCCTGATCAATCCCTGTGAGTGATTTGGAGCTAGAGATTTCTTCTAGGGTTATACATTATGCAAGTATGGAAGATGGTGAAGAAGTCTATGGAAGGCTGTTGTCTCCAAACCTGGTGGTTGGCCTGAACTCACCATAGATCAGCAGGGCTGAGAGTCTGAGAGACAGGAAGTAGGGGAGAATAAGGAAAACCTGGAATGCACAAGGGACAAGAAGAACCCAGATCTGTCACAGGTGACCTGCAGAAGGAAGCTGCCAGGAGGCTGCTCTGCTCGCGCACCTGGCCCAGGACTCACTGGAGCTGGAAGAGCTGCAGGCCTGGCCCATAATCAGCAACACCGAGCAGGTGCTTCAACATCGCCCAGCCCTTCTGAGCCTACTGGATGTGCCTTCACTTCTGCCTTCCAGTTCACTACAGGTTTCTTTTGTGGCCAACCTTGGCCTGGAAACATAAAGCAGAAAGAATTCTGGGAAGCACAGTTCCAGCTTAGATATTGTTGCTGCAGTACAAGTTGTCAAACTCAACCTTCTCCTGCGCTAGGTGAGTACTGTAACGAGCGGCGGGGCTGGGTGAGGTTGTGAGCACCTGGAGAGTGAATTGCTTTACCTAACTGTCTGCCAGAATAAATATGGACCTGGAGCTGCCAGATCTTTGAATTTTTTAGGATAAACTAGAATTTGGGGATATTATGTCAAATTCCCTTTTTAAAATGGTAGAAACCAATTTGATTTTTGAAAATTATTAACCAAGAAAAATGGTTCTGATGAAGGGGTGGCCTGCCCCTCACACCTGTGGGTGTTTCTCGTTGGGTGAGATGAGAGACTGAGAAAAGAAAGAGAAAAAGAGACAAAGTATAGAAAAAGAAAAGTGGGCCCAGGAGATCAGCGCTCAGCATACGGAGGACCTGCGCCGGCACCAGTCTCTGAGTTCCCTCAGTATTTATTGATCATTATCTCTACCATCTCGGAGAGGGGGATGTGGCAGGACAATAGGGTAATAGTGGGGAGAGGGTCAGCAGGAAAACATGCGAACAAATGTCTCTGTGTCATAAACAAGGTTAGAAAATGTGCTGTGCTTTGATGTGCACATACATAAACATATCTGGTGCATTAAAGAGCTGTATTGCCGCCAGCATGTCTCACCTCCAGCCTTAAGGCAGTTTTCTCCTATCTCAGTAGATGGAACATACCATCGGGTTTTATACCAAGACATTCCATTGCCCAGGGACGAGCAGGAGACAGATGCCTTCCTCTTATCTCAACTGCAAAGAGGCCTTCCTTCCTCTTTTACTAATCCTCCTCAGCACAGACCCTTCACAGGTGTCGGGCTGGGGGATGGTCAGGTCTTTCCCTTCCCACGAGGCCATATTTCAGACTATCACATGGGGAGAAACCTTGGACAATACCTGGCTTTCCTAGGCAGAGGTCCCTGCAGCCTTCCGCAGTGTTTTGTGTCCCTGAGTACTTGAGATTAGGGAGTGGTGATGACTTTTAACAAGCATACTGCCTTCAAGCATCGGCTTAACAAAGCACATCCTGCATAGCCCTAAATCCTAAACCTTGAGTCACAGCACATGTTTCTGCAAGCACAGGGTTGGGGGTAAGGTTACAGATTAACAGCATCTCAAGGCAGAAGAATTTTTCTTAGTACAGAACAAAATGGAGTCTGTTATGTCTGCTTCTACATAGACACAGTAACAGTCTGATCTCTCTTTCTTTTCCCCACATCTGTAAACTAGACTTTTATCATTTTTATTATGCCCATTTCCCTCATTTTATGGCTGTATAAATTGAGGCTCAGAGAGGGCAAGTGGTTTTCCAAACATAGAACAGCAAGTGTAATGGCTGGACTGGATTCAGAGCCACATGCCCTCCAAGAACCCTTTGCACAACCTCCATCTTTCTACTGAGGAGTTTCACTAGGCCTGGCCCCCAGCCTGGAGGGTAGAGAAGATTTATTTAGCTCTCTCACAGACAATGCGAAACATTTGCCCAATTAATTTCTTAATTGCTCCCCTTAAGGTAGTGCTTCTCGAACTTCAATATGCAGAGAAATCACCTGGCAATCTTATAAAAATGTCAGATTGAACTCAGCAGTTCTGGATGAGGCCTGGGATTGAGAACGTCT
Organism: Homo sapiens; assembly: GCF_000001405.40. NCBI lineage: Eukaryota > Metazoa > Chordata > Mammalia > Primates > Hominidae > Homo > Homo sapiens. Next base: position 60,042,542 of record NC_000020.11, read on the forward strand.
TGCATGGTCCCAGGAGGTGAGGAACACTGTCTTCAGGAGCTAACAGTCCCGCTGGGTCAGGGAGCTTCCATGCGATGACTAGAGCTGCACATTAGGATTACCTGGAGAGATTTAAAACTATCCCATTGCTGGGCTGCGCCAGAGACCACTGACATCAGAACACAGATGGGTGAAGCCCAAGCCTCAGGATGTTTAAAGTCCCTCAAGAGATTCCAGAGTGCAGCTAGGGTTGAGAAGCACTGAATTAGGGAAAGTTGGTATGAATTTTTTGGTGCTAGAGGGAAGTTCAGGGGTGGGAGGGAGGCAGGAAGGGCTTTCTAGAAGAGCAGCTTCTAGAGTTTCCCAAGGGAAGGCCCTAGAACGGCACTGTCTGGGACAGGAGCTATGAGCCCCCAGTTGTTATGGGTCATCTGAAACTGCATTGAGCAAAATACACACTTGATTTGGAAAATTTGGTATAAATAAAATAAGGAAAATATTTTATTAATCACTTTGATATTGACTATATGTTGAAATGGTAAAAGTTTGAATGTATTGGGATAAAGTATATCTTAAAAATTGGTTTCATGGTTTCCTTTTGATTTTTAAAAACGTGGCTATTAGAAACCTTACAATTACATATGTGGCTTACATTTTATTTCTCTTGATGATCTAGAATCTTCATCATTAATAACTCCTTGATGATGCTTGTATATTCAAAAGTCTAAACACCACTGAGGTAGTTTGGAACTATTGACATAACTTATTGTCTGTGGTCCCTGGACCGGCAGCATCAGCATCATCTGGAAATTGTTAGAAATAAAAATTTATCAGGTCCCACTGAATCAGAAATCCTGGGAGTGTGGTCCAGCAATCAGTATTGTAACAAGCCCTTCTGGTAATTTCTGATGCATGCTAAAGATGAGGAACCACTGGTTTACATTTGTCAAGGGGGAGCTATGATCATGCCATAGGCAAGCTTTCCCTGAGTCTTTTCCCGGAGGGGAAGAGTAGCATTTCCAGGCAGGCGAGCATTAGAGAGCCAAAGGGCCTGGCACCTCCCATCAACCCCATAGCAGGAATGGGGCGAACTTTGATTGATGTAAGAAAATGAAAATAGATTTCCTTTGTTGTGTAGAAACTTTTTAGTTTGATGTAATCCAATTTGTCTATTTTCACTTTTGTTTCTTAGACTTTTGAGTTCTTGTCCAAAATTCTTTGCCCAGAACAATGACATGGAGCATTTCCCCTATGGCTATGTTTTCTTCCAGTAGTTTTATAGTTTCAGGTCTTACATTTAAGTCATTTAAGTCTTTAATCCATTTTGAGTTGATTTTTTTGTATGGTGAGAGATAGGGGTCTAGTTTAATTTTTCTGCATGTGGATATCCAGTTTCCCCAGCACCATTTATTGAAGAAACTGTCCTTTCCCCAATGTGTTTTCTGGGTGTCTTTGTGGAAAATCAGTTGGTTGTAAGTGTGTGGATTTATTTCCATGTTTTCTATCCTGTTCTATTGACCTATTTTTAGGTCAATACCATGCTGTTTTGCTTACTATAGCTTTGTATTATATCTTGAAGCCAGATAGTTTGATGCCTCTAGCTTTGTTCTTTTTGCTAAAGATTGCTTTGGCTATTTAACTTCTTTTGTTGTTCCATATGAATTTTAGGATTTGTAAAAATTTCTGTGAAGACTGTTACTGGTGTTGTGATAGGAATTGCATTCAATCTGTAGATCGCTTTGGGGAGTATGAATATTTTAACAATATTATTTATTCCAAATCATGAACATGGGATATTTTTCCATTTATGTGTGTCTTCCTCAATTACTTTCACTGATGTTTTATAGTTTTCATTGTAGAAGTCTTCCACCTCCTTGGTTAAATGTATTCCTAAGCAGATTATTTTATTTTTGTAGCTATTATAAGTGAGATTGCATTCTTGATTTCTCTTTCAGATGTTCACTATTGTGTGTAGAAATACTACTAATTTTTATAGGTTGATTTTGTATCCTGCAAATTTACTGAATTTATTAGTTTTAACAGTTTTTTTTTTTTTGATGGAGTCATCAGGGCTTTCTATATACACAATTATGTCCTCTGCAAACAGGGACTATTTGACTTGCTCGTTTCAAATTGGAGGCCCCCCTTTTTTTTCCTGTGGCCTAATTGCTCTGGCTAGGACTTCCAGTGCTATGTTAAATAAAAGTGGTGAAAGTAGGCATCTTTGTCTTGTTCTAGATCTGAGAGGATAAGGAAATAATCAACAGAGTAAAGAGACCACCTACAGAGTGGGAGGAAATATTTGCAAACTATGAGACTGACAAGGAGTTAATATCTACAATACATAAGGAACTCAAACAACTTAACAGCAAAAAGCAAATACAGCCGGCCCTCCCTTTCTGAGGGTCTCACATCTGTGGATTCAACCAAATGTGGATTGAAAATGTAGTATTTGTGGGACTTGAACATTGGAGGATTTTGGCATCTGAGGGGGGTCCTGAAATCCTGAGGGATGACTGTAATAGATTAATAAATGGGCAAAGATCTGAGTAGACATTTCCCAAAAGAAGACATACAAATGGCCAATCGGTACATGAAAAAATGCTCAGTTTCACTAATCATAAGATAAATGCAAATAAAAACTACAATGAGATATCACCTCACCCAAATTAGAATGACTATATTATTAAAAAGACAAAAAGTTTCAAATGCTGGCATGGATGTGAAGAAAGGGAACACTTAGACACTGTTGGTGAGAATGTAAATTAGTACAACCATTATGGAGACACTATAGAGGTTTCTCAATAATTAAAAATAGAATTATCAAATGATTCAGAAATTCCACCACTGAATATTTATTTAAAATAAATGAAATCTGTATATCTAAGAGAGATTCAAACTCCTATGTCCATTGCAGCACTATTCACAATAGCCAAGATATGGTCAACCTTACTGTCTGGCAATGGATAAATGGACAAAGAAACACACACACATGCACACACACACACATACAAACACACACACCATAGAATACTATTCAGCCATAAAAAGAATGAAATCCTATCATTTGTGGCAATATGGGTGAACCTGAAGGACATTTGTTAAGTGAAATAAGCCAGGGACGGAAAGACAAATAAGGCATAATCTCACTCATTTGTGGATTCTAAAAAAGCTGCCTTCATAGAAGCAGAGCATAGAATAGTGTTTACCAGAGGCAGGGGAGGGTAGGAGGAAGAGGATCATGCAGACAGATTGGCCATGGGTACAAAGTTACAGTTAAATAGGATGAATAAATTCTGGTGTTTTACGGCAGAATAGAGTTTGAGTCGAAAGTATAATACACATATGAGTTTTACCTCTACTTTGGGGAAAGGCTTTAAAGCCATATTGAATAGCAAAAGAGAAGGAAAACAAACATCCTCTACTGGCTTTTGAATAAGCTCTATGAGACCTGCAAGTTACTGGACACCAAAGGAAAAGTGATTTTAAAACGTATCACATTTTGAATGCCTTCCAAGAAGAACGGTCCAGTAGATGATGGATTTGTGGCTAAGATCAAGGGGATTAACAGCTTCTTGGGAAGTCTCCCAGGAGGAAGGCTGGCCCGAGGGGATCAGAACTGCTCCCAGTGGAAAGTAGATGCCACAGTGATGTAGCTCTGAAAGAGAGTGCACCAGGACAAGGAGAAGTTCCTCTTTTAAAAACTAGACATAACACATGCTGGTTGCATGAGGAAGTGGAAGGAAAATTTATTGCCTAACAAAATAGCCATTCTGCTAGGAAAACGTTTGTTAGGCCTATTTGTCATGAGAGGTAAAGTATCTAGTGTTGCCTGGAATGGGGAAATATTGGCAAAGAAAGCCACATTGTTTTACACAATAAAGTAAATGTGAGTCCTCCGTGTTCCAGTGTGAAATGTTTTTCACTCTTTGAGACAGAAATATTCCTCAATTCTAGTTTACACTTCTCAGTCTTCTGAGAAGTAGCTCCTAAACACAATTCTTTGGAGTAGGCCCTGAAGATAGATTTGAGGCAGGGCATGGGGCCCCAAGGAAGAATGGGCCCTGTGTGAGAGTGGGTGGCAGGGTGGGCTGGCACTGGAGGAGAGAGCAGCTTGGGGCTCCCACAATGGGCTGTGGCTGAGGGGCTGAGCCGGCATCATCAGGCATCTTCTGGCATCTGGTGTGAAGCTGCTTTCTGCTCTGCTCTGATCTGCCTTCGTCATGCTCTCTACAGCCCTCCTACTCCAATTCATCATGAGATTTTATATCCACTAACTTGGTAGGTAAGGTTCACCTGGTGTAAACTGTACCAGGTGGTATATTGGGAAAAGAAACAGAGGCGCTGCCACATTTGGGACAGAATGGAGCAGCCACAATAGAAATAAGACATTAGTGACGTTGAGCAAAGCAAGAAGACAGGCAAGGTGACCATTGGAAAGCCCAGGGCCTCCTTCTCCCACTTCTTAGAATCTTCGGAAATATTCGGGAGGGGGCCAGATAGTCCACGGAGATTATGTGTGTTGCAGGGGGTGGGCGGGGGCCAGTTATTTTGCCTGGATGCTGAAGGGCTGGAGGATTGCAAGAGAAGAATGCAGCTGAAGGTTAGTCATGGTCACGGCTGTGGTGTTTCCAGCAGTGAAACTGACAGCCATGGAGGAATATGGGAATCCACTTTCCTGGATGTATAACCTGGCTTTTCATCGTGACATTCAAAGTAATTCACAGCAGGAAACTTAACACGCACTGAGCTCTGTCTTCATCATATGAAGAGGACAGCAGTTTGCCCATTTTATAGGTGAGTATCTTGAGTCCTTAGGAGGATCAGGGTAATGTATTGAAAGTCATCTTAGGAGTCAGTGACGGAACAACAATGTGTGTGCTCTGACGATGCAGGTCTAACCCAGCAATCCTTGTTACCATTGCCCGAGTGTAATACAGGAGGTTGGAAGTGGCTTTATAAGAAAAAAAATTATGATAATAATAATGATGATGGTGACGGTTATGACGGTGGTGATGAAGATAATAGCAGCGAATATTTCAATACATTTTAACAGCTCCTTATTTGCCATACACTAAGCTAAATCATCTACTTGGATTATTTCTTCAAACTGTCAACAAACTAATTTCCATCTAGCCTGAAATTTTTCATGCTCAGTACCATTGACATTTGTGGCTGGATAATTCTTCATTGTGGGGGGCCATCATGTGCATTGTAAGATGTTCAGCAGCATCTCCGGCCTCTACCCACTGGACTCCAGCAGCAACCTCTCCTTTCCTAGTTTTGATAACCACAAGTGTCTCCAGACTTTGCCAAATATCCGCTGGGGGACAGAATCATCCCCTGTTGAGAATCTCTGCAGAATCCCGCATTCTTTTCCATCTACCTACAAGATCTCACCCACATGGGGATGCAGTCTCTCCCCCAGTGCTTCCAGTACTTGCCCCTGGGCAGCCAGGTCCACTGTGAGGCCACTCAATTCATTACATCACTCATGTTGACCATGAAGACCCTAAGTCATCAAGGAAGGTTCCACTGGGTGCAGCAAATGCCACTCAGGTAGTCAGGAAAAGTATGTGCTACAGTTAAGAAATATCTCTACCCTAGAAGGGCCCTCACTATTTTGTGTTTATTTTTATTTTAGATACAAGGTCTTGCTCTGTCATCCAGGCTGGAATGCAGTGGTGCAATTATAGCTCACTGTAGCCAGTTTTATTCTTAAAGACCTAAGACGCGGTGGCTCACGCCTGTAATCCCAGCACTTTGGGAGGCCGAGGCAGGTAGATCATCTGAGGTCAGGAGTTCGAGACCAGCCTGACCAGTACGGTGAAACCCCGTCTCTAGTAAAAATACAAAACTTAGCTGGCTATGGTGGTGAGTGCCTGTAGTCCCAGCTACTTGGGAGGCTGAGACAGGAGAATCGCCTGAACCAGGGAGGCAGAGGTTGCAGTGAGACGAGATCATGCCACTGCACTCCAGGCTGGGCGACACAGCGGGACTCCATCTAAAAAAACTACAACAATGACAACAACAACAACAAAAAGAAAACAAACAAAAAACCCAAAAAACCTAAGGCCTTAGCTATCTAGAAAGTTTGAGCCCCAAAGTAGATACATTTTTGGAGTGTTCCTCATAATCAAGATCTTCCTGCATTTGCCTCTTCAGAATATTTTACAAATGTTTGTTTTTGATTTTCCTGATTGCCTGTCTTTCCTTGAGGGCTGGGTTGTATCTTATTCATTTGTGTGTTCCTGATCCCTATTACAGCAGCTGGTATATGGTAGGGACTCCGAAAGTATTTTTACATGATGGGTGAGTAAGTGCGCCAATGATTGCTTAGTAACAAAGTAACAAAGGTCTTTGACGATTCCAGGAGCTGCACTGGAGCCAGGGCTGCTGCCTGACTGATCAGCCAAGGTAGGAGCTGAAGTTTCATGGGCCAGCAGCCCAGGTGGGCTCATGAACACATCAGTCCTGGGTAGTGTGGTGGAGGTGGGGCTGCATGAATCCATCCCCAACTGTCATATCCCAGTGTCTGATATGTCTGCACAGCTGGAGGCGGCTAAGTTTGACATTGCTTCAATTTTCTCACTAGTAAAATGGGGATACAAATGCGTATCTGGCAGGGTTATGATGAGGATTAAATTGGAAAAAAACAACTATTTCAATTGTGCTTGACAGAGAGCAGGTGTCCAGGAAATTTCATTTTCCTTCTCTTCCCTTTCTGCCTTTTCTATCTGCCTAACACCCCTCATGCTGGGAACTTCTCTTCTGTCCATGTTGCTATTGAGACTGTTAATCACATGTTCCAAACTGACCAATCAGAATACTCCTTTGTTCCTGGTTTCAGTGATTGGTCCAGCAGTGGGCACATGACCTGGGAAAGCCAATGAGAGTCTTTCGGGGAGGGGGACTCGATATAAATGCAGGGTTTTCTCTGGTCTGTAAGGTGGTGAAAATCCGAAGTTGAGCGCAGGCGGCCGGTTTGCTCACATCAGGCCTGCTAACTGGGGCTAATGATAATAATGATGACAGCTTGGATTGACAGCACACCTGCCATGTTCCTGTTGCCTTACAACCACTATCTCCAGCCTCCCTACCGTCTAGCATGTGCCTTGCTCCATACCTGCCTTCCTGAGGTGCAGAGGACAGCAGCGTGGAGAGATGGAGGGACAATGGGTGCCGATACTATTGTTTCGACACCTGCATCCGGTTTTGCCTGAAGTCTTTTCATTTGCTGGATATCTTAGTTCCATGAGTCAATATTCTTCTACTTCTTTTTAATCCAGTTTATTTTAGGTTGTTGTGACTTCCCATCAAGAGGTCCTGACTAATATATGATTCATCTCTTTTCCTTCTTTCTTGTTTTTCTTCCTTCCTTTCTCTGCCCTCCCACTCCCTTCCTTCACCCTCTTGCTCCTCTCTCCCCTAGGGTCCTTGTCTCTCCTAGTTCCTAGCCTGGATCCCAATTTTGTCCTTGTCTTTCTGTCCATTCATCATATCCGTGGAGTCCTCAGATAATTGTCATACTGACTCCTAGACATTTACAGATTATAATGCAGATCTTTCAAGGCTCATAGGCACACAGCTCTATTAGGAGAAAGATGCGGTGATGTTGACATTTTGGATGAGGGGGTCAAATATTGTTCAGCTCCAGTCAGAGCCACACTTCATATTGCAGGCTTCTGCCTGGTTCATTTTCATTTTTATGCAAGCAAACCATCACAAGAGCCCGCCTGTGTTTACCCCCTGCCCAGGTGTATTATGAACATTGTCTCTAGTTCCTACCTGTGGCTCACATAGCTAAGGACAGCAGGGCTTACCTGGCTGGGGCTGAGCGTCTCAGGTGAAAAGTGCCACCTGGAGGTGGGGTTGAGAATGAACTCCGCCTGATGGCCATGTCTGGGTCTGGCACCCCAGGAGTCCACTAAGCAGTCATAGGCAAAGGATGCCATTTGTCTCTTGGGTTCACTAGTGCAGTGGGTGACTTCTGCCAGCAGGGAGTTGGTGGATATTGCAGGGTTGGACTGTGTTTTTCAGAGGAGCGGCGATGAATTAGCCCATTTATTTTCCCATGGTCTGAAACCCAAGGAACATCTGTCTGAGCCACAAGCGGCACGTTTTGTGGCTGGTGGGAGGACCCATGTTGCAGGGTTTGATTATGCCCATCAGCCGGGGTTGCTTGGAAGCGTCAGGGAGAGCTGGTGATTAATCACCAGGCACAGTGGCATGGATCCCCTGTGTAATTATCCCTATTGCCCTCAGAGCCGATTATGCTTCCAAAGGGTAGCGGCTTTCGGAAGGAGGTGAGTGCAGGCTGGCCCCTTTGCTCACACCAGTCCTGCTAACTGGGGCTAATGATGATAATGATGACAGCTTGGATTGACAGCACACCTGCCATGTTCCTGTTGCGTTACATCCACTATCTCCAGCCTCCCTACCGTCTAGCATGTGCCACCTTCAAGGTCTTGGCCGTGTTCTTCTAACGCTGATACTGTTATTTACTTCAGTTTTTTCTTTAAATCAACTCAATTTTTTATTTAAATGTATTTTTAAAGTGGGGTACAAAAAATTAGAAAGAATGAATAAGACCTACTATTTGATAGCACAACAGGGTGACTATAGTTAATAATAACTTAATTGTACATTTAAAAATAACTAATCAAGTATAATTGGATTGTTTGCAACACAAAGGATAAATGCTTAGGGGATGAATATCCCCATTCTCCATGATGTAATTACTATGCATTGCACACCTGGATCAAAACATTTCATGAACCCTATAAATATATATACCTACTATGTACCCCCAAAAATTAAAAATTAAATAAATTAAAAAATAAAAAAGTAAGATTTCCAACTCTCTTCCAAGTAGAAAACTAGTAAGGCTTTCTAAGAATGGAAAGAAACCATACAAAATATGACATAAAACATACAACTAAATGCTGGTTGGTAGTATTGCCTGTGAGGACCCAGCTGAGCCCTGCACCCTCTTTATTATGATGGGGTCTTTAATAGAGGTGAGTGCTGACCTGAGACTTTTTATGTAACCAGAGAAATAGAAGGGCAGTTAGAAAAAATAAAGCACTTCTCATCATGTCTCTACTGGTATACCTCAAAAAATCACCAAGGTCTGTGTCTCAGGCATCAGGGGTGTTCATGTATTTGACTTCCCATACTTCTCACTCCTCAAGTTGGGCTCTGTTACGTCCATTTCAGAGTTGAAGAAACAGAGCCAAAAAGAGGTTGCAGAGAGAGGATGTTCAAGAAGGGGGATTCCAGCCCAGGCTCTGGAGATAGACCATCATTGTTCTGTACTAGATGCCATGTGCCAAGTTCTGAGCTTGGCACTTCACCTTCATTACCTTGTTCTATCCACATTCCTGCCCTGTGGAACTGTTATGGTTTTCATTTTATGGGGGACACAGAGGCTCAGTGGGGTGCAGAGATGGTCCCAAGCTCTCCTGGCAGTAAAACAAAAGCAGAGTTCTTGACCAGGGCACGGGGTGCTGCAGAGGACACACATTCCCACTCTCAGATGCTGCTTGTTCTCTCCACAACCAGCTGTGGGGCAGCTGCTTTGCCAGGGGCCCTGAGTGTCGGCAACAGCCAGAATAACAGGGAAGCAGAGAGGGAGTTTGCTGGAAGGGCTTGGGGGAATGCACAAATGTAGGGCAGAAGCTGGAGAAATGGACCTAGAAAGAACCAGAGCCTAGGCACTCTGGTGTCCGGGAGGCCTCAGGGCTGTGGCCAGAAGACATAGGCACCTTTTCTACTCTTTTGGGGGTCTTCTCCTCAAAGGTGGGGACCTTGAGCAAGAGGGTCCAGTGGATCTGCTCAGGTTACGTGCCTCCCCTCTGGGCAGGGTGAGATCCTTGTTTGGAGAGTCCCACCCAGCAGGATTCACACAATAGGAAGTTGGGGCGGGGGGATCAGGGTGCTATCATAAAGGGTAAGAAGGCTAAGACTAACCTCCGAACATGCAGAAGTTACCCACTATATGCCAGTTGGCCCTGTGCCAGGGGGCCTTCTATCATACTATCCTGTAGAGGTAACAAGAAGTCCCAGCCTCAAAAAGGGGCTGGCAGGCTGGGTCCTAGTTCTTCTTTGCCATGGCTCCAGCATGGACTTATACCCTGGATTGGTTGTCTCATTTCAAAGCAGGGAAAGATCTCTGAGAGCTTTGCCCAGCTCCCTGGATGCTCTGCTCCAGGTGATCTTGGCACCCTCTTCTGGGTCTGGCACCCACACACTGGCACACCTTCCATGACCCTGAGGCTCATGCAGCCTCCAGACTCACCTACCAGTTCTCTTCCTGGGATTCTCAGCTTTCTAGCATACCCTCTTCCAGAGGTGGGAGACCTCCAGTTAAAAACAAAATTGTACACAACCGCAGCCTCATTTCCATTGTTTAAGAAATTAATTATCTTGGTGTATCTTTTCCAATAACAGCTTTCATTAAATTAAACCCAAGGCATTTATATTCCCTGGGAATAACAGGCTGCTTATATATGGCGGGAATGTGCTGGAATTTCTTTAGAAATCAGCACATTGGCTATTGAGGACTAGCTGGTGATCACAGGTATAGGTTTTGAAGTTAGATTGTCAGGATTAAAATCCAGGCTCTGCCATTGCTGGCTGTGTGGTCTTGAGCAAGTTACATTACCTCTCTGTGTCTCGGCTTGCCCATCTGTGCAATTTGGACAGTAAGAGTTCCTATCTCCCAGGCTTGTGGTAAGGATTAAACACGTTCATGTAATGATCAACAAGGTTAACTATGAACATGCTCACAAAGACACACATGGGCTCTTCTGGCGCAATAGGGACGTGGCCTGGAAGCTCACTGCCACGTGGCATTTGGGACCACAAGGGATCAGACCTCATCGTCTGTGCACAGATAGACAAGATCATAAAGAGGAAAAATTAGCATCGGGAAACTGGTTATTTATTTAAGATTGAAAGCGGGAGAAATCTGCCCTGGACATCTTCCCCTCTCCTCTGTTTGTTTTGTCTGCCAAACAGAGGCAGTACCCCCTCTCCACTCTATTTATTAATTGAGTAAACTCCGTGATCCTAAATGCAAACAAACATGGGGCCAGCACAAACAAGCACGTGCTTCCTGTACGCGCCACTTCTGAGTAGCAGCCCGAGCAACAGGTGGACTGGCTGGGAGACAGAAACGGCTGCAGAAGGCGCCTCCAGGATTTGGCGTGAGAGCCCTGCAAGGTCAGCCCATGTGCTCCTTCTTTGTTAGATTGTTTGTTCATTCATTTGTTTATTCATTCCTTTATTCAAGTGTTTAGTGAGAACTTCCATGTGGAAGACAAAGACCTAGCTCACAAGGGGTGCATGGTCTAGGGAGCTAGGTGTGGACAAAGAGCCACGTAGGATGTCAGTGCTGAGATGTGGCAGCCACGGGGAGCTATGGAAGGGGGCAGAAAGAAGACCCCAGAGCTCAGGGAAGGCCTGCAGGGCAAGTAGGGAGTTGTCAGCCCAGCAAAGAGCCAAGAGTGTGAGGAGAAGGTCTGCCAGCGCCTGAAGGGGAGAAGCCATGGTTCACCAGCTTCAAGAGTTGATACAGTTGAAAGCATCATCTCTCCATGGCCAACATCCTGGGCTGTGGCTTTAATTTGGGCATAGTGTGTGCCTGCAAAACCTCGGCTGTATTCAACCTAGTCTGCCATTGATGGAGTGAGAACTGCCCCCAAATTATTTACATTCAAATTTGGAAGCAACTGAAACCCAACAGTAGGAGATTCATTACAGTAATTCCATGGAAATGGAATAATACGCTGTCGTTAAAAGTGTTCAAATCTTTTATGGTTATGATAAATCTAATAATAAAATCGAGACAATATTAGAATATATATTTTAACATTTTCCTAGTTTTGTGAAAAAAGCCCCAAATATCTGTATGAGCCTAGATAAATGACAAGAAAGGAAAACAGTAAGATTTTTATAATGGTTATTGCTCAATGGTTGGATTTTTAAAAATACTCTTCTATAATTTCTAAATTTTATGCCCTGAGGATGTATTACCTCCATAGTCAGAAAAATTATGAAAGGTATTTAAAACCCAAACTGGCTTTGGGCATGCAGAATGCTTGGTTATTTCTGAAGTATAAAAATAACTCCCCCTCTGTCCCATCAGCACGCGTGTTGCAGGGAGTCTGACGTTGCTCGCTAAGTCTCTTTGGTCGTTTCATACTAATGCCCTTTGCTCCCCTGATTATCTCTCTGAGGTTGGGGCCGGGGGATGGGGGTGTGCTAGGCCTCCTGGATGTCTGTCTGCTGCCAAAACATCCTCTCCTGTCTCTGTCTCATTGGTGCATTTTGATGAACCTGTATTGCCTGGTCACTGCGCGCTAACCACCAAATTATGAAACATTTGTGCTGCAAGGGAGCTGAGAGATCCTTAAACTCAATGAACCATTAGGCATAAGACACACACACACACATACACACGTGAATACACACAAACACACAAACAGCTTGGCTGCTCTGGGTGAAGCATGTGTGTGTTTGGGGGAAATTTCCTTCCCCACCCGTGGTCGTCCATTTGCCCATGAGCAGCTTCCGAGGCAGGTCCGTGGACCCCAACGCTGTGTAACACCGTGTGAAAAACACAAAGGCTTGCAGCCCTCTCACTGCAGACGTGGGAACACGACTCTGTTTAAAACCCTTCAAAGCCCGCCTTCTTGCCGTGTGATGCTGCCTGGGCCAGCAGGGCAGGTCACCACGCTGTCTCTTCAAAGCAGCTCGCTCATGCCCACAGCGCTGGGCACAAGGGCAGCCACGAGCTGTTTGATTTCTGCGTCCCCAGCAGATGGCTTGGTGCACAGGGGCAGGGCTCGTCTGTCCCTCTCACTGCTGCGTCCCAGGCTATGTCTCCACCATGTAACTTCAGACAAGTTCCTCAGCGTCTCTGTGTCCTGGTTCCCTCATTTGTAACATCAGGATATTGATAAGGATCATAGTAATAGGGATGTCCTTATGGGGCCTCATGAAAATGAAGAGTTCTCTGTGATGTGCCTGGAACCACAGAGGGCAGCAAGTGGGAGCCACAGAAAGTCATCTCTTTATCATAGTTGTCATTGGTAACTATGACGGTTATCAAGGGCAGGGGTCTCCCACCTTCTGCATCCAGGCCTTGTCATTCCTTATAAAATTTTCTCCTTTCAAGGACTTTCAATGCCCTGAAAACGGAATGCTCCTCCCTGCTCCCCATCAGCTGCTGCAGAGCCCTGAACCCCTTGAACTTGCCTTGCTTAGTTCTTTCAGGGGCTGCCTTGGATGCCACCTCACTTCCCTCTTCTTGGCTCTGTGGCTGTCAGAGGGGCTGGGCACTGGGTTACTTCATCAGTTCCTGGGTGTTGATCGGCAGGAAACAGTGGTTTCCTGTTCATATCCTGCCTGAGCCTGGGCCGGGTGGAGGTGTCCTGCATGGAGTCTTGTGAAATCGCGTGGACTGCAACACCCAGCAGCGCGGTGAGTCCACCCTGAAATCCACAGTGACCCACGCGGCATGTGCTGGGAATTGAACGCTTGGGGAAAGAGCTGGGCTCCAGCGGATCAGCCCCGACCAAGTCGTTCCCACAGCTCAGGACCGGACGCTACAAGCCCACTTTGTAGCAGTTTGGCGGACGGCAAACTTTTGCAACACAGTGCAAAAACCATTTAACACCTTTAAGGGAATTGGAAATGGGTTTTTCATGTGTGGTGGTGCTGAAAATTGAGAATAATGACAGAATTATTAAAAACAGCCTTCTCGGCCTTAGACTCTTAATTGCCTCTGGTCTGTAAAACTGACAAATAAGCACTGTAGAAGCCACAGATGAAATATGTCGTCTTGGGAGCCCTGGAGAATTGTCTCTGAATTCTTTTGTTTATGGATTGTAGAAACTGCTTTGGGGGTAGTTGGATGTAGAAGCAGAAGGACAGAGTGGGGAGCTGGGAGCAGGAGGCCTGGGTTTGTCTCCTGAGTCTGTTTCCACTGGGGCCTGAGGCTCCCGTGTGAGGGAACATGAATGGGCCAGGCACATGGGCCCTGTGGGGTGACAGAGCTGTGGGCTCCATGGTGGCTCTGTGGGCAGCTAGCTTGGGGATGGCTGAGATAAAGACAAGTAGTTTTCCTTCCTGCAGGACTTCTCAGAGCCTTTAGTGTGGTTATAATGATAGAAAACAGTATTAAGTCCATACCCTGAACCAGAAACAATGCTAAAAGCTTTGCACTTGGCCTTTTTTTTTCTTTTTCTTTTATCAACATGTGTGAGGACGGAAGCTTAGGCTTACAGATATGGACTCATTGAGAGTGAGTGGACGTGTCTGATCTTTAACCCAGTTCTGTCTGACCAAAAAGCCTGTGCTCTAACCACTGTGCACCCCTGCCTGTCTGTCCTGTTGAGAGAACTGTAGGGAAAGCCTTGAGATTATGTATCCAGTGCTCCCCTCCTCCTGATTGGAAGATGGCAGCTCAGAAGGTTAGGGTGCCTTCTCCTGTCCTCCGAGTGGTTAGATGCACGTGTCCTCTTCTGTCCTCTGCTCTTCCCACATCCCTCTCTCTCTGGTGCTCTGGTGGAGCCCCTGGGATCAGGGGTCACAGGAGCACCTGGGCCATTTGCATGGTTGTTGGTAAAGGGTGTTCCCCCACCCCCCATTAAGGTGCCTGCCATCAAAGTGCCTTATTGCTTGAGTTCCAATCTCGGCTTCACAACTCTGTAGCTGTGTGACTTTGCACAATGTACTGAGCCTCTCTGTGCCTGAACATCCTTGTTTGTAGATAGTAAAGATAATTGTCCCTTACTCCTAGGTTTCACATTGAGTGTTTAGCAAGTTAACGTTTGTAACGTGTGAAGTCATAAGATGCAGGACTGGATGACTGCCCTACCCACAAGAGGCCTAGGATCTTCCCAAGTTGCACTACTTATGGGACAGGTCTGCCAAGCAGCCCTTGTGAAGATAAAGGTGGTGATGAGTTCCTCCCACAAAACAAGAGCCTCAGAGAGACTGGAAAATAACCCCCGGTGCCTTTTATCAACTGGCCAGCAGATGGCAGAAGCAAGCCAGGAACAGAGCTTGTGTGCGGCGGCTGTGGCAGCTACCTTTGAAAATCCCGTGGTGTTTGGTGGTCGTATTAAGAGATCTCTGGTGTAGGAGCATCCTTCATTCTAAGCAGGATTCTGAACAAACTCAGAACTGGCTTTGTGGCTGGTACCGAGGACCCAGGGGTCACGGCTGCTCCCAGTGGGTGCTGATGCCCATTTGTTTGTGCAAGTTGGTCCCCTGTAGGGAGGACAGATGGTCTGTCTCGGACTTTCTGGCCTGTGCACCAAGGCCCAGGGATGGAAGTGGGGCAGCATGTCCCCATCATTAAATAGGGCGTTCTTGATAATAATCCCATAAGGCCTAATGTGATGGGTGTGGTCAATCATTCATTCATTCTGTGAGGATTCAGTGAGCAGCTACTCCATGCCTCTAGGCTCTGAGGACGCAGCATGAGAAACACACGGAAGGCCCACGATGACCAGGGAGCTCGCCTTCCAGGGAGAGAGGAGAAAAATAAATGGTAGGGAGTTAAACACGACAAAGTAGAAAAGGGCCAGCTGCAAGAATGAAATTAAATAGGAGGCTGGTGGCAGGGGGGCAGGGAAGCCTGAAGCACCTGACTGCCCAGAACAAGCCGCACCTGTGAGGAGCTGGGAAGGGCACTCCAGGCAGAGGGAGCACCAGAGCAAACCCTGGGAGGGGGATGAGCCTCTTGTTGAAGAACTAGAAGGAGGCCAATGTGGCTGAGCAGAACACATGAGGCGGAAGGAGGAAGTGAGGGGCCCTGGGCCTGGCCACCAACCGGCAGATCAGGGGTGAGGACTCCACTTGGGAGAGTGTGAATGGCCCAGTGTGAATGACAAAGCAGTTTCATGCAGCTCAGCCTGTCTGGCTAAGTGCGCAGCCCTGAGGATTGGGCTCTGAGCGTTGCAGCCCTTCTGAGTCTGTGGGCCCCTCTCCCAGGAGGATCAGGTTGCCCAGGGCAGCTGGAAATGTCCTTAAGTGACTCCTTGCTGCTGCTGCCGCTGCGTCTTGCTGACATCATTTCCCCGCAACAAGCGCTGGTCTCCTGGGGCGGCTGCCCCCTCTCATCTGCACATCTAGCTCCCCTGCCAGGCCTGTGCTGTTTTCCGGGGCCTCACAGAGAAGCTCAGGCAGGTGGAGCCTCAGCAACAGGCGCCATCCTCCCCTTCAGCCTGTCGCGGCTCCTCCCTGGGGCATGCTTGAAAGCCCAGACATGTTCTTCACATCTGAGAAAGCAGTTAAACTGAAATTCCTGGCAGACTCAGGTTCAAATCCTTATTAGGCTGTTAAGTGAGAGGGGATTTCATTTCCTTGCAGCCGCCCTGGGTCCTGCCACTGAGCAGCTGTTGGTAGGCTCTGCTGTGAGGTCTCCTCTTCCGGCTTTCCCACTTCCCAAGGTAACCTGGTGTGGGGAGGAAGCCGGGGGCCTCTGGTGAATGGGAACCTGTGCAAAGAAGGAGCCGAGGGCAGGGAGAGGTGGGATAAGACCCAGCGTGGGGGCCTGAAAGTGAGGCCAGCAGAGAGTCATTGAGAGGCCCTCGGAGAATACGTTCTGGGGACGCAGTCAGGGAACACCTGTTTCCTGCTGTGTGACTCTCACAACCCAGCTGTGGACACACACGTATGTACATATATGCACACACAGGAACACATATGCACACACAGGAACACATGCACACATGGACACACATATACACACGATGAATACACATACAGACACACATTCATATATACACACATACCTATGTATACACATGTACACACATACACTCACATGCACATGCACATATAGACCTACAGATACATAAATGTACATCCTTATAGATGCGTACATATACAGTACACATGCATGTACTCACAAATACTTATGCCCACATCTACATATATGTATAATACATATATACACATATAGATATATACATATATACTCACATGTCTATGTATAAACACACACCTATATGCACATGCCTATACATATATGCACATACATGCCCACATACACCTATGTAAACATATACACACATCTATATTTAAATATGCTCATGCATGCATATATACACACATATATACACATTTATGCATGTGCATTCATGTACATATACACACATGCACTGACATCGACACATGCATGACACAATGATATAGATATACACACATATATACATGCATGAACACATCTATATGCATACATACACATATGTGGATATAGAAAAATAGCAGATATACACATACATGCACATATCTGTATGCACACATATATACATACAGATAAACACATGTACATTCATCTAGATTTCCACATTTACAAGTGCATATTGGTACACATATGCATACATATGTGTATGTATGAATCTTTTCTCCCTCTATATCACACACATACCTTTTGCTGAGGGCTTAGTATTTACTAGGTGCCAGACTCTGCTCTCTTAATATAAGGTCGCCCCAAAACAGACCCTGAGCTGAGGATTCGGGTGCAAGCGGCTAACATGGACGGTGATCCAGCAGCACCGTGAGGAAGTGGGGCTGAAACCTGGAAGGGAGCAAGGCCGGGGATTAGGGTGACCACAGACAAGGCCATCACTGAGGACCTTGGGGTTCAATTTCTCCAGTGGGGGTGTCTAAGCCACTATGTTGCGTCACGTGTCAGAATTGCCCTCTGGAGGACTGGAAAACTGGGTGTTGACTGCCACTTCCTGCTCCTGGCCATGAACTCCTGGTGCTTCTAGTTTGCCCAGCATAGGCCATGTGCTCCTGGGGCCAGCGAGGGTCCACAGGCAGAGGCTGGGGACCTGTGCTGCAGGTGATCGCAGGTGGGCCCTGGGCCACCACACGCTCCACACAGGTGCTGCCTCATGGGTCTTTCACAACAACCCCCGTTTGACAAGGAAGAATCTGGGGCTTGGGGAGGTCTATAGATTTGAGGGGTGTTATGGGCGAGGCTCATAGCAGAACCAGGTCAAGAATCAAGGTTGTGTGATTCTAGCAGGTAAGTCCTGACAATGACTGGCAAGTGTGAGCCATGCAGGGGCAGGACAGGCCTCATGAGTGGTGACAGGAGGTGGTTCAGGGTTGTTTTGCACAGCCAGGCATTCTTTGAAGGGCAGCTGCAGTGAAGGGCCTGGCTGCACAGCCAGCCTGCCTGGGTCCAGATCCCAGACTCACCATGTCCTGAGGGAGCTTGGGGGAACTGCCTGTTCCCTCTGGGCTTAGTTTCTCTTCAACACTAAGAAGACTCAGTTGAGTCATGTTCATGATGGAGTGCTTGCAACACCACCAGAGAGGAAGGGATTGTGAATGAGGCCGTCCTGGGGAAGCGCAGGTGTGTTGGGGTGGGCGGGTAACCAGGTATTGCGACAGGGGCACAAGGTGGCACTCAGCCTCCTTGTGTTTGTAGCAGACTTTTGAACACTAGACTTTCTGGTGGCACCTGTAGCACCCTTAAAAAGTGAATGCTGCTGCCCAAATTAAATCTGAGCAGACTGAACTGAACGTCCCAGCATAACCTCAACGTCTCTGGGGCCCCATCTGCCCTGCTCTTAGCATCCCACTAAGAGAAGCAGCAGACACTCAAAGCAATTGGAAAAATGACCTGAGTTCATCCAAACCCTTTAAGGAGAAACCTCTCTATGACTTTCCCTACGATTCTTTCACCCCGTATTTCTCCCCTCCCATGGTCTCACTCCAGAGCTTTTCCAGAGCCCTTTTCTTTCCCAGAGGCTCCTTGGAGCCAGCCCTCACGGCTCTGGCCTTGTTTTCTGCTCCACGTTTTAGCATGAGGCAGGCATGCTATACGGCAAACATGACATTTTCTTTAGTGGGTAGGGGAAGAGGAGGGCTGAACCTCTAGCGCCCGAATGCATTTGTCCCTGTCACACACAGTCATTGTCCAATTACCTTTTGGGAGGGAAAACCCAGTACTGATCACTCCGCCTACTCCAGTTTTTCCTGATCTGAATGATCTGCCTTAACAATGTGTTAACATTTTACCCAAGTTCACTCAGAATAAGAAAGTGCGTAGAGGTGCCCACTAGAGGGTGGGCGCACAGCAGTGGGCATCTCGGCTCTCTGCCCGTGGGGATCCTGCCAGGTTGTTCAGAGCAGCTCCTCAGTGTCACTCTCCTCCCCACCCTCCCTTTCCTTGGGGTCTAGCCGTTTCTAGCTCCAGTGTTGCCCCTCCCAAGCTGGATGTAACCTAGCTTCTGTCTTTTACCTGTTACCTCATTTGTGCAGTTAACATTTTATGCACGTCCCTTACAGTGTAGAAGGAAAACATAATTCTAATCTGACTCCATTCAGTGATGTTAAATACTGCATGTGAACATCCCCATCCAGAAGTTCATCCAATGTAGACTCATCAAAAAGCAGGAGTCCTAAATGTTTGCATTGTGCAAGCATCCTTAGCACATTGCTATATAGGTGTTTAAGAGTGTCTTAAGAGATATTTGGAAAATTGGTTGGGGATTGTTTTTGTTGGCCTGGGAATGTATTATTATTTTTTCCCAGTTCACATAAAGGGGTGAAGCCCTGATGTCTGGAAATTTGCTCTCCAAAGTGTTTCCAGGAATTGACAATATTTGGATAATGAGGGGTGTCTGTACTTTCCTTGACCTAAACTGCTGGTAGAGGGGGATATTTTTGTATGATTGGGCAAGGTCAAACACAGAATCAAATCAGGAAGAACAGGGTCTGACATGATGAATCCCTGCCTCGCCTTGCCATTGACAAGAGACAGAATAAATGCCCCCAAAGAACCCTGCACCATGAACGCTTGATGGCAATCCTGTCTCAGGGCTTTGCTGCTCGCTGTCAGGCAGCAGGTACACTACCCAGGGCCGTGGGGAAGGCGTCTTGCAGCCACACTGCAGCAGGAGGCTGGTCATATCTACGGGCTCCACCAAGCCAGGATGCAGAGCTCGGCCCGTCTCATGGCACAGGCTCGGGCTGCTCGGAGCTTATAATGAATTAGAGCCACAGCTGATTATTTTCAAGGCTGGCGCTCACGCTGGGTGCCTGAGAAGACGATGAATCTGCAGTGCCGAAGTGCTGCCTGGCCTCTCAGGAACCAGCTGCAGCTGGGATTCTCTGCAGCCTTCCCCGCAGCAAGCTGGGGTAGCCATGAGCCCTGCCTGTCCAACGTGGGGTCAGGCGGGCATGCCTGCTGTGTCTGGCAGCCTTGACACCCCCAGATTCTGCTGGAAGATGCTCGTGGCCTGAAAGCTCATTTTGTAGTCGCTCTACCCTGGGATGCAGCTTCTGCACTGGCAGGATTAACGCAAACAGAATCTGCTTGGCTCATTCCTCGCCGGGCCTCAACAGGCCTGCAACGCCACTGTCTGCCAGGGAGAGCCACTCGGTGATACTGTTAATTAAAACCATGACTCTGGGGGCAAGAAAAAATTTTAAAACGCTGAAGTCATCTTCCCTAATAGAAATCTTATTTTGAAGGTGCTCACGGAGGTCAGGCTGACCAGAAAAACCCACAAGCCATAAATAAGCTCAAATAGTTTTATTTAATTTACTTAACTCGGTGCCTGGAGTCCTCATGGGGAGAGGTGCCTGGCATCAACACAGGGTGGGGGTGGCCACCCTCATCTCTAGCCCCTGGGTCCCAGAGCTGAGAGGAGGGAGAGAACTGAACTTTCTTGGAAGAATGTGGAACTGCTGAGTAGATGCTTTGGAATTTGCTGACCCAGGCATCTGGGAGTACAGCCTGACCGGCCATCTCTGCGCCAAGCTATCTATAGTCCAATGGCTATTTTCAATTGGAAATTCATTTTAAAGTGGTGGCAGTGACGGGGGAGTGGCTGTATCTGTAATCCATTATTTCACACAGAGAATTCCCTTCTTTCATTTTTTTCTGGCCAAAGTTGCTGCTTTGAACGTGGGTGGGTCTTGGAGCCCAAGACTGAGCTGGCTGCTTGGAGAAAAATTGGAGGGATTTGAAAAGGCCCGAGGGAGGGTGTCCTCTGAGTTGGGGGTGGCAGAAAACATCTTAAATGTGCAGGCCCAAGCCTTCTGCAGTGAAGGGAATAGGACTCTGGCTTCGGCAGACCTAACTCAGTCTCTGGGTTCTTGGGCTAATTTGTGAAATTACCTCTCCCCTCAGGACTGGGAGAGAACGGCCTTAAATAAGTGCAATTTAATTCCCTTGATTGTGGTCCTCTTTAATGAAAAACCAAAATTTATTCTCTCTCCTGCTAGTTTCCCATTGAAAGTCACAAGAAATGAGGCTGGGGTGGAGGGCCTGGAGTTGCTATGGAAGCATGATGCCTAGAACCCACTATGGGATGGATGGTCATTGGTGTCACGGACTGTGGTGTAGACATTGTCTCCTGTGCCAGGATGTGGCCTGGTCCTGCACCCCTTTGCCTTTGAAGCTGTGCCTGCCTGTGATCTGGGAGTGGCACGAACCCACAGAACCCAGCCCACCCTGCAGGAAGTGGGAGAGCTCCCCGGGTACTCTGGTGCTGAGGAAGCACAGCTTAAAGAGGAAATTTCCTTGAAATCCACACAGACCTCCTTCCAGAATGTTCTGGAAGGAAGCACAACTTCAAGAGGAAATTTCCCTGAAATGCACACAGACCTCCTTCCAGAATATTCTGGAAGGAAGCACAACTTAAAGAGGAAATTTCCCTGAAATGCACACAGACCTCTTTCCAGAATGTTCTGGAAGGAAGCACAAGTTAAAGAGGAAATTTCCCTGAAATGCACACAGATCTTCTTCCAGAATGTTCTCTAAATCCTCCTCCAATTCAACTGTCATCACCACAGAACCCACACCCTATGATAAATGGCCAGAGCCCTTACTGTCTTTGTTTTACTCCAGGCGTCTCAGGCCACTAACAAGGAGGTGGAGGTCTCAAGGCTATTGTCAACTGATTCTGCTGGAGGCCAGACCAAAATGGCTTTCTTCCGTGACAGCGTCAGTCCAGTTACAAATCTCCCGGTTCCATGATAAAGGATTTGGCTGGGCTATGGCCCTGGTTTCTTGGAGGAAACCTCTAAATCCTTGAAACTTCCCGAGTGATAGGAGAATCTATGTTATTCATGGTGGGCCTTTCCAACCATACCTGAGTTTATGCTTATGAAATTACCAGGATGGAAGCTGACCACACCAGAAAGGTCAGCCAGGTAATTGGAGGCTTGGGGCTTTGACCAACATGACGTCAGTCCTTCAGTGAGTGGAGGAGGGCTGGAGATTGAGTTTAATTGCATGGCCAGTGAGTTAATCAATCATGCCTATGTAACGAAACTCCAATAAAAATTCTGGACATGGGCTCAGGTGAGCTCCCAATTAGTGAACACATCAAGGTGCCTACAGGTGATATGTCCTGATCCACAGGGTGATGCCATGGAACCTTCCAGGCCTGGCCCTATGCATCTCTTCACTGGGCTGGGCTGTATTTCCACCATTTGATAATAACACTGTAATCTTATCACTGCAGCAGTTTCCTGAGTTCTGCCAGTCGTTCTGGCAAATTATGAAACCTGAGGGGGTTGTGGGAAATGCCAAATTTTTGGCCAGTTGGTCAGAAGTGCCAGTTCTGGGGAGCCTGGAGCTCCTAGCTGGAAATTCTTGTGGACAGTGTACCTGGCCTCTGATGTCTGAGCCAGTTCTGGGTGTTGTGTGTTGGGATGGCACTGCAGTCCCTAAAGCAAGTTCTGGGGAATGGTAGGAAAGCATCCCTGCATCTATATTTCCATTTGGTCCCGGTCTAAAGCAGCTGGTCCTCAGAATTGTCTAGGGGGCTTTTAGAAAGAAGAGCCTTCTGGAACCCTTCCTGAACGATTCTGATCCCATAGTCCCGCAATGGGCCCTGGAGTCTGTATTTTTGAAAAGCTTTCCTAAGTAGTACTGAGGCAGAATCATATTTGAGACTAACTTTCCAGTGCAGCCAGGCATACCTCCCAAAAAGAGAAAATCTGTTTGAAAGAAGGGAAAATGCAGAAAACTGGGGAGGCCATTCCCCAGTGTTCTAACAAGTCAGGGAACAAAGGGACGGCAGATAGAAAGTTCCATGCCGGGAGGTCAGTGCTGCAGCCTGCGTCCTTACGCTGAGGTCAGTCTACGAAAAGGCATATTTGGTGACCCTGCATCCCTTTCTGGGTGTTAAGCTCTGGAGACACTTGCGAGGCCTTCTTCCTTCTCCATATGTCCCCCCTTGGACCTTTCAGATGTCCTTATGGTCCTGACATCAGTATCCTATGATGGGATGCACATGCTCGACCTCGGGGACCAGCTGGAAGCCCTAGCTGCTGCTGGCAGGGGCCAGGACCCTCAGCACTGAGGGTCTGGGTAGATGGAACTGCACACCTTGCATCTGGGGCGAGGAAGCATGTCCTAAGAACTGAGTGGCGCACGAGGAATTCACGTGACAGTTTCTCAAGCTGGTGGCCTTCTCCCTGTCTCCTAAAACTGCCCTGAGCTGCCTCTGTCTCCCACCGGGGTGACAGCCACATCTCCTCTCTGATCTCCCTGCTTCTCATCTTGCCCCTATGCAGCCTGTTCTCCACACAGGGCGATCCTTTAACAAGTCAACCATCCATGTCTTTCCCTTGCTTAAAATCCTCCGAGGCTCCTTTGCACTGTGAAAATTAGAGCAAGAGCCCTGGGGATCTGTCCTTGCCTGTTTCCTCCCCCTCACTTGGTCCTGTCATGCATCAAATCATAGCCACATGGTTTTTGCTTTCTGTTTTTCAAAGAATTTCAAATTCTCTTCTCCCACAGGGCCTTTGCACAAGCTTTTCCCACAGCCTGCAACACCTGCCCTTCTTCCCCACACTTGGCTTGTTCCCAGAAATTCATCATCCTGTCTTAAATGTCACACTCTTCAGAGAGGCCTTCTTTAGCC
Organism: Homo sapiens; assembly: GCF_000001405.40. Lineage (NCBI taxonomy): Eukaryota > Metazoa > Chordata > Mammalia > Primates > Hominidae > Homo > Homo sapiens. The sequence continues at coordinate 60,066,442 of NC_000020.11, forward strand.
CAGATACATAGGTAGGTTGACCCTATTGTTGTCTGTGACATTATCTTCTTGATGTCTTTGGACTTAATCACACTTTTAAATATATATTTGTTTTTCCTGTCTCTTCCACGAGGCTGTTGAATGCTGCATGGACCTGTGCCCGGCACAGAGAATGTGCTGGTTTCAGTAGAGTAATTAATACAAGCAGCAGCAGTGAATAACCCAGACAACGTCAGTGGCTTATCTTGGAAAGGTTTTTTTTTTTTGAGACAGAGTCTCGCTCTTGTCGCCCAGTCTGGAGTGCAATGGTGCAATCCCGGGGCTCACTACAACCTCCGCCTTCTGGGTTCCAGTGATTCTTCTGCCTCAGCTTCCTGAGTAGCTGGGACTACAGATGTGTGCCACCAGGACCTGCTAATTTTTGTATTTTTGGTAGAGACGGCGTTTCACCATGTTGGCCAGGCTGGTCTCAAACTCCTAACCTCAGGTGATCCCCCCACCTCGGTCTCCCAAAGTGCTGGGATTACAGGTGTGAGCCACTGCGCCCAGCCAAAAAGGTTTATTTCTTGATCACATGACTCAGCCAGAGCAGGTGGGCATGGACCTCTGCTCTCCCCACTCCACCTAAAGAACCTTCTCCACCTCCTGGTCTCCTTACCTGGAATATGTGGCCTATGAGGTTTGCCAAAGAGGAGAAAATGGAGACACACTAGCTGTTATCAGCCTGGCAGCCACAGGCTCACTTCTGTTCTTGGCCCATTTGCCTGACCAGTCCTGTGGCTCCCACCACCTGCAGGAGAGTGGGGAACAGAGGAGGCAGGAAAGACACTAGGAAGAGTGGGGAGGGAGGAGAACTGCACAGCTGGAGAGGGTAGGAGGGATGCTGAGTGGGTGCTGCTGGGAGGAGGGTATGTACTACTGGGAGGAGGGACGCTGGGTGGGCACTGCCAGGAGGAGGGATGCTGGGTGGGCATTTCTGGGAGGAGGGGGGGAGGGGGAAGAGCCACACAGCCCGAGGTCCGTGGCAGGAGGAGATGACAAGCAGGGAGAACACCAACGGAATAAACTCTGCAGTTTCCTTCAGATCATCCCTGCATAGGTGTTTCTCGAAACTCATGTTCAGTGAGAACAGCAGGCATAGACTCAGGACAAACCCTCCATCTCCTTTCAGGTTAGGTTGGCCCATGGGCTGGAGCGTCTGCGTCTTGGTCGGCCCGGCAGTGTACATGTCAAGCAGCGCGCAAAGACTCCACAGCCATTCGTAGGCACTGCTGGCCTCATGCTCCAGACAGCCCTGGGACAATGGGCCACCAAGGGAAATCAATGATTGCGTGGGCGCAGGTGACCTCCAGCCTGCTTCAGGGCCACCCTTGTTCCCCATGCCAACTCCCTCCTTCCTATGGGCTCCCAAGAAATGGGTGGCAGAGACCAGCCTGGTGATTTACCTCCTGCCTTTCCGTGACTTCCTCCCAGTCCTGTGCATCTCATGTTTAATTATGAGGCTGTGGAAGGTGGTGATATTAATTATAGGGCTGAGGTTGTGTTACTTGGAGAAAGTCAGTGCACATGTCATTTGATTTTCCTCAAGAAGGAAAACTGTATTTTTTCCGATCTCAAAAATAATTCCAGGGAAATAAATGTGTACAATCACACTTTGGGGTTTAAAACTAACGAGTTTCAGTTTTAAAACATGTTAAAAACCTTTCTATTTGGAGAAAGCTGGAAGAATCCACTTTGGGGATCTGGCGGTTCTCAGGAGCTGTATTACCTCGGGATGGTCTCACTGGTTGGTAGCAGCTTTTGTATGAGGAGGGGCATGGGGTCCCGACTTAGGCAGAGAAGGCTTTGCTGAAGAGGTGCAAAGCCCAGCTTAGGGCTGGGTTTTCTACAGACCAGGAACAAAAGCATTGCTTGGCAAGATTTCTTCTCTGCTCAGAGAAAACACGCAGATTCCAAAGAGTGAGATGGAGAGAATTTGACATGTCTTGGTTTGAAAATAAGTCAAAAGAAGTCTAATATTAACAATAGCAATAATAATAACAACCATTAATTGTGCCTGCGTTAGGTACCAGGCCCTATTCTAAGTGTTGTGAGTGCCCTCTGTCATTTAATCTCCACGGAGTCCTGAAGGTGCTTCCCAGGTTTGTCCCCATCACACAGATGAGGCAATCGTTCTGTTAAGACTGTCCTTGGGTCATTATGTCAGCAATGAAATCGGTGCTGCCATTACTAAACCCTTACTGTGTGCTGGCATTTGTGTATGCATGCATGTGTGTGTGTGCACACGTGTGTGTTTGCGTGTACATGTGCATGTGTGTGTTGTGTGCCTGTGTGTGCACATGTAGAAAGAAAGTGATGTGTGGGAATGGAGAATTCCAACCCAGGAGGAGACTGTGCCTGGGGCTGCCATGAGAAGTGGTGACACTTCGAGAAACGGGTTCCAAATGCACGTTGCCTTCCAGTTCTCTGTGTGACCTTGGGCAAGTCACTTCAGCTCCCTGAGCTTTGTTTTTAAAAATATTTTTTAAATGTATAAAACCATGGACCATTACATATGAAGAGAAATGTGTGTGCAAACATTCAGTTAATAATCACAAGGTGGAGGAGTGCCTGCTCAGACCCAGAGCTGACACAGGGAACTCTCCCAGAAGGCTGCAGGGCTTCCCTCCCAACCCTCCAACGGCCCAGTTGCTGAGCCCGTGCTTATCTGTTCAGTGGAAATGCCATGTGCCACGTTCCTCAGAAGTAAAGCCACTAGGTAAGTGTGACACTCTGTGCCCAGCTTGGTGCAAAGCCTCTTGTGTGTGCTATCTTATTGACCTCCCAAATAGCATGGTAAGGTCAGTACTGTCACTTCCCCCACTTTGAAGATGAGGAGAGCACAAATTCTAGATGGAAATGGAGGTCACGCAGTGGAAATAGGATCCAGACAGATTAATCCAATCTCAAGCCTGAATTCTTCCATTCCACGCTACGCTTGAAGCTCAATCTCTCTTCCTGGTTGATTCTCCCCACTTCCCCACCCCCAGATATATCCCATCGCTGCTTGGTGGACAGTAGCCATGACTGGGTTTTGGTAAAGGTTGCTGAATAATCAGGCTGCTGGTTAGTTTTTACATTTCACCTTTCCCAGTGAAATGGGGCCCCATGAAAAAGGCAGCTCAAGTTGTAAATTACTCAAAGGAAGGACAGAAAGGTCTTCTGTTTGCACCTACCCTAAGGATTTGGGGTAGACACTGGGAATTTACTAATTATGAATTCCAGTGCTTTCCTTGCTGAAAGAGAGGCGTGGAATCAACGCTGAGTGAAGGCATCAAGTTTAAGCTGCTAATTACTTCCTGATCATGCAGAATAAAAGCTACGTCCCTTGAAATACACCAGGCAGCTAAACATAATCTTTGCGTTTCCGTAGTGTTGGTTAAGGAATCCAGATGTTACTGCAATAACCACTCCATAAACAAAAGGAACACCCAGCTGTGAGAACTGGCTTCTCAGCATTCGTCCCAGCAGAGGCTCTTCTGGGGCCAGCCCTGGAAGAACCCATCAGGGTTCTGATGGTTGCCCTGTTTCAGCACAGCCCTTATTGGCAGGCAGACGGCTACGGGCACAGCCACAGGCTGAAGGTGAGTCCAGCACACAACTTTCTGACAGTGAACAGGAGTAAACATGGGACCCACCCGAAACCTTTGTCTGTTGACTTCTTAGCAAATGGAGGCAGCTCTAGGCTCTGGAGAGTTCGGGTATAGGAGACCATGACTTGAGCAGACTGATATAAGTGGAATGCAAACATATTTAGATGGCACAACTTAATTTAGATTTATCAGTGCTAATATAGAAAAAGCTAGTATTTATTGGGGCTTATTAGATTTTTAGTCTGAATCCTCACAACTTACGAGGGGGTTCGTTTTACAGACTATGATCTTGCATGATTTCCCCAAAGATGCTCATTAAGTATATGGTGAAAGTAGAATTTGAATACAGAAGACCTGGTTCTGCTACTTTCTGTGTTTCTATTTGGTTCAAACCAGCCTTTCTTCTTTCAAAACAACTTCAGTGCAATTCATGGTTTTGGAAAATAAACTTGATTTTGAGATTCAGACAATAAGTGCATTTTTAATGTTTATTCTTTTATCTTGAAAAACTGATATATTTATGAAATGATATGTGCTCACTCAGTGTCAACACTTCAAACAACACAGACAGTACAATGACAAATTGGAGATCAGCTCTAATCTCGGCCCCCAATTTAATGCATTGCTGAATATTCTTCTGAACATAGTCCATCCCACACTGTCCCATGACACAAGACGCTCCAAGGGGCTGAAGATAGAGGGACTTCTGCAGTCAAGAGAGCTGGGAAACTCTTGGACAGTCACAATGTGCATTTGGGTATTAAAGGCTCTGCAAAGTTCTGCACCAAATAAACCCTTGGATTGGCTTGATCCAATGCCATGTTTCCAAAACCTACTTGCCCGTGGGACACCTTAGTCCATAACACAGGTTGGCATTTCTTCTAGAGAGTGTGCTGTGAAAAACACTGGTCTCACAGCACCGTGCATTCATCCAGCAGGTATTTACCAAGCAGGGACTTTGGGCCAGGTCCGTGCTAGGCTCTGCAGGTGGACCAGCCAGCCCTGACCTCCATGGTGTCTCTTCTCATGGGAGAGGCTGCACAGCAGTCATTGAGAAAACGAAGAAACACACAGGTACTTTCAGATGCTGATAATGACTACCATGTGCTAAAAGAGCTCCAGGTGTTGTCTGTTTTGAGACAATCTTCTCGACAATGAGATAGAATGAACCATGCAAACTTTGGGGGCTACGATGGTTTTAGGAAAGAGCTAGAGTGAAAAATCCTTTGACATATATACATACAAATAAAGATACATGTGTATAATTTTATGTAATTGACATCACATTATATGCTGGCACCTGCCTTTTTTGCTTAATGAAAATGTCAAAGGTAATATTACCAATCAATCAATATATTTCACCATCGTGTTTAATTTCTGCAGAGCACTTATTCAAGCACATACTGCATTTTTCTTAGTCACTCACTGGTGGGAATAGAAAGTTTTCTCAGGCATGCATTTTTCCCACTTCTGAAATGATCTCCTTAGAATAAATTCCCCAAATTGTATTGCTGGGTTCAAAGGCATGAACATTTTACATTTTTATACAATAATGTCAAACTACCTTCCGGAAATGATGCTCACTTTACTTTCCCTCCAAGACTGTGTGAAAATGCCCATTTTCCTAAATGCTTACTATGACTGGTTTCCAACTACATTTTAATTCTTGTTCAATCTGATAGGCAAAAAATGATATTTAATTTTTATTTGATTGATAATGACCTTGAACGTGCCCATTAGCCTTTTGCATGTATTCTTTTATGAAACATCTGTTCCTATCCTTCGTCAATGTTCCTCTTCATATGTTAACTTTTCTTATTGATTTGTTAGAGCACTTTGTATATTGTGAATATTAGCTTTTGTGATCAGAATTATGGAATTGTTGTTGTCTTTAGTTTTGCTTATCAAGTTTAAAGCCATTCAGAGATGTTGTAAATGTGTATGTTGTTAAATTTATGTCTTATTTTGTGTTTTCTGATGCTCATATGTTTAGAATGGTCAAGCAATCCCAACTTATGATTACTTAAATATTCTCCCATATTTGCTCTTAGCATTTTTTTTCTTTTCATGTAACCCTTTGTTCTTTCAGGAATTTACTTTGCGGTAAGAAATGGGCTGGCTTCCAGTTTTATGTTTCCCAAATGGTGATTCAGCTGTTCCATTTCCATATTCTCCCTTATTAGAAATGACCACTATATTATGTTCTAAAATATCTGCGTACTTGTGTCCCTTCCTATAATCTCAGTTCATCTCTTTGAGCTATCTTTTGATTCCTTTTTCAAACCACACTGCTTTACTGAACTGTCATCATCTTATACATTTTTAATACTCAGCAAGACAAGTTTCTCAATGCCACTCTTTTTCAGAGTTTTTCTGGTGGTTGTAAGATGTTTATTCTTCTGGATAAACTTTAGAATCACTCTTTTTGTCCAAGGTAAAATATATCCCACATTGAGATCATACTGAATATACAGACTAATTCAGGAAAAAATGTATGTCTTTATTGCATTGAGTCTTCTTATCCAATAAAAAAGATATGAATTTCCATGTATTGAAATCTTCACTGAGACTTATTTTTGGCTTTTCACATGTCCTGCAAATGTATTGTTAAATTTATTTTTAGGTATTTTAGGGGAAATGATTTTCTAAAGTTTGTATTTTCTAGCTTGTTATAATTTACATATGAGATAGTCATTGTTGTATATTATTTATAACTGATCATATTACTGTATTTGTATTGTTTTAATAGTTTTTCTATTATTTTGGGTTTTCCTGGAATACAACCTTATTATCTACAAATTATGATTGTTTTGCCTTTTCCAATGTTCATAACTGTTTTTATATTCTTGTCTGATTGCTTTGTTCAGCACTTCTAGAATAAAGTCATGCAATACTAATGATAAAGGGTACTCTGAACTTGTGACTCTCATAGGATGCGGACAGTATTTTTACAAGAAAATTTGATGATAATTTTTGGATTGGAATGTGCAGTAAAAAAATTCTACGGTGCTCACACCTGCAATCCCAGCACCTTGGGAAGACAAGGTGGGTGGATCGCTTGAGCCCAGGAGTTTGAGACCAGCCTGGGTAACATACCAAAATCCTGTCTCTACAAAAAACAAACAAACAAAACCCAAACGACAACAAAAAAACCCAACAATTAGCCAGGCATGGTGGCACACACCTGTAGTCGCAGCTACTCAGGAGGCTGAGGTGGGAAGATCACTTGAGCCCTGGAGGTGGAGGTTGCAGTGAGCTGAGATGGCATGGCGCCACAGCACTTTAGTCTGAGCGACTGAGTGAGAGCCTGTCTCTAAAAAAAAAAAAAAAAATCAAAAACCAACCAAACGAACAAAATCTTATAAGAAGGAGTTATTGATAATTTCAAGTATCAGAAATGGATGTTAAATCTTATCAAATGTCTTTATGACTTATAAGAAATGATCATATACTTCTTTATCCTTTGTCCTATTAACACGTTGAGAGTATTTTTTAAAGTTTCCCAAACCATATAGCTCCTGGATTTTGCAAATGAGTTCCGCATCATCATGGCGTGTTATTTACCAGCGCTTTTCTCAAGCTTTTTGGGTGAACTTTCTCTAATTACCTTTTCTGCGGGGAGTCTGTGTCAGGCCCTGGCATTCAGGTTATGCTGACTGTGGAGAAACCATTCAGTGACTTTTTGTCTTTCTCAATGTACTGGAATTGTTTCCATAGTACAGAAATAATCAGTTCCTTGAAGATTTGAGAAAATAAGACTCTGGCAAGCAGTAACTTCTATCCCACTGTTGGGAATATAAATGGTTTCAGCCACTTTGGAAAGTCTTTTGTTAATATCTAGTTAAGTCAAAACACTTGTACCCTATGCTTCCGCAACTCTACTCCTCTATCTGGGCCCTAGAGTCACGGTCCCCAGCGTTTTTGGCATCAGGGACGGGTTATGTGGAAGCCAGTTTTTCCAGGGACTGGGTTGGGTGGGGGATGGTTTCAGGATGATTCAAACACCTTACATGTACTGTGCCCTTTATTTCTATTATTATTAGCACAATACATTTATTGTGCACTTTATTTCTATTATTATATTGTAATATACAATGAAATAATTATACAACTCACCATAATGTAGAATCAGTGGGAGCCCTGAGCTTGTTTTCCTGCAACTAGCTGGCCCCATTTGGGGGTGATGGGAGACAGTGACAGATCATTAGTCTTTAGATTCTCATAAGGAGCACATAATCTAGATCCCTCGCATGTGCACTTCACAGTAGGGATCACGCTCCTATGAGAATCTAGTGCTGCTGCTGATCAGACAAAAGACAGAGCTCAGGAGGTCATGCAAATGATGGGGAGCAGCTGTAAATACAGGTTAAGCTTTGCTCACTCGTTGGCCGCTCATCTGCTGCTGTACAGCCCAGTTCCTAACTGGTTCCTAACCTGTACCGGTTCACGGCACGGGGTTGGGGGCCCTACCCTAGAGAAACTCTCTTATGCATGCCCAAGAAATCGTATGTGTCAGAATTTTCATTGCAGTGTTGTTCGTGCTGGTTAACAAATCAGAAATGACTTAAATGTTCCTTAGTAGCGGATTGGATTAGGTAATTTATGTAGTGGATTACTCTGCCACAGATGAAATGATTAAATTAGGTCTACTGATATCGACCTGGGAAATTCTCAAAAAATTAGTATGGGGGAGGAGACAGTGAGAAGAAAGTGAAAAAGAACATGTTCATCATGATACAATTTGTGTAAAAATAACAGGAAACAATGTTACATATAATTTTGTTATATAACAAATAACAGGAAATAATGTTATATATAATTTTGTTATATAACAAATAACAGGAAACAATGTTATATATTATTTTGTGCACCAAGTGTGGATAATATATACACATATATCATCAAAAGCACAGAAGAGAGGGGTATTAATCACCTTCAAGAATCAGGGTTTCCCCTGTGGAGGGAGGGAGCGGAGACAAAATGGTAACAGAGAAGTGGAGCTTCAAAGGTCTTGTAGTATTTCATGCATTAACCAAAAAAGGTCTGTTGTAAATACAGAAACACATGATATCTTTGAAAGCTGTGTGGTGGGGCATGGATATTTGTTATATTAACCACACTTCATTTATGGTCTTTATGAATTTCTATCTGGTTTCTCCATTAAGGATTAGAGAGGTATTTCAAAGGCTCCTATTGTATTTCTACCAATTCTGTCTGTTCATCTTCCTTTTAAAAATTGGAGATGGAGGCTGGACACTGACAATTGTTATTCTTTAGATACTTTGAGTTAGATAACACAGTGCTTGGCACGGGGCAGGTGTCCAATAAGCGCTAGGTGGCATCATCATCCTCTTGGACACTTTGGCTCTGTGTGCATCCCTCCAAATCCTCTGTTCCCTTGCCTTGGTGTGAAGCCAGTGCGCTTCAAGGTGAACCCCCGTGGCTCCCAGCTCTTCCCAGGCTGAGGTGGGCATGGCGCCCCATCGAGAAGTTGGAGCATAGGCCCTTGTGCTTGGTGAGAACATTATGTGTGTCCCTTTTTGACTCCTTTGACTTGCAACACTGATTCCTAGGTTACACTTCGGGACTGCCTGCCAGTTCGTGAAAATGACAGGGCTGTCCCTTCTCACCTGGGTCCTGCTGTTCACCTGACCTGCTGGGGTGGGGCACCAGCCCAGGCAGACAGTTTCTCTTTCTTCCTGGTAACCTGTGGTCCAGGCCCCACTCTCACATCTTCTCTTACTTGTCCATGAGCTAAAGTGACTCACCTCCTTTGCACCTTTCACTTTGACCTGATTTGGATTGCTTCTGGTGGATTTCCATCAGTGTGGCATGGCGGTGTGCTTTCCCCAGTTTCAGGGAAGGCTGACTTAACTAGTCTACTTGTGGATCCTTTGGGTCCATGGATCTTACTTTGGGGTGATTTTGCATGATGGGGATATTTGGCAATGTCTAGACACATTTTGGTCATCACAGCTGGGCAGGGACAGAGGGAGGGTGTGCTACCAGCATCTAGTGGTGGAGACCAGGGATGCTGCTGAATGTTTTAAGATGCACAGGACAGGCCACCCCCCTTTAAACAAAGATTTATCCTTGAAGTATAAATAGTGCCCAGGCTGAGAAACTCTGCCTTAGGCCCAATGAGCCAATTTTACTCTGGTATGCCTCACTTTGCTTCAACAGCTGGGCTTCGGAGAGACAGCATGCATTTTACATTGATGTGGTCTGATGTAACAAGCACCAGGCACCTTAGTATCATAATATGACTGATTAGATTATCATTTGCATTGTCATTTTGTTAATGTGTAGAGGAGGAAATATTACTGGAAGTCAGAAGATGGATCTTTGTTATGCCACCTTCTTCCATTCATGCATGCGTTTAACAACTATTTACGGAGCATCTACTATGTGCTGGATATCATGCCAGATGATGCCCTTTTAGTGCTCTCAGTCCAGTAGGAACACAGGGGAAAAAACCCAACCAAATACACAGATAACTGTATGTCTTGGAGATGGTAGCGTGTAGCAGAAAGGAAATAAGAGCATCAGGGAATCCACCCATGTAGGCGGTGTCTTAGCCTCCTGTGGCTGCTGTAACAAACACCGCACATTCAATGGCTCCAATCACTAGAATCATATTCTCTCCAGGTGTTGGTAGGGCCTTGCTATTTCTGGGGGCTTTAGGGTAGGATCCTTCCTTGCCTCTTCTGGTTTTCGGTGGCATCTCCTGGCCTTCCTCCCTGTGTAGCTGCATCACTCCCATCTCTGTCTCTGCCGTCATGTAGACTTCTGTGTCTGCATCTTCTTCTCTCCTGTCTCTTGTAAGGGCACGTGTCATTGATTTAGGGCCCACTCTAATCCAGAATGATCTCATCTCAAGATCTGTAATTACATCGGCAAAGACCAGGCCCTTCTTTCCAAGTAAGGTTACAGTCACAGATTCTGGGGATTAGGATGTGGATATATCTTTTGAGTGACACTTTTCAAACCACTACAGATCAGCAAAATGTTCCCTGGAAGCCCCTAGCTGATTTCTTTTCTGTTTTTTTTTTTTTTTTTTTCTCTTTAATCACCAAAAGGAGATAAATGGATTAGGCCAAGCGAGATTCATCCACTTTTCCTAAGCACATTGTTGCTCAAACATAGATTTCTAAGAATCAAGAAGAAGGCAGGGAGCCAGCAGGGTCTGCCCCAGAAGCTCTCCCTGATTTTCAGATATGCCAAACTCCATCTTCTCTGTAGGTTTTTTTCTTTTTGCTTAAAACAGCAGTTCTGAAGCTTGGGAAGGCATCAGCATCACCTGGGAGCCTTGCTAAAACGCTCTCTCCTGGAGTTTCTGCTCACAATGTGCATTTCTAAAAAGCTCCCAGGTAAGGCTGATGCTGCCAGTCCAGGGGCCACACTCAGAGAACCACTGCTCTGAAACATTCTTCCTGCTCCTGGCTCTTGTCACTCTTGTCTTCCCCCTTGAGGCTCCCTTTTGCCCAGAGCTTCCTGGTGTCTCCAACCCATGGGTTTCACCCTTTCCTTCTCTTCTGTGGCATTTACCACAGAAATCTTCCCTTCAGCTCCACACAGGGCACATGTCTTGCAGGCACAGATGTTGTCTTTCTGTCTCCATTTTCCCAGCACCCAGCGCCTCGAGTCCACAGGGACGGCAATGCTGAGCGTCTGTTGGATGAACAAGTGAACGAGATTCATGCACGTTCTTTTCCTTCTCTGCAGAGTGCCTGAGCCTGCCAGGTCTTATGCTGTGGTGGGCTCTGGACTGGAGACTGGGTTCAATTAGTGCCTCAGCAATGTGACTCTGGTTAAGCCACTTAAATTCCCCGAGCCTCAGTTTCCCCATCTGTAAAGTGGGCATAATAGCACTTACCCTAATCTCAAGGGTATCAAATGTGATAAAACCATATAAAGTGTTCATTGCATTTATTAAGTGGCTGATCTGTGTTAATTACTGTTAGTATCATTTAAGGCTGGAGGAGTGCACCTTAGTTTTCTCTTGTTGGGACAAGGCCAGTTGGTTGTGTGTGCCCCTTGGTTTAACCCTAGGGCAGAACTTCTTTGGTTTGGGGTGCAGGCCTCAGGGGTGCAGGGCTGAGAGGCAGAGGCTGAGTCAAGCCCAGGGAGAAGGCTGGTGTGTTGCCCTGGAGCACCAGTTTCCTCCACAGTCAGCAATGTCAGCCTTTGAAGACTATTAAGACAAATGCAGTTACATTACAGAAAGCAATAAAAATGCTTGTGAATTTTTAAGGTAAGATACCTAGATTTTAGCCAGGTCCTGGGCTGGGGCCCCCTCCTTGCAGACGTTCCCTTCCTTTGCTGCCTCTCCCATGGCCCCTGCACAAGGCTGCAGGATGGGTGGGGCTCAGGCCTTGCAGCAGTGAATGGATTGATGAAGCTGCCCTTCAAGGCACTTCTCTTTTCCTTACACAAATGCTTTTGCAACTCCTGTGCCCTGAGGCTCTGTCTTAAACTGGTGTAGGCCCCAGTGGCAGGGCTGACACCTGACAGCTAAGCCTGGGAGGAAATGCTTTTGATTGTTCCATGCCAGAATACTCCAACCTTCACCTCCCTGGCCTTTTGTGCTGGAACAAGGCCAATCAGTTCTGTCTGCTCCTTCCAGTGGTGATTTGGTTTAATCAAACAATTGCATGTCTGGGAGAGTTCCCTGTCCGCCTTGATTATACATGCATCACCCTTGCCCCGCCTTGCACATACTCCCCAAGTCACATTCATCCAATTTCATTTCATTGCAGATAAACCACACACAGAAATAGACAATGCAATCACCACAGCCCGTGTCTAGGAGAACATCTTGTCCAAGCGCAGGTGCAATTTTGCCTCCACTTGGCCGTGTCCTTGCTACCACCTGTGTGGTCTTGGGCCCTGCGTGGGGGAGCAAGAGGGCCTGGCCTCCTTCCTGTCTCATCTCACTGTTCTTCCACACACAGCAGGTAGCGCCCTCCCAGCCACCCTCCCCATCACCGTCCTCTGATTTGTGAGGTGCCTGACAGGGAGCCAGGGAAGGGCTCACTCCGCAAGCACAGTCTCCCAAAGTGGCAGCGTCTCAGCACTTTGCAGAGCTGGCATGATCGTTTCCGAAATGTCCACCCAGGCTCTAGGGCAGGGTTTCTTAGCCTCGGCGCTATTGACATTTTGTGCAGGATGCTTCTGTGTCATGGGGCTGTGCTGTGCACGGTACCCCGGCCTCTACCCACTCGATGCCAGTAGCACTCCCTCTCCAGATATGATAACCAGAAGCATCTCTTGACAAGGCTAAATGTTCCCTGGAAGTCAAAATCGCTGCCAGTGGAGACCCATTGAGAGACAGGAAGGTGCAGACAAGGCGTGACTGAAGAGCAGGTGGTCAGCCCCTGAGAGGCCTTGATGGAGCCTATCAAAGACCCTGCTCACCTGACCCCTGACCCCTCCGTGTGAGCTCTGCCCAGGCCTTGCTCTCAGCCTTGGGGTGCTCTGCATGCAGAACCCCTCCCGCCTGCACCTCTGAGGTGGCTCTTCCTCTGCAGGGTTGCTTTTGGCACAGGTGGAGGCTCTGACTATGGGGACAGGGCTCCCCCTCTGTCATGCTCAGCGCTGTCCCGTCTAAGTCTCATCGCTCATCAGGAACACCCAGGCCCTTGGCTCCCTTTAAAGCTGGTGTTGGGCCTCAATGAATGCCTCTCTCTTTTGGCTGGAAGCTCCAATATTATTTTCCTCTTTTTATTGGATTATCTTTCTTGAGGTATTCAAATGATAAGACAAAAAATATGTCAAAGCCTAGGCTGTCAGCTGCAGGGACTGGCAGTCCTCCATTCAGGAGGCTGAGCAGGTGAGGGCTTTTGATTAGGAAGCTATCATGCTCTGATTTTTTCCAGAATGATCACTTATAGATCAAGTGAACTAATCTGTCCCAATTTGCTCATCATGACTTTAGGTCTTTATCTGCATGTCTAGGCTATCCCTGTTCGATTTACAAAACCAAGAACAAGAAAGGTTGACCTTACAGCCCCTATGAGGCCTTGACCCAGACGGCCGCCTATAAAAACGGCCCACTCATTATGCGGTCACCCAAATGGCTCAAAGGTATAATTGGCACATTTGACTGCATATTACTCGGCCCTTTAAATATCTCTTCTGATGTGTTAAAATTAGCTTCTTCCCAACCACAAAAAGGGAAAGGAGTGTCCTTTTTAAGCAAATATGGGGAAAAAGCTCCTCTTTGTCTGGCTTAGTTAAAAATGACCCCATCTAAAGTCAAGGGTATGTACTGGGTGACCTTTCAAGGCAGCACCCAGACTTAAGATGTAAGAATTCTCCTTTTTCGATTGAAAAAAATAGACTTTCTTGACACTTCAGAGCCATCATAGCACAATGGGAACCGGAGAGAGGGAAGGGGCGGAAGGGCAGAGACCCCAGCTGTACAATGCCCCTGGGTCTAGGCTTGAGCGAAGGTGTGGGAGTGGGAAGGAGACCATGTGGCTCACGGTGCACAGAAAGGATTTGATGTAACTCAGCCCTCCTCTGTCCCCCAGGTGAGTATCGTGTGTGCTGGCTTCTGTGGATAGGGGTACAGCACACAGGGAGTCTCACCTGGGTCTTCAATATGCTTCATCTCCATTTCACTGCAGACAGACCCAACCTCAACCTCAGGGGTTAAACAGTTGCCCTGGGTCCCCCAGGGTGCAACGGAAAGAGCAGGAATTGGAACCCAAGTCTGTCTGACCCAAGGGCCAAGCTCGTTACAGTTTTCTGGTACTGAGGTTAAGGGAAAAATCAATCTTGCTTGATTTTCTTCCCTGACCAAATAAAAGCCCCCAAAGACCTAGAGAATTCATCTGAGGTTATAAAAATAAAGTAAAAGACAGCCCTTTGGGAACAGTCCTGGTCTTGAACTTGAGCTGGTGTTATTGCTGGTGGAGGTGCCCACAGTTTTCACTTGTGGACTCAAGCTCCTTCCCTGACAGCTTGCTGCAGAGAGCCCTTCACTGAGAGGATCCAGGTGATGCAGCCTCCAAAGTAGGAATGGGCAAGGTGTGCACCTGGAGGTGAGAGGCCGCTGTCCTGGGACACCGGTGGAAGGAGGTGCTGAGGAAGGTCACAAAAGACATGTTTATTTGACTTCATTAATATTTGAAGGGTGAGCTCTATGCCCCAAGCAGAGAAAAAAGAAGTGAGGAACTATTAGCATTTTTTATCATATTTAATGGGACAAACATCTAAGGGGCAGATGTCATAGCGGTTAAGAACACGGATCTTAGAGTTAATCAGATTGGGATCAAGTGCCAAATTTGCCAGTTTCTGGCTGTGAGACTTTGGTCAAGTTACTCTACCTTTTCAAGCCTCAGTTTATGCATCTGTAAAGTGAGGATGATGGTAATCATATCCATTCACTAGAGTGTGATGCCTGATAGCTAGTACACAGAGCATAAAGGAGAGCTGGGATCTGTGCACTCACGGTCAGAGGTTGTGTTGTTTCAGCTCCGTTCTGTTCCCTACTTGATGTGTGACTTTTCTTTGGTCCCTTTGATTACCTAAGCCTCAGTTTCCTCATCTGGAAAAAATAAAAACAAAAAAGGTCGGGGCAGAGGGAGAATCACTTCCCAGTTTGGCAAAGAAAGGTAGAGATGATGGAAAGGAAACATTTTTGTAAACTGCAAAATGCTGTCAAAATAGAAGCAGAGATTCCAGCGAGACAGGACTGATGAATGGCTGGGCATTGTCAGGCACCTCCTCGCAGGACCCTCAAACCATTAAGGACTTGACTTTGCTGTCCCCAGTTCTTCCTCTGTCTAAGACGTGAGATTCAGAGATGAAAAGTCAGGGCCCACTGGAAAGACGATGGAGGGATTCATACTGGCTGGAATAGCATCCAGGCTCTCTGTTCTTTGTAATATCTGGGTTATGGGTGGCATGAAGAGGAAGCTGGGAGAGGTGGCGGCAGTGCCCAGGAAGTTGACATAGAGAAGGGGTGGGTGGAGGAGGAGGAGGGGAAGAGAGGATCACTTTGGATATCAGGAGATTGATTTTGGGGTTTGGCAGGTGGGACATCAGGAGGATATAAGGTAATTGGGGAAGAAAGGAAATTTGGAGAAGTGATGCTTTGGGTTATGAATAGGTTTCCCATTAATGTCTGTGGAGAGAAGCAAGAAAAGATGGTAATTTATTGCTAATCATTTTTAGCTGTTGGAATGTGTGTCTTTGAATGTTATTCCATGCAAAGACTGGGCACTGGTGTGCATTTGTGCAAATTGCAAAGGTGTTTTAAACATCCTCTGCGAAATGAGATATTTCATCACGGGGCAGACAGTGTTTTGTAGTCCACAGAGTGTTTTTGAAAGTATTTTTCCCTTTGAGTCTCTTCCAAGCCCTCTGAAAAAGATATGGCATGAATTATTATTATTATTGTTATTATTATTTTGACAGTGCCTCCCTCTGTCACCCAGGCTGGAGTGCAGTGGCATGATTTCGGCTCACTGCAACTTCCGCCTCCTGGGCTCAAGCGATCCTCCACCTCAGCCTCTTGAGTAGCTGGGACTACAGGTGCACACGACCATGCCCGGCTAATTTTTGTATTTTTAGTAGAGACAGGGTTTCATCATGTTGGCCAGGGTGGTCTTGAACTCCTGACCTCAAGTAATCCACCCACCTCGGCCTCCCAAAGGAAATTTTATAATGTCTTCGTCCTAAGGGTTCACCTTTCCTGCTTGCTCTTAGAGTAGGATTCTGAGGCCTTGGTCATGCACGTTAAGCCTCAGCCATTCACTAACTGTTAAGCTTTATGATTGCCTCAATCATTTCATTTATCCATTTAGGGAATGTACATAAGCACTCCCCTGTGCCATGCACTGTGTTGGGCAGTGGAGGTACAGCATGCACGGTCAGACATAGTTTCCAGATGAAGTAATATGTAAGGAGATTATGGAAGGATGAACAGGAAGTAGTTACGAGGACAGTCAGGAGGCAGGTGGAGGGAGGCATGCAAGGCAGAAGCACCCAGTATGTCAAAGCCTGGCTCAGAAAAACACGGCAAGTTTGTGGAGATCTTCTCAGATGTATTGTTTTGTTATCAAGTGTTCTTTTGCGTTTCATATCTTAAACTGAATGTAAATGGCATACAGCCCACCGTATCTATCTGCAATAAATTGCAAATAATTACATGTTATAAGTAAAAGTTACCAAGAGGCCACAAGAAGTTGTTTTAATTTATTGTTCATTTTAACCCGATTTTCCCAAGTGTGTCATTGATTTTTGAATTTTTAATATTTTTTCTGGAGTTCATGTTAAGACATACCAGAAGCCAGCAATTCTGTTGTTCTATTTTACTAAATATTAGTTATTTTCCAAATAAATTATTGGCAATGTATGTTAACAAATATTAAGTTGACAAAGTAACTTATTGAACTATCACCATATTTTTATTCTTAATAAACTTCATCAATTACATGGTACATATATGCCATTCAAGATCGACATTCTTTTAGAATACTACAGAGTTATTTCCACTTTAAAGCAGAGAAAATTGAGGCACAGGATGATTCAATGATTTGCCCCTGTCCTCCTGCCAATAAAGGGTCAAACTGGAATCAGAAGTCAGCTTTTCTGATGGAGGCTAACTCCTGTAAAATCGCATGTGGAGAAAGGACTCTTGTGTTTGACAGTCTAAGGGCCTTTTCTGCCTAATCTAAGGTCTGTTTCCCTATATGCAGGCTGGGAGGGGTGATTGTGCAGAGGGACCCTTGGAGAACTGTTACATTATGCAAACTTGATTATCCTGTCTGACATTATTGATGTCAGCAGCCATTGTGAAATGAAGTTTGGGAGATGGAGTGTGGAAGGTGGCACTTGTAATTTTTAATAATCATCCTCTTTTACTTCTTGGGGGGAGGCAGTGGGGGAGAAACAGAGCTTCAGGGTTGTGGATGCTTTAATGGAATCTGTCTGTCACAATAAGGAAGTAGAGAAAGTCTTTTAGCGTTCTACAGGCTAAATCACAGGGCTTGAACCATGGTGTTTTTGGTGAACAGAGATGCCGTACCATAAAGGCAGATGGAGAATGACTGCAGGGTCAATGAGATTGTCACCCCCCGCGGCAGGGACAATGTTTATTCATCTCTGAAATCCTAGTGCCCTTCACAGGGCACTTAGCTGGAGCTGGTCCAGTGAGAGCTGATTCCAAATACACTCTATAAAGGACCTTGTCTGTGTAGAATTTTGGCATCTCAGGCACTGTGATGACCACTCCTCCCAGTTCAAAATCTCCATATCCAACTACCTGATGAATTTCTCCCTTTGGATCCCAAATGACCAGAACAGGACAGATAATGTCCCCTTCAAGAATTTTTTATCTTATGTGAAGTCCAGTGAATGGTGTTACTGTCTACCCAGTCTTCCAAGTAAGTGTGACAGCTTGGCATCATTTTTAAATTTCCATTCTCCTTTGCCCCACATACCAGATCATTCACCAAGCACTGCCTCTTCTATTTTCTCATGATCTCTTGAATTTGTCCACTTCCCTCCATCTCTACCAACACCTCCTTGGACCATGCCAACACCATTTCTTGCATCTGCAGTTTCAGCAATCTCCTAATTGGTCTTCCTGCCATCACCTTCATTAATCCATTCTCCATGTAGTAGCTGGAATGACATCTAGTTAACCTTTACTTAAAACCTCCATGGCTCTTGAGGTCAAAGTTCAAACTCATTACATGGCCTAAGGCTTTTTGGGGTATGATCCCAACGAATTTCTCCATCTGTCTCCCATCCTGCTCCCTGCCTCCCTATCTTCTTCCAGTTCCTCTAATGCCACACTTCCCCACACCCAGCCTCCACTCATGCTGTTTCTTCTGCCAAGAACATCCTTCCCTGCTCTTGCCTAGCCAAATCTTGCTTATTTTCCATGTCTCAGTCTCAGTTCTTCAGTGGGGACTTCCCTGAATAACCGTATAAGCAAACATTAATAAAGTTCTTGCTATGTGACAGATACTTGCCTTTACATAGATTAACCTGTTCAATCCTCACAATAACCCTATGACATAGATAACATACGGTCTACAGTTAGCAGATGGAGAAACTGAGGCACTAAGAGATAAATGAACTTGTCCAAGGTTACATGCAAGGTAGAAGAGCTGAGATTCAAATGCAAGCGTCTTGGTTCCCTAGTCTGTGTTTTAATCACTACACCCTGACTCCAGACTATGCTGAGTTGTACCTGCTGTAGCCTGGAATTCACTTCCACTGCACCCCTAATGCTTATGCGGCATTATTCTCCCTTCTATAGTTACAGCATCACGTGGACAGGAACTGTGTCTGTCTTGTCCACGGGTGTGTCCGCAGTACCTGCACAATGCCTAGCATGTCACAGGCACTCATGAAGATGTTTTCTGGTTGAATGAATAAAAGATTAAAATTCTCCCTAAGCATATCAGCTGTTGGAGCCACTCTTGTTCCCAGTGTGTTTCAGATTCATTTGGGGGCAGAGAGCAAAAGTGTCTGCATGTGGCAGGTGAGATGCCCCTATATGAGGTGTTTGGATACAGTCGTATGCTGAAGAAGACTTTACCTCTTGGTTGGTGTTTCCCTACTTCCACTCCCAATATGGATGGCAGCCAAGCTTTCATTTTGCAGGTCTAAGCCTCTGTGTCTAGAAAACGGAGGTTTTAGTGACTTGTCTTTTGCAAAAGTAAGAATTGGCAGACACCATGGCAGTGGGCGTCCTCTCTTGCTGAGGACAGGAATGGGGCTAGGCTGCAGCATGCCTGATGAGAAGCTGCTGTGGGTGGTTGGGCAGTTAGGCACTATTTCCCATGGCCTGGAGAGCAGCTGAGAGGGTCCTGTGGGTCACTCTGTACTAGAATGGACTGCAGCTAGGGGCGCCCTGAGCCCTTTCCCTGGAGCTGAGTGACAGCTTGAGCTCAGGGGACCAGCATGTAGAGTAGAAGACTTGGGCTGAGGTCCCGCCCTCGTGGCCCCATCTCTGTGGGGTGTCCACTACGTGTGAGTCCAGGCCCTTAAAGATACCATGGGGTCGGGGGAGTAATAATGAATGCAGTTGAATTTGCTGTCTCTTGGATAGTGGCGGTTATTTGCAGATGAACTTTGGCTTAAAGAAAATAAAGAATGTGGCATGTCTTTCTTCCTAATGTTGTGAATAGGAATTCATTCCAGCTATGCTTGTTGGCACACCTCAAGCACGGTCCAGGGCTCAGGAACATATCGGTCTTATGCAGCTCTTGGATGCTTACCACAAAAGGAGGGCTGGTTGTGGGTGAGAGCCATGGCAGAGTCTGGGGCATGGCAGGTGCATTGCTGCAGGATGAGCCTTTGCGAAGGGCTAGGCTTGCTGCTTTGGGGCAGCTCCCAGGATGGCCACCAGCAGAAAAAGCTCCAGGCCTGGTTCCATGTTCTTTCTCCGGTCCCCACCTTTCCTTCCTCCACAGCACATTTTAAAGTCTGATTTCAGGGGCTTGGGAACGTCCCTCTGCCAGATCCACCTGCATGCTTGCGTCTTGGGATCTGACCACAGTCTTCAACCTTCTGAGGGAGTAGTTACCACCTTTTTAGGTCAGGGAGTGGGTGATGGTGAGAAGGGAGCAAACAAGCCTCTTGGGAGAGAGTGCAGGGAAGTGCACTGATGTTTTGGAGTACCTTCCATTACCATCATTGTGCTTAACGTGTTCGTTACGAAGCAGCCTGGTGATGCTTGCTTCTCCTCCTATGGGTGACTCCTCCTCTGTCCAACAGGGGAGCCTCACGGTGGGTGCCTTTGCTCAAAGAGGACCCATCCTCAGGGAGTTTGCAGCCAGCCGAAGGGCAGCCAGGAGTGAAGAGTGAATGGAAGGTGAGGCGGGAGAGGAAAATCCACCTAAGCTGAACGTGGCTTCAATAATTAATAGCAGCGGGCAAAGCCGACATTACATTAGGAAAATTTAATTAGAACATGCAACTTATATATGTAATTGGATGCCTGGGGCAGTAATAATGCATTTTCACAGTACCTCAACCATCCCCCCAGGCTTGTTTTGACTCATAAAAAGGGATCAGTCATGAAGAGCTGTGATGCTGGAGTGTTATTTCTGTTGTCCTGGTGGTCACTTACGTAACCTAGTGTGTAGCCTGGGGCAGGCTGTAGCACCTAGTAGGTAGGTCCTCAGTTGATATTTGTTGACTGATTTAATGGGATTTTATGATGAGATTGAATAAATGAGGGCACACCTGGTTTTTAGGACTTCCCTGGATGGCTCCATGCTTCCTCCTGGACCAAGTGTGTTCAGATGAGAATGGCCCTTCCTTGCTGTGGGCACCCTCTTTGCTAGGGTGCCAAGGTCGGAGCTGATATTGGTTATCTCATCGGGCCTTGCAGCAGCGCCGCAGATATTCTGCCTCCCATTTTGCCCGCGGGGACGCCGAGGCCCGGCGCCGCATCCTGCCGCCCGTTTTGCCCGCGGGGAAGCCGAGGCCCGATGCCGTACCCTGCCGCCCGTTTTGCCCGCGGGGAAGCCGAGGCCCGGCGCCGCATCCTGCCGCCCGTTTTGCCCGCGGGGAAGCCGAGGCCCGGCGCCGTATCCTGCCGCCCGTTTTACCCGCGAGGAAGCCGAGGCCCGGCGCCGTATCGTGCCGCCCGTTTTGCCCGCGGGGAAGCCGAGGCCCGGCGCCGTATCCTGTGGCCGTTTTACCCGCGGGAAAGTCGAGGCCCGGCGCCGTATCCTGCCGCCCGTTTTACCCGCGAGGAAGCCGAGGCCCGGCGCCGTATCCTGCCGCCCGTTTTACCCGCGGAGACGCCGAGGCCCGATGCCGTATCCTGCCGCCCGTTTTACCCGCGGGAAAGCCGAGGCCCGGTGCTGTATTCTGCCGCCCATTTTACCCGCGGGGAAGCTGAGGCCCAGTGCTGTTTAATATCTTACTCATGTTCACTTGATGAGAAAGTGACAGATCTGAGACAAACCCAGGTATGAGGCTGCAGAGCCCTGCTCTGAACCGCTGAGTCTGTCTCTTTTCTTGGGACAGGGACAGCTTCCTGTGGTGACAGCCTTGCTCTTGGCTGCAGGGATTAAGGGAGGAATAAAGCTCGGGGCTACAGCCAGCCCATCCGGGATGGGGAGCTACCACAGGGCAGCAGGTTTAGCTCTCACTGCTTTTCTGACCTGAGTATGCCTAGAGAGGGGAGCTCAGAGCCATGGAGGAGCAAGGAGAGCCTTGGGTCCTACAGCGGCTACCAGACCTCTGCGTGCAGTTCTCGCCCTGGGCAAGCCCTCTGTGTGGGTGGGTGGGTGGGTGGGTGCTGCCAGGACAGGCCTCTGGGAAGACGTGGAACACTGACGGAAGGAGGGAGGAGGGCAGAAGCCAGGGTGTTTGCTCCTCTCTCCCGTGGCCTGGGATGGGGGTCTCGTGCACTGATGTGTTTCCCTCACCACTCCCGTGGCACAGCCCCTCCCCCTTTCTTCCCCGCTCCAGCCAGCACACCCCTGACTTGACTCCACCTTCAGCAGGATGGCCTTGGCGTCTGTGTCCTGGCAATGTCACCCTCCTCTCATTTCTTCTTTAGTTCTAGAGGTTATGACACCAGCCATGGAAGAGCAGAGAGGCCAATGAGGTGGGGAGGTTGGAAACAAAAGGCCTTCTCCACCCCAGCTTGACCAACCCAAAAGCTGGAAGGCAAGGAAGACCTAGGTGGGTTCTGTTTCCCTGAATAGACCTTGACTCATGGACCCTCCATATGGCCAGAAGGTGACCCAGGCCTGTTAATCAAAGGCCCGCACTGCCCTCTTTGCAGCCACTGATTCAGGGTAGGGCATGTGGGTTAATGAAGCCAATCATGAGCAATGGGACTGAGCTCTGAGTGTTTTGAGTGTTTTGGTTGAATTGAGTAGGGGCTGCCTCTCTCTGTCCACTTCCATGTTGTGACATGGTGACAAGGAGCTGAGGCAGAGCAGCGTCCCTGCAATGCTACCAGAACAAGGCTGGTTCTGAAGGCAGAGCTCCTCTCCCTAACTTTGCTGATATGCAAGCAAATAACTTCCTTTTTAAACAGAAGCCAGTAGCCAGTTTGCATGGGATTTTATCACCTGTAACAGAAGAGTCTTTTTTTTTTTTTTTTTTTTTTTTTTTGATGGAGTCTTGCTCTGTAGCCCAGGCTGGAGTGCAGTGGTGCAATTTCAGCTCACTGCAACCTCCGCCTTTCAGGTCCTGATTCGAGCAATTCTCCTGCCTCAGACTCCTGAGTAGCTGGGATTACAGGCACACGCCACCATGCCCAGCTAATTTTTGTATTTTTAGTAGAGACGGGGTTTCACCATGTTGGCCAGACTGGTCTTGAGCTCCTGACCTTGTGATCCGCCCACCTCAGCCTCCCAAAGTGCTGGGATTACAGGCCTGAGCCGCTGTAGCAGCAGAAGAGTCTTAACAGATATTGTTCACTTCCTCACAGTAGGAGTCACCCAGGCAATGGGATGATGTGGGAAGGGCATGCGATGCTCTCAGGTGAAACTGGTCCTGTGCCCACATCTCGCGTTAATTTGTTAACTGACCTTGAGCAATCCACTTCCTTCTGTGGACCTCATCTCCCACCCTCTCCTGTAAAACGAGAGGGGGGCTCTCCTTCCTTCCCCAGTCAGCAGCCCTACAATCTACAATGGCAGGAACGTGTGAGTGCTCCTGCTGCCACCCCCGCTCAGCTTCGATGGTGCCCCGTTGTCCACCACACAGCTCTTCTTAGATGCCCTTTTTAAAATGAAATGCTTGCACTTAGCCACACGTATCTTACAAGGAACAAATTCATTGATGGTTGCATTTCTTAGGGACTGGACAACAGTGTGTCATAGGCCTGGAATCTGAGGAAAGGGGGAGAAATGCAAAAAGGTGCAAAAAAGGTGCAAAAAGGGCCACTAGACTTGACCAGCCTCACCGTTTTCACAGAAACTAGACTGAACAAAAAGAAAGTGCTCACTGGCCTGATAGAAGACACGCACTGTTATCATCAATAAGAATGGACTTATGTATTGCTAATGTTTACTATGCAATTAACAATTTCCGTTGACTGTGTGAAGCATCTTAAGTGCATTTTAAATTTGCTCCTCCCAAAAGGGTACATGGGCACTGTCTTTATCCTCAAGTCACAGATGAGAAAATGGAGCCCCAGTCAGGTATTAATTAATTACTCAAGGTCACAAAGAGAGAAGCCAGGTGCCCCAGCAAATCGACCCTGAAGGCAGAGTCCCTGCCCTTCATCCTCCTCCTCTTCTTGGGGATTTTCACTGACTTGGAAACATTCTCCTCTGCTCCTGAGGATGGCCTGAGTTTATCAGAATGGGTGTATATTGGCAATTCTCCTAACATTTGCTGAATCTTCATCAAAGATGCCAATACTGTCTGTCAAGCCTGCAGTTCCAGTGTGGCCCCTCTGCCACCGCGCATTCTCCTCGGTTCACTTTCAATTGCCTTTTAATGGGAGAGAGATAAAGTGAAATTACAGCCTTGGGTAGCTTCTTACTTGGGAGGCTAGGAACAGCCCGGCCCTGTGCATCACTTACTAAAGCTGCATTTACAGTCCCGAGAGCGAAGGGACAGATCGCAAATCAGATCATTTATTGCTGCTGCTAGCTCAGCGAGGAGAACATTCCCAAGGTGAGAGAGGTGGAGGCTCTGTCCGTGAGTAAAACAGTTTGTGTGTCCTGGGCTCTGGAATCCCACCCATCCCCTGGTGGGTCATTTTAAGTGGTAAACTTCCCAGGAGCTGCTTCAGCAGAATCTGAGCGGAGAGCCTTGGAGTGCTGAGAAGAACACGTGATTTGGAGGTGGGGTCTGAATCTTGAGTCCTAGTGCTCATTGGCTACCAAATGCTTATTGATGAAATGTAATTTCAGAGGAACCTTCTTCTGCCATTTAAAAACAGAAATTTAAGGGAAGGACTCTGCTAACTCCTCCAGGTTCTAAGAGGAGGAGCATATGGCAGTTCTGAGCAGACACTTTGGAATCTGGCAGAGCCAAGTTCAGCTCCTGGCTCCCTGACTTATAAGCTGAGACCTTTGCTGGACCTCACTCAGATTCTTCTACTGCAAATTCGTCTTGTGATATCAACAAAGGCATTTACATGTGCCCCTAGCACAGAGCCTGGCATCCAGAAGTGTTCCATAAGCAGCAGCAGTTATTGTGATGATTATTACTGTGACTATTATTAAGAGTTTGCCATTCTGCAAATAGTTGCCTTTTTTCCATTCCTTTAGCACCAGGTGCCTTTGGGCCACCAGCTGCCCTTCAGCAAGCACTGCTCAAGGGTTCCAGGAGTTGCAAGCAGCCCTCATTCTCTTTGGTTCACTTTCAATTGCCTTTTAATGGGAGAGAGATAAAGTGAAATTACAGCCTTGGGTAGCTGCTTACTTGGGAGGCTGGGAACAGCCCGGCCCTGTGCATCACATACTAAAGCTGCATTTACAGTCCCAAGAGCAAAGGGACAGATCACAAATCAGATCATTTATTGCTGCTGCTAGCTCAGCGAGGATAACATTCCCAAGGGGAGAGAGGTGGAGGCTCTGGCCGTGAGTGTAACAGTTTGGTCCCAGGGCTCCTGAGGATCATACTGGGCAATGCTAGCGATATTGGCTGAGGAGAGCAGTAAACGATGACCCACAGAAGCTTGCTCTCTCTTCTCTCTCTGTGTTGTATCTCTCTATATTTTGCTCATCCATCAATCTATGTGTGAGATGGGGAGGCTCTCTGACCAATAGTCTTCAAAAATAAAATGCAATTTGCCAAACAAACAAAAATGACTGAAGTATATGAAAAGGCCCCAGGCTTCCTGCAGTATGTGTGACCTTCTGGGCTCTCCTAGTTTTCTTGTGGGGGAAGATATCTTAGGGGAAGCAAAACTGTTCTCCTCCAAGCTCCAAGGGACCTATTGCAGGAGGTTCCTTGCTTTATTTCCTGGTAGGATCTGGCCATTGAGTCACTGAGAGACCGTGGAGTCTTCATAGACCAAGACCATTCTCTTCATCAAAGTCTCCCTATTCCTGTTGGTGAGCATGGGGCTTGGGACAACACATAGTGCATTCCAGTAGAAAGTATTTACTGAGTAATTTTTGTGAGTCATTATTGAACAAGTGGTGTATTCAGAATTCAGAAAATGTTGTAGGTCCCTTCACTGTCCCCCTGTATGTTCTGTATGTTATACTTGTCTTATGTATGATATCTACATAGGGTGAAGACCCATCAGAGGTTATAATTGTTATTTTCCAACATCCAGCAGATTTTTTAAAACTCAGGAGGGGAACTGGGCTGGGCACCATGGCTCACGCCTGTAATCCCAGCACTTTGGGAGGCTGAAGCCAGTGGATCACTTGAGCTCAGGAGTTCAAGATCAGCCTGGGCAACATGGTGAAACCCACATCTCTACAAAAAATACAAAAATTATCCCGGTGTGGTGGCATGCACCTCTAGTCCCAGCTACTTAGGAGGCTGAGGTGGAAGGATCATTTGATCCTGGGAGGTTGAGGCTGCAGTGAGCCATGATGGTGCCACTGCATTCAAGCGTGGGTGACAGAGCGAGACCGTGTCTCAAAACAAGCAAACAAACAAACAAACAAACAAATAAACCTCAGGAGGAGAACAATCTGTTATACTTACTCAGATTGTTACCATTTCTGTTGCTTCTTCATTCCTGATTCTTCAAGTTTCCTTCTTTTTGAAGAACTTCCTTTAGTACTTCTTGAAGTACATGTTTGCTGGCAATAAATTCTCTTAGTTTTCCTTCATCTGAAAACATCTTTATTTTGCCTTTATTCTGGAAGTGTATTTTCTCTGGATAAATCCTGGTTTGAACATCCTTTCCTTTCAGCACTTCAAAGGTGGTGTGCCATTTCCTTCTGACCTCCATATTTTCTGATGAGAAATCTGTAGTCATTCAGATCATTGTTCTCCTACAGGTTAAATAGATTGCATTTCCCTGTCAGTTTCAAGATTATTATTATTAGTTACTTTAATTTTCACCATTTTGATTACAAAATAGTGAAATATTTGATTACAATTTGAATACAAAATAGTCTGGGTGTGGATTTCTTTGGGTTTATCACCTTTGGAGTTTGCTGAACTTCTTAATTTGCAGGCTTATATCTTTTGTGAAATTTGGGAAGTTTTTGGCCATCATTTCATTACATATTTTTTCAGCCCTGCACTCTTTCTCCTCTATTTCTGAAACTCCAATGACTAGAAAGGAGGCATCTCCTCCTTCAGAATTTTGGCTCTTGTGGGAACCTATTTCTGCCACTGATTATTGCTTGGGGGCTGAGAGAATGGAAAAAAGAAAAATGTGGGGATTTCTGCACTCTCTCAGAGTCCTAGGAGTTTGCTTTCTCACTCCCCAAGCCAGACCAGAGGCCTCCCCACTGATTTCTCTGTCTGAGTCCTGATGCCCATGTCCAGGTCTCAGGCTGTGCTGGTATCAGGCTCGGGGGTCCAGAAGGAGAAGAATGGCGAGCCTGCTGCCCACTCAGTGGCACTTCACATTCTGGTCTTCTTCTGGATTTGCCTGCCACTGTCTACTTTCAGAGCTCACAAATAGTGCTCCATGCAATTTTGCCCAGCTTTTATTGTTACACTCACTGGGAGAGACAGGGTAGAGCCCTGCCTTACCCAGGGTTCTTGCCTGGTTCACTTTTAATACAAAACCTATCCATGCCCAATGTAAAGTCAAGCTCAAATGACACAGAAGTAAGTAGAGTAACAGGAAAAAAAGAGGTCATTTTTTGCCATCTCGCCCCCTAAGGATAGGGCCTGTTGATGCTTTTGTATGATTTTCCAGACTTTTCTCTCATGCACATGCTGGCATCCTTGCAGGGAGCAGTCTGGCCTCTGATGGTCAGGGGTGCAGGCTGTAAACACCAGAACGGCAGGTTCCTGAATCAGTGCCTATAACTCTGGCAAACAACCTAACTTCACCAAGTCCAAATTCCCACTGATGTAAAGTGGGAATCATAATGCCTGCCCCTCAAGGAAGTTCTGAGGGTAAGAGGAGCAAAGGCACATTGTAGTTGCCTAATGAATGTCTCCATGTCATCTGATCTATACATAGAGAGAGCACATGCTCATTTCTGGGTATGGAGACAGACATCGCTTGCTGCGATAAAACCACAGACGGTTGCTCTTCTCTCCCTCTGCTTTGTCTTGGCCATCTCTCCACATTAGTAGATAAGATTGTCTTACTCTCTGGGACGGCTCCAGGTGACATTGTTGCATGGACATGAAGTCGCTTATTTTCTCTGTTGCCTTGGAAACCCCATTTCCTGAGAGTCTTGCCCTCTGTTCTCCCTCTGACAACAGAGGGGCAACCCTTCATCCTCTGTGTGTCCCCACGCTTTTC
This sequence comes from Homo sapiens, assembly GCF_000001405.40. Taxonomy (NCBI): domain Eukaryota; kingdom Metazoa; phylum Chordata; class Mammalia; order Primates; family Hominidae; genus Homo; species Homo sapiens. Next base: position 60,094,402 of record NC_000020.11, read on the forward strand.
GATAAGCAGGGGTCATTGGGAAGAAGCCACAGGAGAGTGGGGCCAACAACCCCCGAGAGAGCTTGCCATTCTCTGTTTTAATTCATTGAGGTTCTTGGCTGATGCTGTCTGGATTGGAGGGAAGGGATTCATGTAAGTGTACATTAAGGATTCTAAGATGTGTGTGTTACATAAACTGCAGGGCAGGTATTGATTGGTTTGCTTCCAAGAGTGTGGGGCATCATCTTTTTCCTGGACCAGAAATGACTCCCTGTGGGGGGTTCTTGTTCATTCCAGGAGAAGGGTTGAGGTCCTTGATGGCTTTTCTGGGGTGCTTACCAGGGGTGCCCTGGTGAGTGAGGGGCACTTACCACCAGGAGGTGTTCAGAGACTTGGCATTAAGTAACCATCCACACAGTAAACGTTCGTTCTTCCTCTTCAGTTCCATTCAGTCCTGAGAGCCTCAGAGAGTGTCTCAGACTGGGGCTCAGCCGCCTCTGTGGCTCTTGCCATTTTCTCTTTCTTAACAGGGAGAATGGACCAGAGGCCCAGAGGTGTTGACAGCTGCAGTACCTCAGCAGAATATAATAATATTCATTGATTTTCATGGTATTCCTTTTTTTGATTGTTTTCTATTTGTGGCAAGTTTCATTTTTAAGTGTATTTATTTTCATTTGAAAGCTGAGATAATTTGAAGAAAAATATGAAGTAAACAATGTGGTCCTGGTGATATGCGTGTAGGGTATGATTCATATAGGGGTTCCCTAGACGATTTAAGTTTGGCAAACATTGAACTAACATGTGAATGACTGATAGCAGGGCTTTCCCTGAGAACAAGCTCACAAGGTAGATGGGAAGACTATGGGCAAATGGGCGCAAGAATGCTGTCCATAGATGGGGGGAAATCTCCATCAGTTTTATGCATTTTCTGGGAGTTGACCCTTTCTGCAGACTATCTGCTAAGGTGGGAGAAGAGGAAGGACACAAGCCAGGGCAGGGGGTGGACTGGACAGGTGATGGTGGCAGACAGACTGCTGGCTTTGCTGTCTTGTGGGAAACAGACTGGATAGGAAGAGGCTCACACTCTCCCGAGGGAGACAAAGTCTTTCGTAGCAGGTATCCGTGATTCTATTCTGTCTGGGACGCATTCCCCAATTTCTGGAGGGTGATCCTCTATTTTATCTCAGGGGAATATCCCTTCTCCACTCTTAGTCCATGTGGTGCACACATCACCCAGCTCAGGCAAGCTCACATATTCTAAACCCTTGGCCTCTGTGATTGGTGTAAGGCTGGGCTCCTTGCCCAACAGGGTCCCATGAGGATAAAGTCAGCAATGCTGAATGGCTTTCTGCCAGGGTTGCTAAGCTAGTGGGGGCAGGTGAGGAGCTCTCTGTGAACAGAAGGTCCTGAGATTGAAGCCACCACCTAGGAAGGAGGAACTGACAGAAGGAGAAAGGTCGAGTCCCAGGCATCTCCTTGGAGATTCTGGGCACAACTGGGACAAGAGCCCTCGTTTGCGTGAGCCAGTGAGTCCCTTGCATTCCCATCTTATTCTCTGAAACTGATTTGAGTTGAGTTTTTGTTATGAGCCACTCCAAGTCACATGTACCTACTGACCTACGTGGAGACTCTCTCGTGCTCTGCATGGCTGTAGCCATAGCTCCGCAGTCAGAGAAACAGGCACTGGAGTTGGGACCTGGACTCCCATTGCAGCTCAGCCATGTATGGGCCACAGGACCTTGAGCAAATCATTTCTCCGGTTGATGGGAGGGTGAAGTGAGGGAATCCATGCTAAGCTCCTAGTAAAATGCCGGCATAGACGCTCCGGGTGGATGTGAGCTGCTGCTGATAATGATGGTGATTAAAATAAAACCTCAATTATAATGAAATGTAATTCCCATGCGAATGCTGTTGCTCCCTTCCCCACGGTGAAGTGTGTGTGTGTGTGTGTGTGTGTGTGTGTGTGCGTGCCCACGTGTGCGTGTGGGGGAGGGGGCTTGGAATTGTGGCATCTACAATGCCAGGAGAAGCTTTCATAAGCCTAAGGCTGTAGTCCTTGTTCAGGGGTGGAAAGATGCCTCCAGTCGGTCCAATCTGAGTGACACCCACGTCTTTGGTAAGCAGCTGGGAAAGAAAAGCTCTGTCTCCTTCCAGATGGTGTGCTGCATTCCCATGGTTTTGGATCCTGCAACCACTCTTGTTCCACGCAGAGGCCAGCCTGTGGGTTAGAGAGATGCACAGAGAGGGACAAAGCCCGGAACAATCACAGAGAATCAAAGCACTCTGGTTATACCTTGCCTTCCCTAAGCTGCTGATGAATTAGCAGATCAAATTCCAGAAATAATTCAACCTTCCACTGTTTTTTTTTTTTCACGCACGTGTCCCTTTGCCAGGCAGCCTTGCTGTAGTGCCTCTGTTTAATATTCCATTTGTAAGATGGGCAGCTCCAAGTCTATGCTCACTCAGCTGCTCATCAAGAATAACAAGGTAAATGACAAAGGAGGTAAGAATGTCCTCGTCAAATGTCCTATGCTGTCACCTGCCAGAAAGCCCTCGGCAGTCAGTGTCCAAGATGGCTCCCCACGCAGGAATCTCTCTGAAGTGCTCTGTGATCTCCACAACTAAAACATAATTTCTGGCTCCAGAGAGCTCTGGGGCTCTGTTCCCTTGTTCAGCCCGTGCTCCTGGTCATCGTCAGCCCCAGGACTGAGGCTTGGACTGGCTCAGGGGCTGCTGTCTGTGAAAATCAGATTGATGCATCTGATTACATGGCCTGTTAACATCTGCAAAAAATAAGATAAAATAAGAATTATTTACCTGTCACAGCTTTGACACACCATCACAAACTGGAGCTGACACCTCTTCTGTTCACCTTGGAGAGGTGCAGAGTGAAGAGCAGACCGTGACACACTTAATAGATTGCTGGGCATTTACGGAGCTGCTTGTTACCCAGCTCAAGAGCCATGTCCAACTGCTACAGCGTTCATCAAAGACAAGAAGCCACAAGGAGCAAGTCAGTACTGCAATTCATTAAGGCAACTTGACCTCTGGGGAGAGGAGAAGAAAAAGGAACTAGCAGCATTGATTGCCTATGTTTCCTGAAGTGTGGTGTCATGGCATAAAATGACATTGAATCACAGGGTGAGAAAACCACGCATTTCAGCTCTTGCTTGGCCTTTGAAGACGACATAGGAAGTCTCTGCTGGTGCTAGTTGTCTTGAGCTTCTCTTTGACACCCTTTCCTAATGCAAACAGAGTGGGCCTCAGCATGGGAGCTTCTGCAGGTGACTCTGCTAAAAGGTTACTAACACTGTATAGTGGTGTTCCATCCATTTAAAAAATATACTTTAATTTTTAGAGTAGTTTTAGGTACACAGTAAAATTAGGTGGGAAGTGCAAAGATTTCTCATTTACCTCCTGCCCCCACCTACACACAACCTCCTCCATTATCAAGATTCCCCCTAGGGTGGTACATTTGTTGTAATTGATGACCTGACATTGACAGATGGATGACATATAGTTTGCATTAGGGCTCACCCTTGGTGTCATACATTCTATGGGTTTGGACAAATGCAAAATCACATATATCCCCCATTACAAGATCCTACAGAACACTCTCACTGACCTAAAAATCCTCTGGGCTCTGCCATTCATCCTTCCATCCCTGTAGTCCCTGGCAATCACTGGTCTTTTTATTGTCCCCATAATTTTGCCTTTTTCAAAATGTCATACAGTTGGAATCACACAATACAAAGCCTCTTCAGATTGGCTTCTTTCACTTAGCAATGTGAGTTTCTGTCTTCTCCACTGTCTTTTCATGATTGGATAGCTAATCTTTGTTTCATCTATTTTTAAGGTTATGCACCAGTTAAGGGAAGTGGTATAAGTTTTCCGTGTATAGGAGTGATATATAGTTTTCATGTTCTTTGATTTGAAAATTAACTTCCTTTAAATATATAATTGCTTTGTTTATTTTTGGCCAGATAGGACACTCACTCAGCTCAAAAATCAATGTAAATCAAAAGGTTTGTATTGAAAACTCTGCCTGCCATCTGTCTCCTGCCACCCAGCTCCTACCCACACTGTGTTACCACTGACTTCTGTTCATCCTTCCAAAGAGTTTATGCAAATACAACCTGTTATAAATATATGTTCTCCCTCAACAGTTTTCTACACAAATGGTAGCATACTTTATGAACTGTTCTGTATCTTTTTGGCATAACAGTATACCCTGGTGATCATTCCCTATCTGTATATTTCCTCATTCTTTTTTTCTGCTGTATAGAATTCCATTTTCTGGATGTACCACAGTTCATTCAACCATCCCCTACTAATGGACACTTAAGGTGCTGTGGTCTTTGATGCTGTAAACAGAGTAGCTGGGAATAGCTTGTACTTACATCGACCCACATGCATAGGAGCATATCTGGGAAGTGGCGTTGCTAAGTAAAAGAGAACATTAACTTCTAATTTTGGCAGACATTGTCAAATTGCCCTCCCTAAGGAAGTCATAGTTTTTTAATTGTTAAATGGTCTTATTATTTGTAGATCGACAGAAAAGAAATGAGTCAACGATGGTGCAGGTGATCTGTGCAGTGCTGTGCAGGGGATGGGTCAAAGCTGTGATGCTGGCATGCAACTAACTCACCATTGTGAGCCAATCACAAAAGCAGAAACTTGGCCAAGCTGGTATCTTTCTAGAAACAAACTTCAGATGTTTACATCTGTAACAAAGACAAACTTCAGATGTTTAATTTTTATTTATTTATTTATTTAGTTTTATACTTTAAGTTTTAGGGTACATGTGCACAATGTGCAGGTTAGTTACATATGTATACATGTGCCATGCTGGTGCGCTGCACCCACTAACTCGTCATCTAGCATTAGGTATATCTCCCAATGCTATCCCTCCCCGCTCCCGCCACCCCACAACAGTCCCCAGAGTGTGATGTTCCCCTTCCTGTGTCCATGTGTTCTCATTGTTCAATTCCCACCTATGAGTGAGAACATGCAGTGTTTGGTTTTTTGTTCTTGCGATAGTTTACTGAGAATGATGATTTCCAATTTCATCCATGTCCCTACAAAGGACATGAACTCATCATTTTTTATGGCTGCATAGTATTCCATGGTGTATATGTGCCACATTTTCTTAATCCAGTCTATCATTGTTGGACATTTGGGTTGGTTCCAAGTCTTTGCTATTGTGAATAATGCCGCAATAAACATATGTGTGCATGTGTCTTTATAGCAGCATGATTTATAGTCCTTTGGGTATATTCCTCAGGGATCTAGAACTAGAAATACCATTTGACCCAGATGTTTAATTTTTAAATGGACCAGTAGAAGTGGAAAGGAGGGACATGTATGTCTATACTCTGGGAGAGATGACAGATGCCCTCATTTGCCCCCAAATTGGTGCATGAGGGCAGGGCTGGGGTTGGGCTTTGGGTGCTGCATCTTGCACCCCTTAATGGGTGTGAAGGGTCCCAGGTGCTCAGGTGGGGCTGGCCACGTCTCCAGGGGACTTCTGTTTCCTGCTTGTCTTGCTGGAGGCCGGCTGCTTTGTCTTCTTCAATTCCTTGACATTCCTGATATTAAGCCCCTTCTTGGGCCAGTGTGAGTGGGCTTCCTCCCTTCTAAAGATCAGCCCGCCCTGAGACACTCGCTGTTTCTCCCTAGGTGGAAGCACCCTCAGTGGGTGATGCTAGAAATACCTGCCCGTCATTTCTACTTCTACTGGTCCCATTTTAAAAATTAAAAATCTGAAGTTTGTCTTTATTACCTTTCTAGAAAGGGACCAGCTTGACGAAGCTTCTGCTTTTGTGACTGTCTCCTAATGGTGAGTATTGAGAATTTCTTCTTATAGTCGCAGCAGTGAAAAGGAACTTTTCATCCAAAAATTACAAAACAGATTTATGTTGAAAATAATGAGAACTTTGTTGGTGCCCTGGAAAAATATTTGAGAGAAGCAGAGAGTGATTCCTTTTATTGGGCCAGAGTGTAAAATTCAGCTCATTGGTCTCAAGGGAAGAAAAAGTTCTTTTCTTCAGTTGGCAATTTGTTTTCAACAAAAGATTTGGAATGCCTTTTTCTTTTCTTTTCTTTTCTTTTCTTTTCTTTTCTTTTCTTTTTAATAAAGGAAGGATATAGTTAGTTGACCAGGAATTAGCTAGGGATTAAGAATTGGTTGGCTTGGCAATATTTCTACCTGCTTGCTGTGCATATACTTGAATTAACAACGGTCAATAATCAAAAGGGCATTAGAATGTGAGTTGGGCTGTGGAGGGACCACCCCAAATCTACTTCTCTGTAGTATTGAACCCAGGGGCCTCACTTTGCTTCGCTGCAATTCTGTGGTTTTTAATTTATCATTTCCAGGATCTGGGGGTTTCTTCAAGCTCCCAGACTTGCTCAGGCACATTGCAAATAGCCATGATTTGAGATGATTTTCTTTAATGCTGAAGCAGATGAAGAACCCAGGTTCTTTTTAGTGGCAAGGCTTGTTTATCAGCAGCTATACAGCTATGGGCACAGACACAGGTAAACAGCACAGATGCTGGGAGAGGGCTGGCATCTGACCGTGACCATCACGCCCATGTGACAAAGGATGTCACCACAGTGAACAGTTCTGACCACAGTGGCTTTTCACCTGCTTCGTTAAATTTAACTCACACCGGCTCAGAGGACAATTTGATTCATTCTGTATCTCAGCAGAAACCAGAGCACCTCAGAAGATCAAGGCTTCCAAATTCTCCTGGGGGAACAGACGTCAGCCATTCAGCACAAAGGAAACTTCCTTCTCTGTATGTCAGAGGAAGACATAATTGTGCCATTTCCTTCTTGAAGAAGTTTACAAACATTTGCAAGTTGTCAAAAATAATTAGTCTAAAATTGTTTCATAAACCGTGGAATGAAACAGGACGTGCCTTGTTGAGATCAAAGGGCTTCTGTTACCTTCTTGTAAACTCAAATGAAATTCTTTTGAAAGTAAACTCTTGGAATTAGCAGTGGTTTTTGTGGCACATGTATGGCAGGGGGAGGGGAGCAGAATGATTCAGATAGCAGAGTCCAGGGGAGAGCCGGGAGGAGTAAAGCCCTGTCCACAGAGAATGGGAATGGGTCTTGAACAGCCATGGTGATCTGTGCCAGTGGGCACAGGACTTCTTCAACGGGAAGCTCAGGCATTCAGGAAACACTCATTTCGGTGATCTTGAACTTGCAAGAGTGAGAGTGGGCATGGACACTCACAGTTCTACAAACAAAGTAAGAACTGGGGCTTGTGAGTCAGTCAGACTGAGTTTCCATTCCAGCACCGCCGGCTCCTACAAGCAGGCCCTGGAGAAGCCACTTCACCTCCGCGTCTCAGGCCACTCACCTCCAAAGACAGATGCAAACTCCGCCTCCCTCCTCGGTGAGAGGTAAGTGAGGTGTTGCCTGTGGGGGGCTCAGTTCAGTGCCCAGCCCCGAATAAGCTCTGGGGAATGGCCGCTCTGATACTTATGATTGTTCCTCATTATTAGGATGGAAACAAGCAGGCATTTACCGAGGGCTTATCGGTGGCAGATGCTAGAGGGGGCCTGGGACCTCGTTGAGAAATGCAGAGGTGTGCATCCTCTCCCTCAGGGGAGGTTGGATAGGAGTCCAGCTCCTAACATAACCGCACGGGGCATCAGCCCCACGGAATGCAGCTGTTGTGTGGCCAGGTCCTTTGGGCACGGTGCCCATAGAACTGAGCCTGGTGGCCTGGTGAGCAAGTGGGAGGGCATGTGAAGGCGGTGGTGAGAAAGCAGAAGCCTGGGGGGCTCCTGTGAGCCCTGCTTGAAGGGTCAGTAGGGGAGAAAGTGAGATGGTGGAGATGGTGAAGAGTTGCTTGTTGAGAGGAAGCAGATAAAACGGAGCTAAATAGCTGCAGTTTTCCCTCTGTCTGTGTGTGTATATCTGTGTGTCCTGCCCTTCCAAGGAGGAGAGAGAGGACAAGCAGGGATGAGAGGAGAGAATCAGGCTGGACTGTCAGTCTTTTCTCCCCTGGAGACCTTCAGGGTAGCAGGCTACAGGCCTGAAGCTGGCCTGAGGCCCTGGCTGTAGGACACGCTGTGTGGAGGAGAGCAGGTAGGGGAGAGAAACAGCATCTCTCCTATGTGTGCTGCCATGCAGGGGCCCTCAGAGAGGGCGCTTGGGAGACAGAAGCATCCCACACCACTCTCAGGTTGCAAGGACCCTGCTGAGAAGGGAAAGGTGGCCCCTGACAAGCACAGGTGGACACAGCCTGCACACAGTGGCCTGTCCTCCCCACATTGCATTACTCTGTCTGCTGGAGTCATGGCTCAGTGAGCTAAGGGCAGGGATGTACATTTCTGACCCTGTAAATCATATATTTGCTGTCACACAGGGCAACATTTATCCTTTTAATACAGAGTCTATCCCTTTCTCAATTAAACAATAATACTTTTTACCAGATTTAGACAAACTTCATCTGCTGAGTCATCAGATATTTACAGAACACTTACTCTGTGCTGGGTCCTCTGTGAGGTGCAGAGAGGAGAGCGGTGAGGAAGCGAGTCCCTGCTGCCCTCATGGGGCTCACAGTGCAAACTCCAGCTTGCAGGCCAAATCTGGCCCACTGCCTGATACTGTAAATAAAGTTTTATTGGCACACGGCCACACCCACTTGCTTATATAGTCTCTGTGGCAGCTTTCAGGCTGCAGTGGCAGAGTTTAGCAGGTCTGACAGCGATCATCTGGCCCACAAAGCCAGAAACAATTACTCTCTGGTCCTTTACAGAAAAAGTTTGCTGGCCCCTGGTCTACACCTCCCCTGTCCAAAAGAAATATAAAATGAGTTATGTGCCTAAGTTGATGTTTTCTAGTAGCCACATTAAAAAAAATAGAATGAAACCAGTAATGCTAGTTTCATTAATATTTATGTAACCCGATATGTCCAAAATATTATCATTTCAACATATCATCAATATAAGAATATAAATGAGTTATTTTGCTTTTTTTGTAAACTCTTAGAAATCTGATGTGGATTTTACACTTAAAGTCGATCTCAGTTGGGATAAGTCCCATTTCAAGAACGCAGTGGCACATGTGGTGGGTTTCTGCTAGGGCAGAGCTCAGAGGAGGGCCATTATATAAATCACTGCACACATGGGACCCCCAGTGAGGAACTTGGACACATACTGAGAGCCTAGAGTAGGCCCGGCACCAGGTACTCATCGCCCTGGAATTCTGTGGAGTAGGGGCGAGTGTCCTTCTGATTTTCTCATGAGGAAGCAGAGGCGTAAAGAGGTTTAAAAGCCTGTCCCAGGAGAAGCAGGGGCCAGCTGGGGGGCATAGAAAGGGAGCTGGGACCCAGCTTGAGGAGGTGGGGAGGCCTCCGGGGTAGTAGCATCATTCTTTCCAACCATAAAACATGCAGCCTGGGCTTCCTTCTTGAAGTTGTAGGTCCTGGAGCGTATTCACTTTGCATAGAGATCATTTGAAAAATGAAAATGAAAAGCAAATTGCATCCACGGTGTGCCTTCATGTACTCATCATTGTTTTAAAGCAGGGAGAAACAAGCTGTGGCCTCTTCATGTTCACTCACAGATGCTGCAGGTGGCTTAACTAGCAGAGTGGAGTGGCTCTTCAAGCCGCTAAACCAGCCACTACTTGCATTCAAGGAAGGTATTTCGATGGATTGAAAGCATTTTCTAAATCACTAAGGTTTGCTTTTCAAGTAGCAGAAAGCTTACCCCCGATTGCTTCAAACCATTAATACGCTGGGAAAAAATGTGTGTGAGCCACCGTAGCAGGCACGTTGTACTCTCCCCATTCCTCTGTCTGACAGCCGGTGTGAGTTAGTGCTCATCAAGTAACCCATATGGTTGCAGAATCCACCCATGGTCAGCACTGACCCTGAACCGGGAGCTGGACACATTGGTCTAGTCCGGGTGGGTTGCACAGCCCTGCGCTCAGAAGGGCCCTGCACTCCACTGAATTCTCTGCAGTTCTGACCTGAGATGCTCAGCACCTTTTCAACAAGGACCCACATTTTCATTCTGCTCTGGGATGGCAAGTTCTGTAGCAGGTCCTGCATCCAGTCTGTCCTGCTGCCCCTCACTGGTGGGGTCACTTTGGGCACCATGTCCAGCTTGTCACACCTCAGATGAGAACCACACAGTGCTGGGTGTTGTGAGCACTTGTGGAAGTGACAGGAAGGGCTTGGTGTGGTCCTTAGTGCACAGCAAACAGCTGGGAAGTGGTGAGGGCATGATGACACATGGTCCGCCTTGGAGTATGGCACTGAAGGGGGAGCTGGGCTGAGATGCTGTGTTAGTCTGGTTTTCACTGCTATAAAGGCGAACCTGAGGCGGGGTAATTTATAAAGAGAAGAGGTTTATTTGGCTCACAGTTCTGCAGGCCGTACAGGAAGCATGCCACTGACATTTGCTTCTGGTGAGGCCTCAGAAAGTTTACAATCATGGTGAAAGGAAAAGGGGAGCAGGTGTGTCCCATGTGAGAGGGAGAGCAGGAGAGAGAGAAGGAGGTGCCAGGCTCCCTGAAACAAACAGCTCTCACTCACGCGAACTAACAGTGAGAATTCATTCATTACCGTGGGGGAGGTCACCAAGCCATTCATGAGGGAGCTGCTTTCATGACCCAAACACCTCCCACCAGGCCCCACCGCCAACACTGGGGATCACATTTCAACATGAGATTTGGAAAGGACTCACAATCCAAACCATGTCAGATGGGCTCTCCATGCCAGACTCCTCACCAGCCCAAACCAGGCCCCAGCTCAGCCAGGCTGATTCTCCCTCTGGCCCTGAAGGACTCTGATTGCTTTACCCACTCCCACCTCCAGAATGCCACTGCAGCCTCTACCCTCTGCCTGGGGATTTTTCAAGATCTCTACCACTCACCGGCAACATTTGCACAACAGACGATTTCCTTTGTTGTGCAAACGTGATCACAAGCTCCTTGGGGCTTAAAACTCCCTGGGACTTTAAGTTTTCCTCAAGAGAAATGACAACTTTTTTTTTTTTTTTTTTTTTTGGTGATGAAGTCTCTCTCTGTCGCCCAGGCTGGAGTGCAGTGGGGTGATCTCTGCTCACTGCAACTTCCACCTCCTGGGTTCAAGTGGTTTCCTTGCCTCGGCCTCCTGTGTAAGAGAAATGACATCATTTTAAACATGGTTTGTAAAGCCCAACCGAAGGTGCCTCCTCCTCCACACTCATGTCTCTCTCCCTAACTCTCTGTGTTCCAGACAGACTGGATTTCCTTTTGTTGCCTTCCTTGCCCAGGGCCTTCATGCATGTCTATCTTTGATGACTCTCACTTCATCTAAGGCTTCTTCGGAAACTGCTCTCTTTTCAGAAGCCTCGTTTCAGAAGCTGCATTTAGCCTCCGACACATGGCCACAACCCTCTGCATCTTTCTCTCCACCACTCCTCATATCTGTCTTCCCTACAGGGCTCCAGGAAGACAGAGCCATGGGGCTAAACCTGCCAGTGCTGCTTCCTCAGTGCTTGGCACATAATAGCTGCTCAATAAACATTTATTTCATCACTGAGAAATGATGGCTTGAGATCTCAGTAATGTAGGAGCTACCCACAATGTCATTTTTTTTTTTGAGAGAGTCTTGCTCTGTTGCCCAGGCTGGAGTACAGTGGCATAATCATAACTGGCTGTAACCTCAACCTCCTAGATTCAAGTGATCCTCCCACCTCAGCCTCTCAAGTAGTTGGGTCTACAGCTGCATGCCAGTACCCTTGGGTGATTTTTAATTTTTTTGTAGAAACAGTGTCTCAGTATGTTGTCCAAGGTAGTGTTAAACTCCTGGCTTCTAGCAGTCCTCCTGCCTTGCTCTCCCACAGTTTTGGGACTACAAGCCTGAGACACTGTGCTTAGCCAACTCACCATGTCTTTTAAACATTCAACTTTCAGTTAAAGGGAACACTCAAGACATGTTATGAGGCTGGGCATAGTGGCTCACGCCTGTAATCCCAGCACTGTGGGAGGCCGAGGTGGGCGGATCACTTTCGGTCAGGAGTTTGAGACCAGCCTGGCTAACGTTGTGAAACCCTGTCTCTACTAAAAATACGAAAATTAGCTGGGTGTGGTGGCACATCTGTAATCCCAGCTACTCAGGAGGCTGAGGCAGAATTGCTTGAACCCACGAAGTGGAGGTTGCAGTGAGCTGAGATCGTGCCACTGCACTCCAGCCTGGGCGACAAAGGGAGACTCCATCTCAAAAAAAAAAAAAAAAAAAAAAGACATGTTACGGTGATCATATGAAAATGGACAGGAAAAGTGATACCCCCGCTCACCAGGGGACCTGAGGCAGAAAATCAACCACTCTGAGCCTGTTAACATCATTGGCGACAGGGAACCCAGGGTGCCTGGAATGGCCATCGCGCACATTCTCAAACCTTCAGGAACCACTGGCAGCAGCAGGGATGAGTCTCATCGTGTTTTATTTAATGCTGGTGTCACGGAGTTACTTATGGCCAAATACCTCAAGACAAATTGTGCATTTTGGAATTTAAAATACCTTTCCTTTCCAGTGTAAAACCAACACATCCTTATTCGAGTTCTGCAGCATTTGAATTTTTATGTATCCTGTAAAACTGAAAGCCCCTCCAATAATCCCCGCAATCCTCCAGCAACATTTTCACCATAGATCTATGCTAGCAGCAGGTTGTTAACGTATTTTACAAAATGAGATCAAACTATAACATTCTTGTACAGCTTGCTTTTTAAACTTATCAACGAATCATGGGTTCCTTCCTATGGGAGTACTTACCAACCTCATTCTTTTTAAGTTTTCTCTGTTACTCAGGACAATGAAATGACCATTGTTTACTTAACCAGTCCTCTGTTGATGGAGATATGGTTGTTTCCAATTTTTCATTATTATAAACCATGCTGCAAAGACCATTAAAAAAGTTTTCGCATAATTGAGTGAGGGATTCTGCAGGGTAAATTTCTTCCTGGAAATATAATTCATGGGCAAATGGCACAAACATTTTAAGTATTAATTGACATCGCCAAACTGCCATCCACACAAACTTGGGCAAAATGTACACTTTTAATGATCTGTGGAAACTTCTACCAGGGAGGATGCTTTTCAGTGGAAGTGGCAGAAAATCTAAATCAAACCAGTTTAAACAAACAAAATTGTATTGGATCACATAATGGGGAAGTTTGTTATAAGGGCATAAAGGATGCGATCAGAGCCTGGTTCTCTCTGGCTCCCTGCTTAGCTCTTCTGCGTGCTGTGTGTGTCTTCCTTCCAGGCAAGTTCTTTCCTCACGGTCACAGGAAGGCTGCCAGCAGAAGCTGGGCCACAGGCTCCAAGGTCCACATGAGGAGAATACAGCTTCCCAGCATTCCTGGCGCAAGCCCTGGGAGTCACTCTGATTGGACGTCTTTGGGTCACATGCTCACCATTGAACCAATCAATATGGCTGCGAATTGCAACGTAGGGGTTGGGTGAGCTCAGGGTCACATGATCTTGCATTTAGGGATGGATGTCGCCTTTGTCCACACCTTGTGGAGGAGATGGGGAGACTGGCCCGACTTCTTGAGTGTGTGGCCTGGGTGGCTGCATGGGGTCCCTGTTCTCAGAAGGGCCCTGTTCTTAGTTTAATTTTCTGCTGTCACCATCTTACAAATTCTTAATAGTTGTTGAACAAGGGGCCCCACATTTTCATTTTGCACCAGGACCCACAAATCGCACAGCCTAGTTGCTAGATGACAATGGGGCTGTTTCTAGAAAAAGGGGAAGATAGCTGAGCTGGGAAAATGTGAATGTCCTCTGCAATGGTCTGTGCTAACATGATTCAGATGGAGTTTCTCCTTGAGTGGTTTTGTCACTTGCCCTCTCTAGTCCTTTTAGTTCTTTTCCCTCTACATTAAATGGCAGGGTTGGGTGAGGTGGCCTCCAAGGATGTTTCGGCTGTGCTCTTCTCTGATTTATGATGTCTGCCTCACTTATGCTATGAAAATCCCAACCTTGCACCAAGTTTATGGACATGGTGATATTCTTCAACATAAGTTGCCTCAATTGTATCGGTATTAAAAAGTGACCATGAATTACAGTCAAGTGCTGCACAGTGATGTTTGAGTCATTGACAGACCCTGTATACCACAGTTGTCCCATAGGATTATAATGGAGCTGAAAAATGTCTATCGCCTAGTGACATGGAAGCTGCCGTAACATCATAGCACAGCACATTCCTCACGTGTTTGTGGTGAGCTGGTTTAAACCTACTGCACTGCCAGTTGGAGAAAAGTCTAGCACATACAATTGTGTATAGTACGTAATACTAGATAATAAATGACTGTGTTACTGGTTTATATGTTTACTATACTATAGTTTTAATCATTAATTTAGAGTGTATTCCTTCTACTTACTAAAAAAAAAACAATTTAACTGTAAAACAGCCTCAGGCAGGTATTTTGGGGAGGATTTCTAGAAGAAGGCATTGTTCCCATGGGAGATGACAGCTCCAAGCCTGTTTAGCCTCTGATGACCGTCCAGTGGGACAAGGTGTGGGGTGGAAGGCGGTGACATTGATGATCCTGACCCTGTGCAGGCCTAGGCTAATATGTGTGTTTGTGCCTTAGTTTTTAACGAACTAAGAGCGAAAACAAAACCAACCTTGTCTTTTACAGAAGAAAGCTTATAGAATAAGGATGTAAAGAAATTATTTTTATACAGTTAAAATGTGTTTTAAGGTGTTATTACAAAAAGTTAAAAAAATAAAAAGTTTATAAAGTAAAACATTTACAGTAAGCTAATGTTAATTTTTTATTGAAGAAAAAATTTTTTCTTTTTTTGAAAGAGAGTCTCTGTTGCCCAGGCTGGAGTGCAGTGGCACAATCTTGGCTCACTGCAACCTCTGCCTCCTGGGTTCAAGCAATTCTCGTGCCTCAGCTTCCCAAGTAGCTGGGATTACAGGAGTGTGACACCACACCTGGCTGATTTTTGTAGTTTTATTAGAGATGGGGTTTCACTATGTTGGCCAGGCTGGTCTCAAATTCCTAAACTCAAGTGATCTGCCTACCTCTGCCTCCCAAAGTGCTGGGATTACAGGTGTGAGCCACTGTGCCTGGCCTGAAGAAAGAAAAATGAATTTAAATGGATTCAGTAAAACCTAGGTGTACAGTGTTTATAGAGTATACACAGTGAACAGTGATGTCCTGGGCTTTCACATTCACTCACCACTCACTCACTGACTCACCCAGAGCAACTTCCAGTCCTGCAAGCTCCGTTCATAGTAAGTGCCCTATACAGGTGGGCCATTTTCTATCTTTTATACCATATGTTTACTGTACCTTTTCTATGTTTAGATACACAAATACTGTTGTGTTACAGTTGCTTACAGTACTCAGTACAGTCCTGCTGTACAGCACTCAGTATAGTCACAGGCTGTGCAGGTTTACAGCCCAGGAGCAAGGGGCTGCCCACATAGCTCAGGTGCGTAGCAGGCTGTAACCTCCAGGTTCGTTCAGTTCTCTCTATGAGGCTCCCACAGGAGGAAACGGCCTAAGGATGCATTTCTCAGAAGGTATCCCAGTCGTTAGGGGACGTATGACTGTAAAAGAAAAGAACCCAGCTTCAAGAATCAGGAAACTGCATTGATGAGTCTCAACTTGATTCATCTCTTAACAACCACCAGTGTCATGGAGAATTTCCAATAAGAAAATCCCAAGGTTTTGGGAAATGCTCTTTGAAGATTTTTGTAAATTGGTAACAGCTTGGTGTCATGGATTAGACATATTTTCATAGTTTGCTTTCTTTTTTACAAGTAACCCAATTATTTTCGTCTAATTGAGGAACACAGCAGACACTTAATGACATCTAAGTATTTCTGACGTGCTTCTTTCCTTTTCATCCTCATAAATGATCCGATCCATACATTTTGGAGAAAATTATGAGGTTGGTGCCAAAGTAATTACGGTTTTGGCCATTATGTTCAATGACAACAACCACAATTACTTTTGCACCAACCTAAGTATATTATGGCTCACATTCCAAAAAAGTGATTAACATTTAATTTAGTTATCAATACATGAATACACTCTTTTGTAAAAAAAAAAAAAAAAAGGAAATGGAAGCATTCCAGATAAAGGCAAAGTCCTTTTGGATCAAACGTCTCCCCGCTCCTGTTCTCTGTGATCCCTTCTCAGGCCTCACCCCTTCTGAGGTGACCATCTCCATCAGTTCTTTGTCTCCTTCCGGAATGTTTCCATGTGTTTGTATTATAGATATAGCTAGCTAGCTAGATTCCCACAGAATATCTATCAAGTGGTTTTGTTTTGACCTAAAAGGCCTCATCGTTGGCCCTCTCTTTCCCCCCTTCAACATAGCTTTGTGAATTTTCCGGTAATTCCGTGCAGACCTGCAGGAGAGTTTGTGCTGTGGAAATATTGCTCATTTTATACAGCCTCGATGGGTCTCTAGGTTGATTTATGGTTTTCACAAGAAGTGCTGTGATGAACAGCCTTGTGTGTGCCCGTGGGGGCAAGGTACCACCCTCTGCCTCAGTGAGGGTGCTGAGGAGGGGTAGAGGCCAGAGGGCATCCCTGTGAGGCCGACTGTGACAGGGTTTATGGGGCTGTTCTCAGGGTCACACTGCCAGGGAAGTGGAGGCAGTGAGGTTGGGCGAAGGAAGGCCTCAGCTGCCCCCAGGGTTGGGGTTGTGTCGTGGAGCAGGGACGGCTGCCCGGAGCTGTTCTGAGCTGGGGCCACAGGGTAGGGTGCCTGCACCCCCACATGTGTCAGTCATTGGATGTGGGTTGCCCTGGGGAGGGGGCATGACCTTGACGATCTTGAGCAGTCCCGGGGATGGGCTGGTAGGGGTGTGTGATAGGAACCTGGCTATGGCTGTCGGTCATGAGCACCGGGCAGCCTGAGGCCCCAGAGGTCTGGTTCTGAGAGAGGAAGTGTGCATAGAGCAGGGCCCGTGAGGTCTGCACATGGAGTGAGCAATGCACAATTGTCTTTAATGGGCCCATGCACTTGAAGAGTGGGCGCTGTCAGGAGATGGATTGCTTGCTTTTAGAGTAAGAAGACAGTGCCAGATAATCCGAGGCAAGCTCTGTGGCATTTGGGATGCATACCTGCATTTTTGGAACCATTTCCAAAAACAACCTTTGTTTGTAGCTGCCTACAGTTGATCTCGTTCTGTGTGTGTATCACCCAGTCAAGGGTCACTTTATGACATTGTTTTTTCCATGCAAATGATTTTTAAGGTAATCCTAGGAAGCTGGACCCTTTTTGCGTGTCCTTGACTAGTGACTCAGAGCCCAGTGGAAACCTCCAAATGGAAATGGCCACCCATTAACACACACTGCACCCTGCTGGGGGCAGCCACATCAGCTAGAAGAACTTGAATTAAATTGGGGTCTGATAACTTATTTTTATGCAATAAATTTTATTAAACATAAATGGAAATCATTAGCTGAAACACTTAATTAAAACTATGGCCAAATTAGATGAATGCTAAGGAACGTTCTCTGAATTTATTGCCCAGTGATCTATAGACTTGCTCAGTAATAGACTCCCAGAAACCTCCTTAATGAAGCTATTAAGTGCATAAATATCATATGTGCCAAATGGCAAAATTTAGCAATGATCTAACCCAATTTACTTGCTAAGTAAATAAGCCCTGTTGAGAGAAGCCACTAATTTATACTGATGACAGTTGTAGGACAAAAACCCCTTACCTGCCTGAAAACAGGCATTTTAAATAAGCAATTTATTGCATCTTGAGGCTGGGCAGCGAGGAGCTTTTCCACTCTTCTTGCTCCATTTCCTGAATTTTCCTTCTTGTGAATGTAGAACACACGCCATGGGCCACAGAGTCACTTTGGCTTTAATCTGCTTTGTGGAGTTTGAAATTCCTTCTCAGGGTCCCCTCTTCTCTGCTTGCAGATTTCGATGAGTTCTTGGCTGACTTCAAACCTGGAACTGCTGTGGTTTTGGAGATCCGGGTGGGCTGCAGCTGAGGCCTTGGACCCAGCCTCCCCACCCACTCCTACCCTTAGGATCTGGCTCATTTGAATGGTCAAAGCTTCATTGCTAAAAGCTGGGCTTCAGACTCTTCATTTAACAGCTGGGCTGGGTAGGTTGGAAGGCAAAGGCCCAGATCGTGGCCGCAGGTGGGCGTTGCAGAAATGGGCTGTCCTTTCCCTTGCTGACCTGTGTTGACCCCATCTCTTGATCTCAGCCTCGCTCCGGCAGCATCAGCAGCAGCACAGTGGCCTTTCCCTCCACCTGGAGTGCCCGTCCCCAAATAACCACACACTGCTCCCTCCCCAGCTGATGCCAGAGTGCAGCCTGCTCACCTCCTCTCATCATGGCGTCCAGCAGGGCCCCCTCTCCTGTCATCTCCCCTCCCTGGCTGGTGCTTGCTTCACAACTCTTGACACCACGTGATGTATTTTTATGTTTTTTTTATTAATTGTCCATCTCCCCTCCTTGAATGTAATGCCAGTGGAGCCAGGGGATGGTGTGGGTAGTTGTTTTGTTCATTTGAATTCCTAGTGCTTCATACAGTGCCTGTTTCCTGGTAGAGGCTCTCTAAATATTTTTTGAATAAATAAGTGAATGAACGAGTGGATGATATGCAGCAGACACTTGGAGTCCCCGCTGTGCACCAGGCACTGTGCTAGGACAAGAACCACACTTGTCCTTAAAATGGTTGCCATCTATTGGGGCTGGAAATGAAGTCAGGGGAAGTTGCACGAAGCAGGTTGATTCTCTGGTGGGGCCGTGCGTGGTGAGGAAGCAGCACAGGGAAGTGTGCCTAACCGGGTGGCAGATGGGGAGGGCTCCTGAGAGAAGTGAGTGCAAGCTGAGCTCATACCCTGGTAGTCTGTGCCTGTGTGTAGCGGGTGATAGCTGTGGGGGAGGCTCAGTCTCTCTGGAGCATCTGCACAGTGAGGACAGACCGCCAAGGAACTCCAGGAACAGGCATGGGGCAGAGGAAGAGAAGCCCTCAGACCCAGTGCAAGGAGAGAGAGTGAGCCAAGGGCACAGTCAACTACGTGACCTGGTGCTCAGCAGGCAAGAAGGAGCAGGAGAAGCATGGCTACTCACTGGAACAAGGAGGCTGTGCTGGGGGCCAGGTAGCCCAGGCCAGACCGCAGTGCAGAGAAGAAAGTATTAAAGGCAGAAGCAGACACAGTGAAGGTGGGGGCTCTCCAGGGTTGGCTGGCAAATTTTTCACATGGTCTAATCCCCACTTGACCCAGTTGAGACCCAGACTGCTCAACTAGACACAGGTCGGCCTGACTTCGAAGTGTGAGTTATGTCACTCTGATAGTGGGTCCTAAAGTGCAGATGTGTTTGGGTGATGCTTTTCAGTAGCCTATGGACATGGCACCAAGTGACAATGACTTCCGTGCCTAAGGAGTGTTCTGAATGCAGAACAGGGAGCACCTCCTCCGGGTTGGGAGAGATGCCTCTGCCCCCACCTGCCCAGTATCGGCCTCTGTGCATAGCAGTACTGGGCTTTCCTGGAACCCATGTTTCATGACAAATGAGGCTGGAGATGAAGTCAGCAGGAAGTTGCATGAAACCGGTTGATTCTCTGGTGGAGCTGTGCATGGCAAGGAAGCATCAGCACAGGGAAGTGTGCCTGACCGGATGGCAGATGGGGAAGGATGCTGAGAGAAATTAATGCAAGCTGAGACCATATGTGCACTGATAGGCTCCTCACCACTCTACTGGGTCGAACAGTGTCCCCCCTATAATCCATGTCCACTCAGAACCTCAGAATGTGACCTTATTTGGAAATAGAGTCTTTGCAGATATAACTGGTTAAGATGAGGTTGTACTAGATTAGGGTGGATCTTAATTGGCCAATGTCCTTATAAGAAGAGGAAAATTTGGATGCAGAGATGGACTGAGAAGAAGGCCATGTGAAGAAGGCCATGAGAAGAAGGACTGGAGAGGAATAGCTGCCAGTCATTGATATAAAAATGGAGTCGCTACATCAACCATAGTAAAATGGGGTGCAGCACCCCCACCACATGCCTGACTTATCACAAGACATCCCTGCTTGTATGCCTATGACAGGAACTATGCAAGGAACTCCTCAAAAACACAGGATTCCAGGTAAGCCACTTATGGATGCACATAACTTGTCCAACACTGGCTGCTTCCACCAATGAGCTAACACCAACTCCCGGAATAAGCCCCTGTGATCAATGGTCTTCATTTCAAAACAACTTAAGGTGGACTTCTCCCTTTTGTCTTTAAAAGCTTCTCCTAGTCCCAACCTCTTTGGATGTGCTTATGGCTCACCAGAGAATGCATATCCTGGATTGCAATCCTCTGCTATTCCCGAATCAACTCTTTGGAAAGTCTCTCTCTGTGTTGTTATTTTACAAGGCCAAGTAATACCAGGGATTTCCAGCAACCACCAGAAGCTGGAAGAGGCAAGGAAGGACCCTCCCTAGAGTCTCCAGACAGAAGATGCCTCATAGACACCTCGATTTCAGATTTCTGGCCTTCGGAAGTGAGAGAGAATAAATTCCAGTTGATTTAAGCCACCTGGTTTGTGTGCTTTGTTGGCAGCCCATGAAAGTCATATCATGACTTTTGCAAACTGACCAATTAATAATTAAGAAAAATGGCCTGAGATGGTAAACTGATGAGCATTTTGAAATTCACAAAAATTTGTTCTCACGTTTGTTATCCTGGGTGAATCTTCTGAAGCTGTATGTTAAACACACAAGATTCCTATGTAAACCATGATGTCTTCACAATATTGAGCATATTTTATCTTTTAAAAAAGTAAATTACCCATTCTTGCACAAAAAAGTAGATTTTTGTTGATCTATATTTTTATTTAGAATAAATTTGATGAAATCAGGTGGTGGGACAGCTGGCCCAGCTTGGAATAATGATCCCTCTGGATATATCCTTGTCTTGTTCTCATTTACAACTTTTGAGGCATAAAAGCATATTTTCAAAAAACCAACGCTTCTATATGAAAGCAGATTTATCATTCAGATCCATCATTAATTTCCCAATGACGTTCTGCCTGCCCATAAAAAAGACTTAGAGCTCGTTATGAAAATTTTATTCCAGAGAAAATGGTCTTGGGACATGGTTTGCACTGACCTCTTTTAACCTCTTGTTCCCTGTGTTATTATTATTAAGTAATAATGTTGCTTCCTGCCATTGCCTGCCAACATAACTCTTCCCTCTTTGTACTTCAGGAATCTGGGGACGGTTTTGGTTGCAGAGGGCAGATCAGCACTTTGCCATCGCCCTGTGCTCCTGGCCAGTCCCCATGCCGCTGCTGGGATGACAGTCTTACATCATCTTTTATGAGTACATCAACTTATTTGCAATTACGTTTAGATTGTCTAATAAAACCGGGTGACATTTTAGCTTACAGTTTATGTCCCAGTAAAAGGCTCCAAATGTTATTGCCATAAGAATCTATGTGGCAACCCAACATAAACCTTTTATTTCTAGCTGGACAGCTGACTCTGCGTTTAGCAACAGGAAAGCAGGGAATTGGAGGAGCGGGTTTCGGGGGGCGGTCGTGACAGCAGCCACCTCCTGCGGGTTTTGTTTTCTCTGTCAGGTTCCCCTTCTAGCACTCAAAAGCATCCAGCACTTTCTGAAAAGGAGGCCTGGGAAATGGTTGGACATGTCTCTGTTGTGGGCTCTGGGTGTGAGCCACAGAAGTGAGAGCTGAAGAAACCTCAGAGACCATCAGGCTTCCTCGTGGGATAGTTTTGGGTCCTTAGGAAATTAGGCCTTGGCACTCAGCTTAGATGACTTCCATTACAGTCCTATAGGTGTGAAATAAACATCTGGCTCAGAGGTTCTCCACTGAGGGCCACCATGGGTCAGTGTCTGGAGACATTTTTGGTTGTCACACCTGGGGGCAGTGCTGAGACTACTGTGTGCGCATTCATCTAGCGGGTGCAGGTGGGATGCTGCTGACACGTAACATGCACAGGGCAGCTCCGCCACAGAGAAAGATCCAACCCCGAATCTCGGCATGACGGAGGCTGAGAAATCCTGATCTAAGTGATAGCTTACTAAGCAAGGCCTTGGCGTTCAGAAGCGGTTGCCTGATTTCCTTCTTTCCTTTTTGAGTCATGGTTTTGTTGAGTTCTTGAAAGTGATAGACCTGCTGTAAATAAAATCACTGGATAAAGTTGGCGAGGGGTGGCCTGCCAGCCTCCAACCCCTGCCTGATGTGGGGTGCGTGGCCGGCCAGCCTCCAACCCCTGCCTGATGTGGGGTGCGTGGCCAGCCAGCCTCCAACCCCTGCCTGATGTGGGGGGCGTGGCCGGGCAGTCTCCAACCCCTGACTAATGGGGGGGGCGTGGCCGGCCAGCCTCCAACCCCTGCCTGACGGGGGTAAAATAGTGAAAAGCAAAAGCACCTGGTGTTTTTAGGAGACAGGAGACACAACAACTGAATATGTGGGCAGATTTGGGGGAAGAAAGAAATGAGCCCCAATGACCTGCTTCAGTTTTCTATTGAAAGAAATGCAACTTGGAAGCTTCATTTTTTTTTTTTAAGCACATCCTTTAAAAACATTGCCCAGTGCGTTTGGAAGTAGCCTTCCAGAAACCCTTGGGATTTATGACCCCAAAGTATGCTCACAGGTGCTCCCAATGAACCTTTAGGTGTAACGTGGATGAAGTGTGGAATGTGCCGTGACTCCTGCCTCTTAAAAGCTTACAGATTCCAGAAATGAAACCAGTTCATGCATAAAATATCTTCTCTCAGAGCACGGTCATTTTCATGCTTCCCCTTGTGTGATGATCAGGGTTATAAAGTATTGTGGTTATACCAGAAGATCCTCAACTGTGTGGAAAGAGGCTCTTCTATTTATAGCTCTCCCCATCGTGACTTACAGCATATGTGTTAATCTCCCTGTGAATTCTGAGCTCCCAAATGCTGAAGGAGATATGCTAAACCCTTTCCCCGTGGCGTTCTTCCAGACAGAATTTAAGAGACACCAGAGGATGGCACATTTATACTGAGCTTGCAGTTTCCTAAACATGAAGAAGATGAACGGCTCTCAGTTAAGCAGCACGGGTCAGATAGGAGCTTGAAATTGAATATTTGAGCTGACACGGGAGAGACATACTGTGAGTGGCCCCACGAAGTTAGCTGGATCTCTAAGCTTCCTAAGACACCATGATTAGAAATAGATTGAGGTCAGGGTATGCGGTCCTATTTGAATTAATGAAAAGCCAAATTGCTCCTCAGAGTGCTGGTTTTTGTGCTGCAGGTCAGACCACTGGGTTTTGTGGACCCTTTGCAGAGGTCGGGGGAGCAGCTGGGCTCTGTCCTTTTCTCACCTTTCGTCTTCTATCTCTTATAGTTTGAGATTCCAAATACGATTTCTGTGGAGAAAACAAAAAAGGACTCTGTTTTTAATTCAAAAGGTGAGGCATGGTTAATTAAAACATTGATGTGAACTGTTTTAAAAGAAAAAAATAATTGGTTTACTTTTGAGTGCTGAAGAGTCTTGGCAGAGTGGAAAGTAAATGGGCTTTGCTATTGATCAGACTTTGGTCAAAATCTATGTGCCACTTACTAGTCCTCTGACCTCAATCCTGCTGATTCTTAGTTTCCTTGTCTTTAACATGGGGATAGTAATTCATACTTTCAATGGGCACTGGGAGGTCATAGAGAATGACACCCACAGCTCCCTTTGATGGCAGCTGTGGCAGAGGGTCCAGACAACAGGTCTGCTTAAACAAAGAGGTGGGTAATGATGGCAGTTGGTGAATGGAGGTCTTGGTTCCCCTACCGCAGGTCCCTACTGACCTTTCTAAGCCCGGAATCATTTAGAGTTCTTTGGTAGCAAGCAATAGAAATGAGCTCTGTCTATTTTAAGCAAAAATGAATTTGCCTAAAGTCTGCTGGGTGGCTGGAATGGACAGGAATGCTGTAGGATCAGGCTCTCGAGCCAGAGAGAAACCAGGGCAGCCCCCTTCAAAGAACAGAACAGATGGGCGAGTTTGTTGGGCATTTCCAATGGAAATAAGCTGATGCCCTTTAGTTTTTCTTTCTTCCCTGATCTGACTCCTTCTAACTTTGTTTGGGTCACAAGCCTGGTTCTTAAGGGAGGACAGAGCACTTAGACTAAAATGCATGAAACCTCTGCACAGTGGGGCAGAGGTGAGCTCTCCAAGTACACCCAGATATTGTTAGGATGTGGGAAGGGATGCTGGGAACCAAAATGCTAACAGTGCACTGCAGGCTTCATCTGTCCCGAGCTTCAGAACACCTTGCCTACCCAAAGCCATCCTCCTCTCTTAAGTTTGCTTACTTCAGCCACCCTCGGCTGCCAACTGGATAAAAAGTATGGTCAGTCCCAAGTCATCTGCCCCTGCTTGTTTATCTGAAGTCAGGATTTTACGGAAGCATCGGCTGCCATGGCAAATATTCTTGTCATCACCAGGCAGATAAGTGACATATGCTACCATCTCAGGGAGTTAGAGAGTCTTTCTAATGATGCACTCCAAAAACTTGATCTGAGATCTCACAAGTTTCCAAGTTAATTAATAACCAGGGTCCCCAGAAACATGAACAAACATTCATTCCCAACATCCTTCCTAAGTAGGTCCTCAATATGTGGATTTGGGATGAAACCTGAATAAATGATTGGCATGCATGCTCTGATGCAAATGCCCAGCTCCCCTATGTGTTCCCTGTGCAAAGACAGCTTTAGTATTCTGTTGGGAAATGCCTCAGATTTGTTTTAATGGTATCTTATTCTATAAGACAGTATGAAGCGATCTAGGAAAAAATGAACAATACAGGCATATAGGCTAATTAAAAAAAGCTTGCAAAACTAAGAGAAACAAACAGCCTCTGAGTTTCATGCTTATGAAATATTTATTCAGTGCCAAAGAAGACACTGAAGTCAGAAATGAACTTTGCAAAGTAATTACTTTTGATCCCAGCAAAATCCATTCAAAGGCCTTCAGGTAAACATCATCTTTGATGGGCGGAAGGTGGGTTGTAAAGCAACATAATATTTTTAAAGGAAACAAGGAATGTGTCCAAGTAAGCCACTTGTCCAGGGCACTCTGGAAAGTGTTCCTGGGTGGAACTTCCTAGATGTCCTCCTTGCTAGCCGTGCAGAGATATAAATAGGAGGAAGATGAGATATGATCAGATGGCAAATAAGAAAGCCACAGGCAGCACGACCATGAGAGGGGTCTTCCTTAAAAGACTCTAAATGAGGCACACGTATTTTAAAAGAGAGTACGTGCCACTAATTTTGATATAGATCTTTAAAATGACATTAAAATGGAAATACACTCAAACTAGGCATCTCCTGGGAAAATGTCAGTAGTTATGTTACACTTGTTTTCCGTTTCGTTCCAGTGCTCCTGTGAAAATAGCTTTATCTTCAATACTCCCAGTGTGGAAGAATACAGTTGTAGGGAGAGGGGAGTATTTGTTTTTTTCAGTTTTAAATGAATTCTCCAGGGAGGGTTTGCTCTGTGTGAGACATGCAAGCCTTTTCAAGAACTGAGCTCACCTGGATATTGATTCCAGTGGCATGTGTTTGCCTGTATTCTTTTATCTTTAGATTTTAGGCCCTCTTAGAGGAGGCCAGGGTCCATTCCCAAGCTTAAGAAGTAACATCATTTACCAAAGAGCCCTGTAACAAAACAACCCAGGGTTCTAAGTTCACATGTGGCTCATACCCCGTAAGACCTAATTTCCCGGCTCTGAACCAGAGTCCAGCTGGAGATGACCTGATGGCTTCAGGGGATGTCCCAGGGCTATTCATTTCTCTTTAAAAATTTTAAATCTATTTATTTGTTTTCGAGTTGACAAAAAACGTATATATTTGCCATGTACAACATGGTGTCTTGAAACATGTATATGTGCCGGGCGCGGGGGCTCACTTCTGTAATCCCAGCACTTTGGTAGGCCGAGGTGGACAGAGCATGAGGTCAGGAGATCGAGACCATCTTGGCTAACATGGTGAAACCCTGTCTCTACTAAAAATACAAAAAATTAGCCGGGCGTGGTGGCAGTCGCCTGTAGTCCCAGCTACTTGGGAGGCTGAGGCAGGAGAATGGCATGAACCCGGGAGGCGGAGCTTGCAGTGAGCCGCACGCCACCGCACTCCAGCCTTGGTGACAGAGTAAGACTCCATCTCAAAAAAAAAAAAATATGTATATGTTGGGGAATGGCTAAATTAAGCCAATTAACATACACATTACCTCACACCCTTATCATGTTTGTGGTGAGAACACTTCAGATCTACTCTCTGAGCAAGTTTTCAAAGTCCAATACGTTGGTATAACCATAGTTGCCGTGTTGTACACAGGGATGCTTCTTATCTAGGTTCACGTACCCACCACTTCACCATCTCATTCCAGGGCCATGTCAGTGTCAAGTCTAATGGAAGTAGGTTCCCATCTATAAATTCCCCATATGGAAAAAAAAAGAGTAAAACATTCGAGCCCACCTCTTTGCTTCCATAAAACCCCTAAGACATTTTCTTATAACTCAAAAGTCATTTCTAGAATACTGCTCTTGAA
This sequence comes from Homo sapiens, assembly GCF_000001405.40. Taxonomy (NCBI): domain Eukaryota; kingdom Metazoa; phylum Chordata; class Mammalia; order Primates; family Hominidae; genus Homo; species Homo sapiens. The sequence continues at coordinate 60,120,934 of NC_000020.11, forward strand.
ACCCTCCTGCTGAAATCTTGGGGCAGCACTTAAAGAAAGAAAGAAAAAGAAAAAGAAAGAAAACCAAAACTCTCTTTTCCTCCTCAATTCATAGGGAGAAGTGAAATTCTACCTCACTTTTTTAAAAGAAGAGCCTGGAATTGGCCTATCCGTCTTTTTCCCCGTTGGATCACAGAGCAGAAAGGAAGGTGAGCAGAGATTCAGAACAGTAATAAAGGTCAAATCATCCTCCAAAGAGGGCTCGAGACTAATCTCAGCCTTTGTAATTGGAGCAGTTTTAGATTTTGAGGGTGTGCTTTGGAAGGTCTGGAGACAAAGCTGGAGGTGTTTTCTTTGGGGTTATCCCATAGAGCTGATCCTCACTACCCCTTCAAAGTGGAGGAGTGGTGAGGGCTGCTTCCATCTGTGATGAATGCTACCCAATGCCTAATGCAAACCAGCCCTGAGCACCAGCTCTGTGCACAGAGGAGACATTAGGAAGCTCCCAGGGGCTACTGGTGGGGGACCGGGACGGTGGGACAGAGGAGGCCAAGAGGCCAGCCAGGGTGGGATTTGCAGTTAGAAGCAAAAACACGAAGAAACCTGGGAGTGCAGGGCCACAAGCAGAAACAGTCAAAGACCAGAGGAGATCTGGATACATCTCCTATACCAAACATCACATCGTAAAAAGACAACAAAGTGTAAGAGGCTGGGCAGCCTCGTAAGAGCTTATGTTGTCCCAGAACCTCCTCTGTGGAGCTTCTGTGGTGTGCAGGTCACTTGCTGTTCTTGATACTTTGCCACTCGCCCCCGTCCTGATACTGTGAGGTAGGTCTTGCTCTCACCTCTCACAGATGAACTAACTGAAGCTAGAAGGCTGAAATCACATGCCAAAGGTGTTAAAGTCCCGTTGGTCTTATTGGAAGGGCCCCAGTCTCTGTGTCCCACCACCCTGCCTTTCAACTTCAGCCAAATGTCCTTATAGGCGTTTCGTTATAAGACACTTGGCAAAACCCATTTTCTCCCTGAGATTAAATAGATTCACTGGCTCACCTTGCTACTTTGTATGCTTTGCGGAATCCTGGATTGTTTGTTTGACTACATCCTTCTCTTCCACGAGGAAGACGAGAAAGGGCCCCGTTCTCCCCCAGCAGATGTGACAGTCTTGCTAAGTGACAGTGAGAAGTAATTAGCACCCTGAGTCCCACTGCCTGCAACCTGTCTGCAGCGGTTCCCACGTTCCCTGTCAAACGGGGCTTCTGAGCGCATGGATAATTCATGGTTACTTTCTGCATGCAGGTAGAGATTCTGCTTTGGTTGTTATTGGAAAAAGCCCAGCTTAGTGGGTGAGGCAGGTTTCCTTCTGAAAGGGGGTTTTGCACATAGAGCTAATAGGCTGATGACCAGCTCGGATGGGCTCTTTGGGACACACAGAGACACCCCAGCAACCAGTTCAAAGCAGAGCCCCAAGAAGGGCTAAATTGGTTTGGGGGTTCCCCCGTTCGTCCTTAGATGTGCTGCGGTAGGTAGCTTTTCAGGTTTATTCATTCACCTAACATGGTTTTAAGGAGCATCACTGAATGAATGATCAACCCGGGACTCCGTTCCACAGTCATCAATACAGACAGACAGACATCATCTCTTCTTCACTGGGACATTCTATATTTCACTTTACTTCTCTTGGGCCCCTTGCTATTCCCTCCCTCATGATTCAGTTGGTTGAGTACCTGTCTGTTTCCCTGTGGCTGTCTATATATTCCATCATCATTCTCCTGTCACTACTGCTCCAGCCTCTGCTCCTCCAGGTCCTCCCAAGCCACTTTGTAGACATGATCTCATTCACCACAGCTCTCCCTCTGAAGGAGACCTATCACCATCTTCAGTAGCCTAGGAGACTGAGGCCACAGTGCGGATGTAACTCGCTTGAAGTAACGTGGTAGCTCTGAGATGCAGTGAGCCCTTGAACCCAGGAAGTCAGCTCCGCAGCCCATGCCATTTCTACCTTCTGCACTGTCTTTCTGTGCCCAGCATCCTGCCAGGTGTGTAGGACACATTCAAATATCTATTGAGTATAAACAAGTCTATTGAGTATAAATAAGTCTGAGTTACTGGGTCTCTAAAGGCTAACATGTTACTCTTTCTAGGGATCTTTTGTAGGAAGTGATTTGTTTTTCAACAAAAAAGCAAGGGAAGGAAATGAAGAGCTTTCCCAGTAAAAAAATTACATGGGATCAAACACATCCTACATTGTTTTTGTTTTTGGTTATGTCAAGAGGCTCCAACCACTTGCCTATCATCGAGCACTGAGTCTGGGCCACGCACTGGTGAGCTGTTCACATTCCTCAGCTCAGCTAACCCATGAGGTCGTGCTGCTACCATCATTGGACACATGAGGAGGCCGGGCTCAGAGTGGTCAAGCTGGCCCAGCTCCCACGATTAGTAGCGGCGGAACTCAGAGTCGCTGGAGCTCTCCCCTTGGCATGTTCATTTATTGACCAAATATTGATTGAGCTGATACTGTGTGATAAGTTCAGGGACTATAGGATCAACTGAGTATGAACACCTTCACCCTCTTCCAGGTGGGCGTTTGTGTTCTGGGTGTTGTCCACGCTGGACGTGCCAGCATCTCCCACTGAGCCAGATGTTCCAGGGCTAAGGCCAGTTTCATTTGAAGGCACAGCCTTACTATATCATGTGAGTAGCAGGTGGTTGGCTGCAGGTCAGGGGGCTTATTTTCTAGACTCCTAACCTGTGAGTGGGTTGGTAGAACATCTGCCTGCAAATGTATTGAAAAGCTTTACCTAGATAAAAATGGAGTTGTTGTAACATGTACCCAATACCTTTCTTCTCTGTCTCACTACCTCTAGATTAATCTGATGCCAAGTTTTTGGATGTTATGAGCAACCACCTCATTTATTTTTTGTGGTTGTTTAACCACAATGAGTAAGGTAAATTTCGTTGAAGGAATAATTCATAGTATGGCTGTTTTCCCACTGGAGGGGTTTTACCTTCGTATTCTTTCTTACGTAAGCATCAATAAGGAAGAATGGGCAATAGAACACTCCTCCTTAAGATTCCGCATGGTTCATACTATGGGTCACATTCTCAATGAGCCTAAGTAAAATTTCCTCCACTTAATGTTCTTGCTCATTGGTTGTTATTTGGAAGAATAATGATGAGAATTTGAGAAGTCTTTCAGATGGAACTTAAAAATTCACATTTAATATTTATAGTGTAGAAAGGCCTAAATTGGAATTTCCAAAGTCGGGGTATATAGGAATGTAGAAACTGATTCTGGGCATTGTTCAACCTGATATAAATCAAAGTGGATGCTTTTTTATTTTTTTAATTGTGCATTTCATCAGGATGCAGGTTGAACCCAGAATAATAATGTGAATGCTTTACACTAGTTGCTGACTTGAACAATGCATTTCATTTACTTTAAATATTCTAGAATTCAGAACACAGACTTGATACTTATTTATGTTGTACATTTTATCATTTAGCTGCTTTTTCTAGCTCACTGAAAAAAGTCTGAGCTCTGAAGCCATGGGCTCAAATCCTGGGTCAGTTCCTTAAAAATCCTCTGATCTTGGACTGCCTCATTATCTGTGCCTCAGTTTCTCCATCTGTCAAATGGAGATCATAACCATATCCCATTCACAGGATTATGAGGATTGAAGGAGATAATTTACGGGATGTATCCGCATTGTGCCAGCCCCAAGCAGGCCCTGAATCAAACTGCTTGTTTTGATTATTAGCTGGAGAGACTAGACTTTCGTATAGCAAAGAAAAGGTGGTTGCAAAATGCTGTGTGTGAGATGGACCAGTCAGTATGAACAGGAAAGTCTGGGAAATTACTTCTTAGAGAAGTTTAGGTTTGTGGAAGAACTGGAGGCATAGGTGGGATTCAGACAAGCAGGGGAGTGGGGGCTAAACTGAGCTCAGTTCCAAGCCAGTGTGGGTGGTGGGCAGAGCACAGGCCATGTCAGTAGATTTGTGTATTCCCGTCTGCATTTCTATTGTGCAGGTTGGCTGATGTGTCTCAATGTATGTTTATCTTGTTCCTTGAGTCACATGGCCCCCACTCTGTCTGCATTTTGAACATGTCTTTCTGTTCATTTGTGTTCTGCATACAGAGCTGGCTCCAGAAAAAAATTCTGTATATTGGTTGCCTGCCACATGCTGATGAATGGGTCAATCAGAGGTGCAGGGGTCGACCTTCCAAGAATGGAGAAAGAGAATTCAGGCCATGGTTGCAGATGCAGTTAGGGTCTTGTAGAGCAGAGGCAGGGCTCTGTGCTGGGGGCGGGGGAAGCAGTGCTGTCTTTAAAGCCTGTTTGTTATTCATAGAGGAAAGCAAAATTTTGCAGAAATAAGATAAATGTTCCATGCAATTGCACAAGTTTTCTTGTCAAATTAAAAACACAAATGGTGTAGCAGCAGCCTAAATATTTTCTGCTTGTTGTGCCACCTCCAGCAAAAAATAAAATAAAATAAAATAAAATAAAATAAAATAAAGTGAGAATGGGATGCAAAGGGGAAAAAAATAAGAAAAAAGAAGTCTCAACACAGGTGAAGCTAAGCTTGTTGGCTTCCCATATCTACAGATTCTGTTCCTGTGCAGCGTGGAAGGCTGCCAGGAAAGGTGTGAGAGGGTGAGATTGTTTTTGAAAATCATCTGTCGCAGCTTCTAAGAGCATTTTGGTGCTGTTTGTTTTCATTATGCTGTTGGAGGTGAGAAAACTGTGATGCGGTCGACTGGCACCTAGCATTGCCCCCATCTGGAACATCTGCAGCCTAGATCTGTTCTGATGAAGTAGAAGCCGCAGATCTTATCCTGAAACAGGCCAGGTGCAAGTGTCCTCTTAGAAGGGATCAACCATGGGATGCGGCATTAAGAGAAGAGAGAAGGACATCCTTACAACTGTGCCTTTCTTTCAACTCAGTCGTGCGCATTAGGCTTGTATCAGTTAAAGTGCAGGCAAGAAATTTCAAGCAGAAAGGGAGTCAGGTGCTCATAGCATTGCTGGCAGAATTGAGAGCAGCGGGAGCCATGGGATGGGGGTGCTGCCTGGAAATCAGGAAACTGGAGAAGCCTGCTGGAACCTGCTGAGGAACCCATCACTGCAGCAAGAGACTGATGGTGGACTGCAGGGGCCAGGAAGGTGCAGGAAGCCCCTGCTGCTGCAGGAGAAAGGATGAAGGATGGTTATCTTCCACCTTCCAAATCTCACAGGAACACCTCTTCTAGGTGGAATCCAAACCAGATTCCTTCTGGAAAGGGATTCTGGAAAGTGTAGTTCTTATGCTTCCAGCCTCTGAGATAAGCAAGGACAATTGCTGGAGGCGAGGGTGTCGCTGAATACCAAGGAAGGATAGCAGGTGTAGTTGCCCACATGGCCACTCAGCATCCACATGGACATCCCACCCATGTTAATTTCCAAAGAGCCATCACAGAAACATCATCATGCTTCCTCACAAAGAAGAAATGCTCACCTCCACCCCAATAGAAAGGGTCCAGGTATCCATCTCTGAGTGATGGTCACCCTCCATATTCAGTAAAAAACACCCTCGGATAGACTGTGGTTGAAAGACTAAACCTTTAGGTTAGCCACAGTCAATATATCTTATATAAAATAAGAGAGGCGGGGAGAGCAGGGGAAAGAGATACTGGGTTATGTGTGTAAAAACATACACAATAAAGCAAACAAGAAACGCTGTGTAGTTCCTAGAGTCCTCATCTCTACCAGTGGTCACAAGGCTTTTGTGATGGGTAATTTTAGGTGTCAGCTTGACTGGACTGAGGAATGCCTAGATGGCTGCTGAAGCATTGCTTCTAGGTGTCTGTGAGGATGTTTCCAGGGGAGAAGGGCATGTGAGTAGACTGAGAAAGACCCCCCTCAGTGTGGATGGCCACCGTCAAATTGACTGGGGGCCCAGTTGGGACAAAAGGGTGGAAGGAGGGATTCTCACTTTCTCTTTTTCTCTCTCTCTCGGTCTCAGTCTCTGTTCCCCACTTCCTGAGTGGGACGCTCAGCGAGGATACAGTTAGCTGGTGAGGATACAGAGAAACTGGATCACTCCTACCTTGCCCGTGGGAATATAAAATGGCACAGCCACTCTGAAAAGCAGTTTGGCAGCTTGTCACAAAACTAAATATGCAATTCTCCTTCTACCTTTGAACATCAGATTCTAGGTTCTCTGGCTTTTGGACTCTGGGACTTGCAACAGTGGCCTGGGAACTACAGGGCCTTTGACCTCAGACTGGGGGCCACATGGTCTGCTTTCCTGGTTCTGAGGCCTCTGGACTTTGACTGAGCTACACTGCTAGCTTCTCCAGTTCTCCAGCTTGCAGACAGCCTGTTGTGGGACCTCTCTGCCCCTGTGATCATGTGAGGCAATTCTGCTAATAAACCCCTCTCAAATATCCTATGGGTCCTGTCTCTCTGGAGAACTTAACACAGCCCTATCTGGTATTTATAAATTCCTGGCAAGGCACAGTGGCTCACACCAGTAATCCCAGCACTTTGGGAGGCCAAGGCAGGTGGATCACCAGAGGCTGGGAGTTCAAGACCAGCCTGGCCAACATGCTGAAACCCTGTCTCTACTAAAAATACACAAATTAGCTGGGCGTGGTGGCATGCGCCTGTAGTCCCAGCTACTTTGGAGGCTGAGGCAGGAGAATTGCTTGAACCTGGGAGGCAGAGGCTGCAGTGAGCTGAGATTGTGTCACTGCACTCCAACCTGGGCGACAGGGTGAGACTCTGTCTCAAAAAAAAAAAAAGAAAGAAAGAAAGAAAAAAATCCTCTTCCCATGCTCTTGCTTCTCTTAGCCATTGCAGTTCCACCCAACATCTCATTCCTGAGGAGACTGTGCTCTCAGTGGTCTTTCCTGTTTTGAGATTGCTATGGTTTTCCATGTGCAAGTCCTAAGAAGAACCCCAGAGAGTCCCTGGGCTTCCACTTTTCTCTTTCCTTCCCCTAGGGCAGCAGCCACGTTTCTCTTTTAGAACTACCCTCAGTGGGCTCAGCCAACATGGGGCGGCTTCCTTTGCCTTTGGAGGCACAAGGAGTCTCAGATTCTTGCACCACAGTATTAACTCCCAACATTGTTTCTTTGGAAACCAAGACCACTAATCTACAGGGTTGAGAGTTTCTGAGACGAGAGGTAAAAATCTGTTGAGTGGAGGGTTCAGTGTTATAGGGACAGGGGCCACTTGCATTTTCACCCCTTAGTTCCCAGATCCACTTATTCTGGTGAGGGGAAAAACACTACTACATATTGATCACTGGTCCAGAGTTCACACTGCATCTTACAGATACAGACTTCAACTTAGCAAGGTGCTGCCTCCCATTGGTCTCATCACTGAGTCTTCAGAAGGCCATTGCTCACTCTAACTGATAATAATAAGACTTACAGTGTAGCTGCCATAATCAAGTCAGTGTGACACTGGCAGAGAGATAGACACGTGGATCAATGGAAAATAACAGAGAACTCAGTGGTTAGGTCCACATAAATACGCCCAACTGATTTTTGGCGAAGATGCAAAAGCAGCTCATAGTAGGAAGAAGAGACTTTCAAGAAAAGGTGTGAGAGCCATTGGACATCCATAGGCAAGAAGAAAACAAAGAAAAAGATAAAAAGAGAACCTCTACCTAAACCTCATCACCTTATGCAAAAATTAACTCAAAATGGATCATGGACTAATGTAAAACTAAAGCCATAAAACTTCTAAAAAAAACATAAAATAAAATCTTTGGAGTTGAGGGCTAGGTGAACATTCTTAGACATGACACACAAAGCACAACCCATAAAAGAAAGAATGGATACATTGAAGCCCATCAAAATACAAAACTTTTGTTCTGTGAAAACCCATATGAAGAGGATGAAAAGAGAAGCTACAGGCTAAGAAAATACTCAATAACTATATATCCAATAAAAGATTTATACTAAGAATATTTAAGGACTTCTCAAAACTCAAATGTAAAAAAATAAAAGAATCCAATTAGAAAATAGGCAAAATACATGAAGACACATTTTACTGAAGAGAATATACAGATGGCAAATAAGTATATGAGAAGATATTTAACATCATTAACCATAAGGAAAATGTAGATGAAAACCGCAGTGAGAAATCACTACATACCTGTCAGAATGGCTGAAGTAAAGAAATAGTGACCACACCAAATGCTGATGAGGATGCAGAGAAACTGGATCACTCACACTTTGCCCGCAGGAATATGAAATGGTACAGCTACTCTGGAAAGCAGCTCAGCAGTTTCCTCATAAAACTAAATATGCAATTACTATACCAGACATCCAACAGTTGTACTCTTAGGAATTTATCCTAGAGAAATGCAAACTTAAATTTGCACCAAAGCCTGTCCGTGAATCTTTACAGCAGGTTTGTCTATAATAACCCCAAACTGGGAAAAATCCATCTGTCTTTTAGTGGGTGAATGGTTAAGCAAGTGGTGATATATCATATCATGGAATACGACTAGACGATCGAAAGGAATTAATTGCGGATAGTCATAAACGTGAATGAATTTCCAGGGAATTATGGGTGGAAGAAAAGCCAATACCAAAAAGTTATATATTTTTGTATGCTCGAGTCTGTTTATATAACATTGTTGAAATGACAAATTTATAGAAATGAAGAACAGATTGCCGGTTGCCAGATGTTAAGGAGCGGGGTGAGGGTGAGAGGTGGGTGTGGTTATAAAGGAATGGCCCCAGGGATGCTCTGTTCTCTTTAATGATTTTGACGGTGGAGATGTAAACTTGCACACGTGATGCGATTGCATAGAACTAAACACACGCGTGCACACACACACATACCACCCACACAGGAGCACAAGGAAACTCATGAAACCTCAGTAAAATGGATGGGTTATATCAATGTCACTTTCCTGGTTGTGATATTTCCTTTAATTTTGCAAGATTTTACTACCAGAGGAAATGGATAAAGTGTACGCAGGATCTTTGCATTATTTCTTACAGCTGCATGTGAATTTACAGTTATCTCAAAATAATTTAATTTAAGAAAAAGGATGGTGAGATAGGTGGTAAGAACAGTCAATCTCTAAAGTGGCCCGAATGACTCACTTCTGCTATAAAAAAAAATCAGTGTTTCAGTAGCTATTTGTTGGATGGATGGATGATCATGGTAGGCTCACACCCTTCTCTCCCATTGTCTGCCAGAACCGTGCTTTTGATCTTGCTGGCAGACAAATCCTGGTGGGTCTGCCTTGAGTTTTAAATCTGATGTTAAGTTTAAATCATTTGGACAAAATAAGTGAAATATTTTTTAAGAATAAAAAGTAAATAATTAAATTGCATATAAGAAGGCCATTGATTGTTGTGTGATATATCTCCTGCCGCCTTAATGCATTATCTTATCATTTGCATTTCTTCCTTGGATATTCCTTTAAAAGGAGATTTGTATGAAAATAACAGCGTGGCTAGTGGAAATATAAATTTATATCCTTTTCTTGAGAGGTAACATGACAACATGAATAATTTAAAACACCCTGAAAATAACAATAACGAAAAACTGCTTAGTCTAGCAATTCAACATCTATGAATTTATCCTAAGAAAATAACTGGACAAGTGTGCAAAGATGTATGTGCAAGGATATTGACTGGTATTGTTTATAATGGTGAAGAAAATGGTAATAAGCAAAATGTCCAAAATAAACAAACAAACAAAAACAACTTGAATTGTGGTACAGTAAAACAATTGAGAAGGAAATAGCCATTAAAAACTTAAAGTATAATAAAAAAAGAAAAAAAAGAAACAAGCAGGAATACATGTTCCTAAAATTCTCAAAAAAAAAAAAAAAAATGGTACTGTGGTTCTGTATTTGCTAAAGTGAGAGGTTGTTTCAGAATAGTGATCTGAAAGAATCCATAGTTATTTGCAAAATACTGAGGTTGTGTGTGGGGGGATACATAAGCATGAAAATAGGACATCATATGAAAGGGTAAAGACCCCACTGCAATTGTGGAGGGGGGAGAGTTCAGCTAATTACATAGTTGGAAAATGTATCCCTTTGAGTATGTATACTTATTTTCTGTAATAATTGCTTGCATACATAAAAATATTCATGTCTCCTGAGTTATTGTGTATGAGGAATTTTTGTTTTGTTATCGTCTATATTTTCTAATTTGTAATAAATTTACCACAAGGAAAAACTGAATAAAAACAGCAACATTTATTAAATACGATGAAGAAAGACAACCTAATTCTGACTTCAGAATGAGCCATGCTGCCAACATCTGGCTGAGTCGGTCCCAGCTTCAGGCAAGTGTATTCAGGGGGCACAGATGAAGAGGTAGGGTTGATGTCCATTCCTAGGAGCTGGACATTTAGTTAGGCCAAGAAAAAAGGATGGGTCCAGAGCTCTTTGAGGGCAAAGAACATGCCTGCCTCATTCACTAGTGGGTCCTTGTATGGGGCTCAATACCAGGCTTACAAAACATTTGTTGAGTGAAGAAAAGAAAGGGATGTCACTTGCTCAGGAAGGACGTCGGAGTGCCTGCTCTGTGCCAGGCATGTTTCTTTGTGCTTAGGAAGACGCTGTGAATAGGGAAGCCACGGTCTTGGCATCCAGTGGGGGAATAAAGGGGCCAACCACAGAGAGAGGCATGGGAAGAAACTACTTGCAGCATGAGACAGATGGCAGTCCTGTGGGGCCACAGCAGGAAAGGACTTTCCGGAGAGGAAATGTTCAAACCAAGCTGGCCTGTTGAGTCACCACCAGAGATGGGATGACTTTGGAGGGGCACATTCTAGGGAAAGCAAAGAGAAAATGCAAGAGCTGCAAGGAAGAAACGACTTCAGGGCCTGGAAACAGAGAGAGAGGACGGGTGTGGCCAAGGTGCTGGGTGAGGGATGCAGGCTGCACTTGGCCTTGTGGAGTCTGGGCAAGTCCAGCAAGGAGTTGGACTTTATTCTGGGTGATACAGGAAACTGTTGGAGAGCTTTAAAAATCTTTTAATTTTAGAATGGTTTTGGATTGATAGAAAAATTGCGAAGGTAGCACAGACTTCCTACATATCCCTTACCCTGTTTCCCCCATTATCAACTTCTTGCATTTATATGGTGCGTTTGTCACGGTTAAGAAACTAACATAGGTGTATAACTACTAATGAACCCGTAAGCCTTATTCTGCTTTTACTCATTTTCATTAATGTCTTTTTTTTCTGTTTCAAGACCCCGTCCAGGGCACCGCCTCGCACTTAGTCATCATGTCTCTAGACGCCTCTGGGCTGTGATGGTGTCTCAGACTTTTCTCATTTTTGATGACCTTGATGGTTTCTAGGCATCCTGGCCAGGTGTCCTTCAGTTTGAGTTTGACTGATGTCTTTCTCAGGGTTGGACTGGGGTGATGAGTGTTCAGGGAGAGGCCCACAGAGGTGGCAGGCCCGTGATCATATCTGGGCTCCTGCTGTCAACACGCTGTTACTGGTGATGGGAACGTTGGCCACGTTGTGGGTGAGGGCAGACACTGGAGAGATTTAACAGGAGAGGTGACCTGGTTTGCTACATTTTTTAAAAGGGTCAGTTGGGCTGAGGGAATTAGGTAATGTGAGTGAAGCATAGTAGGATGAAACCAAAGCTGTGTTGGTGACAGTGGGTGACCAGGTGGACCTGAGATGCAGATTCGTGCAGAGGTGTGTGCAGGGGTGAGTCATCGAGAGGCTCTGAATGCCAGGCTAGGGAGTTGGCATTTTATCTTAGTAGATTTCAAGCACTGGCCTCAGAGTTCTCTCTTCAAATAGAACTTTACAAAAAAATAGCCAAAGGCAATACAAAACCTAAAGATGAACTTCCTGTGATGGAAAGTGAGACCCTGAGTGCAGCGTCACTGGAGGCTCTAAGATTCCTAAATGGAACCTCCTGGGTGGCTGAGGGCAAACCGTCAGCAAGGCATGTGACAAGCACAGCGAGCCAGTGAGGTTCCTCCCCTCCTCCAGGTAGGAAGCACCTGTACCTGGATCAGGTGGGCAGAATGGAAAGTGTGAGGAAGGCAGGAAGAGCCGAAGTCAGTGTGCCTGTTGGCAGAGGTAGGGGCCAGGACAATGCCGATATTGACAGCAGTGAGAAGCCAGCACCCCCACATGGGGAGGTAGGCATGGGCAGCAAGGTCCCTTTAGAGGTAAAGGTGGAACACCTCTGTTGCTGGGCTCCCCAGGCTTTGGGTGTCCTCTGGGCCTGGTCTCATGGAGTAGTTCAGGCTGGAGACTCAAGACTGCAGAAGACGCTATGGCGAGGGGAGATCCACCTTTGTGTGGAGTTTGGCTACCAGTGATCTGTGCATTGAACTGAGAAACCACCTCCTGGACCCACGTTTCTTTTCACGTGAGCATTTTTGTGATGTGGTGGTAGACTGAGCCAGATTATGACCACAAATGATTGCTCAAGAGGCGATCTGTTAAATATTTAATGTGCAATCACAGTTGCTTGCTGTGGAGCTCCTTCTCCGTCTGAGATGAGTAGGGTCTATTGGCGGGCAAGTTCCAATTTAGTAATGAGATCATTATAATCCTGACCTCCTCGGAAGGATCCTTCACACCAGAGCAAGCCACTTCTCTGAATTCTCTCCACCTCTTCCCAGCATGAATTTAGTTCTCACAACTCTCAAAGGAACTCCCATTTCCTGTTTCTCCCCTACTCCTGACCTCACTCTCACTCCCCTTAGCAAAGTTGTTCTGTCCTTCCAGACTCCTTCACGATGGCTTCGCTTCATCTCACAAATGAGACGCTGAACACTGCTACTTCCACACACTGTGCTTTGTCCCTTCAGGGACAGAGCTGGGGCCTGGTTTCAGCTCATAAAGAGCTCACAGTCTTGTGCTGTTTCTTGGACCAACAGAGTCAGAAATAGCAGAGGTTCTTGTGAGCACATAGAATGTTCTGGAGCCCATCTCAGATCTTTAAATGAGACACTTTGGGGTCAGAGTCTGGCCTCCTCCTTTTACTACACAAGACCCCTGGCTTGGTTAGGGGTTCACCCTTACACCAAACTCCTAGAGTGGTTGATGGTTTCACCCTCTGTGGTGGTTGATCTTAGGTGTCACCTTGACTGCGCCTCTGGGTGCCCAGGTTAAACATTGCTTCTGGGTGGGTCTGTGAGAAGCCTTCCCAAAGAGATTAGCATTTGAGTTGCTGGACTCAGCACAGTAGATTGACCTGCCCCACAGGGATGGGCATTACCCAATTTGTTGAGGGCCTGAATAGAACAAAAGATAGAGAAAGAAGGAATTCGCCTTTTTTCTTGACTCCCTGCTTGAGGTGGGACATCTCATCTCATCTTCTCCTGCTATCACAATAGGATTTACACCTCAGCTCCCCTGTGTCTCAGAGCTTTGAACTCCAATTATACCATGGGCTTTCCTGGGTCTCCAGCTTGCTAATGGCAGACTGTGGGACTTCTCAACCTCCATCACCACCTGAGTCAATTTCTTTTTTCTTTTTTCTTTTTGTTTTTTTTTTTGGAGACAGAGTCTTGCTCTGTCACCCAGAGTGGAGTGCAGTGGTGTGATCTCTGCTCACTGCAACCTCCGCTTCCTGGGTTCAAGTGATTCTGCTGCCTCAGCCTCCCGAATAGCTGGGCCTACAGGCATATGCCACCATGCCTGACTAATTTTTCGTATTTTAGTAGAGATGGGGTTTCACCGTGTTGCTCAAGCTGGTCTCAAACTCCTGAGCTCAGGCAATCTGCCCACTTTGGCCTCCCAAAGTGCTAGGATTACAGGCATGAGCCACCGTGCCCGGCCACAAGTCAGTTTCTTATAGTAAATCTCCCCACACCCATATGTGTGTGTGTGTGTGTGTGTGTGTGTGTGTGTATATATATATATATACACACACACACATATATGATATATATATACACACATATATAATATATATACATATATAATATATATATACACATATAATATACACATATATAATATATATACACATATATAATATATATATACACACACATATATATAAGATATATATAATATCTCCTATTGGTTCCGTTTCCCTGGAGAACCCTGACTAAACCACCTTCCTAGAGAATCTAGAAAGTAGACTTTGCAGGAACATTTTCTCCCTTTTGCTAGTTGTTTTGTCTTGTGTGAACCTGAAAGAGCCCATTCTCCGAAACAGCTCTTAAGCATCTAACTGGGCCTAGTTTCCAAATAGAGCCAAGCAGCCATTTGCTGACTAGAGGTCACACACATACTCTGTGTTCCAGGAAAGCACACACCCTTGCCATGTAACTTAGGGACATTCAAGGCTGTTTTTTCCTGTTCATGCCACCTGAATCAGTAGCTGTGGGAAAACCTTATTTTCCTCCTGGACCTGAGCAATAGACTGTGACAGCATCGGCCAATCAGAACTGAGCAGTTTACATCCCACAATTGCATAAGTGGCCCAGAGTGGGAGGCTGGGTAAGAGCTTTCTCTATCAAAGACAACCACTCTCTTGGTTCTCTCCGGGCCCACCTTTGTTTTGTACTGAAGGCTGCATCTCCCCAGTTTGCAAACTGCTTGTGCAAATAGAGTCTCTGTTAACCTAATGCTTCTTTCTCAGGTGTTTGGTTAACACTTGTACATGGTAGGCATTCTGTCTATATTTGTTGGGCAGATGTGTGCGTCGAAGTGGTTAAACTTTCCCAGCCAGAGTGGGCATCTCCTCTGGGGTAAGGAGTTGGTGACATGCAGGTACCTGAGGCCCTGCCATGGGTGCATGGGCTGTGATTGTCCATAGACCACGTTAACTTAAACTTCTGGTCTAACACATAGAGTGGGCATCTTCCTAGGAAACCCTGGAAAAGCAGCAGATAGGACTGGCTCTCAGCAGTGACGAAAAGCAATAAGAGGACAAAATGTGGTACTTTACACAATGGAGTACTATTCAGCCATAAAAAAGAATAAGAACCTGTCATTTGCAACAACAGGGATGGAATTGGAGGTCATCATCTTAAGTGAAATAAACCAGGCACAGAAAGACAAACATCACATGTTCTCACTTATTTGTGGGATCCAAAAATCCAAACAATTGAACTCATGGAGATAGAGGGTAGAAGGATGGATACTAGAGGCTGGGAAGTGTTGCGGGGGTGAGGAGGACGGACATGGGGATGAATAAGACCTAGTGTTTGATAGTACAATAGGGTGAGTAGAGTCAACGATAATTTAATTGTACATTTAAAAATAGCTAAGAATATAATTGGATTGTTTGTAACACAAAGGACAAATGCTTGAGGAGATGGATACTCCATTTTCCATAGTGTGATTATGGTGCATTGCATGCCTGTATCAAAACATCTCATGTTCCCCATAAATATATACACCTACTGTGTACCCATAAAAATGTAAAAAAATGATTAAAAGTCTAGATATAATTTAAAAGAGGAAACTGTCTTTGTGTGGAGGCCAGCTGAAGACAGATACTGCATCAGGCACTTGGCAGCCTGGTTTCCAGTAGCTTCTCAACCCAGTGGAGTAGACTCTATGGCCCCATTTTGCAGATGAAGAATGGAGGTGCAGAGAAATCACAGCTCTAGCTTTGTCAGGAGGACCATAGAGGTCCAGGGGCTGGAGGTCTGAATATTTAATAGAGGGATTTGAATAACCATGGAAGTTAGCCTGGAGAGAGATTTAGGAGGCAGATAAGCCTAGTGTTCACTGTGGGGGCAGATGCCTTCCCCATCTGTGCAGACGATTGGCCCAAGTGGCCATGATGACATGGCTCCTACCTACTTCCTAATGGACCTCA
This sequence comes from Homo sapiens, assembly GCF_000001405.40. Lineage (NCBI taxonomy): Eukaryota > Metazoa > Chordata > Mammalia > Primates > Hominidae > Homo > Homo sapiens. Next base: position 60,136,701 of record NC_000020.11, read on the forward strand.
GAGAATTAAACAGCGAGGACAACAGCGAGTGTTGTCTCTCAGACCCTTGGCTTTTTCAGGACTGCCTGACCTTTCTTTGTCCTTATTTGGCTTCAAGTCAAGTCAGCTCAACCCTGATTGAGCACCGGCAATGAGTCATGTCTGTGAAGGCGACACAGCCCCTGTCCTTGAGGAGCTTCGAGTCCAGTGACTGTCACTTCAGTGGAAGTTGGGCTGGACACAGTCACATGTGTATGCCAGACATGAGGCTTTGTTCTCATTACAATAATTGCCCTGCATTATTCTAGCAATTAAGCTTCTCCACGTGTGTGGATGCATGTTCCCAATTTTTTCTGGCCTCTACCGAACACAATGTTAATATTTGAGAGCAGTCCTAAAAAATTAAATAATTATACAAACTGAATTAGGATAGCATAATATTACCAATCAGAGTAATGTGGCTTTGTAATCCAGTGTGATGTCATATGAATCTACAAATTAGGAAGCATGTCAGAGGAGGAAACCACATCCTTTATTGCTTTGCCTTAAATAGCTTAAAACTAATCTTTTCCATGAGCCAACAGCTATCTCTCATGTTTAATAATGCTCCTCCCTGCCCAGATGAAGCTAACTAAATGATGTTGCCCCCTGCACCTGCAAATGCCTGGTGCCAGGGCAGGGACACAGGGAATGGCAGAAGGGGAGACCAGATGTTGGCTGAGGCATTGATTTATGGGCATGACCTTCCATGTGCCCCGAGGATGGCTGAGACCAGGGTTTGATGAATGCAGTGCTCTGTGTGAGAAGTTCTAAGGTGACAAGCAAAGATTCTATCCTCTGGAGGGGCAAGCCCTATTATTAGGTTGGTGCAAAAGTAATCGCAGTTTATGCAGTTGTAATGGCAAAAACAGAAATTACTTTTGCACCAACCTAATACCAGACAGAGGAGGTGCAAGTGCATGCCACCAGGGCAGGTGCAGGTGATGGGGGCAGAGAAAACTCAGATGTCTCCAATCTGTGCAGAGTAGGGAAACAGAAAAAGCTAAGTGAGGAAAGTGAGATTGCTATCACACAGATGCATGTCTTAGGTTTTCTGATTCCATTCCTCATGAATTTCATTAAGTAATCAAAGTGCTAAGCATGAAATGTGGGTATGCTGTCACCAGGTGGCAGCAGCATCCACTCTCCAAAATGCATTTTGTTCAAACCTAGTATGTGCTGGGTATTCTGAGCACATAGCAGAGACTAAGGCAAAGAGTCCCTGGCACTGTGGAGCTTAGAGGCTAATGAGGTGGCAGGTGCTTACACTTTAGAAACCGTTGTGAGGAATAGCTAGTGGTAGTTAAATGATACAGTGATAGTTAACAGAGAGGAAAGCTTTTCTCTCACTCCAAGCTATATTTTTATTATCACTATTAATATAAATAGAAAATAAATATTAAAATAGTTATTAAATAAGCAAAAGATAATGTTGCATTTAGTTATACGATTAAGTAGAGGTTTTCAAATATTTTTTAGCTTTGTGCAACCGAAATTATATGAGGAAGCAAAAACCACAAATACAGAAAATAAGAACTTTTCTGTTTGAACAGAAACGAGGACACTGGGGAGGCCCTTCCAATGCAGGCCAGACTTTTAGGGGCTCGACAGAACACAGCTGGAGAAACATCCACACCACACGCGGTTTCACCTGCCACACGGCAGCCCGGGTGCCCGGATCACTGTGTGTGGAGACTCAGGCTCACCGGCAAACCTCTTCCGGTTCCGGTCAGGGTGCTGCCTCCCTATCCACTGGGAGTCCTTTTGCGTTTCAGATGCTCCCAGGCTCTCCCGCAGTTTAAAGACTTAACTCAGCGGCTTTCAGGGCCTGTGGTTGAGGGACTCCGAAAGAACTGTTGCTGGTGGACCGGTTCAGGGTCTTGACTTCGCCACACAAAAGAACTTGAGAGCACGTCCAAAGTAAAGGTAAGCAAGGGAGTTGATCGCACAGCGAAAGCGCACTCTGCCAGCGGATCGGAGCGGCCGCTCAAAGGCGAGGCAGTGCTGGCCGACACTGGGGAAACCCCCTTTATGGGGGTCTTACATGATTATTCATGAAGGGCTGGGAAGGGGTGTTGCCGTGAAGCATGTTCTGGGCTGTCTCCTGGTGGCACATGTGCTGTGGTTGTGCATGCTAGTACACACATCGCATGTCTCGTTAGCATCGTAAATCTCCACCCAGTTCTTTAGTATTCTAATGAGCGCAGGTCAGCCCAAGGACACTCATCTTGGGTTTCTGCACTTGGATGAATTCGCGGATTTTTCCTTCGCTCTTTGACCTCCTCGCTAAAGGATGGTCTAACCACGAGCCTGGGATGCGGCTTGTGCACCGCAGGTGGCTTGTTCTCGCCATCTATTTAGCAAGTTTGCTCTCCTTTAAGTGAGGCTGTGACCACCCTCTCTGACCTACCTCAGAACCTGTTGCTTAGCTTCAGAAATCCAGCCTGGTGCTGGGCTGAGGTCAGCCTGAGGTCAAGCCATGCCCCTGAGACTTAACTGCCCTTGGATACCAATTTTCAGCAACAGAAAAGAATGAAAATAAAGTTCACATGAGGGCTAGTGCTGCTGGCAATGAGAAGGTCCTGTGACTACTTTTATTACCACTTCAACGATAAGGAGGTGACCTTTCATTCTCATTTCTCTCTCTCTAATATTTTGCATTCTCCAACTGTTATCTGTAAGAACATCTTAGCGCATTTGAAAAGCAGGGAAAATATGTAATAAAAACCACAACCAACCACACCATCTTAATGATAGCACTATTATTTTGTAATTCCTTCCAGTATCTTTGCCCAAGGTTTATTACTTGTTGAGTATTTGCAATTGTCCTCAGTAAAATTCTGAGACATGATTTTTAATTTAACATACCTTAAGATTTTTGTTTGCAGGTGGCTGAATTTCTTCAGAAAAATTATTTTAAGGGCTACTCAACACTGAGCAGTTAGTATTCATTCAGGTGGCCATTCTCTGATGCCTGTATTGCTTCCAGCTGTTGGGAAATGAACCCAGTGGAGAATATTGTTTTTCTTTTGCTAACAACAACATCCGTTAGGACAGATTTCCACATGTCTGATTGCTGGGCCGATGACACAAACATCGACAATAGCGCTTCACGCGTGTTGACTGATGATTTCCAAAAGCTTATCTTCCCAGTAGGCAGTTTGCCAGATGCTTCCAGAAATAGATGAGAATGCCAATTTCATCACACTGTTGCCAGCACTAGGTATGTCCACTACATTTTAATGCTAGTGTAATAGGCAAAGGGGACCTGCTGTCTGTTTCACCATTCATTTCTTTGCATGGTTGTCAGGTGGGACATTGCATTCTCCTGGAGAGGCCAGATCACTATGTCTCCCAGGAGGCCCTAGCAGAAGCTGCTCTGGTGTCCAGCTCCTGTGTGAAGCCTCCCTGGTCCCTGACTCTTGGAACAGACTTCTTTTCTGCCCTTTAAACACCCCTAACATCATGCGTGGTCCTTTGCTATGACACAGTTGTTCCCCATTCTGCATCGTCATGAGGCTGTCTACACCCTCTCTCTCTCCTGGGCAGGGCTCCGGCTCTGCAGGGGATGGGGACGTGTGTTACTCTGTTAGTCCCCTGCCTTGTCCAGCACAGCACTGTACATGCCACAGAGGCCCCACAGAGCTTGATCAAAAACTAACAATGATTAAACCAAAATTACGAATGGACAAAAAATTTCCATCAAGAAACCTCAACATTTTAATGTTCATGAGGGGGGAATGTAGGGTAAATGCACCTGATAGTAATAAGCATACCCTTAGAATGACCCTGTATGGCAGATGCGCCTAAATGTGTGTTCTGTGCTAGGGAATCCAGGAGTGGCCAACCCGGAGATTGATTCTGTGTCTATGATAAACATCTGAGCCCCTGGCCTGTTCTGTGGAACGTGGGCCGTTCACGGGATTGAGGCCCTGAGTTTGGGATTGGATGAAGGTTGCCAGGGCGAGGTTACCAGGAGGGTGTTAAGTGAAAATGGTATGTACATGACATGCTGTTCAGAAGAGGTTACAGTTTTCCTGCCCGGCCCGCCACCACTGGAGCATTTCTGTACATAAGGTGATTTCCCTGTTCAGCCCACCATCATTGAACACTCTCCCTGCACGTAAGCCCCTAATAAAACCCCATGGCTTGGTTGCTAGCTCTGGGTCTCTTCGGCCTTCCTATTGAGCTTAATAGGGGTTCAGCACAACCATGGAACAAAGAACAACAAAAAAATTGGTGATCTTAGCTCTAGTTTTCTTTCCTCCCTGAATCACTTATGAAGGGAGTCATGTGGCCTTTCAGCCTTATCTCATTTGAAAACAGAGGCTGTAGGATCAAATCTCAGTCCCCTTAGTCCTATATTTAGGAGTCAAACTCTGACTTCTTCATGGGGCTGTCATCAGATGGCAAAGCACACAGGGCAAGGTGGAGCAGGAAGCTGCTGGACGCTCTGCCTTCCTTATCGAAATAGTGAGGTTACATGGGGAGAGCTGTGGTCCTGATTCACTTGAGTGTTTTTTAGGGACCTACTATGTGCCAAGCATTGAGCTGCCTCTGATAGTGAAGGTAGAATGTGATCAATAATAGCTGTGTTTAACAACACTGTTGTCTGAGCTACTTATGATGTTAGAGCTTGATGTCAGGAAAGCCAGGTGATCAGAGTTGCCATTCAGTATTTGGCCTCACTAGTAATTTCTTCATTGTATAAAGCAGTGCTTCTCGTGCACTAGCAAGCATCAGCACACCTGGAAGACTCATTAAAACACAAATTTCTGGACCCACTCACTGAGTTCCTGCTTCAGTAGATCTGGGGTGAGAGCTGACAATTTGCATTTCTAACACATTTGCAGGTGATGTTGCTGGTCTGGGGAAACCACAATATGAGCGCCACTGCTGTCAATTGAAATAATAACAGTTCCCATATATAGGCGATTTACCTGTGCCAGGTGTTATGTGGACAGCTTTACTTGCTTTATGTCAATTCCAGAGAGACTTACAAAGGAACTATTGATAGCTTTAATTTCTGAGATGAGGTATCTGAGAGTAAAAGCTGTGAAAACCCTGTTGAAGCTGGCACAGTGAGTGGGATTGGGGCTGAGCCCCCGTCTCTCTGGCTCCAGTCACATTGCTATCCATGCTTGGTGCACCCACTGACTTACCAAGCCACTCTACCTCCTTGGGGACCCTTCTCCCCATTTACCAATAAGTCACCTTCAGATAACACTGGGCACCCCCCAGGCAGTGCAGATGCCACCTAACAGAACATTCCCAGTTCCTCCTTCAAATTCTTGGGATGTTGTTGCCTTCACCCCACTTCTCCATGTGCCATAATCACTCAATAAATTGTTCCTGTCATTTTAAATGTTTGCCTTTTAAATATCAATAATCTTGTTTCAAGATTTTCTCTTAGTCTTTGGGTTTTCTGCAGTTTGAACATAATATACCTAAGGGTATGTGATTGTGGCTTTTGTTTATTTGTTGCTTGTTTTGTATTTATCAGTTCTCTGGGTCTATCATTCATTTTGAAACGTTATTAGCCATTATTACTTTGAACACTCATGTGCTGTTCTCTCTTTTTCTGGTATTCTGATAATACATACATAAAGCCTTTTGATGTTGTTCCACAGTTCTTAAGGATTCTATTGTTTTTTGTTAAATATGTTTTTCTCTTTGCATTTCAGTTTGGGAAGTTTCTGTTGCCATATGCTCAAGCTCACTGATTCTTTCCTTGGCTCTGTCTGGGCTACTGAAGAGCCCATCAAAGGCATTCATCATTTCTTTTGCAGTGATTTGATTTTTTGTATTTCCTTTTGATTCTTTCCTAGTATTTTCATCACTCTGCTTATATTACTTATCTGTTGTTGCATGTTATCTAGTTTTTCACTGGAACCCTTAACATACTAACCACAGTATTTTAAATTATCTGGCTAATAATTCAGAGCAATAGGAACTGAGGTCAACAGGCCTTAGTGTGAGGATTTATGTTCATCTGGCTCAGAGTTGGGCTGTGTTCAATATTTGCTGTAGGTGCCAGAAGCCTCGCCTCTTGACCTTGAGTCCTGCTCTTCAGAGCCTCTGTCTGGAGCTGTTTCAACTGTAATTCACTGCTGTTATACTGAAGCCCTGTTGTTGAGGTGGTAAATTGTAGGGGAAGGGGAGTGTCCTATAATCATCAAATTAAATCTCAGTCTTTCAGTGGGGCTCTGTGTCTGGCCTGTGACTTCACAAGTGTTTCCCCCAGCCTTAGGTGAGACTGGAAGGCTGGAGGGAGCTGCAGTAGAAAATGCCCTTCCCCAGGCTGGAATGAGGCTGAGAAGTCTTTCCCTTGGAGAGTGGACCTTCCAGGGGAAGGAGAAGGTCTGGTGTCTTTCATAAGGAATACTCTTCCTTTCCCTGCCAAAGCTGGGAGCAGCTCTTTCCAGGATCTTCACCATCAGAACCTGAAGGGCTCCTGGAGATAAAATCCATAAAAGTGTGAGGTCTCCCCAAGGCTGCAGTGACCAGTCTTACATTGCCTTCTTCAGTCTCACACATTCAGTTCATAGGAATGTGTCAACTTGATCATCTAAGTGTTCCTACCAGTTTATGTCTACAGCGGCTTCTGCTCCAGAGAGGCAGAGTTCAGCTGTGATTCTCTGGACTCATCCAGAGATGGAGAGATTCCAGATTTCTGGGTAGTGACTTACCCTGTTATCAAAAGGCAAACTTAAAACAAACTTAAAGGTCTTAATGGGCTTTTATTTTCAATTTGTCAACACCTCATTCTATAGAGTCCGTGTTCTAATGAGCTGAGCATAGGAAGTTGGCTTCATGGGCAGAAAGGGGCTGAAGAAAGCAGAAACAGAAAGCAGATTGGGCACTTTGAAGATATTTTCCTTGTAGGACTAAAACAAAGAGAACTTTCTTATTATGCTGACTGGTCATTTTGAAGATATTTTCCTTATGGGACTAAAACAAAGGAAACTTTCTTATGCTGACTCAGGTTAACCAGAATCTCTCGTTTTTTAGGAAAACTGGTTCATTTCAAAGTTCAGTTTCATTAGGTAGCCCTCAGTACATTGACTCTGTTCTGGTCTGCCCAGGGCCTAGTGCAGGAGGCCAGTCCTAAACAATGGCCTCCCATGAGCTCTGTTTCACACTGTGAACTCAGTTCTCCAATAGGTTCAAGAAAGGTCATTGATTTTCAGTTTGTCCAACTTTTATTTGTTGGAAGGACTGGAGTGATGACTCTCAAGCTCTTTACATATAAACTTGAAACCTAAACTCTCTTCCTTATATGTAAAGGAAAAATGCCCCCTTTCATGAATATATCAACGTATGTCATCTGTCAACTCTTTGACATAATTTACACACTCAGATAAGCCCAATTTTTAGCATTTTCTAATTGAACAAGAGACTTATGGTTTTTTCCCAGGAAATGTTGTGTCCACTCTCCATTCCCTTGTAGGAGATTTTTGTCGGGAAACAGGAGCCCAGGAGAGCCCAGGTGACACCATTTTAGAATTAATGCCATCTTAAAACCAGCAAGGCGCATTCCTTGCCAATCACAACCCATGGTCATAAGATGTTTATGGCTAAGGAAGCAGTTTACAATGACTGCAAGGACAAACTCCTATGACAACAAAATGTCCAGATGCCCCAATGTACATAAAAATATATGCCTTCAAGATACTTCTTATTATGCTTTGATGTACATATGCACTAAAATGCCAAATACAGTTTTCTTTAAATCAGCAGAATAATAAATTTTGTCACGCTGTCAGCCCGTCTGCACATAGTCATAGCTTAGCTTAGCTTTTGCATAGATAAGACCGCTATGGAAGAAAAACTTAAAACAAGGATGATGTGTTCCTTCTCTCACTTTCTGAGGATCCCCACTCTGTAATTGGAGTAGCTTTCAATAAATGATCTCATTTTATTGTATTCTGTGACTCACCTTGAATTCCTTCCTGCACAAGATCCAAGAACCCTCCCTTGGGGTCTGGATTGGGACTCCTTTTTCCAGTAACAAGATAATAAATGAGAGATGGAATTAATTCAAAATAGCACTTGTTGGAGTAACATTAAGGGGTAAAGATCATAGGAAGTTGGGAGAATTACTTCTTGTTTGGTCCAATATTTGAAACACTGTCATCAAATGAGCCCCGGATATTTTCATATTATTTAAATGACTGACTTCTAGCCCCTAGATTTTATCTTCCCAGGAATGTATAAGTAACTTTAACAACATGCTGTATTAAAACACATTGACACAATTATATTACAAAATGAGTGCATTTTTTTTCAATATATTGGAATTAAAATACACAATCAAAGTAATAAGAATTTTTCCCACTCCTCCTTCCCCTCCTGGCAACCTCACCTCCAGGATTTGTAACAGAGCCTCTGCCCCCAGCAGGCCTTTCCTCACCAGTGCTTGCAAACTGCAAATTATATGCAAGTTGTTAAAACAGTGCCTGGAGGCCTTTATCAGCCTGCTAAGGCTTATACATGTTTTGTTTGGTAGAGAGGAATAAAGCAATTAAAATCGGATGCATTCTGTTTATATGTGCAATTTAACTAACATCACCAGTGCCTCTCGATGTCTCGAGGTGCTCTCTGATACCAAGAACACAGAGGGATCTTTTCTGAACTTCTCGCAGGAAGTGGGTGAGGCCTCATGGGGTTTGGGAAGTGTCTCTTCCTTTCTCCAGAATCGTATGCTTTGTGGGCAGAGATCTTCAATGGATTTATCTAAACAACTGTGTGCAGTGGGAAGTCAAAGACCATGGATTTCAGGGAATTAAAAAGCTGAGGGTTTCAGGAAGAAAAAGAAGGCAATTTGAGGCATTTGGACTTAATGAAACTTACTCAGATGGTGACAGCAGCATTTTCTTGGATGCACAATTGGCCACTGGGGATGCTCATACAGCATTTTTTTTTTAAGGACTTGGTGGCTTCCCAGACAGGAAGAATTTGTTTTGACTAATTGTGTTCTCTAATGAACCCCTAAACACACTTCCTCTGATAAGCCTGATGAAGTGCTTCACCTGGGAAAAGTCTTGGTGCTGATTTTCTCCACCTGGCTCTCTGGGCTGCACTTGAAGCTAGCCTGGCTCCACGCTTGCCAACTGATTCTCCATCCTCCTCCACACCCAAATGACTTGTTTCATGATGGCCAAGCGATTAAGACAATGATCCAGATAGGGCAGGCATAGAAAGCCATACACATGTATCTTTGAAACCTTTGATGGTTGTACTTTGGCAAGGAATAAATTATTTGTATTACTATTGGATTTTCCATTCTTTTATTCCATTGCTTCACTGATCCATTTGGATGTCACACAAGCCTCAAATTTAACAAATGTGAAATAGAATGCTTAATGCTAATCTCTACAACTTATTTCTCCCCCTGTTCACCTACTGTTCCTCTTTCTGCAGTGGGCTTTCCCCAGAGTTTCAGATGGCAGGTTCCCTCTCATTCTTCGGGTCTCACCATAAGTGTCACCATCCTAGAGAGTCTTTTCTTGACCACTTGTTACGGAATGAATTGTGTCTCTACTCCCCATCCCTCCACCACCCCTGCAATTCATGTGCTGAAGCTCTAATCCCCCTATGTTACAGCATCTGGAGATGGGGCTTTTAGGAGGTCATTAAGTGTCAGGCCTCTGAGCCCAAGCTAAGCCATCATATCCCCTGTGACCTGCACGTATACATCCAGATGGCCTGAAGTAACTGAAGAATCACAAAAGAAGTGAAAATGGCCTGTTCCTGCCTTAACTGATGACATTACCTTGTAAAATTCCTTCTCCTGGCTCATCCTGGCTCAAAAGCTCCCCGACTGAGCACCTTGTGATCCCCGCCCCTGCCTGCCAGAGAACATCCCCTTTGACTGTAATTTTCTTTTGCCTACCCAAATCCTATAAAACAGTCCTACCCTTTGCTGACTCTCTTTTTGAACTCAGTCCGCCTGCACCCAGGTGAAATAAACAGCCTTGTTGCTCGCACAAAGCCTGTTTGGTGGTCCCTTTACACGGACACGAGTGAAATTAAGGTTAAATGAGGTCATAAGAGAGGGGTCTATGAATTTGCAGACTTAATGGTGGAGCTCATGCACTCTCTCTTCCTCCAGGGACACGCACAGAGGGAAGGCTCTGTGGGGTTTTGACAAAAAAGAGTCAAACTCTGTAAAATATTTGAAGGGATTTATTCTGAGCCACAAATGAGTGACCAAGGCCTGAGGCATGGTCTCAAGAGGTCCAGAGAACATGTGCTCCAGGTGATTGGGTTATAGCTTGATCTCATACATTTTCAGGGGATAGAAATTATAGATAAAAACAGAAATGAATACGTGCAAGGTGTACATTGGTTTGGCCTGGAGAGGCAGGGGCTCCCAGGTCATAGGTGGATTTAAAGATTTCCTGATGGCAGTTTGTTGACAGGGTTAAGCTCTGCCTGAAGAGTTGAAGTCAGCAGAAAGAAATGCTAAGATAAGGAGGGTTGTGGAAGCCAAATTTCTTGTTATGTAGATGAAGCCTCTAGGTAGCGGGCCTCAGAAAATAGATATTAATAGTAAATGTCTTTTATCAGGTGCTAAAATGTGCCAGACTCTTAGTTAAATCTCTCCTGGGTAGGAAACTACCTGGAAAGGGAAGGGGATTCTCTATGGAATGTAGATTTTCCCCATGAGAGACAGCTTTGCAGGACCATTTCAAAATATGTCAATGAAATATGTTCTGGGGGAAAATACTTTGATTTCTTTCAGGGCCTGCTATCTGTCATGTGACGTTCTACTAGAGTCAGGTTGGAATTTGATATCTTATTGCTACATGGATTTTCTTCTGTCAGTCTTAAGATCTACATTTTAATGTTAAAGCTGGTCAGTTGTGCCTGAATTCCAGGGGAGGAGGGTATAAGGAGGCATGTCGGACACCCACTTCCCATCATGGTCTGAACCAGTTTATTTTGAAATCCCCTTGGCCAAGAGGAGGGTGCCTTCAGTCAGGGGACTTTGAATTTTATTTTTGGTTTACAGAGGACATTGTGACAAGGTGGCCATTTGCAACCCAGGAAGTGAGGCCTCACCAGAACCCGACCATGCTGGCACCTGATTTTGGACTTACAGCCTCCAGAACTATGAGAAAATCCATCTCTTTTGGTTTAAGCCACCAAGTCTGTGATATTATGTTATGGCAGCCTGAGTGACTAACACATCACCTGAGGTGAAGTAGCCCCCATTATATTCTTCATCAAGACACCTTGCATTTTCCCTTTATAGCAACCATTCCAATCTGTGGGAATTTTGCTGATGGTCCTTCTGAAGGTCAGGCTTGGCCAGGTCAGAACAATGACCCTTTCATGTATCATTCACCTCTATGGCCCTTTCCCCACCCCATGGAAAGCACTGCAGAGCAAAAATAGGTGAGCAACAAAGACCTATTAGAAAAATAATTTCAGGATGTCAATCCTGTTAGATGACTTTAAAATTAATACTTTCTATATTTGCATAAGGGTGGATTATTTTATACTCACATGGTCTTAACATATCCACTCAGAAACCCTGTGAAATGGTGGGCCGGCACCGAGGTATCCAGAGAGTTATGTCCTATTTCAGGAGGAGAAAGCCAAATATTCAAAGCAGAGAGAAACCTCACTCTTCAGTTTTCTTTGTGAAGAGAGCACTCTGAGGATCTGTTTCATAAATAATAAAGAATGACAGACACAAAGAGGGAGAAGCAGGAAAAGATACAAAGACAAAGAGGAAAGGGGAAGCAGTATGGAAGAAAACAGGCCAGGCAGGAGCAGGAAGAGAAAGCGTGGAAAGTTGCAGAGATGCAGAGGCCAAGGGTTGGAGAATGAGCCAGGGGGAGCAGAAAAAATAAGCATGGAATGTCACAGAGATGCAGGGGCCACAGGGTGGAGAGTGAGGCCAGGGGCAGCATAAAGAGTAAGCATGGAAAGTCTCAGAGATGCAGGGGCTGTGGAGTGGAGAGTGAGGCCAGGGGGAGCATAAAAAAGCATGGAATGTCACAGAGATGCAAGGGCCGCGAGGTGGAGAGAGAGGCCAGGCAGGACTGTAAAGAGTAAGCATGGAAAGTCTCAGAGATGCAGGGGCTGAGGGGTGGAGAGCAAGGACACTTGTGATAGAGTGGGAAGTTCAAAAACCCAGAGAGGGAGCAGGAGCGGTCCTTTCATAATAAGATGTTTGGGGCATCAGACTGTTAGAGTTGGTATTTAGGCAGACATGAGCAGGGCAGAAGAGGGCCCCCTGCCCCAGGGATGTCAGGTGACCATCAGGTGATAGCCAGGTTGTTGTTAAGCTGTCTCTAATTGGCCATGCCTGGCACTAGGGAAAGGCTGTCTTCCAGTAGACAGGAAACATCTGAAGCTGGTGATCAGCTTCCTGATAGGATCTCAGGAGCTGGATGAGTGGGCCCAAGTATGTGCACTAAATGGCAAAATGGCAGAGTTTAACTGGTATGTGACCTTCCTCTAGGAATGCTTACCTGGAAAGGGTAATGATCTTGCACACAATTTCAGCAAACACACTGTGCATGCTCCTCTCCCAAGTGCTGGCAGGCCACTGCATGGGAGCAGCCTGCTGCAAGGGAAGAATCAGGGAAGAAGAAATGTGGACCCTGGAGTCATGTCATACAAGACCCCACCCAAGTCGAGGGTCAGACAGAGCACTTGAATCTCTCAAGTCGCCTGCTTGGCCCTTTCCAACTGTACTTTACTCCCTTTCATTCCTTCTCTAAAACTTTTTAGTAAACTTTTACTCCTGCTCTAAAACTTGCCTCAGTCTCTCACCCTGCCTGCTGCCCCTTGGCTGTATTCTTTCTTCTGCAAGGCAAGAATTGAGTTGCTGCAGACTTGTACAGATCCACCCCTGCTAACAAGACTAGACCGCAGCCTCCAAAGGCAGCCCCCACAGTGGGCGACTGCTGACATGGGGGTCTGGGGAATGATGACCTCAGTCACAAATTTGCCTTAGACTGATATATCATATGCACTTAAATGTTTATAGAATGGCTGGCAGGTGCCATGAACCAGGGGCAAGGAAAGGCTTGGGTTGCCCCAAGGTTCAGAACCTCAAGAGCAGTTCTAAAGTAGATAGTTCTTTCTCTTAGCATGGTGGCCAATTCCAAGGGAAGATGCTCTGAATAGGATGGCCTCCTGTATTTGGGAGCTGAGACTGCTTGGGATTGCTCAGCCAGCTCACTTGCAGACTGAACACTGAAGCTGTGTGTGTGACCTCCAGGACAGCCCCAATTTCTATGCCCATGACCATGTGTTGCATATAGTTTCTTTCTTCTTCATTATCAGGAGCTACTTTCTATCTGGCTCGACAGGACAATGTGCCCGATCATGTGGAGATCAAACATGTTCCCCGAATGTTGAGTATGCAGTGTGTGCACACACACAACCCATGCCTTAGATATATGACTTGTCTTCGTGAATCGTGAAAGCATACCTTTTCTTCCCTCAGCTTGCCTTTCCAGAATAACAATAAGGTAAAGCCCACATGGCTCCCAAATAGGATCTTTGGGGATTATAATTATCTAATAATTGACACCAAAGTGATCCTCCCGACTTGAAGTGGGAGGAAATTTGGATTTCTAAACTAGGGCAAACGCTTCTTATGAAGCATCAATGTGTGTTGTGTTCCCTATTCTCTTTGCTTTAAAAAATAAAGAGAATTATATTTCTTTTTCTTCAGGCAACTTTGCAGACTATCAAAAGACATAGATATCTGAAAACTGTATCTGCCTATTCCCTGTTAGCCGTCATTTGGAAATAAATTTGATCCTTGGTTACTGCTTGACATAATGTACAGGTGACCAGCAGGAGGGAAACCAAAGTATAAACAGATCCAGTCTGTTGACAGGGATTGAATGATGCAGCAACTTGATTGCATTGAGCCATTTAAACTTTCTTTTTCTTTTTTAAGCTACAGGTTGAATTAAAAAAATGAAGTAAACTCGAGAAATCCATTAAGCCAGATTAGTATTGAACTCCAGTCAAGACCGTCACCTGTGGTCATTAGATCTGGCTGTGGGTGAAACAAAAAGTAAAGTCTGACTCCTGCTTCTCATATCCACACTTATCCAAATCACCTGAGATTAAAGAAAATCCTTTAACTGGTGTTAGAGAGGGGACCTAAGGTAGAAGATGTAAAGCATGAACTACCTACAGTGATGCCTTGACACCATAGAACCAAAAGCTCCAGACTTCTGTTCTGAGGATGGAAACGCGGTTCAGCTGGACTTAACTGTGCTTAGAACCCCACACTGGATGTGTATGGTTCCCCTAGGAGGACCAGTAGGGAGGCTTACAGAGAGGAGCCACAATGATAGAAAGCAGTGACTGCTGGGCTAATTAATAACGATAACTGTGAAAGGTCATGAGTGGAGAATTGAAGAAAAGAGGAAACTAATATTTAAATGCCTCCCAATGTGTGATGCTTAATTCAGAGAATGAAGTCCAAGTCTGCAAGCAGTAGATTTTGCATTAAATGAACTGAAATTGGAATAGGACTCAGTGGGCATTTCATTTTGCCTTGGTCTTAGGTTAAGTAATTAAAATCAACATCAGGTTGTGCCTGAAAGGTACAGCAACTGAGCAACGGCTAACTGTTGTAGCGGCAAAATTAGCAGAGGATCAAAGAGAATTTCAGAGTTTCTTGCCAGAGTAGATATGCATAAAATTCTATCCTCTGGTCCAACAAAATACATACAGGGTACAATTAAATTTAGCTAAGTAAATTAAGTATAAATTAACTGATTTTTTTATTTCTTACACTGTATTAACATTTATCAAGACTTTGACCAAAAAGTAGAGATTTTATAGTTGGAAGGGACCCAGGTGATTAGCCTATCCCCCGTCCTCCATTAAGAGCTTCACCCTCACCATTTCTCATTTCCCTAGACACATCATTGTTCACACTCTACTTGAATCATCCCAGAGACAGAGAACTCACTACCACTCCCTTCCACTTTTGAAATGACAGTGGGAAATGTGTTGAATTCATAGAAGAGAATGATCAATTGTCAGATTCAAGACAGACATTGAAAAATGAAAAAGTTACGAAGAGGGGATTTCAGAATGAGTGCATTCTAGTGATCACACGTGAGGTGAACCCCAAAACATTGTAATGCTAGAAAGTGGAACATTGTGTGGCCTATGCTCACAGCATCATTGTGCGGGAAGAAACTGGGAGAAGGGCTATCATTCTTTGAAGGGTGGCTTTTCTAGCAAGGATCGACTTCCATTTCTTTGCTTCCAGTGAAGAAGGTTGAGCTCATCCCAAAAGGCTAGGATGAATAGAAGTGGAATTTCTTTGAGAGCTTACATTGTTGAATGGTTTGGATCATGGCAGTAGTCTCCTAACTCACCTACCATCAGTCCTGCAAACTCTGTTAAATTTTATCCATTCAGCATCTAGAGATTAGATATTATTTTAAAAATATTTTTATAATAAAGGATTACTTTATGAACAATAATGTGCACAGGTCTTACCATCTTAAGTATCTATTTCAATGAGTTTTGTCAACGGTGTGTGCTCCTGTGATCGTCCACCCAAGGCATGATATAGAATACTTTTGCCATGAAACCCCTAAACAAAAAGTTCCCTAGTCTCCTTTCCAGTTGATACCCTTAGTCTGGAAAGGCAAGCACCTTCTGATTCTGTCACTGCAGGTGAGTTTATCTGTGTTCTTCGATCTCATACAAATGAAAGCACACAGAATGCCTACTTTGGGCAATGGCTTTATTTTTGTGACTCAGTCATGGTATTGTGTATTAGCAGTAGTCCTTGCCTTTTTATTGCCAAGAAGCATTTTATGAATATACTTCAATGTGTTTATCTACTCATCTGTTGATGGACATTTATGTCCAGTTATGAGCTATTATAAACAAGGCTGTTGTGAACACTCTTGTACAAGTCTTTTTGTGGACACAGATTTTCATCTCTCTTAGGTGAATCTCAAGAGGGCAGACTTGTTGGGTTATAGGGGACTTGTATATTTTTTATAGAAAACTGCCAAAAAGTTCTCCAAGGTGCTATTCTACCCTCCTGCCAGCAACATATGAGAGTTTCTATCACTCTGTGTCCTTGCCAACATAGGGTATTGTCAGTCATTTTCACTTCGGTCTTACTAGTGAATGTGAAATCGTATCTTGCTTTAATCTAGTTTTTCCTAATGACTAATGGGGTTAAATGCCTTTTCATGTGCTTACTAGCCATTTTATGTCTTCTTTTGTGAAGTGCCTGTTAAAGTCTTTTTCCCACTCTTTTAATTGGAGTGTTTGTCTTTTTATTATTGATTTTTTGGAGTCATTTAAACATTCCGGATATGAGTCCTTTGTTAGACAAATGTGTTATGGATATTTTCTTCTCTGTGGTTGTGTATTCATTTGCCAAATGGTGTCTTTTAAATAGCAAATTTTTTTATGAATCCCATGTAACCTTTATTTTTCCTTTTTGCCTTTATGTTTTCTTCTAGAAGTTTTATGGCTATAGCTTTTACATTTCAGTTTATTACATGTTATTGTAATTATTATTTTGGAGTGGAGCAAGGCGAGGTCAAGCATTTATTTTCCCCTGGATACAGCTGTCCATTTGTTTCTGCAGTATTTGTTTAAAGCGCTTTCTTTTCTCCATTGAGTTGACTTGATGCCTTTCTCAAAAATCAATGTATGGGTCTCTTTCTGTACCTTTCATTCTTTCCACTGATGGAGGTATATTCTATTTTTGTGCCAGTATCAACTCATCCTGATTACTATAACTTTATGTAAACCTTGAAGCAGAAATTATAAGTCCTGTGACTTTGTTTTTTTAAGATTATTCTATTTTAGATCCTTTGAATTTCCATATAAATTATAGCATTAGCTTTTCAATTGATGCAAAAAACCTGATATTATTTTCACTGGGATTGTGTTTTATCTATGAATCAACTTGAGGAGAATAGGCATCTTAACAATATTAGTTTATCAGGCTGTGAGCATTTATTTAGTTTTTAAAATTAATTTGTATTATTACAATACAACATACACTTGGGTTGCATAGAATGTTTCAGTCAATGATGAACTGCATAATCAACGGTGGTCTCACAAGAATATAGTACCATATTTTACTGTGTTGAGATATGTTCAGATACACAAATACCATTTTGTTACAATTGCCTACAGCATTCAGTATAGTTACATGCTGTACAGGTTTGTAGCCCAGGAGCAATAGGCTCTACCAGATATAGCCTAGGTGTGTTGTAACCTGAACCATCTGGGTTTGTGTAAGTATAGTCTATGATGTTTCTATAAGGACAAAATCATATAATGACCCATTTCTCAGTAGATATCCTGCTTGTTAAGAGATAAATGACTGTATTATAGTTTTCAGTGATGAGGTCTTACAGATCTTTTGTTAGATTATTCTAGGTATTTAATATTTTGGAATGCCACTGTAAATATATATGTATACAGGTTAAAATGTTCGTTTTCCCATTGTTACTGCTTGTATATTGGAAATACACTTGAGTTTGGTGTATTTATATTCTGTAACCTTTGTAAATTCAATTAAGTCTAGTAGTTTTTCTTTGCAGATTCTATTGATTTTTTTTCATTTACACAATTGTGTCTGTAGTAGGGACAGATACACATTGTTTTTCTCAGTGATTATAGTTTCTTTATTTTTTCTTATTTCAACAGCTAAGACCTCTAGTACAGTGTTCAATGGAACTGGTGAGAAAAGACGTCCTTGCTGTGTTCCTGATATGAAGAGGAAAGCAGTCCTTCTCCATTAAGTAAAGTATAAACCTTAGGTTTTTCATAGATGTCCTTTGTCAGATTTCGAAATTTCTCTGCTATTCTCATTTTGCTGAAAGTTTTAAAAAATTATTTAAATAACGGATTTTGAATTTTGTCAAGTACATTTTATGCATTTATTGAAATAATTATATGGTTATTCTTCTTAATTTCATTTATGTAGTGAGTTATACCAATTGAGTTTTGAATGTTGAAACCACCAGAATTCCTGGGTTAAGCTCTATTCAGTTATGATAAATTTTATATATTGCCATATTTGCTGATATTTTGCGATTGTACTATGAAGGATATTGGTCTGTAATTTTATTTGTTTGATTTGTCATGTTTTGCTACTATGGTTATGCTGCCCTAAAACAAGTGGAGGAACTGTTCCTTCTTCCTTTTTCTCCTCTTTAAAAGAATATACATTTGGTATTATTTTCTTTCTCCAACATTGGATAGCATTCACAGTGAAGTTATCTGGATGATATTTAACTCTTGGAAAGTTTTTGATTACAAATTCAAATTCTTTAAAAGATATCGATCATTTAGATATACTAATTCTTGTGTCACTTTTGTTGGCTGTGTTTTTCAAAGAATGTTTCCATTTTATCTGACTCGTTAAGTTTATTGATAAAACATCATTCCTCCTGTTATTCTTTTAATGTCTGTAGAATGTCTGGTAATATTGCCTCTTACGGTCTTCATATTGGTGATTTATATGTTCTCCATTTTTCTTATAAGTCTTAATAGAAGTTTGTAAATTGTATTAATCTTTTCACAGAACCAAACTTTGACCTTTGATTTTCTCTATTGTTTCTTTGTTTTCTATTTCTTTGACTACCACCCATTTTAAAATCACTTGCTTTATTTAACTTCCTTCAGTTAAACATGTTCTTTTTCTAGCTAATTAAGTCGAAAGCTCAGTTCGCTGATTTTAAACCTTCCTTTAAGTATATATATACATCTATAAAGATATAAGTTACCTCTAGACATCAATTCAGCAGCATCCTAAAATTTTGATATTTTATTATTTGTCTTGTTATTCAGTAGATCTGATTTCAATTTTTCCTTGTCATTTATTCGTTGATATACATTATTTAGAGGCATTTTAACAAATTTCAAACCATTTTAAGGTTTTCTAGAAATCATATTATTTTCTTAGGTTATACCATTTTAATTAGAGAACATACTCTGTGCGTTTCAATGTTCTGCATTTATAGGGACTTGTTTTTATGGCCCAGCATTGCTTTATCTTGTTGGCTGTTCAATGGGTATTTAAATACTTACGTTGATTGAGAATGTTGAGCAAATTTTTATAACCTTATAAATTTATTGTTTAGTTGTTCTAGTAATTACTGAGAGAGAAGTGGTAAAACCTCTAACTAATATTGTGGATTTGTCTGTTTCTCTCATTTCGCTGTGAATTTTTACTTAAATTTTCACAATCTTGTTTTTTTTTTTTTTTGCCTAATATGTAGCACTGTTACATCTTATCAATTAACACTTAACATAATTATGAAATTTCCCTCATTGTCTTTATTAATACCACTTACATAGAAATTTTTTTCTGATATTAATGTAATTTTCTTATGTTTATTTTTTGCCCAATATATGTTTATCCACACATTACTTTTAACCCGTATGTCTATAGTTAAAGAATGTTTTTAGTAAATAGCATATAGTTGTATCTTCATTTTTTTTCCTTGAAACTGACAATCTCTGCCTTTCACATGTTTAGTCTACTAACAGTGTCGTAGTCAATAAGATTGTATTTCAGTCTATTATTTTGTCATTTAAAAAGATGGTCCCATTTATTCTTTGTTGTTCTCTTCCTTCTTTCCTATCTTCTTTTGGGTTAACTAAATATTTTTGTAGTATTCCATTTAATCTCCTTTTTTTTTTTAAAAAAAGCAATTATTTTAACATTTAGTGGTTCTATATATCACAATATTTATCTTTAAATTATCAAACACATCTTCAAATAATAATTTGCCATGTCATGAACAATGTGAATTTTTTTTTTTAGACTGAGTCTTGCTCTGTCACCAGGCTACAGTGCAGTGGCACGATGTTGGCTCACTACAATCTCTGCCTCCCAGGTTCAAGCAATTCTCCTGCCTCAGAATCCTGAGTAGCTGGGATTACAGGCGCCCGCCACCACGTCCAGCAAATTTTTGTATTTTTAGTAGAGACGGGGTCTCACCATGATGGTGTCGATCTCCTGACCTCGTGATCCGCCCGCCTCAGCCTCCCAAAGTGTTGGGATTACAGGCGTGAGCCACCGTGCCCCACAATGTGAATATTTTATAACCACATAACTCTATTTATTTCCTACACTACTCTGTCCTCTTAGTGTCATGTATTTTACCTCTGTATGTTATGCACCTGCAATACTTTTATTCGTGCTTTAAGCAGCTCATAGTGTGGTATAATTTCTCATAATCCTAAACAAGGTCTGTTAGCATTTTTTTTGGCAGCACATATCTGCTGGATGTGAATTATTTCAGCTTTTGTCTACATAAAAAAGTCTTTATATTTCTTAATTTTGAAGTATATTTTAACAGGATAGTATACTGTAGATTGGGAGGTTTTTTTTTCTCTTAGACTTTTAAAAATATTGTTTCATTGTTTTGGGCCACCACAGTTCTTATTGTGAAGTAGCTTACATTCTTTTTAGTGCTTCACTGTATGCAATATCTTTTCTTTCCCCTGTGGATGCTTTTAAGATGTCTTCTCTGTCTTTGATATCATCAGTTTGAGTATGTTATTCTTAGTTGCAGTTTTCTTTGTATCTATCCTGTTTGGGGTTTGCTGAGATTCTTGGATCTCTAGATTGATGTCTTTCATCCCTTTCTAGTAATTTCCAACAATGATTTCAAATATTTTTCTTCATTCTTTATTTCCAATTTTGGGGGGCTTCAATCACACTTATATTAAATACTTCATATTGACTCACAGTTGTCATTCTCTAACATTTAAAAAAATTGCTCTTTTTGGAATATAAATCGTTCTATTACAAAGGCACATGCATATTATGTTCATTGTGGCACCATTCACAATAGCAAAGACATGGAATCAAACGAAATGCCCATCAATGGTATGCTGGGTAAAGAAAATGTACATATACACCATGGAATACTATGTGGCCATAAGAAAGATCAAGATTATGTCCTTTGCAGGAACATGGAGGGAGCTGGAGTCCATTTTCCTAAGTGAACTAACACAGGAACAGAAAACCAAAGACTGTAGGTTCTCACTTATAAGTGGGAGTTAAATGGTGAGAACACGTGGATACATAGAGTGGAACAACACATACTGGAGCCTATTGAAGGGTGGAGGGTGGGAAGAGGGAGAGGATCCAGAAAAATAACTATTGGTACTCAGCTTAATACCTGGGTGATGAAATAATCTATACAACAAACCCCCATGTTACAAGCTTACCTATACTACAAACTTGTACATGTACCCCTGAACTTAAAAATTAAATTTAAAAAATTGCTTTTACTCTCTTTGTGTTGCAGATAGAATAATTTCTAATGTCCTTTCTTCAAGTTTCCAAATCCTTCTGATATCCAGTCTATAAAATTAATAAAATATTTTTTTGTATCATGTTATTCAATTATTGAATTTCCAATTGTTATTTAAGGGTTTGAATATTCTGCAAAATTTTTCTACCTATCTACTAGACCTTTAACACATTTTTCATAGTGATATTAAAGTCCTTATCTATTAATTCAATGATTAGGTTATCTGTGGATTTACTTCTAATGACTGTTTTCTCTCTTGAAAATGGTTCACCTTTTCCTCCTTTCTATGTCTCATAATTTTTAATCCTATTCTAGATATTGCCTGTATGAAGACAGTAGATATTGAATAAATATCTACTGGAAAGGTGGTGTGCCTCTTCTTTTGTCAGGACACAAGTGTTGGCAGCTGAGTAGATCCAATCTGCCTTAGAGCTGGGTCTAGGCTTTCATAAGACTCATCCCGATAGGGAATTAATTCATTTAGGCTTGTCTCATTTTTACCTCTCTGGTGGGTCTTTAAAAACTGATTTTGTGGTCCATCTGTCTTGTTCTCATCGTTCATGTGGTATTAACTACCTCTTGCAACTTTCTGCATTCTTGTGATAACAGATTTCTATTAACTTTGTTGTTATTATGATGTGATGATTTTACCAACTGCAACAACTATTTTAATCCATGTTAACTCATTAAACTGTAACAGAAATCATAGGCAGGGTGTGTTGCTCTATGAAAATTGAGGGGATGGGGCTATGAAAACTTGTGGGCTTGGAAGAGAACTGTGCTATTTCTTATTGAACAAAATAATGATTAATGGCAGGGACTGTTGGAAACCAGCTGGTTTCCATACCTGCTTTAAAAGCAACACTCAACTTTAAGAAGCAATAGACTGGATAGAGAAACTGTGGTATATATACATATAGTCTTAAAGAGAATAACGGAGTATGTCCAAGAGGAGACAAACTGGGGGAAGGGAAAAAGGTAGAAAGGAAGGGGAGAAAGAACGGGAAAGGGAGGAAGAGGAGGAGGAAATAGCAAAAGAGAAAGAGGAGGAGAAAGCGGAGGAGGAGAAGAACTGATGGAGGGAGGGAGAGAGAAAGAGAACCTTCATACAATTCAAACCCCTACAGTGGTCATCTCTGAATACCAATCCCTTGGGCTTCTCAATTATGAGTTCTTACATTCCCTGTTTTGACCGAGACTGGTTTGAGTTTCGTCCCAGTTTAGCAACTGAAAGGATTTTAACTATAAATTGATTACTTTCTGTTCAGTGGCTGTATCTTAACCTATTTTTACATCTAGTTAAAGTAGAAGTTGGCAAATTGTAACCAATGGGCCAAATCTGGCCCACTCTCTGCTTTTATATAGCCCATGAGCTAAGAATAAGAATAGTCATTGCATTTTAGAATGGTTGAAAGATGAAAGAATATGACATTCGTAAGGCATATGAAATTCAAATGTCAGTGTCTTAAATAAAGTTTTTTTGGAACACAGCCAAGCCATTCATTAATGTATCATCTATAGCTACCTTATTCTCATACACGTGAGGCAGAATTGAGAAGCTGAACTGAGACTGGATGGCTCACAAAGCCTAAAATATTCACCATCTGCCCCTTTACAGAAAATGTTTGCCAATCCCTGACCTAAAGAACCTACTGCAGAAAGCATTGGCATTACTGGGGCCGTTAAGAAGATACCCTTTATTTAGGGATGAGAAGGGGTCAGAAAGCCCCATGTTCATTCTAGAATTGCCCCTTAAAGCTCTGACCTCACAGTCTCTGCCTCCCTCACCTTTCTTTGCCTCTCTCTGTTTGGGCACCAGCATGTTCCAGGCTCTGTGGTTGGGGGCGGGGATGCAGTGGGGAGCAGTCACGAGTGAAAATTGCACTTGACTGAAGGTCCAGAGACCATTTACTCACCATGCAATTCCTGGAAACTCACCCAACCCCTCTGACCTCCAGATAGTGAAGTGGGGTACTTAATGACACCCTTTTCCTAGGTTAACTGGGAAGATCAAGTGCATAATGATACATGTCTGTTACATAGAAATGGGCAGCAAATGCTTCCTCTCACTAGTATTGTGAGAAGCAGTGAGATAAACTTTGGGACAGCACTTTGTAAATGATAATGCACAGCTGAAGGGAAGTAAATATAATGTTATAATAATGGCTACATGTTTAGTTAGGACCTAAATGACTTCAGAGTCACTACATTTTCCCCCCTTTGATTAAATAATTTTATATTGCAAACCTAATCGATGCCCTTGAAAAATTTAGAATAGTGCAAAAATATAAACAATGAAAAGCAAGACTCCACTGTCCCTCACACATTCTTCCCAAGGGCAGATGAGGTTGTTATTTTTATACACTTCAGAAATGGTCTCTGCACATATCACTAGTGAATATTTGGGGTGTGTGTATGTATTTGTGTGTATGTGCCTATACCACCATCTCTTTTTCATATCAATGACCATAACATAACCTGATCTTTACTTGACTGCATTTACTTAAAAAAATTATTACATTCACCAGGGATATGTTCAAGAATGTCTAAAGCAGTACTATTTGAAATAGCTAAAAACTGGAGAGGACCTAAATATCTGTCAACATGAGGATGAGTCAGCAAATTGTATATTTATACAATAGAATGTTATCCATTGATGAGAATGAATGAAGTACAAATGTAAATGGCCCCAGGACTTAGCTATGAGGTCACAAGTTAGGACAGTGGTCATCCTGTGTAAGAGAGACCCTGGATGGGTGCCTACAATGTCCTACTCCCTGTAGCTGTTGGCTGCCCAATGTGTAGACTTTGTGAAAATTCATCATCACATATGGTTTGTGCACATTTCTGTAAGCATGATTTTCTTCAATAAAATTCATGCTAGAAATTTAAAAAAACATATCTTGGAAGTCAATTTCAGAACATATGGGTTTGCCGCCTTCTCTTTCATAGCTGTAGACACCTTTATTGTACGGACAAATGGCATTTTCCCTCAGACTCCCACCCTCTCATGCACACTTGTTTCTGGCTATTTGCTGTTGAGTGCATTTTCCAAGATATTTTCTAATCACCCTTCTAAACAGAAGCAGGTTGTTATGAGCACAGACAGATGATACCTTGGTGCATGGGACCAATTCTGCCCTGCAGATGCCAAGAGGGAGCTCAGCCTGTTCCAGGCCACCACACAGGTGTGTGGAGCCCTGACCCTTTGTGAACCAACAATGGCATCGTGTGGGCAGACATGCTGCCTGCATGGACGCATTGCTGCTAATGGGTATTCCCAAGGCATGGGTTGTTATTTGCATTTTCTCATTGTCACGAGCACCCAATGTTCTGAATATTAATGAAACAATTTCCAGCCTCCTTTGCAGGCTTAAAATATTGAGCATCAGACATACTGCTTTGTTCCCATTTCAGCCAAGTTTAATTTCTCTTAACCAGCTTTGTTGTTGTAAAGTAAAATTAATGTATGATTTCAGTGTTTAAATCTCAATTCTCGGCAATTCACGACAGATTGCAAGTGAATGTGATTTGTTCGTTAACACCTAATGGGTTGAAATAATTTATTGCACAAACATTTCCAGGAAAACGAAGCCACTTGAGCAAGAGCAAAGCAGGAAATGTTACTTGTTTATCTAATAAACTACCCTAGGGTGAGCGAGTACATTAGCATTGCACAAACTTTGTGACTTATTTATCATCACTATTTATTATTAAAACTTTATCTGCTTCAACTTAGTGAATGGCTGCCTTGGGATATACCGCTTGCAGCAACAACAACAAAATAAAGTTTATGCAATTTGCATAATATTGTACAAAGAATATTAGCTTAGAACAATATGAATCCCTGGATCATTTGCACAGCCCTTTGGTGTTTAATGTTGGTAAATATTTAAATAACAGCAAGCCTGTATAATTATAAAGATTTCTCTTTCTAATCTGCCCTGGATGTACAGCTGTTGTAAATCACCACATTCATGTGATTTGACTGGGAGAATGTTAGGGATGATGAAAAAGCACTTGTTGCTTATGCTGGCAAAGATGATGGAGACAGAAGCACCTGCAGGAGAAGTCTGAGACAAGATGCTGAGGTCTTGCTGTATTTCCTTTTTGATGGTTTACGACAGCGTTGGTGTTTCACATGAACTGGGTCCTGCATAGAGTAAGCATGCAGGAGATGGGTCTCTACAGTTCCAGCTCCTCTTTCATGAATGGAATATTTGCCTATTAAGAAAAAATATGATTCATACCCCTGGGCTTTTGCACATGCTATTTTCTCTCTGGGTCATTCTCCCTATGTGTCACCTGCTCACCTCCTAGTTGTGGCTCACTCATCCTTTTGGTTTCAGCGTAAACCTCTGCATTCTTTGTGATGCCCACTTGCCCCTGCTGGGTCTAGCTTGGTCTCCCTATTAAGCACCTTCTTGATGCTTTGCATTGCTCTCTCATAGCTGAGTCGCTCAAATGTCTTTTTTCTCCACTGGACTCTGAGCCCCATGAAGCGGGGGGATGTGTCTATGTTGGCCAGTGTGGCAAATGGTAAATCCTGATTTACAGTTTTGTTGAATTAAAAAAATGAATAACTGAATGCCTATAGTAATCCATTTAAAGAAGTGTCTGCATAAGCCATCATCACAGGCTATGTTAACCTTTCATATTAGACACATTAAAAATGAATGCTGGCTGGGCGCAGTGGCTCACGCCTGTAAACCCTGCACTTTGGGAGGCCGAGGCAGGTGGATCACCTGAGGTCAGGAGTTCAACACCAGCCTGGCCAACATGGTGAAACCCTGTCTCTACTAAAAATACAAAAAATTAGCCTGGTATGGTGGCGTGTTCCTGTAGTCCTAGCTACTTGGGAGGGTGAGGCATGAGAATTGCTTGAACCTGGGTTGCAGAGATTGCAGTGAGCCGAGATCGTGCCACTGCACTCCAGCCTGGGCAACAGAGTGAGACTCTGTCTGAAAAACAGTAAAAAAAGAATGCTATGCTAATATGCTAATGCCTTATGTTGGTGAGAGTCTGCAGATGTGGGAGCTCTGAAATAATTCACAAGAACACTTTAGATGCGTGAGGCAAAAGTCTTAAAGTGATTATTTTATTTTTGGCTCAGCAAATACGTTTGTGGGAATTTACCCTAAAGCAGTAATTTGGGAACGTGTGGACATATTTAGGACCAAGGATATTCATCACAATGTCGTTTAAAATTGTGAGAAATTGTAAACAACTTAAATGGTCAACGGTAGAGAATTAGCTGAGAGAGTTGTAATTTATCTAAATGACAGAATACTATGAAGGTATTAAAATAATGATTTAGAAATATGTTAATGACATGGAAGAGGTTTATGATATACTCTGGGGTGAATAAAGCAAATATCAAGCCTTATGAAACTATGATTCCATTTTTTGAAATAGCATTTATGTAGGCAAATGACTAGAAACTTATATTAAAATGTTAAGTCATTTTCTGTGGTTTGGCATGATTTTGTTTTTAATGTGATACTTTTCAAAATCAAAAGCAAAATGAGACAAATAAACCTATGCATTGAGTTGTTGGTTTAACCCTCACAGAGGGACATCAGTTAAGTTACTATAAAAAACAGTTACTTGGCTGTACATCTTAATGGAATATACGTTAAGGACGTAAATAACATCAAAGAAATTTTATTTTCTTTTCAGTAATTATACTGTTAATAATAACTTTGGTATTTTGTTTGGAAACTACTTAAGTAAATTCTAGGAGAAATCAAATTATGTTAACATGAACAAGAAATAATATATTTAGCTTAAGAGAGAAAAATATAAAAGAATTGAAATAAAAACCCTGCAACCTTAAATTTGAATTGAAAATATCAGCATAGATGCCCAATATACTTTCACTTAAAAGATACATTTTCCGCCTCTGTCAACTGAGCAAACCCTGAAAGAACTTAACTAGTAGCAATGGATGTACTTAGCACCTGCACTGTCACTGCTGAGCACCTATCCACTAAAACAAAGCAGGGATTCTTGGAGAAATGGCTGACTCCTAATCTGGGGCACGAAATATATGAGAAGATCCCAGATCATCTTACTCAACCCCAGGAAGCAAAAGAAAAGGTTGCTGGGTCTCCTCGGAGGACCCAGTAGCTGACCTAAATAGGCTTCCACCGGACAGAGGTCACACACTCAGGGCTTCAGTAAGAATAACAACGTGGAATGGAAACACATCGTCTGTGTTCCCATCCATGTGTAAAAGACAGACAACAGACAACAATGGAGCAAGACACATCAACCATGTCGAAATCCACAGGTAAAGCACAAAACCACCACAGAAGCAGCAGCAAATCAACACCATCACGAAATGGATTGAAAGAATGATAGGGAACCAACTCACAATTTTGAAAACCAGCAAATAAAGAGAAAAAATTGAGCATTTTTCCTGCCTTAATTTTACAACTGTACCTCAGGATAACACAGTGGTTTATTTGGGAACGTTTCTTTTTATATTGAAGAGTTCCAGCTCAATAATAATGATGGATGATAGAATTCGAATATCATAATTTTTCAGCCTCAAAGGCAATAATTGGACGATGCTGTCATCCCCAATGACTGTTGGCATCACAAAAAAGAGCAACAACCTGGTATTGTGTCTCTAGATGAAAGTACATGATACCACTTAGGGGTTTTCTTGAAAAATATTGAACCTGAAGACCAGGGATAGAGCAATACGTTAAATGATACCACAGGGTTGTAATCAACAAATTTTAGAATGTGAGAGACCCTATGTCGTCACTGACAAATAAATTGTGAAGCCATTAAAAAGAGAGGAGGAAGAACCTACAGATAGAGATTTAAGGGTCATATTAGGCAACTGCAAGGCGAGGCCTTCTTTGGATCCTAACTTGAATAAGCCAACTATATATATAAACACATACACACTATATGTAAAATATATATATACACACACACTATATATATAAAATATACACTATATATATGCATATACTATATATAAAATTTATATATACACACTATGTAAAAATATATACACAATTCTATGTATACACACACCATATATATAAAATATGTATACATACAACTATGTATACACACACACTGTATATATATACTATGTATGTACACACACATATATATACACACTATATAAAATGAATACTAATGCCTAGTGCTGAGAGTTTAGAGATGTTTTACACTATATAAAAAAATATATACACACAACTATATATATACACACACATATGTGCAATCAGGGAAATGTTGACTTTCCCTGGATGTTGGTTATATAAAGACGTTATTGTCATATGTTATGCTGATAATGGTATTGTGGCCATTTAAAAAGTCTTGTATTTTAGAGATACGTGTGAATTATTTCCAGAAAAAAATAAGCTCACCAGAACGTGCAACAGAGGTAGCTTCTTTTGACTTTCACTAATTTTTTAGGTCCTTGAGACTGTTCTGTTTTGAATACTCAAGATGAGATTTAATTATTTTCAGTGCTCAGAAATTTTCTTCTATAATTTTATTGATCCTTGCCACAACTCCATTTATTCTGTTTCTCATTTTGTAATTCCCTTGGGTAAATGAGGTATCCTGGGCTGGTTCTATATTTCTCTTTTCCTTTTTTCTCCAAATTCATCATTCAATCATAATAGAATTAATTGAATTAAATGAAGTTGATCCAAAGCAACTTATATCCCACATCTTATATGCCAACTTATATGCAACTTATATGCAACTTATATGCCAACATCTAGATTTCACATCAGCCAGATATCACGACAATGGAAAGCTTGAAATATGAAAGAAAAAATACAAAGATCCTTCTTATTTTGTAGGAAAGTGAAGTTTACGGAAAAAAACTAACAATCACCTTTTATTCTGTAGAGAAGCAGTGAGAGCTGAGAGCTTCAGACACATTGGAAATAATATGAAGTATTTGAATCAATTATATGACGGCAACAAAGAATAATTCTATTTTTGTGGGTCAACCACTAATTGCAGTATAATGTTCTCAGCACTTTCATCTGTCATTGCTGGGAAATATTAATGGGACTCTTAAGACCAAGGCTTCAGCACAACTATTGGGTAATTAGGGCACGAATCCCCATGCATACTTAATTGTATGATATAGGACCAGGCTAACTTTAGAGTGGGGGTGGTTTCAGAATGACAATACAGAGAAACACCTCCTTGGTTTCTATAACTCTAAGACATCAGATTAAATTGAGTATGTTGAAAAGAATTGCACTGAAATATCCCAGACTGTGTTTCTGTTCTAATTAGCTTATTTACAAAGTTTAGTTCATCTATTTTTCCAAAAAGACGTTTCTCTGGACTGCCCGACAATTCTGTAGTCTTCTAGTTACTGAAATCCAGCTCAAAACATAGGTTCATTTCCCTTTTAAAAGGGAATTTATTGTCTCATATAATGGAAAAGCCAGAAGCCAGCATCCCAGGCATGGTGGATCCAGGTGCATAAATGGCGTCCTCAGGAATCAGTTCCTGTTCTCGTGTCTTTCCACCTGGTGATGAAGGTGGTCACCAGGAGTTTCTGGCCACATCTTACCAGTTTAGCAACCCTGCTATAAAGAGCACTAAGGCTCTCGTTAGCCTAGCTGTGGTCACATTTGCAGCCCTAAGCACATCACTTGGCCAGGGGGATGCTGTCCATTGGCCAAGCTTGGGTCCCAGGCCCACCTCTGAAACCACAATATGGGTTCAACCTCCCATACGCCAAATGGCAGAGGGTAGTTCTTTGGTGGAAACTTTGTCTCCACAACCTAGAAAAGGGAGAATGAACATTGGGCAGGCAGAAATCACAACAGACATCTTTTGTGGAATTTTAAATAACTTCTGGAATATTAGTCACTGCTCTGTCTAGCCTGACTGTTTCCAGGCTTGCTAAAGGAACAATAGCAAGGCTGACTTGAAATGCTGGCAGAAGCTTTGCTGTTCTGTATTTGAGGGTAAAAGAAGGAGCAGTTTGAGGAGAATGTGAATGTTGAGCTGTCCATCTGTCTTTCTCTCTAAGGATGCAAAAGCAAGAATGGTCAGATATACATTTACTGATGGATCGTTGACTTTTTAAAATTCCTATGAAAAAGCAACCTGTAATCCTTTGAGATTTTAGAAGTGATAAAATGAATCCCCTCTAGTCAACTACCCTAATGGGAAATACAACAGACACTTATTTATTCTAGCTTTACATTAACAAAGGTTATGTGATAGAATAGCTTTCAAGAATGCTGTTTCTAGAACTTTCTGTTTGGTCAAAGAATGAATATTATACAGTCACAAACACATGGCCAGCCACCTGAGGAAAGGCAGCATCTAAATGACACTATGAGATAGGAAGTTCAAATAGTCAAGTGTTTATTAAGGTGGGTATTCTGAAGTCTCATCAAACTTTAGCCCACATATATTGAGCAATGACTGTATACTGTATGATTTACTGTGCCTTGGGCATGCAGATATATTAATGACATGACCTCTGGTGTCTAACAGGGATGATCTGCTTATAACAGGTTCTACATCAGATTAATTCAAAGAAAATGGAGAAGAGGACTTATAGTGAAATGTCAGGAATTTTATGTTTTTCAATAAATGGAGCTTCATTCCTAGACCTACTGATGGAATGAATAGAGTAAAATTCAATTTTAGGATTTTTGTTCCAAAAGTCCTTACAGCTAAGGGGCGTAGATGTTAATCTCTGAAATGGGTGAGTTTGTTTTGTCTTAAATTGTGTACTGCCAGGATATATGATGTCAGACAAAATAGATTCAGGCATTGATTTCCGGGTGAGTTTAATTGATTGCTATTTCTTTCTGCTTGACTAGAGATTGAGGTTTGCTGATGTTTCTGCATGTCTAATATAATTTCCATTTGGTATTTGGCTTGCTTATGTAAAGGAATACATATTCAATTGAGTTGAGAAAGACCAGACCATGGTTGTTCAAAACCCTGGGGATGTGGCTTATGCTTGTTAGCACTTAGTCTTCTCTGGTTTCTACACACAGTTTCATTGTGACACCAAGCTCCCTGTCAACTTTCACCACAAAATAAGTACAAAAATATTTACATGGGTGTAAAGACTGATGGTTGCCTTAACATCTATGGCCAGTGGAGGGAAATAACTCATTAGAAGGATTAGAAGACCTGGGCCAATTTAAAATTATGTATAAATGCCAGATTCTAATGAGCATTTCAGCCACAGTGGGTGACAGTAAATTAATGTAAGCAAGGTTTGTCTTCTTTTCTTTACTTTCTCAAATCTCAGTGGGAGACATGTAGAGTTGGGGCCTGTTGCTACCATCTCAAGTACAAACATTTCTTTATGTCTGTAGTGAAAGTGGGGATCTGTTGTTGGGTCATTTCAGCCCATCTCAACAAATGCAGGTATCGAAGTGTGTGTTTGCAGGATGAAGACAAGCTGCATTCCAGGAAGAAAGTTTTCAGGCAAATAGTTTCAGGACCAATCATCAGTTATATCAGGACAAACAGGACTTCTTCATGATCGAGGGAGCCCAGGCTATTGTCAATTCCTGAAGCTTCCAATACATTGAAAAATGAAGGAATCTTGAAACAGGTTATAAAAATTGGATATATTTATATTCTTTTCATTGAAGAAATTTATGCTTTTTACACAGTCAAGTGCAGTGACTAAATGCGTGATCTTACTTGAGGATATGTCTAGCAATTACTCCCTGGACATTTGGGAATATAAGGCCAATACCATGAAAGACAGAGGGCAGAGGAAGAAGGAAGCTGGATTTTAGGCTATGTCACTGAACCACTGAATGACTCCTCACCTGAAATCCTCAGGTAAATGTCCTACTGCTATACTCTTCGTAGTTGAGCCAGTAAATTATTTTCTAAGTCAGGATGAGTTAGGTGCTGGTTCCTTGCAGCTGAAATCATCCTAGCTGATGTGGACCTGCTTCTGCCCAGTGCCTCCACCCTTTAACCACTCTTAGCACTCACACAATGCTGAGGCTGTCTTCATTTAATTGAAAGGTTAATTATAGGTGGAGGTCTGTTGTAGAATATGTGGTTATTTTGGTCTCTGCAACAGTAAACAGGTTTGACAGTGCTCTGACTGACTTGACTGGATGGATGGATTGTTGATATGACATAATTCTAGCTATTAGCTGTCAATCCTTTCATCCTGAAAGATGCTGTTTTCTCATTTCTTTACACTGGTTTGACAATTTATACAGCTTGAAATGCTTTCCTATGCATTATCTCATCTGATCATAAATCCACACTTGGGGTTATAGAATAGACATTTTCTACTTTTTCAGTGGAGGAAGCTGAGACAGCAGCCGCCCCAGGCCAACATAAACATAGAATCCAGGGCTCCCCATGAAATGTGTGTGACCTCCCTGGCTCCACATGGATGGGCCAGTCTAATCAGTGTCTGCATTGTTGGTCTGCATTAGGCTATAAGCGACTGAATACAGTGACTCAGACCAATCCAAGCAGCAAGGATATCCATGGTGCTATGTAACAAGAAATTCGGAGTCAGAATGCGGTCTAGGCATGGATGTCAGGCTCTGGAGACTATCTGCATTTTTCTGGTCTCCCATTGCCTTTGAGGGATTGGCGTCATCCTCCAGAGATGGCAAGGTGGCCACAGCTGATCCAGGCATTATCTGACTCAACAACATCCAGGAGCAGGACCTTCTCTTCTCCTGTTCTTTATTGGAGCCTGGAAACCTTTTCCATAAGGACATGCAGCAGACATTTCCATTTTATCTGCACTGGGTCCATGCCCACTCCCCCATCAGTCATTGAAGGGGAAAGGGAGCCTATAATCCTCTTAGAATAACCTGCTGATGAGAATCAGTTGTTGGATAGTGAACCACAGTAACCCCCACAGCATGCATCTAAAATGC
This sequence comes from Homo sapiens, assembly GCF_000001405.40. Classification (NCBI taxonomy): domain Eukaryota; kingdom Metazoa; phylum Chordata; class Mammalia; order Primates; family Hominidae; genus Homo; species Homo sapiens. The sequence continues at coordinate 60,169,930 of NC_000020.11, forward strand.
GCTGACCTAGAGTATGCAGCAGGTGAAGAAAGTTGGCCTGGACATGGTGGATGGCTGCTGTCACAGCCCCTCATTTGTTCATGCCTCTCTGTGTCCTGGTATTTGCGTCAGTGTGGTCCACTCTCACGCTGACTCAGGACCTGGCCAGAGGACTTGTTTAGGTCAATGAGAAAAAAATCAAATATTACACAAAGGGCTTGTCTTCTATTTGCTCTTGGGAACTGTTACGGACTGATTGCATCCCACTAAAATTCATAGGTTGAAGCCCTAACTCCCAATGTGACTGTATTTGAATGTAAAGCCTTTAAGGAAGTAATTAAAGTTAAATGTGGCCAGAAGGGTAGGGCCCTACTCTGATAGGACTGTGTTCTTATAAGAGGAGGGAGAGATACCAGAGACTACTTCCTCTCCACAGGCTCACAGAGGAAAGGTCACATGAGGACAGAGCAAGAAGGCACCCGTCCACAAGCCAGGAAGAGAGGCCTCACTGGAAACCAGTCCTGCTGGCATCTTGATCTTAAATTTCCAGCCTTCAGAACTGTGAGAAAGTGAAGTCATATTGTTTAAGGCCCCCCATAGTCGGTGGTATTCTGTTATGGCAGTTCTAGCAAACTCATACAAGAACTTTACAACCACCATCCCAAGAACAAGCCTGGGCAGGCCTGCTGGGTGATAAAAGATGGGACACCTAGGTACCTTCATGGCCTCAGCCTGCAGCCAGCCAGCCTGTAGGCAGGCACGTTAGTTCAATGACCACCAGCTGACCACAGATGAGTGAGTCTAGTGAGACCAGTAGAAGAGCTACCTACTTGAGCCCAGCCCAGGTTTCAGACACACATAATTAAAAGCCAAATAAATGCTTGTTTTAAGTCACTGAGTTGTGGGGAGGTTTGTTATTCAGCTATACGTAATCGACACATGTAGGATATAGAGGTTTTCAGCCACATACTCAATTGAAACAACTTGAGTTGCACATCCTTTGTTGGTCTGATTGGGAATGCAATTTATTGACACTGTTGGTCAAAGCCATATCTACAGGGATCAGGTAGTCAGGCAAATGAGCAAGACAAGCTGCATAGAAAAATAATCATCAGGCCCTTTTAGTTTGAGTTTTGTTGTACATATTTGGATAAATGTACAGATACAGAAATAGCCACAGACCATAGGAAAGCAACTGTCTAAGAGAGGTGCCGGATGACAACTGGTACACACAGTCTCAAGGATGGGGATTCAGTAGGGAGTGGTGGGGACTATGGGGAGCTGGAATGAGCATGTCACTAACAGAGATAGCCACTGTTCCGCTCCAGCCCTTGTTGCTATGTAGGCATGTGGGCCCAGTGTTTTGCTATGAGAATTTCCAATTTTTCAACAAATACCAGAAATCTGGATTTTTATGTAACATTTTATATTTTTAAAACACTGATTCACTTGGAAGTAAAACACTGAACAGGCAAAATAAAACTCATTTTAGGCTAAACTGCCACTTTGTAATGTCTGCTCTGCACAAACTGGCTAACAGTAGAGTTAGAAGTCAGTAAACTACCCTGATGTCAAGTGGCTGGTTTGGCTGAGTTTTTACTTTCCTATTTGTTTGGGATTTGCATATTTATAGTGTACAGATGCAAATGAAAGGCTTTGCAGAAAAGTGGATTCTGAATCCAAAATATAATAGACAGGAAATAAAACAATGAAAAAAATACAGTCTTTGATTGCAGGTCTTTCTGCCTCCAAGCTCAGAGAAAACAAACAAAATGCAAAAACCTAATATGGGTAAACCCAGTAAGAAAAGTTTTTCAAAATCAGAAAACAAATAAATGGGGGTTTGGACCTTTGCATTCCAAAATTATTCTCAGCCAGATGGTGAATTTCTTGAATTAAGTCAGGGACCAGATTTTATTTATTTTTGTATCCAGGGCAGCTGGAAGCATCGAATCAAGTTTAAGTGAATGAATGAATCAATGAATGAATATTTCACATGGATTTATAGGTAATTAACATATGGCCCATGTGTTGGGGAGTGGCCCTGTGTGCGTTACCACCATGCTGTTTGGAGTCAGGAGACATGGCTTTTTATCTGACCTACTCTTCCGTTTTAGCCACATTAGTTATGTAACCTCTGTGTGTCTCCATTTCTCATGTGTGAAGTGAGGATAATAAAAAATGCATACCTGTTAGTGCTGTGAAGATGCGATGGAACCTGCCTGTAACTGTACTTCATGGCCTGACATGGAGCTCGGGTCCAGTAAATGTTTCTGAGGTTGATGCCTAGTTAGTTTTAAACAGTGGATTACCAGGGGAGTGGGCAGGAGAAGATGACACCTACTTTACTCCTCTTCAGGGACACGGATTTTGAGTCCAGCAACCTGAATTTGGACTAGCTTATGCCAACACATTCTTTCTATGGATTCTGTGAGAATCAGCTCAGGTCACCTCTTGGGCAGAGGTCTGAGGAATCTGGAAAGCAACCCAGTGCTGTTTCCAAAGCATTGTCAACAGCAATGAGGCAGATGCTGCCCTTGGGAATGATTCTTTGCTACAGAATTGGCCATTTTCAGCAACACACAGTGATGTTGTAATAAGGAGATAAAACATGTGAGTCTATAGCCGGCCTTTTATGGGGTGTTCGATGCATCCCAGTTGTTCTTAAATAAGCAAAGAGAAATTGCATCCTCTAGGCCGGTGGAAGCTTGCGGCTTTTCATTTTCTGCCTCTTTTTGGGTATTGTTGCTTTCCTTTTCACTTTGCTCTAATAAGGAATGTTCTCTCTAGAGCAAAATAAATGCCAATCTTATGCGTTTCTGAAGGGAGAGCTATTGTGGTTGGAAACTACTGAATAATTCTCAGAGTATTATTTTGTCATTATTACTCAACCTTTACTATCATATTCCTGATGTTGGCTGGGACCTCCTGGTCCTCTGAGGCACATAGACAAGGTCAGGGCCAGCTCCCATCACGTCCCATACTCGGAAAGGAAAAACCTGCACTGAAACTTCTCCTCTCCTCCAGTGGGCAGCAGGGTGAGCGGTGACTCAGAAGGTGGGAGCTCATTCTCATGGCTTCTTTGCATCCCAGGGGACACCTGCCTTGCCTGTGGGCTATTTTGCCCCATGTTGAACCAGATGGAAAAAATCTTTTTCTTTACAAATCATAAATTTGCCCTGTTCACATACAATGTATGTGAATACAGAAACCTTAAAAAAAAAAAAAAAGGCTGGGTGTGGTGGCTCACGCCTGTAATCCCAGCACTTTGGGAGGCTGAGGTGGGCGGATCATGAGGTCAGGAGATCGAGACCATCCTGGCTAACACAGTAAAACCCCATCTCTACAAAAATACGGAAAAAAAAAAAAAAATTAGCCGGGCGTGGTGGCGGGCGCCTGTAGTCCCAGCTACTTGGGAGGCTGAGGCAGGAGAATGGCGTGAACCCGAGGGGCGGAGCTTGCAGTGAGCTGAGATTGCACCACTGCACTCTGGCCTGGGTGACAGAGTGAGACTCCATCTCAAAAAAAAAAAAAAAAATAGAGATAAGAATGATGAGGATGAGGGGGGAAAACTTGTACTGGAATAAAGAGAGAAAAAAAGAAGTTCATGTAGAATAGTCAGGTAATGCTGTTAAAATGCCCTTTGACCACCCCACTCCTTCGCCAGGGAGTTTCTCTGATTCACTCGATATTTCTTGCTCCTCCGTCAGATTGTTCCTAAAACTCCAAACTCTCAGGGTATTTGCAACCTCTGCAAGGTCCACGCTCTAACCTAACAACAAATCCATGAAGACACAGCAGGCAGCAAGGCATCCCTTCAATGGGGCGTGCACCCCTTCAAGAGCAGTTGAAGTTACAAGAGGAATCTTTTATTTCTGTTATGTTTTCAACAATCACATTTACTGGTTAATTAGTGAGGTGAGCGTATGTCCTGGCTTATGCCAGTTGTTCTAGTGTGATTATTAAGAATGCCTGTGGGCACTGTCCAATTGTCCCACTTTCGATCATGAATTAAATGGTCACTCCATATACTTGCTTTACTCATTGCTTATCTGGAGTGGCACTATACAATAGATATATAATAGAAGCCAAATGTGTAATTTAAATTTTTCTGGTAGTCCTATTAAAACAAAAGGAAAAAGGTAAAATTACTTTTAATAATATACTTTTTCTCCTGCCTCAGCCTCCCAAGTAGCTGGGATTACAGGCACCCACCACAACGCCTGGCTAATTTTTGTATTTTTTTAGTAGAGATGGGGTTTCATCATGTTGGCCAGGCTAGTCTTGAACTCCTGACCTCAGTTGATCCACCTGCCTCAGCCTCCCAAAATGCTAGTTGCAGTGAGCCGACATGGTGCCACTATCCTCCAGCCTGGGCAACAGAGTGAAACTCCATCTCAAAAAAAATAAATACATATTATACTTTATTAACCCCATATATCCAAAATACTATCAATTTGACATGTTGTCCACATAAAACATGTAATGGGATACTTTACCTTTCTCTTTTGTAGGAAATCCTTGAAATCCAGCAGAGCATGTATTTTAATTGTGGCACCTCTCAGTTTGGACTAACTACATTCCAAGTGCTCAATAGCAAAATATGGCTATTGGACACTGGATTGGATGCTCAGATCTAGGTCCATATTACTCATTTTTATAAATGTTTTAATGGTACAAGGGTGAATAATCACAGAATAATCACAGAAGGTAGAAGCTGTAAAATTGTACTTTGAGTGTGGGGAGGGGTACATAAGGACCTCTTTCCAAAAGTTGAATATCTTATGGAACTTTAATATGTAAGATCAGCACAAATAGCATAGTGTTAGAATAAATTATTGTGTATAAATTTAAAATTTCAATATATAGTTAATATACAAGGGGACTTCAAAATGTTCATGGAAAAATCGAATTAAGAGATAAAAATAAAGAATATAAACTTTCTTAACATAAGCTCCATTAAGGTCAAGATACTTTTGTAAGCAAGGACACCAACCATTTAGACCATCCCCAAAGAACTGAGCATCCTGGGAATTGAACCATGTCAGTTCAGTCCTTTTTCCATTATTAACTGAAGAAAAATGGGTTTCCTTTACAATTTTTTTAATATTAGGAGACAAAAAAAAAGTCAAAAGGAGACAAATCAGGTCTGTAAGGTGCATGCCTAATGATTTTCCATCAAAATATTCCCCAAATTGCCCTTGTTTGATGAAAGGAATGAGCAGGAACATTCTTGTGGTGGAGAAGGACTCTCTGGTAGGCTTTCCTGGGTTTTTTTGCTGCTGACGCTTTGGCTTTCTCAAAACACTGTCATAACAAGCAGATGTTATTGTTCTTTGGCCTCATAGGAGTCAGTAAGCAAATTTGAGCAGCCCAAAAAGCTGTTGTCATGACTTTTGGTCTAGCCCAGTGCTCTTGTATTTTGACTGGGTCACTCTTGGTAGCTGTTGCTTTGGTTGTGCTTTGTCTTCGGGATGGTACTGGTGAAGCCATGTTTCACTTCCTGTTACAATTCTTTAAAGAAGTGCTTCAGGAGCTTGATTCCACTTGTTTAAAATTTTCATTGAAAGCTCGTCACTTGTCTGCAGCTGATATAGGTGCAACAATTTTGGCACCCATTGAGTAGAAATTTGCTCAACTGTATTTTTTCAGTCAGAATTGTGCAAACTGAACCAACTGAGATGTCTATGGTGTTGGTGATTGATTGCACTGTTAATTGTCAATCCTCTTCAATTAGGGCATGAACATGATGCATGTTTTCCTTGCAAATTAGGGGTGTGGTCTCTGCTGCTGCAGGCTTCATCTTCAACATTGTGTTGTCTCTTCATATAATGAGTTATCCATTTGTAAACTGATGATTTCTTTGGGGCATTGTCCTCATACATTTTTTGTAAAGCATCAATCATTTCACACTCTTCCACACAAACTTCACCATAAACTTGATGTTTGTTCTTGTTTCATTTTTAGCAGAATTCATGTTGCTCTGATAGGGGCTCTTTGCAAACTGTTGTCTTATCCTTCTTTGTACTTCAAACTAGATCCTATTCAGACAAGTTATAACAAGTTAGTATGAGTTTATTTTGGTGCAAAAATTGAAAATTTTCAAAAAAAATTAAAAAATTTTTTGAAATCCACACATGGTTTTTAAATAATACATATTTTCCAAGATTTGTTGAAGCTATCTTGTATATTTAATAAATATAATAAGAAAATTAAAAGAAACGATTTGTAAAATGTTAAAATAATCAACCTCATGTTTCTGCCACTCAACTTCAACACCTACCATTCCCTGATAATCTCGTTTTACAGGTACTCCTGCCCACTCCCCAACTAATGGTTTTAAGATTTACATGTATCTCTGAGAGATAAAGATTCTTGTTTTTACACATAGCTACAATAGTATTTAAAATATCAATAATTCCTCAATTTCATTCACTACCTAGTCAGTGCACAAATTTCCCCAGGTACCTTATAAATTTTTCTTTTACATTTAGTTTGTTCAAATCAGAGTCTAAATAAGGTCCATACATTGCAATTGGTTGATAAATTTCTCAATATTTTTTATCTGTATTTTTCCTCATCTCTTATAATTTACTGGTTTATTAGTCCTATGGAGTTTTTCGCAGTTTCGATTTTAATGCTTGATTCTCTGGGGTGTTATTTAATGTTCCTCTGTTCTCTGTGCATCTGTAAACTGATAGGGCTAAAGGTTGGAGGAAATTCCGAATAGAAACTTTGGCAAAAATATTTCATAGGTAGCATCAAAGGGTACATCACATCTGGATGCCTTTTTCTTCTTTTTGAGTTTGCGTGCGTGTGTGTGTGTGTGTGTGAGAGAGAGAGATGGGTGGGGAGAGGGACAAAAGGAAGAAAAAAGGTAGATTGAGAGATGGGGGGAGGAACAGAGAGAGTGGGCAGAGAGAGAAAGAGAGAGATTACATCAATCATTGTTGATCACTGCATAAGACCTTAATTCAGTAAGTGTGACAACATTAGAATGCCCTTGTTCTGTCATTTATTTCTCATTTGTTTGGTGGAACGTCTCTGTCAGAATAATTCTTCCAATTCAAGTCCTTGGTTACTCTGAGATATAGTTTGTATAGGAAATTTAGGATAAAAACTTAAATCTTTCCCCTTTTATTTACTAATTTTCAAAATAACTTCACTTCCTGGCATTCTCCAGAGGTGACCAATCAGTTTTTATTTTCTTTTTTGTTTTCGAGGTAGAGGATGGTATTATTAACTCATAGGTTTGAACATGTTTGATGTACTTCAATGGACTGTGATTATCTCTGGCCAGTGGGAGCTGCTGCAGGTTGATTGTGACTTTGTCTGCTGTCAGACATGACACGATGTCTAGGCTAATCTTGTACATTTCTCGACCTACAACTTTGATTCAGCCATTTCCCCATGAGGAAATTGAAACCGAGAATAGCATCAGCGTTGAAACTGGGGTTGCATTATTTAAAACTCTTTTGCTTGCAAGTAGCAGGAATTCCAACCCAAACTGCCCAGGCATGGTGTCATTCATTGGCTCCCATGATATAAAGAGCTGGGACTGGATTTGGGGGCAGGCTGACACAGGGGCTCAAGCCCTCTATGGGAGCTGGTGTCTCTCCCTCCACTTCCCTGCTGCATTTCCTTTAGGTGGCCCCAGGGGAGATATTAAAACTATTTAGCAACCACGCACTGAGGATCAGAAGGAACACAGGCCAAAGTTTTGAGTGGCTCCTGGAAGACCCCTGCTGTGCCAGCATTACTTCTTCAGTTGCTGCATTGTGGGGAGATACAGGAGGACCAGAGGAGGGGCTGGGGTGACAGGTGGTAGAGGGAGAACTTGGAGGACCTGAGGGTGGTGGCTATTTGCCAGCAAGTATGGCGGTATTTTGACAGTTTAACAACCAACTCAGTCTCCCCAGGGCTACCTAGTCTAGTTGGTTCCATTCTCTGACCCGCTCTTTGCACATGGTGGCCAGATGGCCGTACTCCTCACATCCAGCCAAGAAAGGCAAGGCTAACCCAAGTCCAGAGAGTCACTTGGATGGACTGAGGTGGACCGTGTGCCCGGGAATGAGCTGAGTTGATTAGCTCGTCCCAGGCTCCATTCCAGGAGCTGGGGCCAGAGCTGCACGTGTACCAGGACTGAGCATGGGGAGGTGAAGACCATAAATAAAAATTGGGATTATGGCCAGGGGAAAGGGTACCAGCTGTGGCAGGACAGCACCATGTGCCCACCACAGAAGGGGCAGAGGACATTTGCACCTTATGTTAGTTTCAAGGTCAAATTTGCTTTTATGTTTTGTTTTGGTTGCAGAATATTAAGAATGTTAGGCTTCACATTGGTATAGAGGTAAAAATTGTAGATGTTTTCAACACCTTGCCTTCCTATCTCATCAATTACACTAATCAGTGTGATTGAAAGAGAAGCAGTAGGAAACATTTTCCAACATGAATTGAAACACCAACAATCAGGACTGGTGTGTAATTTGTGGGACCTAATGCGAAATGAAAAGGTGGATCCCTTGTTCAAAAGTTATTAAAAATGTCAAGACAGCAATGGCAGAGTAGTAAACCTGTGGGGCCCTGTGTGTCTGTACAGCATTGCCAACAATATCTGGTAACAGCCCACATTTCTTTCCTTGAATAGAAAGATCAGACAAGAAGCACCCTAAAATTTCAAGTGCTGAAATGTCTATATGAACTAAGGGTCAACCTCAATGTGGTGTGTACTCACCGTTGTGCACAGTTAGTGCAGTGGTGAGGAGGCCAGGCTCTGGCCTCTTAATGCTTCTGTTTTTCAGTTCTCCCCACTCACTGGCTCTGTGGCCTTGGGCCAATGATTTCACTCCACCTCACTTTATCCTCTCCCTCTGTAAAATGCGAGAATAACATGATCTACCTTGTGGGATTGTTTTAAGGATTTGGTATGAGATATGAAAATAATTTGAAAGGAGATCATGGAAATTAATGTACTCAGAACGGGGCTGTTACAGAATGCTCACTCTACGTAGGCTTTAGCTGGTATCTCAGTGACAAATGTTATAGTTATTATACCTAAAGCGTGCATACACAATGTGTCATACATGTAGGCGTACTGCATGTGATGCTGGAGCACGCCCCACACAGGTGCTTCCCAGTCTTGCCTGGCACGTGGTTGAGAGAGGCACGTGTGTGCTTCATCAGCTTGATGCTTAGATAATTTTATCTGAGTAAAATGGAAAAAGCACTGAATTTTTTAAATGCACAATGCAGAGTTACAGCCTTCTTAACCAGTAAAACATGTTCAAGGAAGTTAAATTATGCACAAAAATTGCGTGAGAATTTATTCGAAGTTCTGCAGAAACACAGTTTAACCTGTGCTATAATTTGATATATATGACATTTAAGCATATTGCTCTTTATTATACAGGTTTTTTTGAAAATAGTTAAAATACATTTTAAGAAAAAGAAATTTGAGCACAATCTTGGCAGAACCCTTGAACTTCTTATCATTTCCACAAAGGTCTTTGTGATCCTGGGATATGGGGCCCCCAGAGAAAGGCCTCATAAGTGAGTTCCTTACAATGGGCACCTGCTTTTTATTATTAAACAGTAAAAAGAAAATCCCTTCCCAAACCCAAACTTGATTGAAACTTCATCTTAAAATAATGAAATGAAACTAGGAAGATATGTTTATCTTATAATTAATATTTACATTATAATCACAACTATAAGCTAATTTTAAAATAGAGAAAGAATAAACCAAGTTGACTTCCTTCCAATTTTTTTTTAATTGTGGTAAAATATATGTAACCTAAAATGTAGCATTTTAACCAATTTTAGCATATAGTCAGTGGCATTGAGGACATTCCCATTGTAAAACCCTCACCTTCATATATCTCCAAAACTTTTTCATCATCCCAAACTAAAGCTCTGTCCCCATTAACCAACAACTCTCCATTCCCCCTTCCCCCAGCCCCTGGCAGCCACCATGCAACTTCCCCTCCCTATGCATTCGACCACTCTAGGTACGTCATATAAGTGAAATGACACATGGTGGTCCTTTTGTGACTAGTGAGTGTTAATTGTTTGTAGAATTTTCCAAACCAGGTTGTATGACAGCACAATAAAATATCCTTCCCTTTCTGCTTGACTTTCACAGAACCATCAGGAAGAGGACATTTTGTAGAGTCATTCAAGGGCTTCATTCAAGGGCTTCATCAATTTTGCAAGAATATTCTTTAAGTTTTTATGTGGAAATGAGTTATAGTAAAGTATTACTTGAGCACAGTGCATGTCTTCTGTCTTCAGCCCAGTCAACTTTCACATCCGGGTACTTCCATGTGGCCATCCTCAGATGCAGATCTAGAACATTGCCACCACCCAGAGTCTTCTCACGTGATTCTTTGCAGGTGTTAACTCCTCTCCACTCACAGGTCACCGCTGTGCTGACTTTCCTTACCTCAGGCTAGTTTCCCCTCTTCCCCAACCTCATAGAAATGGAGTTGTTATCCTGAGTTCTTCTGCGTCTGGCTTTTCACCCAGCCTGTCTGTCATCTGTGAGGCTCATCCTGGCGACTGTTCTTTGCAGCTCACTCGTTGTTATGACTTTGAGCTATTTCTTGCCATGCAAGTACTATCATTTATTTATCCATTCCTCTCCTGATGGACCTTTGGGTTGTTTTAATTGCCTGTTATAAAGATGCTATAACCACTCTGCCAAGAACATTTCTTAATTCAAATGATTTTTTCTTCGAAAATGTCTGCGTTGTCACCATTCTTATAAATTCTCTTTTCGGTTCTTGTCTCTGCCGAAGAATCCTCTTGCGAATGCCTCTGCACAAGACTCTGTGTTTTCCAAAATCACAGTTATCTGTTTCATAACACCATACATCATTTGTGAGATCTTTACACTTCCTTTGAAACCAATTTGTCTTGTCCTTTTAGATGCTGACAACATGAGCCTCCCGTGGTCGGAACGGGCTTGTGAAGGCGGTGCTGGGGTGCACCAGGGCAGCAGCTACAGGTGAGTAGGCGGGGACATTTGAAAGGGGCTAATTTTCTCGTGGTCCTTTATAGGGGGATGTTTGTATGTTAAGACAGCTCTTTCTTCCCTATACAACTCTGTAGCTGGGGTTGAGTGCATGTAAACTCAGCTAACAAAATCTTCTTGCATTCGGTTTGAGGTCTATTGCTCTGCAGAATCCCCAGGCCTGCCACTTTCCTGGCACATCTTCTCAGCCCTTAGGCTCAGGCTGCAGTCTTTGATTAGTGGTGCATGTATGTGCGACGGGGACAGTTGTCACTGAAATTACAGACAGCTGAATGGTGATTTGAATTGCATGAGCATTAAGGCCTTTCTTAAGAGAGATATGCAAAACCCATGGTTTGATTCTCTTGAAGCATCGGGAAGGCCTGTATAGATAAATCCCCCTGACATCAACATAGCGGGGACACTCTAAGAACCTAATTTTAATGAATATACATTTTGACTTTCCAACTGCAAGAGAATGAGGGCAGATTTGTTTAGATCTTCCTAATTAATAGCCCAGGTTGACTGTACTTTTCTGTTTAATATAACTGATTTCATCTCATTAAGGGAGAGGTAGAAATTAGATGCATTCTCCACTTCCTGGTAAGAATATCTTCTTATTATAAGCTGGGCATAAAAACCCATCATGGCATGCGTACTGGGACTGCTGTGTTCTGGGTGGAGCCACGTTCGGAAGACCTTGTCTGTAATGAAATGGGACATTTTTCTGTACTTAGTTAATAATCTTTGGGCAGCATTTGATCATTTGAAAAAAGTCACACCATTCACTTGATCAGGAGGCATCTGCAGGGAATGCAGGTCGGGCCTGAGTCCTGTTGGCCCAGGAACAGGTAGTTGTGGCGTCAGGCAATTTTTGTTGTTGTTGTTGATGTTGTTGTTTTTGAGACAGAGGCTCGCTCTGTCGCCCAGGCTGGAGTGCAGTGGCACTATCTTGGTTCACTGCAACCTCCGACTCCCTGGTTCAAGCGATTCTCCTGCCTCAGCCTCCCGAGTAGCTGGAATTACAGGCACGCACCACCAAGCCCAGATAATTTTTGTATTTTTAGTAGAGACGGGGTTTTACCATGTTGGCCAGGATGGTCTTGATCTTCTGACCTTGTGATCTGCCCACCTCAGCCTCCCAAAGTGCTGGGATTACAGGAGTGAGCCAATGTGCCCGGCCTGAGGTGTTTTTTTAGTCAGGTAATTGAGGTGTTTCCACCAGGACAAAGCCTCTTGGTGGCTGAGAGGGACCCCACTGAACTCTCTGCTGACCGATGGGGGAGCATGCTAAGTGCTTAGGAACATTAGCACATACCTTGTGAAACTGATGTTTTTATGGTCAAAAAGGGTTGGATATCAGCACTTCCATAAGATACAGTGGACATTGGGACGCACATTTACTCCCAGTGACCCCCCACTCTGTTCCTTGGTGCTCTGTGTCCCCACCTCAGCTGCTCTGGGCTGTGGCTTTCTGCTCAGCAGTTCTTGTTTTGTTACTGCTGTTGTTGCCTTGGGGTGAGAAAGGATTTGTATCCGCACACAGAGGAAGATGAAAAATGTCATATTTCTTTATTTCGTAAAAGACTGAATTAAATACGACTCTCAAGCAATATCTTGGCAGGCTGGTGGGAAATTCAATCTCAGACATTTTGGACTTCCTTGTGCCTTCCTTTTGGGGCACAGACATTCTGGAGGTTTTGGTGAGTTCGAGGGTGGCTGTGCTGGTCTCCATCTCTGGTGCTCACTACTGATGACCTTGTGCATGCTGTATCATTATTTCGAAAGATGATTTTATCTCAGTGTTTTGAATAAACATTTTCCACTGTGCTCCAAGGGCCTCCCAGTGGACTGATGGGTATTAGTTCCCAGATATGGGTCTTTGTGGAGGTTGTAGGCCCCGTGAGGCAGGGGACCACACCTGTCTTAATCACTGCTTCACCTCCAGAGCCCGGAACAGCGCCTGGTTCATAGTGTCCAATAATTATTGAGTGATTGATTTAAACGGAAAAAGTCTCAGGGGTAACTGAATCAGGAAGTTGAGGATTTTAGGAGTAATCTGGATACAGTTCCTTCTGGACTAACAGACAACTTAGGTAGAGAAAACATTGTTGAAATATACTTACATTATTCAGCAGAAAGAGACCTGAGGAATAATAAAACACTAGAAAGGAAATCACTAAGGAATTATCAGTAGACTTTCTGCAAGCAGTACATTTGTATAATTTATTACTGGATATATAACAATATGATCTCTTTTAAAATATACTTATTTCAATATAACATACATAAATGTACATAAATAATACTTTGTGTAGTTAATGAGTCTTTACCTACTCAAAGGAAGAAAGAGAAGGTTATCAGCATCTAGAAAGCACACTCCTGCCCCCTCCCAATTACAGCCTTCTCAAAATCTAATCCCTATCAGAGGGTCTATCATTAGGAATTAATTCTGATTGTTGAACTTTATACCCAATGTGTACAGAGTGTGCTTTCTTTTGTGTTGGACTTCCTTCACTCATCGTTATGTGTGGGAGATGCACCCATGTTGTGTGTGGTTGTAGTGTATTCATTTTCATTGCAATGTAATATTCCACTGAAGAAGAAGTCGTGATTTATGCATTATACTGTTGAGGGCCGTTTGGGATGCCTACAATAAATAACAGTGCTATAACATCCTTGTTCCTGTTTCTGGTGGATTCATGCAAACATTTCTATTGAGTGGAATTCTATTTAGGAGTGGAATTACTGGCTGACTTAGATCACATTCCCCAGAAGCAAGAGTCTGAGATGGGTCTTACTGTGCAAGTGATTTACAGAAAGGGTGCTCTCAGGAGGAAGCTGGGAGGAAGCAAGGGAAGGAGGAGACAGCCTGGGAGAAGCTATACCATATATGGGTTCGGGTAGAGTCCAGGGCAGCCTGATGCCATAGGGAGCTCTGGGGGGTGACCAGCACCACAGCATTGATCCTCTGAGGGCTTTGGTATCTTTTCATCAGCCAGACATTGGCTGGGTGTCATCCCAGAGGGGTGGGGATAACATTGTGAAGCATCTGTATGTGTGATGGCTCCCATCAGCAAAATCACTCTCTGGAAAAGGTGTGGGACCTCAGCAGCTAACACTCTGAGGAGCTGGGACATCGGTGCCCTGGCTCATAAAATGGCCTGGGTGGGTCACCAAGCATGTCTGCTACACTAAGGCAGCAAGGAGCCAATGGCCAGTATTAGCAGGCATTGCTAGTGTTTGTATGGATAGGAATACCTCGAGCATCGTAGGAGGGTTTCTGTTGTTCCAGCTTCTCACCAACACTAGGTATTATCTGATTTTTCATTTTAGCCATTTTTTCCATTGTGCTCATTTGGCTAATAAGATACAGTGGTATCTTGTTGTGACTTTAATTTGCATTTTCCCGATGACTAATAAGGCTCCCTTTCCTTATGTTTATTGCTGTGTGTTTATATTATTTTAAGAAGTGTCTCAAGAACTCTACAATTACGTCGTCTTTAATTGGGTCGTCTGCCTTTTTCTTATTGTGTGGGTTAATTACCTATTCTGGACTGTAGTCCTCATCAGATATTTGCTTTAGAAATGCCTTCTCCATCACTACGGTTGTCCTTTTTAATCTTGTAACATATCCTTTGCTCAACAGAAGTTCTTAATTTTAATGAAATCCAGTGTCATCTTTTTCCTTTTATGGTTTGTGCCATTTGCCCTATTTAAGGAATCTTTGTCTGCCCCAAGCCCATGAAGATATTGTTTTATATTATCATCTAGAAACTTCATTTTAATTTTCACCTTTCATATTTAGAGCACCAAAGCTTTGGGAACAGATCTTTGCCTATAGTGTGAGGTGGTATCTCTTTAGTCATAAATCAAAGAACCCTATGTATGGTCTGTATCTCATTTTTCATTTGATTGGCTCTGTTTTCTATTCCAGTAGTTCTCAACCGGGGGTAAATTTTTCCCCCAACAGGGGACATTTTGCAATTTCTGGAGTCGTTTTTTGTTGTCACAAGTGTGTGCAGAGGCTGCTACTGGCATCTCATGGGTAGAGACCAGGGATGTTGCTAAGCAACCTACATCACACAGGACACTCCCTAATAAAAAAACCATCCAGCCCCAAATGTCAGTAATGCTGAGGTTGGCTAAGAAACCTGGCCTGTGACTACACCAAGGCCACAGTGTCTCACTGGCTGTGGCTGTGGCTCTGGCTCCACAATCAGCCCCTGCTTTTGGTGTTGTGACCTGTAATTCTGTGATTCTTTCCAGGCATACTTGGTGCTGCTTTTTTTTTTTTCTATGTAAATTTTTGAATCATTTTGTTAGTGTCCAAAAAAACAAAAAACAAACAAACAAACAAAAAAACAAAAACAAAAACAAAAAAAAACGCTGCTGGGATTTTTATAGGATTGCCTATAATCTATACATCAACTTGAGGAAAACTGGCACCTTTCCAATAAGAACTCTTATAATCCACGAACATGATATATCCTTCCATTTACCTAGGTCTTTTATATTTTCTATTTTCTAAATTTTTTTATTTTTTTATTATTATACTTTAAGTTTTAGGGTACATGCGCACAATGTGCAGGCTAGTTACATATGTATACATGTGCCATGCTGGTGTGCTGCACCCATTAACTCATCATCTAGCATTAGGAATATCTCCCAGTGCTATCCCTCCCCCCTCCCCGCCCCCCACAACAGGCCCCAGAGTGTGATGTTCCCCTTCCTGTGTCCATGTGTTCTCATTGTTCAGTTCCCACCTATGAGTGAGAATATGCGGTGTTTGGTTTTTTGTTCTTACGATAGTTTACTGAGAATGATGATTTCCGATTTCATCCATGTCCCTGCAAAGGACATGAACTCATCATTTTTTATGGCTGCATAGTATTCCATGGTGTATATGTGCCACATTTTCTTAATCCGGTCTATCATTGTTGGACATTTGGGTGGGTTCCAAGTCTTTGCTATTGTGAATAATGCCGCTATGGTGTTTTTTTGTTGTTGTTGTTGTTGGTTTTTCTTTATAGGAATCTAGCAAGTCTTCTGTTAGATTCATTCCTGGCTTTTGTACATTTCTACTGATATTGTAAATACTATTCTTCACATTTCGGTTTCTAGTTGCTTGTTACTGGCATTAAAATGAAATGACTTTTGTGTATTGACATGCACGTAGCAGTGATGCTGAATTCTCTTAATAATTCAATAGTTTGTGAATTCTTTTGGATTTTCTACATAGTATTAGATAGGAGAGTCTTATCTTTTTCTTTTCATGTTTTATTATATTGATTGATTGCTTACTTATTGTCCTGGTTAGGAGCTCCAGTACAATTTTGAATAATGGCTGTGCCCAGGCTGGTTTTGAACTCCTGGCTTTGAACAATCCTCCTGTGTCAGCCTCCTACAGTGCTGGGATGACAGGCGTGAGCCACCGTACCCAGCCTTGTTTTCTATTTGAATATATCCTGTATCTTCCTTTATATTCCTTTCATTCTACTTCAGGTTTTTTGGTTTTTCCAAATGTAATTTCTTGAGATTGGTAGTCAGACAATTGATCTTTCAGCTTTCTTCTCTCCTACATAGGCATTTAAGACCATGAATTTTCCTCTAAGCATGGCTTAGCTGCATACCACACATTTTGATATGTTGATATATCATTGAGATGTTGATATGTGTGTGTAAGTATGTAAAACGTTTTACATGTATTTTAAATGTATGCAAATTCTACAGCTGTTGGGTGACGTGTTCTACACATGTACATTAAGTCAGGCGTGTCAGTCAGAATGCATGAATCTTTTGTATGTTTTTCTGGCATTTTGTCTGCTTATTCTATTAATTCCTTAGAGAGGTATGTTAAAGTCTATCGTATTCATTGTAGATTTCCTGTTTCCTCTTTTATTCCCACCAAGTTTTGTCTCATATATTTCGAATATATGTTAATTAGGTACATGCAAATTTAAAATGATCATATTTCTCTGACATATTCTTTTGCCACGATGAGACATCCGTCTTTATTTCTAGTAATGCTCCTTTCTTTAAAATTGATTTGCATATTAGTCTAGGAAACCACCATTCTTTTGATTACTGTATGCATGCCTTTTTTCCCATGTTTTAATGTTCAACCCGTTAGTATCCTCATGTAGAAAGTGTGTCTCTTTTACATCATACATTTAAAAAAAATCTAATCAGACATTCTTGCTTTTTAAACTGGAGCATTTAATCCATTTATGTGTTATGCAAGTACTAATATATTTGAGTTTATAATTTTGCTATTTGTTTTTTCTGTTACCTGTTCTTCCCTTCCTTGCTTTCTTTTATATGAATCAATGTTTTCATGATTTTATATTCTCCCCTTTTTACCTTGTTATACATCCTTTTGCTGTTATTTTAATAGGTAAACTAGAAATTATAACATGTATTCTTGTGTCACTACAGTGCCTCTGTCTAATCTAATTAGCACTTTTACCACTTCCCAGACAATTCAATTACCCTAGAACACTTTAACTTCATTTAACCCCTTTACCATTTGTGTTATGGGTATATTTTATTTCTATATATATATTTCAAGCACCACAAGACAGCGTCACTCTTATGATTCAGTACTCTGAACAATTCTTGAGACTCATATATCTACATACATTTTTCTGTTCTCTACATCTTCCTGAATTTCTGTGCAGGATTGTTGTATTATACCGGTGGACATCTCTTTAATATCTTAGTTAGGCCTGCTAATTTTTGTTTGTCTGGAAATATGTCTATTAATCTTCACTTTTCAATGATATTTTCACTGGGCATAGAATTCTAGTTTGGATATTAGTTCCTTTAACCACTTTAAAGGTGTCTTTTTTTTTTTTTTTTTTTACTGGTTTCCACCATTTCTGTTGAGAAGTTAACTGTCATTATTACTGTTTACTCCTTTGAAAGTAATGCCTCATGTGGCTTTTCTCCTTAAGAACCTAAGAGTGGTTACTATCACATGAACTTTAAATATTTTTTTTTTAAAGAGAGGAGAAAAAAATAACCTAAGTGTGGCTTTCTTTTCCTGTATCCTGCTTGTCAGTTCTATTGTTACTTCTTTGTGATAAAGTGGGTTTTTAAAATCTGGTTGCTTTTCAGTTTTTCTTTGTCTTAGATTCTCAATTATTTCATTAAGATGTCCCCAGGTGTGATTTTCTTTTTATTTAAACTTCTTAGAGTTCATAACATTTTTGAATATATACTTCTATAATTTTATCAGTTTTAAAATATTCTTGACCATCACCTTATCAAATAGGGCGCCTTCCCACCTTTATTCCTTCATCTCTTTGGGGACTGTAGTTAATATGTATATTTAGTATTATAATCACATGTGTATTTTCTATCATTTTTCCCCTTTTGCACTTCAATGTGGGTATTTTTCTATTCTATCATCCAGCTCATGAGTCCTCTTTTTAGTTCTATCTAATGTGCTGTTAGACTTGTCTATTGAGTATGTAATTTCAGTTACTTTATTTTTGAGTTTTTGGATGTCCAGTTTCAATTTGAGACTCTAATTCTCTACTAGAACTCCCCATTTTATTATTTATTTTCTTGTATATGTTAACCATAGTTCTTTAAAAATCCATACCTTATGACTGTAATGTATGGATCATCTATGGATATGCTTCTGTTGTCTGCTTTTTCTCTGTGTCTTATTTCATGGTATACATGCTAATTTTTGAACTTTTTCTTGAATGATGGTGCAGAGCCTCTCTACGGTATTACAGTCTTACAGAGAAGAATTTTATTTTATTTGAGTTTATATCAGGCAGTTATATCAGGGGAAGACCACTCAGGCTAATCAGAATTTGGTTGATCACTTCAGGACTGGGTTTCTACTCTGTAAGACAGGGTCTTTTTTCTTCTATTTGCCGCTTTTCCCAGGTATACCTCTGAACTTCACTTTTTCTTTTTTAGCCCTGTAAGACTGCTGAAAGCCATGCTTAGTTTCTCCGACATCTAGAACTGTTTGTGCTTGTCTTTCTAACCTTTTGCTAGTCCCCACTTACGCATTGGCAAATATCTCAAGGGGAAAACCAGAGTAGAAATGCTGGGCTTGTGTCTCAATGCTTGCCTTCCCTCCAAGATCTTGGACCTATGTGTCCTGGTAGCCATCATGTCCTTGAATATAACCTTCATCTCCCATCTCTATAAACTGCCAAAAGCTCTGCTCAGCTCCCACTTCATGCTTGGCTTTCTGCTCAGGTTCTCAGCCTTTTGCCCACATAACTTGCAAACTAAATAAACCTCAAAGTGAAAGCAATGGAGAATACTCGTCTCATCTAAATATGTTTTCTTTTTCTCCGGGATCTTGGACTATCTGTCTTCGTTTGGTAGACCTTTCTCCAACCTTGAAAATAACACAATCACGTAAAATTCACCTTTTTAATATACATATTTCATCTAGTTTTTGTGTGTGTATGTTTTCAGCAAAAGATTTGTCTTGCTGCAGACTAGTCCTTTATATCATCAACCAGATGACTAATATATATCTTAGTCACTTGATTTCCTATTATAAAATAACATCCTATGTATCAGTTTTTGTTCTAAGCAACAAAAAAGCAAAGATTGTTTTTGTTCTAAGCAACAGAAGCTGACTCTGGTTAACTTAAATTAATTTTTTTTAAGGTGTACTATCTGGGATTGGCATTACCATGACCTTCATTGTGTATCTGAGGCTCTGAGGCTCTGGAAGGTTGAGTAACAGGCCCAAGGTTGCAGAGGCAATAGGGAGTGATGTAGGGATCCAAACTGATGCTCCCCAGCCCACAGATGCCATTGTGTCCTGCTACTCCCCAGTGACAAGGTAGTTTCACACACAGTTGTAAGAAATAATGCAGAGAAATCTTGCATACCCTTCTTTCAGCTTTCCCCAATCTTGCAAAACTAGGGTACAAGTGTATATCAAGACAAGGATGTTGGCATTGACACACTCAACCAACTTCATTGACATGGCACCAATTTAATGTGCACCCTGATATAGACTGAATGTGTCCCCTCAAAATTCCTATGTTGAAATCCTAATCCCAAAGGTGATGGTCTTAGGAGATACGGCTTTGGAAGGTGATTAGAACATGAGGGTGGGGCCTTCATGAATGGGGTTCGTGCCCTTATGAAAGGGACCGCAGAGAGCTCTCGTGCCCTCTTTTCTCCATGTCAGTGGCAGTTTGCAGCCTGGAAAGGGTCTTTACCGGAACCAGGCTGTGCTGGCATCTTGATCTTGAATTTCTAGCCTCCAAAACTAGGAGAAAAACCTGAAGCAGGCTTTAGAAACTAGAATCCTTCTTCCCCAAAGCAAGCCATGACACCTAGAAAGGTCACTCTTACCTCTTCCCTTCTCCCCTGAAGTTCCTCATTGTCCTTCCTCATACCCGGGGCGGGGGAGGAATGTTTTGCAGAAACACAGAAAAGAATCTGAACAAACCGGCCTTGCTGAAGATCCCCCCAGATTATTACCATTAGATCATACCCATTTTGTTCCATTTTACTTCTCCACAAATTAAATTTTTCATCAGACTTATTATAAAAATACATAGTTTTCCCTGGGTCTTTGAATATTCATTTCGGGAGGCTCCTCACATTAACCTTTATAAAAATAAATGTGTTATGCTTTCTCCTGGCAATCTGCCTTTTGTTACAGGGTTGTCGGTCAAGACCCTTGCCATGGGTGAGGAAAAGGTGCTTTTTCTTCCCTACACGTGGGTATTTAGTTCCCTGTAATTTTATGCCACGTGTAGATTCTTGTGAACATCACTTCAGTCCAGAAACAGCATATCCGTCATAAGGCCCCTTGTGCCACTTTGTCATAGCCACACCACGCGCTTTCCTTGTCAAACTCTGGCAACCATGGACCTGCCTCCCATCTCTAAAATTTTGCCATTTTAAGAAAGTTATATAAATGGAATCATGTACTAAGTAACCCATTGAGATTGGTGTTTTTCACTCAAGGTAATTCCCTTGAAATCCAACCAGGTTTTCTCACGCATCAGTAGTTCACCCCTTTTCATTGCTGAGAGGTATCCCACAGGGGTTTCCTTTCAGGATTGTATAAGATACACTATGTTGAAAGCTTAGAATGGTGACATTATAGGTGCCTACTGCATAATGGGACATCCTGTAATGGAAGCTGGTGCTTTTCCTCTATGCAGAAACATGATGTAATTTTTAAAAATTGAGTTCAATTACACATGCAACTTTAGGACAGAAGAGATCAAGTTACCCTGGATTAAGTGTTCAGTTACGAACGGTATTGGGAGGCTGAATTGAGATGCCTCCCTCTCCTGCAGAACTTAGAAACACTGGCTTCAACAGGGCTTTAAGAAATAGATCAACACGTAATTCCCCAGATGAGAGAGGCAGAGCCAGCTAGGGAGGGAGAGAGAAGGCTGGCTGGGACCTGGGTGAATTTATTAACAACTTCAGGATGAGGTTGTGTCATTCAAAGAAGGTTTGCTGTGCTCAGGAAGCTGTGTATAAATCCCACTGGCAAATACTGGGAGTTTCATTTAGAACCTCTCTGAGGGGTAGAGAGAGCTTTAGCCATGGAGGCAATCTGGCCAGGGTGGCAAAGCCCATCAGGTGAAGCTGATGCATCTTCCTAACCCAGTGACATTAAACATTGAACACCCCTCCCTCTTCCTGTGTCTATTCCAGGCTCCCCAGGCTATGTGCTGATTATTTGTGGTACCCCCATTGTCTGCCTGCAGGGAAATAATGCAGGAATCATAGAGACTTTGAGCATCCTGTGCCCAGCATGAGTTACTTCTCATTCTAAAATCAAACAAATGATGCTCTGAATACAAGTTGGCTTCTTATGCCTACCATGCACGGGCAATCTTTTCAATCACCATGATAATTACAGGACATTTTGCTGCCATTTATTGAACACTTATTAGGTGCCAGGCTCCCCAGGAAGCCCTCTGTGCATATTATTTTGTGTCAATCCCCGCTCCAATCCTATGAGGTAGGATTGAGAGAGGGGATTAACAATCCACAGTGTGCAGGTGGCATCACTGGGATTTGAATC
The DNA here is from genome assembly GCF_000001405.40 of Homo sapiens. Classification (NCBI taxonomy): domain Eukaryota; kingdom Metazoa; phylum Chordata; class Mammalia; order Primates; family Hominidae; genus Homo; species Homo sapiens. Next base: position 60,191,967 of record NC_000020.11, read on the forward strand.
TAGGTGGGTTTGATGCCAGAGTCTGTGTTCTTGACCACAAAATGACAGAGATGAGTTACTGTAAGTTAAAAATTGGCATTTGGAGCTTAGACTTCAGCTGTAAAAACTTGGCATATGTGGGGTTGCCATTGTGAGAAGGATCAGCTCTTGATGTGCTGGCAAACCAGCATCTGTAAAGTCTGTGACCACAGCCTGAACCAGGGCACATTTGCAGGCTGAAGAGGACAGTAGAAATCATGATAATGTTGTATAACAATGATGGGGGTCATTGTTTAGAATGAGCTCCGTTTTAGGCGCAACAGACCAACCAGACCAGAATGGATTCATCCATACTAAGTGCCATGTAATCAAACTGACTCATACGGACCAGTTTTCCAAAAAACAGGAGATTCCTAGCAGCAGTTGGAAGAAGCCCCATTTGTCTGAAACAGCATGATACAGAAGTTCCCTCCATTTTGACCTTATAAGGAAAGTAACCTGTAATGCCCATTCTACTTTTTATTCCTTTTTTCAGCCATAAAGTCCATCTCCTTTTCTCAGCTTACAGGATCTTCTTTCTAAAGCTTTAGATGGAATGTTGCCTGACACATGACTCACTAATGAAAGCCAGCTACATCTCTAAACTAAATTGGTGAGAATGCTACTTATTTTTTTTAACAACAGTAATAAGAGGAAGAGTAGAATAGCTAAAACTTAGTAAATGAATATTTGGGTCAAGTGCTGTTCTATGTGCTTTACACATGTTAACTCATTAATCCTTAAAACAAGCCTTTGAGATAAAAACAATGGCATTAGCTGCATTTGGTAGATGAGGAAATGGAGGCACATGGGGGCGAGGTGACTTGGTGACTTGTCCAAGTCATACAGTGGTGAGGAGCAGAGCTGGGATTCAAGCTGGACAGCCTTGGTCCAGAGGGCACATACTTCACTGTGGATCTGTGCCATCCCCTCCATTATTCAGGGCCACAATGGAGGAGCTCTGGGCCTCCTGTGCTGGGTGCTGGCCTGGCCATCCTTTGAGGGGAGGGGGACACTGCCAGGCTCTTGTTGCAGAGGAGGAAGACTAGATGCCCTGCAGTGTCTGGGAGTACTTCTAGCTGCTTCTTCTCAGGTGAGGAGGAATCATTTGATCTGTCAAAATGAGTTTGGGCCAGTGAGGGTTACCCAGGTCACAAACTCTGGTTAAGCAGAAGAGGATCTAGTAAGAGCATGAGAACTCTGCTTGGGAAATGGCAAGATCAAGGGCAGAGTTATGGTCCAGGTAGCAGGAGCTGGCACCAGGCATCTCAACTCAGTGTATCTGGTGGGAATCAGGTTAACTCTTTTCCCTATCTTGTGTCATCTTGGCTAACAGAATATCTGGGGGTTGGTGGAAAGAGAGCTCATGAGATTGCCCCAGCTTGAGTTCCAGTGCCCCTTTACCCCAACATTGCTAAGCAATGAAGCAACGGCAGGGCATCTTGACTTATAGCCAGTAACCAGCCCACCCCACCAAGCAATGGCAGGGCACCTTGAATGACAGCCAGCCTACCCCACTAAGCAATGGCCGGGCACCTTGACTGACAGCCGACATACCCCACTAAGCAATGGCCGGGCACCTTGACTGACAGCCGACATACCCCACTAAGCAATGGCCGGGCACCTTGACTGATAGCCAGCCTCCCCCACTAAGCAATGGCAGGGCACCTTGACTGACAGCCAGCCTACCCCACTAAGCAATGGCAGGGCACCTTGACTGACAGCCAGCCCAGTGCACTAAGCAATGGCAGGGCACTTGACTTATAGCCAGCCCATCCCACTAAGCAAAGGCAGGGCACCTTGACTTATAGCCAGCCCACCCCACCAAGCAATGGCAGGACACCTGACTTGCAGCCAGCCCACTCGACTAAGCAATAGCAGGACAACTTGACTTGTAGCCAGCTCACCCCACCAGCAATGGCAGGATACCTTGACATGGAGCCAGCCTACACTACTAGACAATGGCAGGGAACCTTAACATACAGCCAGCCCACCCCACCAAGCAATGGCAGAATACCTTTACTTATAGCTATCCTACTCAACTAAGCAGGGCACTTTGACCTCCCACCAACCCAAGACCATACACAGTGGGAGAGGGGCAATTTCCCCAAAGGGAGATGGGCATTGTGCAAAAAGTAGGGAAATAGATGTTGGGGTAGCCCAACCCAAGCAAATCCCCTAAAGAAGTGTGTGGTCCACAGCCACCATATTGGGTAAAACAGGGGAGGCAAGTGCTTTGGGTGGTGACTGCAGAAGAGGAGAAACAGTCCCTAACATTCTGCCAATTTACCTGTTAAAAGTCCTGTGTCTCTTCAATGGGTCCTTGCAGTCTCTAGGGAAACTCAATTTCCCATAAATGATGGTTAAAACAATAAAATAATTTCATCAAACTTGGGCATATTACATTTGGCTATCTTTAAAGTGGAAGAAAGTCTGGAATCATCCATTTTCCCTCTCATTACCTTTAATTTCCTTGCCATCATTTTTTTTAAAACCAAGTTAAATCCATTAAAAAGTCAATGAAAATGAATGGGTCTTTACTGGACATGCACACAATGTCCCTTTATGCAGAAATTGCCCGAAAAATTGCCAAAGAATTTACCTCCATAATTGGGATGTCTCTAAAAGTTTAAGAAAGTGCCAGTTTGTCAAAAAGAAAGGTAAAAGGAGATGAAACAAGTTCAAAGGTATTTCAAAAGGAAAAGACTTCAAATGGGAAGTTTCCAAATGATTCCTTTGGTCCTAAGGATAAGATATTTGTGCAGAATAGTTGGCTGGAGGTGCTGGTCCCTCGACACTGCTATGTGGAGGTGAGACCTGTGAGTGCTTGAAGAGAGAGAATGCCAGTGTGCATATCTGCATCCAACAGGGACAGGGGCCCACATATTTTATTGGGAGCAGTTGCTTTTAATTTTTGTAAGGCTTTGAAATTACCAAAATTGGGATGCTTTTGCTCATCATGAAATGGCTAAACTTTGCAGTGAAGGTGTTCTAAAGTAATGTTCCCGAAGAGAATGGACGGAGCACCTCCCTGACCTGCCCCTGCAAATCCTGCTGACTCTTCTGCACAAATACCTTTTCCTACAGTCCCCTCCCCACTGAGAAATCCAGCAAGGCTGGGACTCAGCAAGTGGCTTAGAGCTGTGAGATATGAGACTTCAAGAATGAATGTTGTATAGAAAGAACTTTTGGTACATTGGTCCCTGGAAAAACACAGTTCTGCATAACATTCTATTTTTATAAAATGAATTTTTCTGTGGTCAGTTAAGAGAAACCCATTTGAGCCCTTAGCATTGTGTACATTTGTGTATTCAGGTCTCTTGGGAATCCTACACAAAAGAAATTCAGATAACTTAGTGAAATTCAGTCTCTTTCAAATATATTGAACAATATACCCTTTGTTCCAAGGAATATATTTTTTGGAAATGCTCTTTTTCTTTTTTTTTTTAAGTTTAAGTTCTGGGATACATGTGCAGGATGTGCAGGTGTGTTACATAGGTAAACATGCACCATGGTGGTTTTTTGCACTTATCAACACATCACCGAGGCATTAAGCCTAGCATGCATTAGCTATTTTTCCTGGTGCTCTTCCTCCTCGCACGACCCCTCCCCCGATGACAAGCCCCAGTGTGTGTTGTTCCCTTTCCTGGGCCCATGTGTTCTCATTGTCATCTCCTACTTATAAGTGAGAATATGTAGTGTTTGGTTTTCTGTTCCATGGATAATGGCTTCCAGCTCCATCCATGTCTCTGCAAAGGACATAATCTTGTTCCTTTTTATGGCTGCATAGTATTCCTCAGTGTATATATACAACATTTTCTTTATCTAGTCTATCATTGATGGGGATTTCGGTTGACTCCATGTCTTTGCTATTGTGAATAGTGCTGCAATGAATGTATGTGTGCATGTGTCTTTATAATTAATATTCCTTTGTGTCTATACCCAGTAATGGGATTGCTGGGTCAAATGTTATTTCTGGTTCTAAGTCTTTGAGGAATTGCCACACTATTTTTCACAAGGGTTGAACGAATTTATATTCCCACCAACAGTGTAAAAGTGTTCCTGTGTCTCCATAGCCTCACCAGCATCTCTCGTTTCTTGACTTTTTAATAGTAGCCATTCTGACTGGTGTGAGATGGTGTCTCATAGTGGGTTTGATTTGCATTTCTCTAGTGATCAGTGATATTGACATATTTTTAGTGATCAGTGATGTTGAGCTCTTTTTCATATGTTTATTGTCTTTGAGAAGTGTCTGTTCATGTCCTTCACCCACTTTTTAATGGGGTTGTTTTTTTCTTGTAAATTTGTTTAAGTTCCTTGTAGATTCTGTATATTAGCCCTTTGTCAGATGGATAGATTGTGAAAATTTTCTCCCATTCTATAGGTTGTCTGTTCACTCTGATTGTAGTTTCTTTTGCTGTGCAGAAGCTCTTTAATTAAATCCCATTTGTCAATTTTTGCTTCTGTTACAAATTGCTTTTGAGGTTTTCATTATGAAAGCTTTGCCTGTGCCTAGGTCCTGAATGGTATTGCCTAGATTTTCTTCTAGGGTTTTTATAGTTTTGGGTTTTACGTTTAAGTCTTTAATCCATCTTGAGTTAATTTTTGCATAAGGTGTAAGGAAGGGGTCCAGTTTCAGTTTCCCTCATATGGCTTGCCAGTTTTCCCAGCACCACTAATTAAATAGGGAATCCTTTCCCCATTTCTTGTTTTTGTCAGGTTTGTCAAAGATCAGATGGTTGTAGATGTGCAGTCTTATTTCTGAGTTATTCTGTTCCATTGGTCTATGTGTCTGTTTCTGTACTGGTACCATGCTGTTTTGGTTACTATAGACTTGTAGTATAATTTGAAGTTAGTGGCATGATGCCTCCAGCTTTGTTCTTTTTGCTTAGGATTGTCTTGGATGTACAGGCTCTTTTTTGATTCCATATGCATTTTAATGTAGTTTTTTTCTAATTCTGTGAAGAATGTCAATGGTAGTTTAATGGGAATAGCATTGAATCTATAAATTACTTTGGGCATTATGGCCATTTTCACAATATTGATTCTTCCTATCCATAAGCATGGAATGTTTTTCTTTTTGTTTGTGTCCTCTCTGATTTCCTTAAGTAGTGGTTTGTAGTTTTCCTTGAAGAAGTCCTTCACTTTCCTTGTTAGCTGTATTCCTAGGTATTTTAACCTTTTTGTAGCAATTGTGAATGGGAGGTCATTCATGAATTGACTCTCTACTTGTCTAATGTTGTATAGGAATGCTTATGATTTTTGCACATTGATTTTGTATCCTGATACTTTGCTGAAGTTGCTTATCAGTTTAATAAGCTTTTGGGCTGAGATGATGGGGTTTTCTAAATATAGAATCATGTCATCTGCAAACAGAGACAGTTGACTTCCTCTCTTCCTGTTTGGATACCCTTTATTTCTTTCTCTTCCCGGATGCCTTGGCCAGAACTTCCAATACTATATTGAAAAGGAGTGGTGAGAGAGGACATCCTTGTATTGTGCCAGTTTTCAAGGGAATGCTTCCAGCTTTTGCCCATTCAGTATGATACTGGGTGTGGGTTTGTCATAAATGGCTCTTATTATTTGGAGGTATATTCCTTCAATACCTAGTTTATTAAGAGTTTTTAATATGAAGGGATGTCGAATTTTACTGAAGGCCTTTTCTGTACCTATTGAGATAATCATGTGGTTTTTATCTTTGGTTCTGTTTACATGAGGAATTACGTTTATTGATTTGTATATGTTGAACTAGCCTTGCATCCTGAGGATGAAGCCAACTTGATTGTGGTAGATGAGCTTTTTGATATGCTGCTGGATTTAGTTTGCCAATATTTTATTGAGGATTTTGCATTGATGTTCATCAGGGATATTGGCCTGAATTTTCTTTTTTTGTTGTATCTTTGCCAGGTTTTGGTATCAGAACTGTGCTGGTCTCATAAACTCATAAAATGAGTTAGGGAGGAGTCCCTCCTTTTCAATTGTTTGGAATAGTTTCAGAAGAAATGGTACCAGCACCTCATTGAACCTCTGGTATAATTCAGCCATAAATCCATCTGGTCCTGGGCTTTTACTGGTTGGCAGGCTATTTATTACTGCCTCAGTTTCAGAACTTGTTTCGGTCTATTCAGGGATTCAACTTCTTCTTGTTTCAGTCATGGGAGGATATATGTGTCCAGGAATTTTTCCATTTCCTCTAGATTTTCTAGTTTATTTTCATAGAGGTGTTTATAGTATTCTTTGATGTTTGTTTGTATTTCTGTGGGGTCAGTAGTGATATCCCCTTTATCATTTTCTATTGTGTCTATTTGATTCTTCTCTCTTTTCTTCTTTATTAATCTAGCTAGTGGTCTATTTTATTAATTTTTTTCAAAAAAAAACTGGATTAGCTATTTTCCTGAAGGGTTTTTCATGTATCTATCTCATACAGTTCCACTCTGATTTTGGTTATTTCTTGTCTTCTGCTAGCTTTGGGGTTTGTTCGTTCTTGGTTCTCTAGTTCTTTTAGTTGTGATGTCAGAATGTCGATTTGAGATCTACTTTTTTGATGTGGGCGTTTAGTGATATCAATTTCCCTCTTAACACTGCTTTAGCTGTGTCTCAGATTCTGGTATCTTGTCTCTTTCTTCTCATTGGTTTCAAATAACTTCTTGATTTTGGCCTTAATTTAATTATTTATGCAGGAATCATTTAGGAGCAGGTTGTTCAATTTCCATGTAGTTGTGTGGTTTTGAGTGAATTTCTTAATCTTGAGTTCTAATTTGATTGTGTTGTGGTCTGATGGACTGTCATGATTTCAGTTCTTTTGCATTTGCTGAGGGGTGTTTTACTTCCAATTATGTGATCAATTTTAGAGTGACATGTGGTGCCAAGAAGAATGTACATTCTATTGTTTTGGGGTGGAGGGTTCTGTAGAAATCTATCAGGTCCACTTGATCCAGAGTTGAGTTCAAGTCCTGAACATCTTTGTTAATTTTCTGTCTCAGTGATCTGGCTAATATTGACATTGGGGTGTTCAAGTCTCCCACAATTATTATGTGGGAGTATAAGTCTCTTTGTAGGTCTCTAAGAACATGTTTTATGAATCTGGATACTCCTTTATTGGGTGCATATATATTTAGAATAGTTAGCTCTTCTTGTTTAATTGAGCCCTTTACCATTATGTAATTCCCTTCTTTGTCTTTTTTGATCTTTGTTGTTTTAAAGTCTGTTTTGTCAGAAACTAGAATTGCAACCTCTGCTTTTTTCTGCTTTCCATTTGCTTGGTAAATTTTTCCCCGTCTCTTTATTTTGAGCCTATGTGTATCTATGTGTATTCAAGTGATGGGTCTCTTGAATACAGCACACTGATGGGTCTCAATTCTTTATCCAGCTTGCCAGTCTGTGTCTTTTAATTGGGGCATTTAGCCCATTTACATTTAAGGTTAATATCGTTATGTGTGGATTCGATCCTGTCATCATGATGCTAGCTGGTTATTTTGCACACTTGTGATGTAGTTGCTTCATAGTGTCATTGGTCTGTGTGCTTCAGTGTGCTTTTGTAGTGGCTGGTAACAATTCTTCTTATCTACCTTCTGAAGCCTACTTCTGTCATTTTCATCCATCTCAGCCTCAGCCCAGTTCTGTGCCCTTGCTGGAGAGGTATTGCAATCATATGGAGAAGAGGCAGTCTGGTTTTTTGAGTTTTCAGCATTTTTTCATTGATTCTTTCTCATCATCATGACTTTATTTACCTTTGATCTTTGGGGCTTTGAGGTTTCTGATCTTTGGATGGGGCTTTTTGTGGGGACTTTTTTGTTGATGCTGTTGTGGTTGTTGCTTTCTGTTTGTTTGCTTTTCTTTTTAACAGTCAGGCCCCTCTTCTGTAGGGTTGCTGCAGTTTTCTCAGGGCCCAGTCCAAACCCTATTTGCCTGAGTCTGTCCCACACCTGGAGCTGTCACCCAGTGGAGGCTGCAAAACAACAAAGATGGCTGCCTGCTCCTTCCTCTGGGGGCTCCATCCCAGAGAGGCACTGACCTGATGCCAGCCAGAATGCTCCTGTATAAAGTGTCTAGTGACCACTGTTGGAGGGTCTCACCCAGTCACAAGGCATGGGATCAGGGACCCACTTAACGAAGCAGTCTGGCTGCCCCTTGGCAGAGGAGGTGTGCTGCCCTGAGGGGAATCCCACTTGTCTGGACTGCCCAGATTCCTCAGAGCCAGCAGGGGAAAGACCAAGTCTGCTGATCTATGGAGACTGCGGCAGCCCCTTTCCCCAGGGGTTCCATCCCAGTCCTAGGGAGATCAAAGTTCTGTCCATAAACCCCTGGCTGGAGTTGCTGAAATTCCCACAGGGAGGCCCTATTGGGTGAGGAGGGATGGGTCTGAGTTCAGCCTAAAGAGGCAGTCTGGCCATGGTCTGCCACAACCGCTGTGCTGTGCTGTGGGGAATTCCTCCTAGGTCCAAACCACCCAGTCTCCACGGCACCAGCAGAGGGAAACCGCAGACTGGAGCTGCAGTGATGGTGGCCGCTCCTCACCCTGGCAACTCAGCAGTCTTAGGCAGCCTCCTGCCGAGTGGCCTCTGAGAACCTGCACAGCTGTGTGCTTGGGACCCGAGGCCCTGGTGGCGTGAGCTCACGAGGGGACCTCCTGATCCATGGGTTGCACATATCAGTGGGAAAAGTGTGGTTTCCCGGATGGGGTAGCACAATCACTCGCCACTTCCCTTGGCTGGGGGTGGGAGGTCCCCTTGCCTTGGGTGGCTCCTGGGTAGGCTGTCACTCCACCCTGCTTTTTCTCGCCCTTCGTGGGTCACGCCAACCGCCTAGTCAGTCCCAGTGAGAACCTGGACACCTCAGATGCTGGCGCAGGATTCACTCGCTGTTTTTATTCTGCTTGGTGGGAGTCTCCAACCATAGCTGTTTCTAGTTGGCCATCTTGGCCCCAGAAATGCTCTTTTTCTAGATTTTGGGTTATCAGTTGGGGCCCCATCTTAAAAAAAAAAAAAAAAACAAGTGGTGCTGATACTTATAGCAGAAGACTTTCTAAAACAGATTTTTCTACTTTAACTTGCCATTTTCTTCAGGCCAGAAAAGCTGAGACCTCAGCACTTTGCAGGAAGGAAATAGGTCTCTAGTGCATCCCGGAGACCCGGGGGACGAAGGGCTCTATGAGTTCACATGGTTTCAATATGGTGATGTCATGTGGCACAGCAATGTCCCCTGAACCTATGCCGGATTGGTTTTTAACAGTATCATCAAACAGCACATCTACCAGGACTCTTTAGGTTAAAAAAAATCCAGCTCAAACTGGATTAGAAAAGGAAGAGGGGAATTAATTGGCTGCAGGCATGGCAGATCCAGGGGCCCCAGGTGACATAAGGACTCACTCTGTTCCATTTCTCACTCACTATGTTGGTTTCATTTTCTAAGATGCCTTATACTCAGCAGTCTCTCTCCATGCAATGACAAAAGGTGGCCTTCAGCAGCTCCAGGCACACAGCCTCCCAGCTCAGCACCCTCACCAGAGAAAGCACAGATCCAGCAAACAATTAGAGGATGGCTTCATTTAATTGCATTAGGTTATGTGACCATCTCTGCACTCATTCCCATGATTAGATGTGAAAACTATTCTTAGAACTAGCCTGTGGGTCTGCACCATCCTTACCACATGGTCTGAGAGTAGGGAAGGGGTGAGGTCCCCAAACAAAATGATGACAGCACACCTGGAAGAAGGGGAATGCTTGCTGGGCAGTGAAGAGGTGTCTTTCACATTAAGGCTGAGAAATGGAAAATTAATCGGTGATCCAAGTGAGGCTCAAGAGGAAATTCTCCCTACTGCCTATTCAATTGGAATTCCCCTGAGGTTGGTGCTCAATGAAACTTTGTTAAATATGTTAAATGAAATAATTGTTCAAGAAAGCAGAAGATAGCAAACTGTCATCTGTAAGGCAAAATTGCAAACTACTGGAGATCGGTACAGTGGCTGACTCCCTTCCACCTGACTGGTTTGAAAATCAAATGATTTGACACATGGGCTCCTTGGAGAGATGAGGCGCCACAGCGTTTGGGCAGAGTTAGGCAAGGTTCCCACAAGATCTGCTGCAACCCAACACTGAAAACCCAGAATGATCCAGCCTTGCTCCCCGTCCTGATGTCTGCCGGCACTGCTGGGCAGAGGAAGGGCTCCTGTGTTATAGGCAGCTCCCCCACAGGCCCCTGGGTTGTCCTGACAAAGGAGAGGATGGCACCAGTCGCAGAAGCTGCCTGCCAACTCTCACAGTTGTTCTGGGCAGATAACTCCGTCCTGACAAGCCTGACTTGCCCTAGAGTCTCTCCAAAGCAAGGGCTGTGGCTGCAGGAGGGAGGGACATGGCTGCTCTGGACACCCTCAGGGTATTGTTCTTACGTGATCTGTGGACAAGCAGATTTGGTCCTTTAAACTCTGCCTTTACCTGTGGGCTGCTATTTCCCATCCACAACCCTTCTTCACCACTGTGGTTCCACTTAGGTGACTGCAGACCTAAAGCCCTACTGGGAGCATTGCATTTTCCAGCTTTCCTCTTTCAGTCTGTAATTGTCTTAAATAATAACACTAGGTGCAGCCCCGAATGGATGGCGTGCAGGCTCCCAGGTCACTAAAAAGTGGGTCCTAAACCATAGCTTTCTTTATGCCAGCTGTGTGTCTTTGGGAGAGAGGCTTACATTTTTGTTCCAATCTTTTTCGTTTTTTGATAAACTTTTTATTTCAGAATAGTTTAGATTTATAGAAAAACTACTAATACACCACAGAAAGCTCAACTGTCCCCATTATTGACAACCTACATCAGTATGACATATTTGTTATAATTAATCAATATTGATGCATTCTCATTAACTAAGGTCCAAACCTCATGTGGAGTTCCTTATTTTTTCCTCTGTGATGTCCCTTTTCTCTTGCAGGTGCCCATCCAGGACCCCACATGACAGCTAGTCATCATGTCTCCTTGAGAACCTCTTGGCTGTGACAGTTTCTCTGACTGTCTTTGTTTTTGATAACCTTGACAGTTTTGAGGAGGGTCCGGTCAGGGTTTTTGTAGAATATCCTTCAGTTGGGATTCATCCAATGTCTTTCTCATTGTTAGACAGGGAACATGGGGAGGCCTGTTCTATTTTCTTTTCTGATGGCTGACATGTAGTGAGCATCTGCTCTGATCTAGCACAGTGCTGATCACTGCTCCTGGATGATCTCATTTAATCATTACAAAGCAAACACCACATAGATATCATGATTAAGCCCATTTTACAGATGTGAAAAGTGAAGCACAGCAAGGACTAGTACCTTTGCTAAGTCCCGACAGCTGGGAAGATGGACAGCCGGTGGTGTTAATCGGAGTCTAGAGAGAACCAGAGATCAGGGATGCCAAATCCTCCTAGGATGCAGGCTAGAATGGAATCTTGATCATAAAAAACTTGCCATTTATTTGTGGCAGGTCTATGAGCTCTAGTTTTAAATTTTGTCAACTCCTACTGGCTTGAGCAAGACGTTTGACTCGAGGCCTGTAGCTTCCTAGGCCTGGCAACCTCCCACCATAGAAGGCCCTCCAAGGCCAGGGAGCCTGGACCTCTGTGGGCAAGAAGGTGTAGATGCAGCAAGCCTGGGCAGGGATGGCCTGATGAGTCCCACCCCAACTATGAAAGGAATTTGCAGGAGAGCTGGAAGGACAGAGGAGTTCAGAATTTAGGTGGGAGTGATGTCTAGTGTGGGCAAAAGGTAGCAGGGGAGGGGAAGCAAGGCAGCCTCGGGCCGTTTCACACAAAGGGTGGGTGAGCCCGGCCAGTCTGCAGCAGATATTCAGCCACTGCCCCTGCCCCAGCCCACTCATCAGCTCGTGGCTTCATCATGCTGTGGGATCCTGCAAACTACATTTCTCCTTTGGGTCCTGACAACAGGCAGGAGGCTGCAGGGCTCCTTTGTGTTCGGGTGTCCCCCAGCTGTGGGCTCCAAGCTCTACTTCTTCCAACACCCCAAAGCCAGCCTCGGGGGCCTGTGAGGCTCCTGTACACAGTGGGCCGTGCCCTCTGCTCTGTCCTCCCAGCTTCTAGGTTCTGATGGCTAACAATGAACATTTACTAGTTTAGTGTTGCCCTCAATTCAGTCTTTTTTTTTTTTGAGGCAGAGTCTCACTGTCACCCAGGCTGGAGTGCAGTGGCGTGATCACGGCTCACTGCAGCCTCCACCACCCAGGTTCAAGTGATCCTGCTGCCTCCACCTCCCCAGTAGCTGGGACTACACACAGTCTCACACCACCATGCCTGGCTAATTTTTGTATTTTTTGTAGAGATGGGATTTCACCATGTCACCCAGGCTAACCTGGAACTCCTGGGCTCAAGTGATCCTCCCGCCTTGGCCTCCCAAAGTGCTGGGATTACAGGTATGAGCCACCACGCCCAGCCAGTTCAGTTATTTATGTACCACCCTATGGATGGTTTTCAAATCCTACACTGCAAGTCAATTCATTCTTTTAAATATAAACATTTAAAATTTAAAGGTATGTATTTTTAAAAGACACTTCATATTTTTATTATCAGTGAAAAACGAATGTCTTAATTTGTCTTAATTTTTAAAAAATGCACGGCAATTAAACAAGTGTTTGTCCTTGTACTAAAATCTGTCTCCCACCATTCACGATGGAGTAACAGCCTCTGCAAAACCCTGGGGTATTCATTCAAATGGTATTTATTGAGGACCTATGGATGCAAATGCTTTTGTAATTGCTCTGAGGAGTTTTACAAAGGTGACCCAGACCCTCAGCCACAGTAAACCAGGCTTTCAAGCCTTCCTCCCCCACCGCCTTTCCACCCACAATGACCACTCAAACACGGAGCTTGGAATCCTTTGAAATGCCTGGTGGAGCTGGCTCTGTCCCTGATGGGTATGGCTGGTGTGAGGAACTGGGGACATCAGGGAGAACGCAGAACTGAACTTGAATTACTCACATCACACATGAGCTGAAACCCCCAGAAGTTTAACAGGACATTATTCATTATAATTTATGGAAATATATTAGAGAATTTCCCAATGTAACTGAAAAGGTCTAAATGATATTCAAAGGAGAATATTTAATGACATGTTAGAAGGTACTACATTTGAGAGCTGTTTGTTAAAGTGCTCCCAATTTTGACAAACGTTTGTAGAAGTGTTTTTTTTTTTAAATCCTGAGGGAACAGAAGTAATAATGTGGGTAAAAACTTTGAGTAATATTTACAAATGACACTGGGAAAAATAAGAAAGCATCTGACGTATTTTCTCTTGTTTGCATAATAAAATCAGACATCACTGGCTTATGTACATAATTATCAGGACTCATCTTTATAAAACCAATAAGGAATGTTAAATCAAGAATTTTTGTTAGAATTTTAAGTTAAACAGATGGTAAAGACTTACTAGTGCCGATTCATCTAATAAAAAAAAATCTCAGGATAACTTCATCTAATTTCATAAAATCAAAGCAAATAGAGTAAGTGCTTTACCATTTTCTTTTGAGAATATATACGTGTATATGAATATATATGTGTGTGTATATGAATATATGTGTATATATGTATGTGTGTGTGTATATTGCATTAAGTACATTTACAATGCTGTGAAAACATAATCGCTACCCACTTCCAGAACTTCCTTATCATCCTAAACAGAGGTTCTGTACCCACTAAACAATAACCCCCATTTTCTCCCTCTCCTCAGCCACTGATTATCTCTATTCTCGCTTCTGTCTCTGTGAATTTGCCAATTTTAGTTACCTTACATAAGAGGAATCATACAATATTTGTCTTTTTGTGTCTGTCTTATTCCACTTATAATATCTCCAAGGCTCATGCATGTTGCAGCATGTATCTGCATTTCATTCATTTTTAGAGTTGAATAATATTCCATTGTGTGGCTATGTCATATTTTGTTGGTCTTTCTATCTATTGAAGAGCATTTGGGTTGTTTCCACCTCTTGATTACCGTGAATAATGCAGCCATGAATATGGGTATTCAGGTGCCTGTTTGAGTCCCTGCTTTTAATTTTCATGGTTATATCCCTAGGAGCGGAATTGCTGTGTCGTATGGTTATTGGATGTTTAACTTTTTGAGGAACCCTTTTGTCATACTTTTATGTCAAATGAATCCTTTGGAAATTGAATTTATCTGTACAGTTATGAGGCACAGTCCTTTTTAAATTTTATTTTAAAATCCAGAAGCATTTGGTTACCCACTAATACCTACTGAGCCCCTCCTGATTGCTAGGCTGGGTTCTAGATGCGGGGACTATGTAGAGAACAAAACACAGCCCTTGTTCTCGTGCAACTTATGTTCTAATGTGGGAGACAGAAAGCAAGCATGTGAATCTATGATGTCAGAGAGTAAGAAAGTCCTAAGAGGACACAGAACAGAAGAGGGCGATGGAGAGTCTCCCTGAGCTCCTGTCATCACTGGGTGGCTGGGGAAGGCTCCTGCAGGGAGGCATTGAAGCAGAAACCTCCACTGACTGAGGAAGCCATGGTGGGGGAAGCTGGAAGGAAAACATTCCTAGCTGGAGGCACAGCAAGTGCAAAGGTTTGGCAGAATCCTAGAGCGGCTGGAAGCCTTGTGGCTGCAGCCCTGTGAGGGAGGGTGATTAGGGGGAAGCTGGCTGGATCACAGAGGGGCTCCCCAGCTGTATCAGTCAGTCCTCATATTGCTATAAAGAAATACCTGAGGCCAGGCACGGTGGCTCACGCCTGTAATCCCAGCACTTTGGTAGGCTGAGACAGGAGGATCACCTGAGGTCAGGAGTTCGAGACTAGCCTGGCCAACATGGTGAAACCCCATTTCTACTAAAAAATACAAAAATTAGCTGGGCATGGTGGTGCATGCCTGTGATCCCAGCTACTGGTGGGGTGGGGAGCTGAGGCAGGAGAATCACTTGAACCCAGGAGATGGAGGTTACAGTAAGCTGAGATCGCACCATTGCACTCCAGCCTGGGTGACAGAGGGAGACCCTGTCTCAAAAAAAAAAAAAAAAAAAAAAAAAAGAAGGAAAGAAAGAAAAATACCTGAGACTGAGTAATATGTTTGTTTGTTTTGAGACGGAGTCTCACTCTGTCACCCAGGCTAGAGTGCAGTGGCACAATCTCAGCTCACTGCAACCTCTGCCTCCCGGGTTCAAGCAATTATCCTGCCTCAGACTTCTGAGTAGCTGGGACTACAGGCACCCACTACCATGCCCGGCTAATTTTTTGTATTTTTAGTAGAGAAGGGGTTTCACCATGTTAGCCAGGATGGTCTCGATCTCCTGACCTCGTGATCCTCCCTCCTGGCCTCCCAAAGTGCTGGGATTACAGGCTTGAGCCACCATGCCTGGCCGAGACTGGGTAATTTATAAGAAGAGAGGTTTCATTGCCTATGGCTCCACAGGCTGTAGAGGAAGCATGGCAGCATCTGCTTCTGAGGAGGTCTCAGGGAGCTTCCAATCACGGCGGAAGGCAAAGTGGGAGCAGGCGTCTTACAGGACAGGAGCAGGACCAAGGGGGTGGGGGAGGTGCTGCACACTTTTAAACAGCCAGATATCAGGGGATCTCACTCATGATCAGACCGGCACCAAGGGGGAGATTAGCCCCCATTATCCAGTCACTTCCAACTAGGCCCCAGCTGGGGATTACAGTTCGATATGAGGTTTGGGTGGGGACACAGATCCAAACCATATCATCAGCTATGTGAGAACTTTGGGTTTCTGGTTGAGGGCAATGGCAGGCCCTTGCCAGGTTTTGTGCTGGGAGTGAGAGGATCTGGTTTCTATTTTGAAAGGATCCTTCTGCCTGTTGGTGAAAATGACTGGGGAGGGCAGAGAGTGGAAACAGGGAGGCCCACTTGCTCTCTGTGTGGGACGGCACCCCTGAGAGGGCATTTCTTCCAGGCTTAGGGAGTCAGTGCATGAAGAGCACGTTGAAACCGGCATTTCAATCTGACATTGAAGTTGCTTTCCAGGAAATTACACTCTTTCAACGCCTACATTAGAAGGGCTATGTGGGCCGTTCACCTTTTGCCTTTTCAATTTCTCATCAAACTCATTGCCCAGTGTACTCCTGTCATTACGCACAAATGAGCACATGAGGAGCAAATGGCATCCACACCTTTGCCAGCATCTCGGCAGCTGAGTCCTCCCCACACACAAAAGATGCTAAAGAGGACGTATGGGTCAAGATGCTCCTCTCTAAGCTAGGACCCAGGAAAAATAGTCTGTAAAATTAAGTGAATGCCTTCTTTCTGTGTGCTTCTCTCATCCTGTTTGAAGAAAACCAAATGCGAAAGAAGAATTAAAGAAGAAATCTGAAAGACTTCCCACGCGGAACTCTGGGATGGTAACCAAACCCAACCTCTAACCTTAATGTGAAGAGTATCTTGGGTTGTAATAACAAAAACAAAACAAAAAAATTTAGATTTTTAAGCACTTTGTTTATCTAGTTTTACAAACTTAGGAGTTACATGTTCCTTATTAAAATTTATTGGTGGAGGAGAAGAAGAGAATAGAAGAGGAAAATATCAATTGTTCCGTTTTGAGTACATGTTTCTCTTGATTAGTGAAGGGTTATTTCCAAATTTAATATGAGATGTTGGTGATCTGACGTTTAACATTTGAAGTTACTTAGAGTAACTTATTTCCCCAAATTCAGTAATGCCAAGAAACACAATTAAGCTGATTAACTCCATGGAATGGGCCGTCTGTGCTGTTTAATCCATTTTGGGGATGGTGACCTCCGACACCACACTTTGGCATCAGTATTGATGACTTCGTACATTTCCTGGCCCTCTCTACACTGGGGAAGTCATGTAACCACAGAAATAGTATTTATTTTTCTTACATGTTAAATCCCATCCCAAATCATATGGGAAGAGCAAAACGACAGTGCAAATTATAATCCAAACGAGATAAAGTGACAACAGTAGACCAGGAGGTCTTGAAAGTTAAAAGGCAAATAAAATCAGCCACTCAGAGAAACGAAGCCAGAGCAAACACAGGCAAAGGTCCGGGAAGGGCAGGAAAGAGTCCAGAGCTGAAGACCTGGCAGGCGGGAGGGTGGAGGTGGGGTTCAGGGGCTTTGCCAAGCAGGTTACCTGAGGGTCTTCATTCGGGGAGGAGGCTCTTTCCATCTCTCCACAGTGTCAAGTAGGAGTGATATTTGCCTGAGGCCAAAGCGGGTAGTGAGGGCTCCAGGTCACAAAGCCAGTGAGTCAGTGACCTCCAGAGAGCCAGGGTGGCTCCCACACCCAGAAAACAAGATCTGTCAGCCAGCAGCAGCTGGCCCTGCCCCTGCCCACAATCTCAGAAAGCAGGCATCAATAAATGGACCAGGCAGGAAACCAGGGCGTTTAACACATAAAGATAAGCAAATCATCACACATCAGCAGACACTTGAGAGAAATCAACAGTGGGGTGCATGACTCCAAATGCATCCAACTGAAGAACCAAAATGTAACGAATGGGAATAACCCAGCAAACTGAAGAAAATGGAGCAACTTTAGGTACTTTGGAGAGATTCAAGTATGTAAAGCATCATCTATGATGTAAATGAATCCACCAGAGATCTAAGAAGTTAAAAATGGGATTATTGAAATGCTGTATTAAGCTCCATGCATGGGCTGAGTAGCAGAATGGATATAGCTAAAGCTTAAGGGATTCTTCTAGAATGCACCAACATTCTATGTGTAAGATAGATGAGAGAATGTAAGATAGATAAGAGGCATAGAGAATGAATCTCCACGATGGACATCTAGTTAAAGAATTCTGGGAAGGAAGAAAAGAGGCAATGTGGAGAAGGAATTGAAAAGAAAAAATCAGTGAAAATTTTCCAGAGTTACAAAAAGACACGTGTCATCATATTGAAGGTACCCACTGCATTGGGAGCAGGAGAAATAAGAAAGGCCTGCGCTGGACACATTGTGCTGAATTTTCAGAAAACCAAGGCCGAGTAGAATATCAAAAGCTCCCAGAAAGAAAAATGAGGTTTCTTGCAAAGAAACACAGTTCAGATCGGCATTAGACTTCTCACTGCCAGTGTCAGATGTTAGGAGATGATGTGGGACTTGGCAGTTCTGAGGGAAGCTGGCTTGCACGTAGGATCTTGTGTTGAGCCGAAATCACATTCAGGTTAGAGAGCAAAATGGAACCCTGCAGAGATGCAAGGACCCAAAAAGCTTGCCTTCCAGAGATACTCTGAGGATGACTCGAGTATGTCCTCAAGCACCGTGAGAGTAAATCCAAAATTAGTACATGTTTGCAACACAATTCAAATAATGCAAACATGTACAAAGTAGAAAGTGAATTTCCTCCTTTTCCTCCCACCCCCAAGATAGCCACTGTTTGTAACATCACAGTGTAGAACACATTCTTCCAGATATTATGTGTGTGTGCGTGTGTGTGTGTGTAGAACACACATCTTTACAGAAAGACCACATTCTACATGATTTTGGCAAAGCTGCTTTTGTAACTGGAAATTTTACTATGGCAAACAGTCCAGTCTCCTTACGTGCATAACTCCTGGTTCATGGCAAATTGGTTCATGGTAAATTTCACACAGGCTTCTGTGCCCTAGAGGGCCTTAATTTATTTTACCAGTCCTATTAACAATGTTTACATTGCTTTTATATTTCACTACTAAACGAACACTGCAGTGAGTATCCCTTGGATTTTTATCTCTGCATACAAGCTAATATTTATGCAAGATAAACCTCTAGAATTGGAATAATTGCTAGATTAGAGGAAATGGCCAATTAAAAAAGTGATAGATCTTACTAACTCTTCCTCCAACATAATAGTAACCATTTATTATTTATTATTTTTATTTTTTTAAAGACGAGGTCTCACTCTGTTGCCCAGGCTGGCGTGCAGTGGCGTGATCACAGGTCACTGCCGCCTGGAACTCCCAGGTTCAAGCGATCCTCCCACCTTGGCCTCCCCAGTAGCTACAACTACAGGTCCATGCCACGCCACCGTGCCAGGCTAATTTTTATTTTCGGTAGACACGGTGTCTCACTATGTTGCTCAGGCTGGTCTCAAACTCCTGGACTTAAGTAACCCTCCCACCTCGGCCTCCCAAAGTGCTGGGATTACAGATGTCAGCCACTGTGCCTGGCCCATTTATTCTTTAGATGACCGAGTTGGGCATTCAGCTCATCCAGGGATGGGTGTGTGTGTGTGTGTGCTGGGGAAGGGGTGCTGGTATCGGAGCTTCTGAATCCTGAAAGTGTCGGACGGGGCTGAACCACAGGGTTGAGCGTCCTGCCTGGGCTGTGAAGTTTCTCCTACAGATGGCGCTGTTGCCTCGCGCCTGTCACTCAGGCCGAGGGGCAGAGTGGTAATTCTAAGACAAAAAGAAATTAAGCAGCACGCAAGCGGGCTGCCGCATTTTTATGTTTATGCCGAGACGACCCAAATCTATGTTTCTTCACCTTCCTGGCTGTACAACTCAGATAACTTTGTGATCCACTCTTCTTCAGAAGGAAGAAAGAAAAGATTCTATTTGACCGTCTTTTTTGAAATCCTTAGAAATCCACCCTTTGAACATAAGTCTTTGAGAACTTCCATCAATGTGCATAGTGAGTGTGTTTCAGGAGAAGAAATAATTTAGATTTTAGCTCAGTATTTTGTTTTTCATTCTATTTCTTCTTCTAAAAACAAAAACAAAAACCTCTTGATCCAAAGGAAACACATGGAGAATGGAGAATTCCACAGCAGCCTTGCAGCATGAGCGGCTCCGGATGGCCCTGCCTCTGGGCTCCAGACCCCCAGTGTTTGGTTCCAGGGCTTCTGCCCAGTGGTGATGGGGCTGGGAGACTAGACTCACTGTGTTGGGAGAGCAGTGGGTGTCTCCTGGGCAGGAGAGCCTCATCCCTGTGCGCACCCACGCTGGGGCCTTCTAGGTGTGTGTCCCCGAGTGTGTTCAGTATGTCTCATGTGTTCAAGTGACAGACTCGAGCTGGTAAGGACCTGGAGTGCCTTTCTACCCAGGCAGAAATCAGGAATAAAGTGTGAGCTGTTGACAATCAGGCTTCCCGGACTGTAACTACCAGGTTCAGAACATGCTTGGAGTTAGGTTTTAAATGTAAGTGGTAAGACTGTCCTCTCTGCCCGTTTGAAATGAGCACAGGCCGTGTTGCAGGTCTCTGATTCGGAGTAAAGATGAGCCTGGCTTCCTCTGCGGAGGAGGCCAGAAGCAGGTGCGGAGGGC
The DNA here is from genome assembly GCF_000001405.40 of Homo sapiens. Taxonomy (NCBI): domain Eukaryota; kingdom Metazoa; phylum Chordata; class Mammalia; order Primates; family Hominidae; genus Homo; species Homo sapiens. The sequence continues at coordinate 60,212,196 of NC_000020.11, forward strand.
TTAGCAGAGGCCTTTGCACTCAGAGACTTGCATCTCCTGCATCTTTTTAGGCCTGGAAGGCACCCGCATGCTCCTCTCGGCGCAAAGGTTCCAGGAGGTGGTGACCTTGATGAATCTCAGTCAAGATTATGAATAATTTAGGAGTAACACAACCCAGCCAGAGAATGCTTTCCCAGACAGCAGACAGGCTGCCGTTCTTCCAGGCGTCCCTAAATGGGCATCAGATATAGGAAGACTGGTGGGCACAGCAGCGGAGGGCTTTTTTCTTGGCATTATTAAAAGCTGACGTGCTTCTTTGTGTGAGTTGCTTGTTCCACTGACATAGAATTGTTTTGTTGTCACTGTAGCTTTAGTGTACACATAAGCAAAGCAAGCTCTTTAGGTACCGTGAAAAAGCGATGGTGGATATTTCTGTGTGTCTTGAGCATAAATTGTAAGAAAACCAAACAGATTTTAAAGGGTTTGGGGGGGATGGCGGGGAGATCTGGGTGTTTGCAGAAGAAGGGACTGTGGCTGGGGGTTCTGAACAGGCACTGCCATATGTCCCAGGCCACGTTTAGTGCACAGTGATTATGGCAAAGGTGGGAACTTGAAGGGGTGACCTGGTAGCATTATGCTAGAACCTGAGTGGCAGTGGTCCTGGGCTGGACACAGGAGCCTGGCCCTAGTGAAGGATCTTGGGCAGCGGTCAGGGAGCAAAGGCCTTGGGGTCATGGCCAGAGGTCAAGAGCTAAGTGGTATCTGGGAGCCAAGAGGTCAAGGCAAAGGGCCTCCTGCCAGTGTTTAATGTTGGCCAGAAGCAAACTCAAGGCTTGGGAGGCAGGTCAGCAAAGCAGGAAGGAATGGGCCGGGGAGGACCCAGGTAACAAGAACTTGGTGGAAGCTTAGTGAGAAAGCAAGTGGGGTGGAGAGGGAGGGATTCATATCGCAGGCATCATTTCACGGTCATGTGCCATGTGGCATGGGGTGCGTGGGAGGCCTCACGTGGGTTTCTCCTGCTGGCAGGAAGGGCTCCATCCTGTGCTCAACCCTGGGGATGCTGGACAGCTTTGAGGAGGTCACAGAACCAGGCCAGTGTTCGAACTCAGGAGCCGAATGTGGAGCCTGTGCTCGTAGGTGTCGCTAATTCCACTCCTGCTTCCTGTGTCCTGTAAGCTTAAGTGACATGCTCCAGGCAGCGCTTAATCTAGGGCGTCTGGATTCCCACCCAGGCGTTTCAGACGCCCAAGCCCAGCCTCCTCGACTCAGCCATGCTGCTATGCCTCTGACTGTGGATCCCAGGCCAAAGACAGAGGTTCTAACCCCCTTCTCCCCCAAGGTGGCTACCTTAGTTAACAGCTTTCTTGCCATCTGCCCTTCCCATCTCCACCCACCCCAAGTCCCTTCCTTTCTACCTGTGGAATGTCTACTGGTCTCAGCCTCCTCCCCCGAGTGCCTCTTCCCTTCCAGCTGTCATCAGGACCATGTGACTCCTAGGACTCACTCTCTGCCTGCCCTACCTGCCCCCAACTACCTCTGCCACCTGCTGCTACCCTCCCCCAATCCATCCTGTCCATGAATACCAGGGCCTTTCTAAAGCAGTGATGGAAGCTGAACACGCCCTGCTGGAAAGGCAGTGATGGCTTCCCCTTATCCTAACTCTGCAGCCTGGATGTCACTTCCTCTCTGAATCTCATGGTCCAGCTCTTGTGGTGGGAGCTGCCTGGAGCTCCATAGAAGGATTCGAAGGCCAGGTCAGAGCTTCCTGGAGCCTAGGGCCATGATTGATTAGTAATGCCTCCAGGGCACAGGACGGGTAAGCAGGGGTGTGTTTACCATCAATCTCTCTCTCTGGCAACTTGTGGTCACTTGAGCATACTATATGGTTTTGGGAGCCTGAGTTTTGAATGTCCCTTTCATTTCATAGGATATTTTACCCTCTTTGGGTCACTTTGCAAACTCTTAATTGTCCTTCAAGACTCTTCTCTGCAGAAGTCAATCCTTTGAGGTTTTAACAGACCCCACGAGCCGTGTTATCCCCAGTTGCTGCTATAAACCCTTGGATATCTCTCTGGGCCTTCACTTCATGCCCTGCAATCGTGAACATACTCCTCCCCCATCTTTCCCTGCCTGCCGTTTACTGTGGGTTCCTGAAAGCACGGAGGGTTTTAGAAATTGCAAATTCCCAGTAGCTGGCACATAATCAATATTCAAAAATGAGAGTTGAGTTTTGGAAATCTACATCCTTTATATCTGCCTTTAAAATCAGCCGAGGAGAGCACGAGTAAATGGAGTTCTTATTTAACTGTATAAATGAATTCTTTTACCTGCTCAACTTTCCTGAAAGAGTAAGGCCAAGGAATTAAAATACAAAGATAGCAGGATTCAGTTAAGGAAAAGAAATTAACATCCAGGTCGCTTCTGAATTAGCTTTGCTTCAGTTTGCACATACTTACAAAGCTCCTACTTTGTGCTGGACACAGTCATGGATTCCCCTGCGTGTCTACCCTTAGTGTCTTGGATGATGAGAATCAATCTCAGGGTTCCAGCGAGATGGGGATGCCCAGGCATAGGTTTGAGAACTTAATAAGTTCATCAACAGGTGGAGAAATGGATCCACCCCTTCAAGCCTTGACTCGCTCGTGTGCAAAGTGAAGGAGACCAAGTCACTCTTGGCTCCCATTCATTTACCAACATGCACTCTTTCTCCTCTTGGTAAGCATTTTCGATGGATTAGCCCCGTTCATACTTACAACACCCTTGGTAAGCATTTTCAATGGGTTAGCCCCATTCATACTTACAACAAACCCGCAGGGAAGGCAGTAGGATTATTCCCATTTTATAGACACAGAGGCTGAGGCTCAAGTTGTGAGAGGAGCTGCTATATCCACTGCTTTTTCAGAAGTCAGCTTCTGAGGATCCAATAAAATGCAGCATGGAAAGTAGCTCAGAAAACCACCCAAAGCCATCGTACTTCGTTCACTCTGCGAGTGGCTGTCAGCCAGCTTTCCTTGGTCAGGGATCTGGTCCACAAGTGCTGAACCCGAGGACGGAGCAGCGAGGAGCACAGACAAGTCTGGGCACTGGGGGACCCTGCAGCCCAATGAGTCGTGTGGGAAACAGATGTTCATCAAATTCACACCAGTTCAGCTCTCACGCCCCCTCTGTCTATTTGCTGTAGTATTTACCACATTCTGCCTTATCATGTACTTAATGCTGTGCACATCTGTCTCCTTTACAAGACAGGAAGGTTTTTGAAACAAGGGCCATATGCTTTTCATCTGTCCTAGTGCCTCGCGTGGTGCTTTGCAGAGCAGTCCGAGTGTAATTTCAGAAAGAATCAGATGATGAATTTAACTCCATCACTGCAGCCATGGTTTTCAGGTACATTCAGGGGTCGTGCAGCTTCTTCAGGAATTAAATCAATACCACATATATTCACTGAGCACCGACTGTGCCAGACTCTAGGGCATACTGGGAGGTGAGTGTCATGTCATCATCCCTGGCCCTGGAAGAGACATCAAATGCTGGGGGTTTTTTTGTGTGAGTTTTGAGGCATTGCTCTTTCTGAGCCCTTACATAAATTCTCATCCCAGGCATCCATGCAAAAGCCTCCGATTTTGCACATAGCACACTGACAGCTGGATCATGGGTGCCAGATTTTGTAGCTGCTAAGGGGAGGCTGCTGGGAGGAGGAGCAGGGAGGTGGCAGATGATGCAGGGAGAGAAGGATGGAGCTGCACCCTGGCTTGCTCCCTGCTCCAGTTGACTGGTACATTTCCCTGCTTCACGGCTCAGCCAGATGCAGTCACTTAACTCTGTGGTAGATCTCGCAGCACGACAGGTCGGGAGGATCCTAGGCCAGACCCTGGTCTTTCTTCCTGTGCTCCAGATAATTTGCCATCCCGCAGAACTGCTGGGTGGGGCTGCACACCATGCTGACCAGAGTGAGTGCATGATTCTGAGTCCAAGTCATCAGAGTGCAGCCTTGTCTGTGACAGTATTGCTGTGTGACTTTGGGTAAGTTACTTAATTTCCCTGTGCTGCAATGTCTCATGTGTAAAGTGGGATAGAAGAATAATCCCACCTTCTGAGGTTATGGAAAGGGTCACATAAAGGCATCTGTGCCGTGAGCTTAACATGGTGCTGGCAGGCATCCCAGGGCTCGGCTCATGCTGGATGCTGCCCTTGCTGTTTTAATCAAGGGCTGTTCAACCCGCTAGCAGCACCAACCAGCCCGTCAACCCCACACCTAGCCTGCTCTCACAACTGCTTGGGGAACTTTTACAAGAGACAAATTTTCTGCTATGCAGCCATGATGAAAAAGGAAATAGATGTCCACGTGCTGATGTGGAACAGTTTCCAAGATACATAGTGAGGAAGCACAGTGCTCTGTAATGTGCAGTCAGCTTCTATTTGTGTAAAATACTGGAGAGATTTACACACATGCTTGTATGTGCTCAAAATATTTCTCGAAGGATCCACAGGGAACTTGCTACAAAAAGGGCCTTTAGAAAAGAAATAAATGTTTGGGTACTGGGATTGGGGGGACAACTTTATATATTGTTTGAATTTTACCGTTTTTTTTTTTGTTTTTTTTTTTTGAGATGGATTTTTGCTCTTGTCGCCCAGGCTGGAGTGTAATGGTACAATCTTGGCTCACTGCAACCTCCTGGTTTCAAGTGATTCTCCTGCCTCAGCCTCTCGAGTAGCTGGGATTATAGGCACATGCCACCATGCCTGGCTAATTTTTGTATTTTTAGTAGAGAGGAAGTTTCGCGATGTTGGCCAGGCTGGTCTAGAACTCCTGACCTCAGGTGATCCATCCACCTTGGCCTCCCAAAGTGCTAAGATTGCAGGCGTTACTGTATTTTATTTCTTAAATGACAAAAGAGTCCATCTCCATCTGAATACAGATTCCTGGACCCTGTTTCTAGTCTTCTGATCTCATACTTTTCAAGTGGGATCTGGAAATACATGCCTTCATGATGTTTCCTAAGTGTTGTATATGATCCACTAGATTTTGGAACATCTGCTGTAGAGTGAGAAGGACAACCTGGGGGGCTGCTAATCAGCACCATCCCAGCATGTGGTGGGCCACAGGTTTGTGTTTGCCCGACTGATGTGAGTTGTGGAAGGGAAATGGAGGCAGATGCTTCAGGTTGGCTAATCCTATATCTGTTTCTAACTCCTTTCTCCCTTTTCTGTCTCCTCTTCGGAGGGTGGAAAGTGAAACACCCACTTTCTCAGACTCCTAGGAGTGGCCATATCTACACACAAGTGTTCTGGGAGGCTGCAGGAAAAGCTTTGGCTTTGGGGAGAAAAATGATATCCAGGGGTGATTGGCTCCAGGACTCCCTGCAAGCACCGAAGTCTGTGGATGCTCAAGTCCCTGATATAAAACGGCGTAGTTTTGCACATAACCTGTGCATATCCTCCTGTCTGCTTTAAATCATCTCTAGGCTACTTATAATGTCTAATACAATGGAAGTGCTATGGGAATAGTTGTTATAATACATTGTTTAGGGAACAATGACAAGAAAAAAGTCTGTACCTGTTCAGTACAGACACGATTATTTTCTCAAATATTTTTGATCTGCAGTTGGTTGAATCCAGGGATGTGGAACCCACAGACACGAAGGGCCAACTGTATTTAGATGGATTCCTTTCCATTTCCCTCTTATCTTTAACTCCTCCATGGTGTCTGGAGCTTTGGCAGCCATTTTGCACTCATGAAGAAAAGTCCAAGGGAAATTGTGAACACCTCAGCCGTGGTAGCATTAGACCCCTCAAATGATGCACCAGCCACCTTCCCAGACTTCTTGTCCTGTAGGTAAAAGAGGAACCCTTTTTTATTGAGGTTGGTCATGTTTTCTGTTATTTCCAGCTAAAAGGAACCTAATATATGGGCACTGAACTAGGGATGTGGGAGACTTGGGTTCCAGCCCTGGCTCTGCTTCTGATGGGCTGGGTGGCCTCAGGAAGATTTCTATCCCTTTCTGATCCCCAGTTTAACAACCTATAAAACATGTTGAGGCTGGGAGTGGTGGCTCATGCCTGTAACCTCAGCACTCTGGGAGGTCAAGGCGGGCAGATCACTTGAAGCCAGGAGTTTGAGACCAGCCTGGGCAACATGGTAAAATGCCATCTCTACTAAAAATACAAAAATTAGCCAGGTATTGTGGTGTGCACCTGTAGTCCCAGCTACTGGGGAGGCTGAGGTGGGAGGATCGCTTGAACCTGGGAGGCAGAGGCTGCAGTGAACCGAGGTTGCACCACTGTACTCCAGTCTTGGCAATAGAACTAGACTCTGTCTCAAAAAACAAACAAATGAACAAACAACAACAACAACAAACCCATGTTGAACATTATACCTCATAATGATGATGCTGAACATTTTTTAATATGCCAGTTGGACATTTGAATGTCTTCTTTTGAGAAATGTCTATTCAGAATTTTTGTCCATTTTAAATTGGACTTTTTTTTTTTTTTTTGCTATTGAGTTGACTTCCTTATTAGATATTTTGGATATTAGCTTCTTATCAGATACATAGTTTGCAAATATTTTCTCACATGCATAGGCTGTCTCTCCATTCTGTTGATCGTTTCTTTTGTTGTACAGAGCTTTTTAGTTGGATGTAATCCCATTTGCCTGCCTTTGGTTTTGTTTCCTGTGCTGTGAGCTCTAATCCAAAAAAATCCTTGCTCAGGCCAATGTCATCAAGCATTTCGTGGATGTTTTCTTCTAGTAGTCTATGGTTTTGGGTCTTACAACACCTAAATCTTTAATCCATTTTGGGTGATTTTTGTATAGGGTGACAGATAGGGGTCCAATTTCATGCTGCATGTGACTAGCCAGTTTTTCTGGTACCGTGTATTAAAGAGACTGTTCTTTCCCCAGTGGGTGTTCTCAGTACCTTTTTGAAAGGCCACTTAGCTCTGAGCGCATGGAGTTATTTCTGTGTTCTCTGCCCTGTTCCACCGGTGTATGTGTGTGTTTTTACTCCTCGGTCTTCAAGATTGTTGAGAGTTTGGAGCCTGGGTGCACCAGCTTCTTTGTATCTCACTGTCTTCCTCCCCAAACCCAGTGCCCAGCATATAGCCTGGCATGCATGAAAGGCTCAGCCAATTGTTTGGGTTTGATATACATGTTAATATTGGGAGATTGCTGCATACACTTAAGTGCCGATGTTTCAAGCTGGGGAGGCAGAAGTCTGGGGAAAACAACAGGTTGGAACTTCATTGCGACTCGGAACATGTCTGGCTGGCATATGAATCCATCTGCCATGACGGCTTGGATAAAAATAGTCCACATTGGAGGCTTCATTCTATTTGAATGTACAGATTAACCAGTACTATGACAACTATTTTCAGAAAGCAGCTTGCTGAAACTTTGTAATGATGTGTTTAGGCTTCACAGCTTCAAAACATGATCTTCTAGGTGAAAGATGGTAAATAGCTTCAAAGAAAGGTATTCCCCTCCCTTTCCTGCCCTTGGAAAACATAACTATATGATGAATAAAAATGACTCTGGACCTGTCCATACCACCCATGAAATGTTCCACTTCTTGAGTATTTTATGTAACCGTGTCAGCCTGGCACAGTGCATTAACACCAAGAGTTTCTTGTGATGTTTTCTGGCTGATAATATTTTCCTTACAAGTTCCCTATGAAATCTAAAGCAATAACAACAAAACAGGGCACTTCTACGCTCTTAAAAATGTCATTGTCCTATTTTTTAATTAGGCAGGATGTCCCTGATTTCCCAGGGGAGTCGATGGGACGCAGTGTTTTACAGCTTATCATTTGGACACCTTAAGTCTGAAGATTGGGTCCAGGTAACAGGGCCAACAAGAAACTCCTGCACCAGGGAGGTCAGGGACACAGGCCAGGAACGCTGGCTCAGGCATGGTGGCTGCAGCTCCTTGGTCACAGGATCTTGGGCATCCATCTCTGGCCAGTTTCCCCATCAGTAAAACACGAATGCTGGACCAGATAAGGGTTTCCCAACTCAGCACTACTGACGACTTGGGAAGGATGACTCTTTGTTGAGAGGGGCTGTCCTGTGCCAATTAAGATGTTTAGCAACACTCCTAACCACTACTACCCACTAGATGCTAGTAGCAACCCCCAGTTGGGATAACCGAAAATGTCTTCAACATTGCCAAATGCCCCTGGAAGGAGAGGGAAAAATGACCTGCGGTTGATGACCTCCTCGCTGTGGCTGACGTGCTTTGGTGATGCATATGGAGGAGATGATTCAGAGTGTTCACACTGTGCGTTTCCACTTCTTATGGCTCCTAATTACTCCCAGTGGCTCTGGAGTGGCTCCCCACCCTATGTGCACGTTCCTTCTGAAAGCCTGGGACAAACTTTACAGTTTTATATGTTTACTCAACTTTACAGTTTTATATGTTTTGTTCACGTATAACTCACATGCAGAAAAGTGCACGTCAAAAGTTTACATCTCAACGACTTTTCACAAAGTGAGCAATCCATGTGGATGTAGCCAGCACCTAAGCCAAGCTGCAGGACGGGAGCCACGCCCTCTCCTTCTTCTCCTCTTCCCCCTAGTTAGCCACTATCCTGACTTTGGAACCGTAGATTAGTTTTGTCTGGTTTGTTGAACTTGATACAATGGAGTCATCCTGTATGTGCTATTTATGTGCCTGGCTTCTTTCACTGTACATTACGTTCGTGAGATTCATTCATGCTCTGTGCACTTGCAGCCCATTCACTCTCAGCGTGGATGGTATTCATTATCTGACTGTGCGGCCACTGAATCTTCCATGCCACTGGGGAGGGGCCTTCGGGGCATCTACAGGCTGGGGATTATAAATTGCACTGCTGAGAACATTTGTGTGCATGTCTTTTCATGAATATGTGAATGCATTTCTGTTGAGTATATACTGAAGAGTGGAGTTGACAGGTCACAGGGCATGTACATATTCAGTTTTAGGGGCTGCCAGATACTTCTGGAAATTAATAAGAAAAAGACTGAAAACCCTATAGAAAAATCAGTAAAAGAGTTGAACGGTCACATCGCGAAAGAAGATGCTCAGTTGTCCAATAAACATGGAATGGTGGTGCTTAACCACTTTAGTCATCTAGGAAATACACATCAAAACCAGGCCATACTACTGCATCTCCATCAGTGGCTATAAAGAAGGACAAGTTGAAAAGGACATGGAGCAACCAGAAGTTCTGTATGCTGATGGTGGGAGTGGAAATCAGTGCAACCACTTTGGAAAACTGGCAATATCTTCTTTGAGGTTTGTAAGCCACAGAAAGGCACAGGTAAAAACGAACATTTATGATTTGGAACAACTAGGTTTTATATAAGATACAAAAATTAAACAAAGGATTTGTGCATTGCAAAAAGCTACAAGGAGGTCCAAAGCAGGAAGTTATGCAAAACATAGCATTTGCCCCTGACTGGGAGTGCAGGGAAGATGTGGAAGAGCAGAGAGGAAGAGAAGGAGGCTAGGGTTAGGTACCTACTCAAGAAGGTTGAAGGGAATTGTGGAAGGAGAGGGGCCGGTGTCCTGCTCCTGCTGTCAAACTCTAGAACCTTGTGGGGCTGCTGTGATCCCACAGAGAACGTGAAGAGGGCTCCCAGTTCCCTATGGCCAGTGCCAAGCTGCAAGTACATTAGGGAGTATCTCCAAGGCTTGTGGGTGGGGTAGGAAGTGAAAGACTAAGAGATCAGGGGCCAGGACCTTTTCAAGACTGGTGAGGAGGATGCAGGGAGGCCGTGGCAGGGACCACAGGCAGATGCCTTGCCAAGGAATGCCCACCAGCCAGAGAGATGGAGTCTAGCACCTGCAGACACATGCAGAGACCGGAGGGGCAGGGGGCTGATGGATCACCACCCTCCTCTGCCAGTTCACCCCCAGACAGGGAGAAGGAGCTAGAGAGTAAAGCAATGTAAGATGATTTGCCCAAACGTGACTAGTGAGTAAGATAAAAAAAAAAAATTCACATTTGACTAAAAATTTGGTGGATTAAACTGAATAGGTCCATAGGTGACAGCTTAAGTGTTCTTCTCTAGGAAGACTGGGGGATTGAGATAAAAGCTCAGTCAATTATAGCAGGCAAAGAAAAATTCACTGAGAGCAGTCAGGCCACTGGCTGTGAATTGCCCACGTCTCCCTTCTACCTGCAGCTCCCAACTGCAACACAGACGGTGTTCCCTTCTTCCCTCCCTGCTTTCCTTCTTTATAACAAAGACAACCATGAGCTATGGACTGGAGACCCAGCGGGCAAGAACACGAACACTGCTCTCTCCTTTACTTCTCTCTCCAGTCTAATGGGAGAAACAGCACAAAAGAGAATGACTACCTACACAGAATACTTTTACTGTTGTGTGTGATGAGTGATGCTTTAGGTGGTTGTTACAAAGAAGGCATCTCTGAGAAGCTTGGAAAGGATGAGGAGGAGGCAATTGTTCCAAGATAGTGAACACCCGGGAGCAAGCTCCAAGGAGTGGGAGTGGCCTGTGCAAAGGCCCTGGGGCAGGGCATGAGTAGGATTTTCCAGGGAGTAAAGGAAGTTGATTGTGGCTCAGTGCTCTGAAAGGATCATGGGCCGGGGCACAGACTGTGCAGCCCAGAGGGAGGGATTTTGGAGAAATAATGGAAAAACCATTGCAGGGATTTCAGCAACAGGAAAAGCAACCTAATTTATGTGATAGGCTCATTCTTCTTGCTGTGATATAGAGAATGTATTAGAGGAGAAGAGTGGAAGTGAGGGGCCATTTGGAGGTGGTGCCAGAGCCTGGAAATAATGGTGGCCTAGACTAAGCTGATGGCATGGAGAGAATGTGCATGGATTTAAGATCTCTTAGAAGCAGAAATATAATAACCATAACATACACTATTATTATTATAACCACCACTTCCTGATAACCTACTCTGTGCTGGGCAGTGTGCTTATAGTCTCATATATAATATTCAATTTAACCCCATGCGGTAGATACTGTCTTTATCATCCATGTTTTGTAGATGAAAAAATGGAGCTTCCTAAAAATTACATTGATACAGGGCAGGGGAGCCCCAAATTGGGGCTTAGACCAAAAGGGTTCTTTGCTTCACCCAGGAAAGAATTTGAGGGTAAGCTGGTGGTAGAAGAAAATGCTTTATTGAGATGGCAGTGTTACAGCCCCGTGACTGCTCCCACAGAACAGGCCACCCCATAGGCGGTGTGCTGAGAGTAGCAGGCCAGGGCAGTTCTGCAGTCGTATTTATACCCACTTTTTAATTTAAATTTAATTTAATTTAAGTTTTTGAGACAGAGTCTCGTTCTGTTGCCCAGACTGGAGTGCAGTGGTGCGATCTCAGGGTCATAGATAGTTTTTGTAAATGCTAAAGTAATATTCAAATTTGTATTACTTTCAGAGAATAAAGAACCACCAGTCCTAACAGCCCTAGTACAGTTTTTTCTTTTCTTTTTTTTTCTGGAGATAAGACTTCAGGAACAGGAATGGAAATGTCCTTTCAGAGAATCTCATGTCTAGAAAGTCCCAGAGAGGGTCGAACCTGAAGTTCTTTTTCCCTGAAACCAGAAGGAAAACCTCAGCTTGGGCTTAGGGCCTGTTCTGCCTCTGGAAACATCTCTGTTCTCCCATATATTATATTCCCCACTATGTGATGGCCCCTCACATTAGTCAGGAGTGCCTAGAACGTGTGTCCCTCACCGCCTTCCCAGGGGGTCTGCCCCCCAGAATGCCTGGCTTCACTTTCTACCTCTTTTGCAGAGCTTGCCTTGGCAAAACCATCCCCAACACCTCTCCTTCCACAACTCCCGTCCACCCCATTCTCCTCTCCTGCTTTGCCCATGATGATAATCACTAACATTTATTAAGCGGTTACTCTTTATCGAGAGTTTTGAAAGTGCTGCCTTGTTGGGCCCTGCCAGCCTCCCCAACAAGTAGGAGTTGTCCTATACATTCTGCTTACACATATGGAAACTGAGGTTTAGAGAGGTTTCAGGAACTTGACCAAGTCAGTCATGCTGGTGAAAGGTAGCCTGGGATTCCAGCCTCCATCCCTTTGAACAGCTGTGTCTCTGTTTCTCCATCTCCTCCTTGAGGTCAGGGCCTCATTGTCTCAGTAACTTCAGCGCTAGCAGAGTGCTGGGTGTGCGGGCACCCAGTACACATTTGCTGAGTTGAACTGAGTGCTAGAGAATGTTTGAGTGCATTGGAATGTTTGAGCTGGGCCAGATGCAAACCCAAGGTGTCCCATTGTCACAACCAGACACGGCGGCTGTACCCAGGTATGACAAAATGCTGCTGCTGCAGCTGATGGCAGGAAATCATGATGGAACACCTATTTTGTGTCAGACGCTGTGGAAAGCAATTCACAAAGTCATCTTCTATGGCCTGAACGTGATCTCCCCAAATTTATATTTTGAATCCTAATCTCTAATGTAATTGGGATTAGTGACTTTATTTTAAAAAGGCCCTGGAGAGACTCTTCAGCCCTTCTACCACTTGAGAGCATAGCAAGAAGACAGCCGTCTAGGAACCAGGAAGCCGGACCTCACTAGACATTGAATGTGTGGCATCTGAGTCTTGGACTTCCAGCCCCCACAACTGTGAGAAATGCATATTTTATTTTATTTTGTTTTGTTTTATTATTATTATTTTTTGAGACGGGGACTCTGTCTGTCACTCAGCCTGGAGTGCAGTGACACAATCATAGTTCACTGCAGCCTCAACCTCTCAGGCTCAAGCGGTCCTCCCTTTTCGGCCTCCCAAAATTCTGGGATTATAGGCGTAAGTCACCATGTTCATCCAAGAAATAAATTTTGTGTTGTTTATTTGGACTAAGATATCATCTTATTTTATCCTATGAAGGATCTGTTGTAAGCTTCAGTTAAGTGACTGGCCTGGCCGATGGAGACCAAACCTGGCCATGGGACTTGGGAGATGTAACCATCAGCATCACTTGCCCCCAAGGACCACCAGAGGGCAGATGAGAGGCAGGGGAGGACTCACCCTCAGAGCCCCAGGAGGAACCAACCTGGCTGACATCTTGATTTTGGAATTCTGGCCTCCAGAACTGGGAGAGAATATATTTCTGTTGTTTTAAGATGCCCAGTTGATGGTATTTTGTGAAGGCACCTCTAGGAAATGAACACAGAAGCTCAGGCAGGCCCGACTCTCAGTTCATTGGCCTCCTAGTAGGGGAGGCCTATAGAGCGTCTGTCGGGCTCACGGCAAATGACCCCCAGTTAACATTACGGTCTCCCCACATTATAACCATGGCGTGGCCTTTTCTGCTGATAGTTAGTCTAGGCAGAGGTCTTCCCTCGAGATATTCTGTCTGCTGAAAGGAAGGAGGATCTGGGAATTCTTCCACCATGACATGAGACATATTTAGCTTCATTGCAAACCTGAGGTTTTATCCTTTGGGAACATGAGGTAGTACCTGTGTGTGGAGGTGCGAGGGGGAGTGGGGCAGCCTGGAGAACCACCTGTGTCTTTGCATTTCCTGGGGGAGAAGGCCTAGGCTTGGGGGTTCAGCTGGGTCTTTGGCTAAACAGTATGATGGAGGAGGACAAGGGTGTCAGTGTCAGCCAGGCCCACTCTGAGTCCTGGCTGCTGGGCCGAGGGCAAGCTATCTAATGTTGCTCAGCCTCAGTCTTTGCGCCTGGGAAGTGGGCCTGGAGTTCAGGCAGTTAAAGCACTTAACACAGAGCCTAGAATAGGGAAGCAAAACAAAACATACATATATACGTATGTGTGTGTATGTATATGGTATAAGTGTTTATTAAAATTCACTTTAATTATAAAAGTTACACTGTTTATATCATCCCAAAGATTTAAATTTTTGAAAGGAGATCATATAAAAAGAAAAGAAAGAAAAAGAAAAAAAGTACATATAAAACAAATTAGAAATAAACATATAGAAGTACAGTCAGCCCTCTGTAATCCACAGATACTGCATTGAGGATTCCATCACCCTCAGATCAAATATATTAGAAAAAAGTAGCAAATATAACAATTAAAAATGATACAAATAAAAAGCAATAAAATGTAACAATCATTCACATAGCATTTACATTGGATTAGGTATTATAAGTAATTTAGAGATGATTTAAGCTGTATGGGAGGATGTGCATAGGTTATATGCAAATATTATGCTAGTTCGTCTGCAGAAGGTCCTGGAACCAATCCCCTTGGATACCAGGAGACGACTGTAAACAGAAAGAATATTTAGTGTATAGTTTTTGCATATTCTCTCTTTGCTGATACATCTCTTTACTTAAAAGTTGGACTTTATTATACAAAATGTTTTCGAACCCTTTTCCTTTAACAATATATGGTGAATGCTTTTCCATGTGGTTAAATGTTCATCTTCAATATTCTATTTAATGGCTCATTGTGTTCTGTGTAAGAATTTTCGTGGGGCTTTGAATGGCACCTACAGACACGGGAAGAAATAGGGTTTTGTGATGACAAAATGTGAGGAAATTGTGTACACAGAGATGGGACAGGAAGCAGACTGCTTGCAAACTCCCAGAGGCTTCTGTGAGACGTGCGGCTGTGGGGGCACCCACTCTTCTCCAAAGGGGCTCTTCCGGTTCACAACCCCAGCACGGCCTTCCCGGCAGAATACTGGCAGATTACACATTTTGCCAATCTGAATGTGTGGGAATTCTATCCTACTGTTTTCATTTGCGTTTCCTTTATTACTCAAGAAGTTGAACATATTTTCCATTTGCTCCTCCCATTTCCTCTTCTACAATTTGTCAATTTTTTTTATCGGTTTGAATGGATTTCTTTTATTATTTTATAGGACTACTTTATAAACTCTAGATAAGATTTCCTTGCCAGTTACATGCCTTGCAAAGACATTGTTTTGTCAGACTGGAATTTATCATTTAATGTGGTTTATAGTGTCTCTTGTCAAAGAAAAATTTACTGTTTAAAATAGTTAAAGTTGTCAATATTTTCTTTTTTTTGAAACAGGGTCTCACTCTGTTGTCCAGGCTGGTTGCAGTGGTATGATCACAGCTTATGGCAGCTTCAATCATAAGGGCTCAAGCAATCCTCCGGCCTTAGCCTCCTGAGTAGCTGGGACTACAGGCATGACCATCGTGTCCAGCTAATTTTTTTTTTTCTTTTGGTAGAAATGGGGTCTGGCTGTGTTGCCCAGGCTGGTCTCGAACTCCTGGGCTCAAGCAGTCCTCCTGCCTTGGGCTCCCAAAGTGCTGGGATTACAGGTGTGAGCCACTGTGTCTGGCCCCTTTCTTTATTGGTGTCTTATATACTTTGGATGTCTTAAGAAGTACATATCTACTGCAACACTGTGGAGACACTCCCCCATGTTATACCTTAGTAATACACTGGTAAGCACTCATACTGAGTAGCTCTGTGACTTGGGGAAAGATCTCTCTCTGGACTGAGATTTCTTGGTTTATAAAATGGGGGTAATAAAGGTACCTGCTTTGTTAAGTTGTTTGGCAGGTTAACAGAGTTAACCTATGTCAAGTCCTTAAAAGTGCCTGGCGCCTGACATTCACTCAAGAAAAGTTAGACGATTATCATTGTCCTAAGAGTCTTAGTTTTCCTTCTAGTATTTTTGCCTTAAAATTCATCTGGAGTTTGTACATAAGGTATGGATTTAATGTAATTGTTTCCCTATGACTAGCTTACTGCCCCAGCATCAGGTATTGAACGATCCATGTATTCACCACAGTTTTCAAGGCTACTTCTATTCCATATCAGGGTTCCAGATATCAATTTCTGTGCTACCCTGTTCCAAGGTCCTAATTTTTTTATCCCCAGGACAAAAATGCATGTTTAATTTCATATAGACTTAATAGCCGATAACCGAGTGGTCAGTACTCCCTTGTACATTTTTCTCCAAAACTGTCTTAATCATTCTTCATGTAACTTACCTATGTGGATTACAGGAGCTGCTCGTCAACTTCCCTGAAAACCCCGAGACCAACACTCAACCACTGAACTCTCTCTCCTAGACACACCACATTAGGACATTTGTTTACCTGCCATTTTGTTTGTTTAATAAGGTTTTATTTCGGAAAATGCTCAGTTTGATGAACTTTTGTATGTGTCTTCACTGGCACCAGGGACAGGTCTTTTCTGTGTCGGTGGCTCAGGTGTCTTGGGCTGTGTTATGAGAGTAGCTTGACTGGTCCTTTTCACAGGGTTCCTGGAGCTCACTGGAACCAGAGAACTTCAAAACTCAGGTACTCAGAGATAATCCTTGCATTTCTGAGCATGCTGGGGACTTCCTCACAGGACAGGCTGTCTGTGGCTTTGGTGACAAGATCAGGCTGTTGGGTAAGCTCTTTCTGGGCTTGCCCCAACGTGTCTGCCGAATTTCTGGCATGTTTCTGCTTTTCATCTTCTCATCTTCCTCTTTTTTGGTGACATTACAGCTCTGATTTTAACTGCATTTAGGTGGATAGATTCTATCTCAAAATTTCTGTCTTCTAACTTTAGTATTTTACCAATTTATATCTACTGTGATTACTGAGTTTAGTTCTACTATGTTATTTTGTGGTTTTTATTTATTGTCTTTTTAAAAATATTTTTTCTCCTCTTTTTAGTCTTCCATTACAGACTGAATAATTATTCAAAGTTCATTTATTCCCTGATTTCTCTGTATTGGTATGAAAAGTCCACATTTTATTACAATTATTTTTATGGCCAACTTGAAATTTATAACATGCACACTTGATTTAATGAATTATAGAGCTAATGAACATTTTTATCATTTTTATCCTCCCCCAAGCAACATGAAGGCATTTAAACTTTTTTTTTTTTTTTTTTGAGATGGAGTCTCGCTCTGTTGCCCAGGCTGGAGTACAGTGGTGTGATCTCCACTCACTGCAGCCTCTGCCTCCCAGGTTCAAGCCATTCTCCTGCCTCAGCCTCCCAAGTAGCTGGGATTACAGGTGTCCGCCACCCCTGCCCAGCTAATTTTTTTTTTTTTTTTTTAGTAGAGATGGTGTTTCATGGCCAGGCTGGCCTCAAACTCTTGACCTCAGGTGATTCACCCGCCTTGGCCTCCCAAAGTGCTGGGATTACAGGCATGAGCCACTGCACCTGGCCCTAAACTTTTAAATTTGATTACTCATTCTATTTTCTAAGATATATTATTTTAGTATTACACTTTCACCATATTTTTAGCCTCTGTTAATTAGTAATTATCAATATCATTTTTATAATCAATGAAAATTAAATTCCCCACGTGTTTACTGATAGTGGGATTGCAGCTATCTCTTGACTCTCACTCTTTGATACTTGTTTCTTATTAGTCAAAAACTTCTTTTAATAGTTCTTTCACTTTGGGTCTGTGAGTGGTGAATTTTTCAGTCTTTGTCTGAAAATGTCTTAATTTTTGCCTTCACTCTTAAACAACAGCTTATTTTAATATCAAGTTTTAGATTTTTTTCTCATAGTCCATAAAGGTATTGTTCCATTGTTATGTGGTCCTTATTATTACTGAGAAGTTGATTGCTGTTCTCATTATTGTTCCTTTGTAGAGAACTATGTCCTTCTGGCTGCTTCGAAGGTTTTCTCTTTGTCTTTGGTAATCTTCATCTCACTGGGACACATCTAGGAATGAGTATATATTTCATATGTTTTCAACAGAGGATTTATTTGTATCCTCAATTTTGAAAAACTCAAAATGATTTTGTTTTGAAGATTACCTTTCTTCCATCTCTGTTATCTTCTCCTGCAACTTATTTTGACTATACATTGGCCTTCTCATTCTGTTGTTTGTTTTGAAATTCTTGCCACGACTTCCATCTTTCAAATTTCTGTTGCATGACTAGTGATTTATTCAGCTCTGCTCTCCAGCTATGTCTAATATCTGTTGAGTTTTAGATATTAGTGACTGTATTTTTCATTTCTAGATTTTTAAAATTTAAATCCACCATTTCTTTCTTTCATAGTATTTTGTTCTTTCATAATGGAGTATCTTAATTCTTTACTCCCTGTAATTCTTCAATTTTTCCAAGTTCTTGGATAGATCGGTTATCTTTGTTGTGTATGCTGGTTCTCTGTTACAATGCAGCTTTTCTTCATCTAGGTTAGAATTTTTAATTTTCATTTTATCTTCAGCTGATGAGGCTATGTATTGTGACAGTTTTATGTAACTTTGGTTACAAAAACTCATCCCTACAGACCAATTTTCCTCAGCCTGAATGCAAATGTTATGTTCATTTTGGTTTGGAATTTCTGCCCCGTAGATGAAGTGCAAACTTGAACTCTGTATTCTGGATGGTGTAGACTTGGGTTAGAATTTCTAGCGAGGCTTGGCTTCTTTATTCAGAGCCAAGCAGTGCCGGGTCTCTTGCTGTTTACCTGTGCTGGTGGAAGTTCACTTGCTTGAGTGATATGTATGAGGAAGTTCAAGGCTTCATTTCAGGTTGCCCTTCAATTACATACTCCTCCCACAAACAGCTCATAAGTATGATTTTGCAGTTTTCTTGTTAACCCTAAATGAGTGGTTGTCCTTCTGGCTGCTTCGAAGGTTTTCTCTTTGTCTTTGGTAATCTTCATCTCACTGGGACGCATCTAGGAATGGGTATATATTTCATGTGTTTTCAACAGAGGATTTATTTGTATCCTCAATTTTGAAAAATTCAAAATGATTTCATTTTGAAGATTGCCTTTCTTCCATCTCTGTTATCTTCTCCTGTAACTTGTTTTGACTATACATTGGACTTCTCATTCTGTTGTTTATGTTTTGAAATTCTTCTGTTTATGTTTTGAAATTCAACTGAGGGCTATTTTGCCCCCCAGGAGACATTTTGTAATGTCTGGAGACATTTTTGGTTATCCTCACCAAAAATGGAGAGGGTGCTAATGACAACTAGTGGGTGCAGGCTGAGCACTGCTGAACATCCTACAATGCCTAGGATACCCCTCCCCCCAACCACACACACCACCCAAAGAGTGACCTGCCGTGGCATGTCAATTGTGCAAGGCTGAGCAGCCCTGCTCTAGACCAGAAGCCCACTGAGGACAGGGACTTGGTCATACTGGTGCAACTCTGTATCCTCTTTGCCCATTTTACTGCTTGGTAACTAGTAGTTACTCAGTAAATTTTGCAATGTATCAAACAAGCATTAACCTTCAAAGCCATTATTGCCAATGTGACAGGTTGAATATAGTATCTTGTTTTAATTTTTATTTACTGAATTACTGGAGAGGCAAAGGTTTCTGGTTTTTACATGTTTATTGATCATGATCACCTATATTTCTTCTTTTGTGAACCAACCCTTTTTTCCTTTGCTTACATGAATGTACTAATGCCTATTCAACTCTCTGTTAATATAGTTGGGGTTATGAATAGTAATGAGATTATTTGAGGAAAAAAACCCATGGATAGTATATAACACTGGACAAATAGAGACCTTATTATCATTTTATGCTGCCCAAGCAGCCTGCCCTTAGGAAAAAGTCCAAGGTGCTTTATACAGGCTGCTCACTGCACAAGAGGGCAAGGGGAGCGCCAAAATCCACCCAGCACTCTGCCCTCTCAGATGCCAAACGGTCACCAGGTTGGTGTGCCTGGAGCAGAGCCTCCTATCTCTGTTTGCATTTGCCCTTCAACGGTGTGATAGCTTGAGCATATCTTGGTACTTTTCAAAATGCATTCATACATGTGGTTTATTTTGGTCCTTACATAACCCTGTAAGAATGCTTGGGGTTGCTCTTTCTGGCAGGTGAGGATCCAAGCTGGTTGCACCTCAGAGACGCTGGCAGTTTCAGAGGGCAGATACTTGGATGCTGCTTCTGCACCCCTGCACTGTGTCTCTTCCCAAGGGCCTAGCATTAAAGGAGTCTCGGGGGGAACCTCTGCTGGGTGAGCCTCCTTTCAGCACGCAGAACCTAAGCTTCACATGGACCGATGGGACTGCATTTGTGAAAGGAGAGGACCTTTATTCTCAAAGAGATCAACCTCGCCTGAATGTAAGCAGGTCTTGGGGAACTCCTGTGGTTCTCTCTTTTCAAGGTTTTCCATGAGACACAGTCCAGCAACACAAGAGGTAACCATATCTACATGACCCTCGGAACCTTTGGGAGTGATGGATGCCTAAGAATCTCATGAAAACTGTGGACCAGGAAAATATACCTGCTTTCAGGGGCTTCAGGGTCCCTGGAGAGTCTGTTCAGGCCTCTCTGGGCTCCAGGAGTCCTTGGTTAAAAGCTGCAACTTATACAAAATTTGATTTTCATGGTCATGTCAAGGGATGCCAGAAATCAACGTAAAATTACCCAGGTGGCTTGAGTGCCTGCAGATACCAAGTTCTGTGCTCTTCCCACTTCTGCATCTTTGCATCTTTGCACATGCTGTGCCTTTCAAGGGAAATGCACCTGCCTGTTTTGAAGACTCGTATTGACAGCTCAGATGTCACTGTCTCTATCACGGATCTCCCTGGGGGCAGGGTTGAGCATCACTTTCCAATTCCCACAGCCCTTCCTTCACATCCTTTTCACTGTACTCAGAGTTCTAGTTATTTGCTTATATATTTGTTTTTCCAAGTAGACCGTGAGATGCTTACTAGCAGGAATCATGTCTTAGTTTTCTTGACTTGCCTTTGTTAGCCCTGTTTGCAGCCTGGAATATAGTTACATAACAAGTGTTGCAAAAATGGCAAAGTGCAATAAAGCATGGGGTTTTCATCAATTAAAAGGGTGTAGGAGATAGGAGATTCGTACAAGTGACCCTTATGTCTACGTATTGGGACAAGATTATATGTACCTGTTGGGCAGGTATCCAGTGCCTAGTCAGCACAGATGATTTGTGACTCTTCTTAAAAAAATCATTTCCTCCAAATACTGTAGACTTCTCTCAAATCAAACTCTACAAACTCTAATTCAAGAAGCACCAGCCAACCTGTTCCCTGACAGATGGGTGTGGCTTGAGCTTGGGCAATGTCAGCTTCTGTAGGCGCCCACATGGGACAAATGGCCCATGTCTGGGACAGTGCCCAGCATCTGGAGCTATGTTGGCCCTTTGAAGATTCATCTCAATGTCCCTGAACTGCTGGGGAGGAAACAGCAATGGTGTTAAGTTGTCTGGTATGAATTACTGCTGCAAATAAATCTGACAAACCAACGGTCATGGTGAGAAGAATTGCCTCAGACACACACTGTCAGCCTGCTGGGTTAACCTCCATCTTTAAGTGGGAGGAAAAACAAGCATAACTATCTCTAAGAACAGAAGGAAAAAATCCTTCACTGGAGGTCTCTGTCCAAACGCTATGACTCAATGGTTCTATCCAGACTTATCACCCTGGGGAACCTGGAGAGATCCATTTCCTGTGAGAGAGAAAGAGAACTGAATTCCAGCCATTCCTTCCCCACCACCTCCTTCTCTTCTTCCTTACTGGCACCATTCATCTATATGATAGTGTAGCCTTTTCTTGCTCATCTTTCTTTCCCATGCCATACAATATTCTCTAAAACATTTGTTCATAGCTGCATAGCATGCCTTCAAATGGTGGTGCCCTAATTTGGATACCACTCCTTTATTCTTGGGCTCCTAAGTTTTTTTCTCAATATTCACCATTGTAACTATCACATCTCTGACATCCTTGTTCTTAATTTGCCTTCATCTGAGATTATTTTTCGGGATACTTTCCTGCAAGTTTGCTATATAAGTAACATCAAATTACTCTCCATGGTGAAATCTACTAATTTATGCTCCCTGGCCCGATGGGTTTTCCATTCCACCTTTCCTTGATCACCAAACATCATTACAGCTTTCAAAATATCTCCCAAGCTTCTAAGTGAGAAATGGAATGTTGCTATAGAATTCTTTCCATTTCTGGTAACTTCAAACATTTGTATCTTCTTTCGTGATTACCTAATCACATCTTTTAACCATCTTTTTATTGAGGTGCTTCTCACTTTCTTATTTAGAAGATCTCTTTGGGTATTAATAATATTATGCACATATAATGCAGATAGTTTCTCCAAGTTATTACTTCCCATTTGACCCTGCAATCACTCATACTCATGGATTCTATTTTGGTGCAAGCCGCCAGTAGGGATCCAACTTTGTTTTATTATAAATGATCTCACATCTGTTGAATTAACCACTTCGTGTTAATTTTAAAAATAATTTTACTATTATTTTAACTGACATATTATAATTATATACAGTTGTGGAGTACAATTTGATGTTTGGGTATACGTATACAACATAGGCTGATTCAATCAACCAAATTAACATACCCGTCACCTTGTGCCATTCATTTTTAATGTCATTCTTATCACACACAATTCATGGGTTTGCTTCTAAGTTTTGAATCTGTCCTGGTGATATTTGTGATTATTTCTGGATAATAAGAGACTATTTTAACTTACTGTTCATATTTTGTTAAGACAATCCACCTCTGCGCTTCCCCTCCCTCCCTTTCTCCTTCTCTTGTTTTATCCCTCCTTCCCTTTCTCTCTCTCTCTCTCATAACTTTTTGGCTGACTTTATCCACTTTTTCATCTTGAAAAACTTTAAAATCATATTGTTAAGATTCAAAAAGCCTTACATAAGAACTTTCATTGGAATTTCACTAAATTTAAAGTTTGATATTTTTACGACATCAGACCTTCTCACTTAAGACTATGATGCCCTCTCCATTTCTTCATTGTCTTTTATATTTCTCAGTACAGTGCTATAATATTTTTATGAAGTCCTGTACGTTTCTTTTTGAGATTAGCCTGAGGTATGTTACGTTTTTGTGGCCATTATCCCTGGAATCTTTATTTTATTTTTTTAACTGGTTATTGTGGGTAAAGACACGCATTGATTTTCTATTTATTAATAGGTGATTTAATGAGCCCTTGTTACGTATCTCAGTAGCTCTTCTGTTTTCCAGGTAGACTTTTTTCTGTATGGTAGTAATAATCATCATCTCTATTTTTCTAACAGATCATTTTAGGATGCTTAATTACTTTTGATAGAACAATGACAAATACAAAGCTTATGGGGATTCTTACCTTTATATAGACAATAATGGTATGCTTCAAGTGGTACTGCCTAAAGATAGATAGTCTTTACCATGACAGCAACTTTCTTCTGATTTGAGTTTATTAGGAAAATGTGTCAGAAAAGAATGTTGAATATTATCAGATGCCTTTCTATGCCTACATCCATGTAGAAGGTGATGACAGGATTTTCCCATGTAACCTCTAATAAGATGCATTATTCTAGTTATATAAGTACTTCTGTCAGTATTCCTTTTATCTTTAACTTTTCTTTATCACTTTATGCTGGAGTGTCTTTTAGACATATATAATTGGATATATATGTACCTGTAGGAGATATTTTATCATTTGATAGAAAGTTTAACACATTTACATTTTTGTTGCAATGGATATGATATACTTGATCTTCTTCTTGTCATTCTATTTCCGTATTCTGTATTTATGCCTCTTTTTTTCTTTGCTGTATGGATTATATTGCCTTTAATCATTTCTTAGTAATCTTGAAGACATATGTCCATTTTTATGGCCATGAATAGTTACCTTTAAGTGTTAAGAAAACACCTAAACTTCTGTTTATCTGTAGTTATCAGTATAAAGAAGAATAAATATCCATTGTATCCCCTTCACATAATACAAGGGACACACAGTTAAGAATGTTTTGGCTAAACAAACAAACAACAACAACAACAAAAACAAAGCTGTGCTCAATGTATCTTAAATAATTAAAGGCTTATTTCTCTAAAATGACAAGAAATCTGAACATAGTCAGTTCTTGGCATTGGTTTAGTAGATCAACAATATAAGAGTCAACATCTTTGCAAATCTCTTCCTCGTGGTAATAAAATGGCTGCTCCAGTTCCAGACATCATATTGACATTCAAGGCAGTAAGAATAAGGGAAGATCTGTGCCAGCCATCTCTATCCCAGGACCCAATACCTAGAAGACTTCACTTAACATCTCATTGGCCAGAACTCTGGCACATGCCCCTCCCCACAAACACAGAGGGCACTCAGAGAGGGAGCATCTCTTCTGCCTGGATGGTATAGGTGAAAAGAAAGGTGTGCCAGCCTCAGGAGAATTAGCACCTGTGAGCTCTTCCCACTTCAATGTCCTCTGTAGGGACTTTCCTACAAAATAAATATTTTCCTTTACAAATTATAGCATTGCATTATCAGTTAAACTGAAGGATAATATAGCATTTTCCCAGTGCATAGTAGGTAGTTCAAAAACATTAGTCAAACCATTTTTTCAGCTTATTCATGAATCACCTACCTTTGAATGGCTCTGCTTAAATTGCCAAATTCTGTATCTTTTATTATGTGATCTCATTTTTTATCTGCATTCCATTCCAACATGATTGCCTTTTTCTATTCCAAGTAATAACAAAATACATTTTCTTTCAAATAATTTGTATTGAGTTATCTATGAAAAAAGCTCCTTCAATGAAAAATAGACATAAATGCTGTCACAGCATCAGGAATAAGTAAGCAGATATCTACCTGTATGGTATTGCTCTCTGATGTTCTAATGCTTTTGTATTTAGATACTTGATCTGTAGTTTAGTTAACTCATTTATGGCTTTAGAGAATTTCTGGTTTAGTACAGAGATGTCAGGGGAATTCCGGTTGCAGAGTGTTGACTGAGATGGTCTTTCTGCTTTCCTCATACCACTTACAGTATGACTACTTGTATAATGAAATATGCTTTCTTCAAGGCTGGATGTTTCCCTGCAAAGCCTGGCATGCTTAGATTTATTTGTGTTGGAAAGTTTATGCAATTATATACACAGTTGTAACTTAAATAGACATGAATCCACTGAAGTTAGTTTTAGAAACTATCCAAAATTAATGCATTTTTGTGGTGCTTTAGAAAGTACTTAAAATTCAGGCTCTTTGGGTTCAAACCCTGGGTCTTCCACCATAAGATATATAGCTTGAGCTAGGCAGTCATTCTTTTTGGGCCTTATTTTATAAAATTTATAAATTTTGATAAATTCAATTACAAAATCAAGTTGGTATATTACAGGATTATTGTGAAGATTAGGAGTCATATGAAAGGGCTCAGAATACTGAATGAATATTTTAACTTACCAAGTCATTTTAACCTTGGTAAGTGTCTTCTTTCTTGGTAAATCTTCAACTCAAGTTCGGATGAACAGGAAAAATGAAAGCTTTAGCTCTGGGGAAATTCTATCATGCTCAGCTCTGCTCCTCAAGCACTGCAGCAGGAACTCTGTTTCTTTTCATTGCATGCTGTCCAGGTGCATTTGTACCAAATAAAATGGTCATGGTGCCCCTCATAGCCATTGTCTTGCAGCTGGTAGAGCACTTCCTAAAAGACCAGGTGTAAGGAACAGCGTGGGTATCTTGTGTGCCTGGTGAGGAGTGCCTATGAGATCTGGGATGGACACTACCCAAGAACAGCCCAACCTGAGTGGACTGGCATGATGGGTTCTGCTCAGCAGGGAGTGGGAACCTAAATATCAGATGGGGTCACCCCGCCTCTTGAGTTCTTGACAAAATTATCTCAAGAACAGATAAGAAACCTGATGCCCTCCCCCTATCTCCACCAGTTCCCGGGGGCTGCCAGTTCTTGACTCCAGCCTCCAGCCTCCAGCTTCTACCCAGTTGACAGTTTTTGCGGCCCTGCAGCATTCCTGCCTATGCTGCTCAGGTTTGTATCACTTGGGCCTGGGTGTATGACTCAGTCTCTTTCCTCAACGATCACAACATAACTTCTTCCAGGCTGTCATGAAGGCAACTTCTTCACAATTCAGTGTCCTGGCTCTCTGCAGCTGAGTACAAACTATACAAGATATAGTGGCCGAAAGCATCAACAACTGTTAATGTTGCTCATGAATCTCCAAGATGCTTCACTCATATGGCTGGAGAATTGAGGCTGGGAGGTCAGACAGGGCTATTAGTCAGGGCCTTGATTCCTCTTCAGGCAGATGTCTCCTCTCTGTGGGGCTGCTTAGGCTCCCTAACAGCATGGGGGCTGACTTCTAAGAACGGAGATTCCAAGACACAGAAAGCAGAAGTGCCAAGTGTCGGAAGTCTAGACGTGGACTCAGAAGCCAGCAGAGCCAACATCACCTGCTCTTTATTCTGCTGGCTGGGCAGCCAGAGAGCCTGCACAGGTTCATGGGGGACCCTCACTCTCAGCAGGTCGCAAATGAACTTGACATCATCGCTAGTTTGCTACATTTAGGAAGTCACGGG
The DNA here is from genome assembly GCF_000001405.40 of Homo sapiens. NCBI lineage: Eukaryota > Metazoa > Chordata > Mammalia > Primates > Hominidae > Homo > Homo sapiens. The sequence goes on from NC_000020.11 coordinate 60,238,381, forward strand.
GAGATTTTACAGCTCTGCATCCTGACAGCTGCCAACTGAATGTCAGACATTCTGAGTCTCAGAAGTCCCTCAGTGAACCATCCTGTCTGTGTGGCCATCCCTGGCCCTCTCTTTTCTCCCATTTTCAGCCCATTGCTCCTCTGTCTCTCTCACCTCTGTGTTTCTGTTCCCTTCTCATGCACAGCAATTTCATGACCATTTTCACTCCTTCATGTTCATTCACCAAATTTCAGGGTCTCACCTACCCGTGTGGCTTTGTAAGATATTTTTTCTAAACAAAGACATATTTCTCCTTAAGAAAAGATAGTTACCAGCTCTTGGAATAACATTTTTTTACTACCTTGCTACAAAGAACATGTAATTAACTAAGTTAATCAAACTGAATCATGACCTGATATCCCCTAGGTCCTATGCTAAGGTCTGAATGTTTGCATTCCCCGAAAAATTGCATGTTGAAACCTACCCGCCAATGTGATGGTATTTGGTGGTGGGGCCTCTGGGAGGTGATTAGGAATTAGTGCCTTCTTAAAAGAGGTCCCAGATAGCCCCCTTGTACCTGCCACCATGTGAGGTTACAGAGAGGAGGCAAGTCTGTGAGCCAGAAGCCAGGGCCCTCACCAGACGCTGCTTCTGCCACAGCTCTGATAGTGCGTGGCCAGCTTGCAGCCTGGGAGAAATGACTTTCTGTTGGTTATGAGCCACCCAGGCTATGGTGCAGCCTGGGTGGACAACGATGATTCTGCACTGCTCTGCCCTTCCTCTCTATCAATCCTCCCCACATCCTCTCTGCTCCAGACGTGCCTGGCCTCTCTGTCTTCCTCCAGGACTCCAGGCACACGCCACTCCGCCCCTGCATGACCACAAGGCCCCACCTCTCCCTTTCTTCTTGATTTTGTTTTAATACCAACTCATTGCCGAGGCTGTTGCTGGACATTTAACATGGTTTTACCCCACCTGGGGACTCTGTCTCTCCTGTGCGCAGTTGTATTTGATCCCCAGCCTTTGTTACCATACAGCGTGCTGGTGGTGCTTTGATTCAGTGGCGCTGTCTGTTTCCTGTGTGAGCAGGGGCTTTGCCTGCTTTGACAGCATCTTCAGCACCTGGAACAGTGCCTGGTGCACAGTGGGTGCTCACTAAATATTCAGAGGGTGAGTCTTACAGGAATGAACAAAAATATATTGGGAATTGGCCAGTAAGGGTTGCAAAGGCAAATGTGGTGAACTATGGCTCCGGCTTGCCTGGGACTGAGGCATTTCCAAGGATGCAGGACTTCAAATGTTAAACCCAGGAAAGTCTCAGGCAAACCAGGACAAGTGGGTCGCCCTAATGAGAACCCCCAAATGTCCTCAGAGAAATCAGGGTGCTGTAGCAATGACAGCGGGGTCTGGAGGGAAAGCCTGAGGGTGGTTGTCCCGTCTTGCATTTGGTCTGGACAGATCTAGGCTTCAATTCATAGCCACCTGCATCCTTGCCACGACTTAAGGCTGATCACACAGCCCAGCATCACAGTCTAACAATGAAGGATGTGGCAGGTTGTTGTCTTGGAGGAAGGACCTGATTTCCAATTTATCTGAGCTGCTTGGAGCCCATGCTGCTTTACAGCATTGTTCAGAACTGACGAGGACTCTGTCAACTCTCTTTTCTCTCTCTTCCTAAGCACTCTGCAGTGATATCTTCAAGCCCCTGGCTTCGCAGGGTGCAGCACACATCACAGACTCCTAACAAAATGCAAAACACAGAGCAGGCATGGCAGCTACACGAAAGGAGCGCCTCGTTCGAGGACTGCCCACCATGCGGGGCTGCAGTCACAGCACCGCCCCTGCTCTCTGAACCTGGCAGCAGCAAGAAAACATGACGTCCTGTCCTGGCTCACCTCTGATCAGAGTTGGGGGGATCTGACCGAGTCCTCTTGTTCTGTTGGGCAGAGACGTAGGGAACAAACCTAAGTAAACTTGAATGGAAACTGCGAAACTGCAGAGAGATGACATGTGCAAAGCAAGCCTCTTGAAGACTTGTGAGCAGGGAAGACCCTGGCACCTTTTTGAACTGCTTGGCTTAGGAAGATTTGCTTTGCCACAGCTTCTGTCAGAGCAGAGCAGGCTCCTGTATTGCCTGCTGGACCTGTGCCTTTTGGGCCGTGCAATTTGGTTCCACAATCCAGAGGCAGATTTTCAGACCATGCAATAAAACAAAGCGACATCATCAATGCCAAGCCCTGGTCTGCCCTGAGCCATGGCAGCGTTTCCGCTGAGCGAGCTGCCTTCCAAGGAGGATGCTCTCTGCTGTGCAGTGCTTACATCTGCTGTCACCAGCCGGCTCAGGGGTGACAACCAGTCACACTCCAGTGACTTCCTCCCATGTCCCTCCAAACATCTTTGGAGTGAAAGGGAGTCTCCAATTATATGCTTTCTTTTTCCTTTCCAAACCAAGACGATGTTCAGTAATTAATGGCATATTTTGAATATGCCAGGGAGATGTGCATTTTTCTCCAAGGAAGAGTGAAACAGCAGCACATGTAAATACAAACCTGAAGCCGGGGCTCCTTCCACACCAGCAGTCGGTAGACTTGCCATAAAGGAGTGGAGATTATTTTGCCCTGCTGAGAACGATCCTTTTTGTTCAAGGGGGAGAAAAGTTTTTGACAGTAGGTGCTGCTGCAGAGGCATCTCGGCAAGTCCTTTATTAAAATTTATTTCTCGTCTTTTATTAACGAGATTTGGTTCGGGGAGACTATCTTGTGGAATAATTAAACCCCTGCCTTTCAAGCCAGTTTTCAGCAGTGGGCTGGGATTTGGCGATGGGTGACTCAGCAGCAAAGAGGACAGGAAACAGTCAAGAGACAAACAGTGCAGATGTGTGCCGGGGTCCACATTTCCCCTGTGGGTGGTCCCTGCCCCAGCATCTCTACGTTGTCCCAGCTAAGAATATGGTCTTTGGAGTCCTACTAATGTGGATTTAAATCTGATCTCCACCCCTTCCTCCTGTGTGACCTTGAGAAAGCCTCAGTTTTTCCATCTGTAAAATGAAGAAATTGTTACGGGGGAATCAAATGAGATAATCCTTGCAGAATCCAGCACACAGCCACCTACACATGGTAAGTCTCAGCGCAGACATCCTTTCAAGTTGTGTTGCTGATAGATAAAGTCTCTCTGAGATCCGCCGATCTGCAGTCTTCTGAGGCCATGGCTTGACCATGCTGCCCTTCTACTGTAGAATGAATGTTTTCCTGCAGATCCAAGCTCTCACTATGTTTAATCAAATTTAACCCATAGAATATTCACAGCAACATTATTCATAATAATGCAAAAGTGGAAACAACCCAAACACACATGAACTGATGAATGGATAAACAAAATGTAGTATATCCGTACTTACTATATATGGGATATTATTATCTGGTGATAAAAAGGAATAAAGTCCTGATACCTACTACAACATGGGTGAACCTTAAAACATCATGCTAAAAGAAAGAAGCCAGACAAAAAAGGCCATATACTATGTGATTCCTTTCATATGAAATGTCCAGGATAGGGCAGTCTGTAGAGACAGAAAGCAGATTAGTGGTTGACAAAGAGCTGGGGAAAGTGGAAATGGAGAATGACTGCTGATAGCTATGAGCTTCCATTTTAGAATGGCGAAAGCATCCTAAAATTAGATGATGAGGATGCTTACACAACTGTGTCAATATAACAGAAAGTATTAAAATGTTTATTTTGAACAAGTAAATGCTTATGTTGTGTAAATGAAATCTTAAAGCCATTAGTATAGCTGATGATGAATACTTGTCCTTCAGTGTCCATTTGTGCACATAGAGTGCCATGTTCACTTTTATATAGAATGCATGCATTTATGTATATTGTATACAATGTAGGCATTTGTAGGCATGGTCTTTTTGTTTTCACTTGCATGGACTACTGAATCTGAGGGCAGGACCTTTGTGTGCTTAGAAACTCTTGATTGATCTGTGGGTCCCACCCACAGATGGAGGCCAATTTTAACTTGTCAACTGCTCAGAAGCAAGACAGAAAATTATCAAAGAGACTTGCACCATGAATACTTACTCAGGATAGATTAAGACAGTGGCTCCCAGATGCTAATCTGTGGATTGGTAGCATTTTTAGTGATGAAGTGTCTAAAAATTAGAACCAAGTGATTAATAGTATTGTCTCAATATGAATTTATTAGTTTTGACAGCCATACTATGATTATGTAAGATGTCATCATTACAGGAAGCCAGGTAAAGGATATATAGAAACTCTCTATTTTTGCAACTTTTCTGTAAATATACTTTTTTTCTACAATAAAAGTTTACTTACACAATCTACTACCCCCCAAAAAATCCAAAAACCCAAACTAACAACAGTGACAAAATAAAGACAAAGACAGAAAGACCTTGGCAGTAACTTAAAATAAAAAACTCTCTTCTATTCTAAAATGATCATCTTGATATTGGTAACGTTAAATGTTCCTTTTATGGAGAGGCATTAAATGGAATTTGCATTTATTCTTTTCCAACTTGACAACATAAAAGGTGACAATTCTATGTCTCCAGAGTTGTAGCAGATGCAGTCAGATTCTGTCCCTGTTCTCAGCCAGCACTCTTCCCCTGCATGGGTGGGATTCTCTAAAGAGTGCTGTCTACACTGTCTCCCAGAGGTGCCCAGGGAGTCTGTGCCCCAGTGGCCCACACAGGTAACCTCAAACTCTCTGCTGGGCACCCTATTGACTCCTTGCCTCCTCTGCCTTCCTTCCCCATCCCTACTGGTGTTTGTCAGGGTTACCTCCTGCTAAAATATCTGCCCTTGGATTCCTAGCCTTGGTCTGCTCCTGGGCTACCCAAATTAAGACATTTGTGGTTTGTGAAGTTGAGAATATGGGACTACTGACTAAAGCTTAAACTGAAATATGGAATACCATGTGTATGTGTCATTTCCAGGATGGCCATTAGCACAGACCAGGAGTGGTGCTAGACCCTGGGCGTGGGGACTCGATTCCTCGGGTTGTCACAACAAAGTATCAACAACTGAGTGACTTACAACAATGGAAATTTATTATACCATCTCACAGTTCTGGAGAGTAGAAGCTGGAAATCCAGGTGTGGGCAGGGCCATGCTCTCTTGGAAAGCTCTATGGGAGGATCCTTCCTTGCCTGTTCTAGCTCCTGGTGTTTGATGGCAAGCCATGGCTTTCCTTGGCTTGCAGCTGTGTGGCTTCAGTCTCTGTCTCTGTGGTCACACAGTGTTCTCCACGCATCCCTCTGGGCTTCCCTCTTCGTATAAGGACACTAGTTGTATTGGATTAAGAGCCCACTCTACTCTGACCTCATTGTAGCTTAACTAATTACATATGCAATAGTCCTGCTTCCAAATAAGGCCCCATTCTGAGGTCCCAGGAAGGACAGGGATCTTTGATGGACACAATTCTATCCAGTGCAGGATGCAAAGAGGAAGACATGGACAAGACCCTGCCTCAAGGTGCTTATAGACAACTGGGTGTGTATGCATGTATGTGCAGATATTAACTAAACAAACAGAAGCCAATGAATAATTACAAAGATATAGACTTTTTAAAAAGGATACTCTGAGCTCACATGAGAAAGCAAGCTGGCCCAGCCTGAAGAGGTGAAGGCGAGAAAGTCCAGAAACCCAGGTGAAGGATAGGAGCAGCCGTGGGTGAACATCAGCAGGTGTTCACCTCCCACCTGAGGCCAGGCGCTCTGTTCTCACTGGCTGTGCATCGAAGTTATTTTAAAGGCCCTGGAAGGGCTGAGAGCCAGGGAGAGACAAGGGGCAGAAAGAAGAGAGCATGTGGAGTTTAGCAGGTGCACTGGATGGAGGATGGAGAAACACCCAGTTCAGTGACCTACATACAGCAAGATCAGCAAGATCTTCTAGGAGCTTCCAGGAGACACGCCCCATCCTACAGATGGACTTAGTTCTATGAACACGGGGTCCAAGGAGGACCCACAGGCATCTGGGGATGCTAACATAGGGTGGCCTCTACAGAGCCCTTGCTGCATCTGGTTTAGGTTGGCTCAGAGAGAAAGATGTCCAGAGTGGAGGTGAGGGGAGTGGAGAGAGGAATGGGAGGGCTAAAAGGGCAAGGGACCTGGAGAGAAAAGGAAGAGAGTGAGGAGAGAGGGAGATGGATGGATGGATGGGAAAGGAGAAGAAAAGGTAGAAGGCTGGATGGAGAACATCTCTCTACAGACAAAGAAGACGGGGAGGAAGAGTGAGGAGAGACGAGGGGAAAAAGAACTGAGGCAAGGGGAGAGAGAGAGGGTAAAGGAGGGAAAGACAGATATGGAGAAAGAAATGGAGACCTAGAGACAGAGACAGAGGTGGAGAGAGATGGAGAAATAGAGCGATAGGGAGAGGGAGATTTCTTTCAGGAGAGCAGAGTGCGCTCCCTATCTGGAGCCTGAAGAATGGCTCTGCTCCTCCTGCTTTCTTCCTCCCACCCTTTCACCTCCCTTTTCGCTCTGGAACATTCCCTGAGGTCCCCTAATGCACTTAACTATTGCCTTGCTAACCAAGGCCTACACTTGCTGGCTGAAAACCACGTCAGTGGTTTCACCCAGAAAAACCACGTTCAGCATTCAGCTTCCAACAATAAGTGGCATAAGTAATAGCATGGGACCCCCTTTGCTGGAGGGGCTTCCTGACAATTTGTTCTCTCTGCGATGTTGAGACTGATTGCCTGGGAAAGACAATGAAATCACACGGGAAGTCCTATTATTGGGGTGAACCGTGTGACTCACTGGCTGCACAGTGGTGCATGGGGCATGGGGCGTTATTTGGGACTCTCTGGGAAGCATTAGATATGAAATTACTTTGCATGATGCAGCTCAGACGTGAATAGTGCAATGCTCAGGACTACATGATTCAGTGAGAAAATATAAATGGAAAATTACTGGAGCTGAAATTTTATTGCAAAGTTATTTATCTTTGTTATTACTTTCTGAATCCTTTTGTGCTTTTTGTTCACAGCGATGGATAGAGGCACTCTTACTTACACTTTAAGTAGAGATTAGGAGGGGAAAATATTCCTCGCTGTACCACAAAATACAGATTAAGTCTCAGCTCAGGCCTCTGATTTCACCCATTACAATGAAATGTCTACAAACTGAAATAATAACAATAAAAAAATTTTGTAGTCTTTTCCGCAGACAGTTCACATGGCTTCCTACTGATTCCATTTAGCCTTTCTTATTAGAATATTAATGGCAAAAATAGAGCTCTGATGGAGACGTGCCTGGGATTTCATAATTGCACGGACTCCAGCTTGTAACCCAGGTATTCAGAAGATGGGGCTGGGAATTTTGTTGAATCAGACCCGTAAGATAACACCAAAATCAATAATCTAAATAGCCACCCTTTACTTTTTCAAAGAGCTCTATTATGTTTAGGATTGTCACCAATATTCTCTTCTTTGATTATTTTTTAAACTGTATATGGTTTTTATTAAAAGAAAAACTAATTTTGCTTATAAAATAAAAATATGCATTGCAAAATATATGTATACATAAACATACACATTTAAGAGAGTTTTAACAAAAGATTTTCTGTTTTTACATTATTATCATGCAAGAATTTGCTGCTGTATTCAGAGAGGAAGAAATAAGAGTTTTCCTTTTCTCTTCTCTGGTTTTTACAGTCATGCCGTGAGGGCCCAGAGACTGTGTCACTGTTGTGATGATAGAGTGCAGGGCCCTTCAAAGGGAGGTCTGTGGGCCAGCAGCACCCAAGGTAACCCTGGGGAGCTTGTCAGAAGAATTCAAAATGTGCGTCCTGGGCCCCCACCCTGGACCTGTGTGGTGGGGCCCAGGAATCTGTGTTTTAACAATGGGTTCAAGGTGGACATGCTTGGATACAGAGGCCTTTTCACTGGTAGATGTTGCCACTGGGTGGGAATTAGGATATTGTGTCTGGAGTCAAATTGCCTGGGTTCAAACCTCAGCCCCACCACTCTGTCCCTTAACTCTGTGGTATCAGGTAAGTTATTTTTTTCACTTATGTATTTATTTATTTGAGGCAGAGTTTCGCTCTTGTTGCCCAGGCTGGAGTGCAATGGTGCAGTCTCAGCTCACTGCAACCTCTGCCTCCCGGGTTCAAGTGATTCTCCTGCCTAAGCCTCCCAAGTAGCTGGGATCACAGGCACCTGCCACTATGCCCAGCTAATTTTTGTATTTTTAGTAGAGACAGGGTTTCACCATGTTGGCCAGGCTGGTCTTGAACCCTTGACCTCAGGTGATCCACCTGCCTTGGCCTCTCAAAGTGTCGGGATTACAGGTGTGAGCCACTGCTCACTTGCTTATCTTAAAATAATGCCTTGGCAGTGGGGTGAGGTGCAGTGGGGGACATTTTGGGGTGCTTGCAAGTGTGTATCCTCATTCTCTGTTAATCCCAAAGGGCTCTCCTCCCAAGCACCCAACGAGCAAGATGGGTCTGAGGATACCTGTGAGAAGTAATTCAACACATCTTTCACACATGGGCCAATTTGCTGGTCTAAGTTAAATTGGAGTGACAAGGACAGCTGCTTAAAGAGTGAGTTCTAAAGCCCCAGGAATTAGGTGATGTCTTGAGCTGGGGTGAAGCAAGGCAAGTGGGATGGGGAGAGATGGCTGGCTTCTGCAGGAGTGAGGCTAAGGGAGGAAGGCAGGGCTGCCCGGCAGCCCGCATGTTCCAGAAGAGGCCACGAGAGATGTCTGTCCCACAGGGGCTTATAGCACCTTGCACTCCCTCAAAGGGCGGTGTCTCATGTCCCCTCTGTTAGGCTCTGGGTGGGCTTTTGTGACAGCTTTGATAATGTTCTGGAAGAGATGCTGCTGGGCTTCTGGGCTCCCGCGACCCCTTAGAGAAAGTGGTGCAGCTTCTCATTGGCTCTGTCTCTCTCCGAACACGCCCCTTTTGGAGCCCTCTGGAAAGGAAGACACTGAGCAACCAAATAACATATTTTGACACTAATTTCCTGAGACCATTTTTCTTTTTTCTTTTTTTTTTCTTTGAGATGGAGTCTCGCTCTGTCTCCCAGGCTGGAGTGCAGTGGCACGATCTCCGTTCATTGCAAGTTCCGCCTCCCAGGTTCACGCCATTCTCCTGCCTCAGCCTCCCAAGTAGCTGGGACTACAGGCACCCGCCACCACTCCCGGCTAATTTTTTGTGTTTTTACAGAGACGAGGTTTCACCGTGTTAGACAGGATGGTTTCGATCTCCTGACCTCGTGATCTGCGTGCCTCGACCTCCCAAAGTGCTGGGATTACAGGCTTGAGCCGCCACGTCCGGCCTCAGACCATTTTTCTAGAGATGGTGAAATTGCCCCTTACATGAATCAAGCAATAGATAAAAATATTGGTCCAGTGTTTGGGGAGAATGGTAGGATGTTCTCTGGCTGAGCTCTCTCTTTCCTTCTCTCTCTCTCTCTCTCTCTCTCTTCCTTTCCTTCTCCTTTCTCACTCTCTCTTCTCCCCATTTCCACTCTCTCCACTAGGTTCTCTTCTCTCTCTGTCTCCCTCTCACCCTCTTTGTCACTGGGCTCTCTTTACGTGTTGCTTTTCTAGAGAAGTAATCCCAACATAAGGTATATTGAGAAGTTTTCAATGGTTTTCCTCTCAGAACCCTGTTCATGGGGTCTAGCAGGGCATGCACCCCAAGAATCCTAATTCTTGGAATTTTAAATACTAACATTTGGGGATGAAGGCCTTGTTTCTGTGCTATCAAACAAATAATATTTCTGTGAACACACACAGATGCATGCCCCCCCCCCTCCCACACACACACACACACCCCACTCCAGTACTTACATGCACGTCCACCTTCTTCCAGGAGGAGGAAAGGAAAGGGAAGGAAGCTTTTTCTCCATTGCCCAAAGTCTTTGATATTTGTATTAGTCTGTTCTCACACTGCTATAAAGAACTGCCCAAGGTGGGATAATTCATAAAGGAAAAAGGTGTAATTGACTTGCAGTTCCGCATGGCTGGGGAGGCCTCAGGACACTTACAATCACAGTGGAATGCACCTCTTCACAGGGCAGCAGGAGACAGAATGAGCGCCGAGCAAAGGGGGAAGCCCCTTATAAAATCATTATATGAGAACTCACTCACCATCACAATAACAGCATAAGGGAAACCAGCCCCATGATTCAATTATCTCCACCTGGTCCCTCCCTTGACATGAGGGGATTATTACAATTCAAGGTGATATTTGGGTGGGGACACAGAGCTAAACCACATCAATATTGATTCCTTATTTACTGATTTTCTAATTTCCTAGAATTCATCTGGGCCTTGTACTGTCTTTTGGTGCAGGTTTAACCACAGTCTTGACTGTGTTAGGAAGTCTCCTGATGCCATGGACTCAGCCTTGCAAAAATGGTCTCCTCTGTATTTTATCCAGTTCTTTAGAGTAGGTAGGGAATTTTATTGATTGAAACATCTTTATAAAAAGACTCTTCTCCTTCCATCCCTCCTCTGAAACACATTTCTTTCTCTTGACATTTCATAAATTTCTGGTTATGTTTAGTAATAATAGCAAGAATAGCAGTGATGATAGCAGTAGAGTTGTAGTAATTGATCCATATGCTAAAATTTTATGATGTCTCACATTTTTCTTTAACGTGTATAAACTCACTGATTCTTTGGGAAGTCACTCAGTGGGTTTGGGACGAGGCTAACTGCCCTTGTCTTCCCATCAAGGGAGCTGTCACTCAGACAAGTTCAATCAGCACAGGCCATCCCCTGGCCTTGGGATTTGTGTAAGGATGAGAATGAGACCCCAAATGCCCCATAAGAATAGATCATGTGGGTGGGGTGGGAGAAAAGGTCTCCTGCTGTGAGATCAGAACTGTAAACTTCATGGAAGCAGGGGCTTTGTGCTTGTCCCTCCTTCTTATGGAGAAAGACTGTCTGGACATGAGGTGATCCCCAAGAAAGCAATCGAGGGGACATGTCAAGAACATTTGAACACAGAGTCAGCCTCGCTTCATTTCCATATGTCTCATGAAATTCCATTTACATGAGCTAGCATTTTTTTTCTATAACTCAGATTGAGTTCAGTTTTGTCATTTGCAGTCAGAGTCTTGGTAGTACAATTACTATGGCCATTTCGTTGATAGCAAGCTACAGATGACAGAGCCGAGGTCGTCTCCTCCAGGTCCCAGAGCTGCTATGTGGCTGAGCTGCAGTTCAGAGCCAGGGTGACTCAGCTTGCAAGCCTGTGCTCCTCACCTCCGTGGCATGCTTCTCCCAGGCTGGCACTGAATCACCGGAAGGACTCCTTAAGACATGGATAGGGGATCCACCCCAGAGGTCCTGAATCAGCAAGTCTGGGGAGGAGACTGAGAATTGACTTTTCTATCAAGTTCCCCAGTGATGCTGATGCTGCTGGTGTGCGTACCACGTTCTGGAACCTCCGCTCCCTGCTCTAGGGCCTTCTGGGTGGAGCCCTAGAGCTGAGCTCCCAGCTGTGGGCATGGCAGGCACTGAAGAGTGTTGCTTTAGGGTAATGTGTTAACAGTCTAAGAAGGTGCGTGGTGAGTAGGCTGACCATTTCTCTCTCTTATTGAACAAAATATTGCTAAGCCCTGGATTTTCTCAGCTGTAAATCACTGAAATCTGAATAAAATTACCCCTACAATGAATCAATCAATAGATTAAAATATTGGCCCAGTGTTCAAGAAGGACTGAAGGATGCTCATTGAGCTCTCTCTTTCCTTCTCTCTCTCTTTTCTCCCCACCCACACTCCCTCCCCCGTGTTCTCTTCTCCATCTTTCCACTGTCCCCCTCTCCTTTGCTGGGCTCTCTTTATGCATTGCTCTTACTCTGTACCAGCACAGGTGGGCTCTTGGCATGTGACAGGGCAGCCAGCCAGGCAGCTCTGTGCTGTGGGGTGATCTTCTCTGGCGGCTCCGACAGACACGCGTGCAAGAGGAGACTCTGAATAACTGGGCCTTAGCTTGGATGCACCTCAGTCATGCTGTGGGCAGAGAGAGCCTATGTCACCAGAAAAAAGGAGAGGGCTGGAGAAACATGCTGGAAAGACAAACAGCAAAAACATTTTCCTGGATCATCCTGGCCCAATGTAACCATGAGTCATTAAAACTGGAGGAAGGTGGAAGAGTGCTCAGAGGGTTGAGACAGGAGAGGAAGGAGAAGAGATTCAAAGCATGAAGAGACTCAGCACTGCTGGCTGGGATGATGGAGGAAGGGGGCTACAAGCCAAGAAGTGTAGGCTCCCTTTAGACACTGGGCAGGGCCCGCAGCTGACATCAAGGAGACAGGACTTTGGTCTTGCAACAGTGAGGAAATGTGTTCCACTCACGCAGTGAGCAGGCAAGGAAGCAGGTTCTCTCCAGAGCCTCTAGAGAGAAACCACAGCCCTAAGACACCTTGATTTTGGCCCCGTGAGACCTATGCCAGCCCTCTTACTGCCGCAGGGTGAGATAGGAAATTGGTGGTGTTTCAGTCACTGAATTTGTGGCAATGGGTTATAGCAACAATGGAAAACTACGGAAGAACCAAATACCCCAGCTGTATCAAATTAAGAGACATAAGCCCTGTTGCAAACCCTGGCTCATTGCCTCACCTGCAGGGTCCGTCGTCCTCCCTGAGGTGCAGTTTCCTTGCCTTTAAAATAGAAATAACAGCACAACCAACCTCCCAGGTTGCTCTTTTAATTGAATAACATTATTCTTGTAAGGCACCCAGCACATACTAGCTGTTCAATAATTGTTAAATTATGAAGAAGAACCAAGAGAAAAAAAGAGAGAGAAAGAAGCTCCTTTGATATTTTTTGGACTTTTAAAAATAAACTGGGTCAAAAAGAAATACAGCTTAAATATATGTTGCAGACTAATTCAGTTTTGAAGTCTTTTGAGAGCTTTTATATTTTCATCTCTATAAAATTGTAGAGTGCCTGAAAATACTCCAAAATACATTAAAATTTCATTAGAAGGTGCTGTATGGGGCCACACCTTATTTTTCTTGAAAGGAAAGGAATGTGAAGGGGAGGGAACCAGAAACACATAATTTCAAAATTCCACTTCCAAATGCATCTATTTTTTGACATTTAAAATCGCAAACAGATTCAAATGCCTTGGCTATAGTGTCACAGCAAGTTGAAAACCAAGCACATTAACATGGAATTATTTCTGTATTAAAAGGTTAACCTTGTCGGTGCTCAAATGTGCTTGCTTCCCATTTCATATGGCTGGGTGTGTGGTTTTTCTCCTGCATTACATTTCCCTATCACACAAAACAGCCTTGACCCAACTCTTTTATTTTTGCTCGACTTCCCTGTCTTTTAGGATGGACATAAAACCTTGGAGTCTTGGGGTTGGAGTCCTGTATACACCGTCTACCAGGTGGGGCCGTGGGCTGGTTATTCAGCCTCTGTGATTCTCCCTGCTGGCACCTGTAAAGTGGGGACAACAGTGGAACTATCTGACTGATTGAGTGGTTGGAGGATGGGACAAGAGAACCCCGAGAATGCACTTGGCAGAGTAGCCCCTGAAACTCACAGGCTATAAGTGTTCTCATCGCCTCCACTCACCCCCTTAACAGTTCTAGTGCCGAGTATCCAACCCAGGCTGGTGTTTATTCACTCCAGCGTCACATAAGTAATGTCATTCAAGGTCTCTGGATCTTATCCGCCTGTCTTTTACTTCTCAGCTCCTAGGTGCTCTGCCCATTGATTTGTTGCTGCTATTCTAGGAGGGTGTACATTCAAAAATATTTATCATTCTTCCCCTGCCCACCCTACCACCCACGCCTTGACTGTCCAGGGATGAGGGTTTATTCTCAAATCATTGGTCGGGGCCAAGCCCACACACTTGCAGTATGGAATCGTCCTTTACTCATTGGTTTATTAACAGAAAATCATTTTCTAACTCACTATTACAATAACAATGATTATTGCAATTGAATTGCAATTCAAGGTGTCTTCCAGTGTTTCAATGGTTATTTTTATTTCGCAGTTGCCAGTATTGCTAATAACTCATAAGGGGTTACAGTCATCACCCACTCCTATTAGCTTCAAGGTGTCTGCAGCAGATGCAGGGAGGCAGGAGTTCTTGCGGGGCAGAGGGGCTTTAGCAATCCCCTTGTCTGAGTCTCATCCAGGGAGTCAGCTTCTGTTTGATTCCTGTACTCGTCCCCCTGCCACTTCCACCTGTCCAAGGCTTCTGAGGAGCTGTCTGGTACGGAGGCACCTCAGACCCGCCAGGACGTTCTGTCTGACTTGACGTCTGACTTGACATCTGCCCTTTGTTCTGAGGGGCCAAGGTCAGGCAGTGGAAGGAGAGCTGGCTGCCTGCCTCTCTGCACAGGGAGGCTGAGTCTACTTCAGACCACCTGTCTCCAAAGCTCAGACCACTTAAGATGTGAACACAGAAAACCTGCAAGAACCTTTCTGAGGGGATGTGGGGTCTCTGAGTTGGGATTTCTCTCGAGATAAGGATTTGAGTGATTGAAGGAAACACCAGTTAGAGAGTGGGGAAGGGAGACAGGGACTGAAGGAGGTTGCATCCTTGAAGGTGCATCCTCAAGCTATACTCCATGAGGCAACTGACCCCACTTGCAGCCTTTGTGGCACCATGAGGGAAGTGGAGAAAATGTCTCTGCACTGTCCTGAGAGAGGTGTGGGAAAGCAAGGGCTCATCTGCAGCCTCCACCCATCCTGGGCCAAGGCTGCTCCCATTACCCATTCTGGACTCAGAGCTGCAAGTGCCCCCCAGGTAGCAGCCTTCCGTGTTTTGAGGAGGCTCCTCACCCTTCTCCAGCCAGCTTCTTTCTTCAGCCTGATGCTTGGGGCTCCTGGCAACTTGAGGTCCGACCTCCTGGCTGTAGTGGTGGCAGTGACAGAGAGAGGGCTTAACAGAATCTCCATGTAGGAAAGAATCTTAAAGGGTGAGCATTAGGTATGTAAAGGGAGGGTGTTTACTGCAAACTGCAGGTGCACTGATGCCCATGTATGTCTGCAGCCACTGTCATTCCTACCTGGAGAGAGCTCAGGAGAGAGATGGTCAGGACAGAAGTCCGTCTGTGGCTGAGTCAGTACCTCAGGTGGGAAGAAGCTGATGGAATCCTTCTTGGGCAGCTCCTGCCCCTCTCCAGCCTAACTGTAAGCAGTTTGGAGCCCCAGCACTGGCCGGGGGCGGGGAGGGGGGCGGTTCATTTTCTCCTTACGTCCATCTGGAGCTCCCTGAAAATGCTGACAGGAAGGTACAGGATGTTGCAGTCCCTGCTGGGCTGGGGCAGCCCAGTGTGGCCTCTCCAGGTGGAGTTCCAGGCTGCCGTGCAGTCAGGTGGGAGAGGAAGTCTAGGTGGATGGATGGGGCCATGGCTTCGAGCTGGTGGACAGGCACCTGGTAAGAACTCCTATTAGGACACTCAGAAATTTCTGGGGCCACTTTGAGGATCCTCATTTCATCAATCAGGCCAGTAGGTAGATACTAGTGGAGGGTGTCTACCCACCACCAGGGGGTCAGCCTACCCATTAGCAAACACAGGGAAAGTCCAGTTGATGGACAGGCTGTAGAGTAACAAGCCTCAAGATTAAGGAATTGTTTCATATTAAAAGGAGACTAAAGAGATGAGAACTAAATGCACCAAGTGATCTTGGATGGATCCTGTGCAGGAAAAAAATCCTATCAAGGACATTATTGGGACAATTGACAAAATTGGAATACGATCTATCATTTAGATTTTTGTATTAATGTTATATCTTCTGAAGTTAGTGACTGTGCTGAAAATATGTAATAAGTCTTGTTCTTAGAGTGTAGACACTGAACATCATGGAGAAATGGGCACGGTGGGTGCCACCTGCCTAAAAATGACTCCGAAACGCAAGCTTGCACACACACACGTGCACACGTATGGAAAACTAGGCAAAATGTTAAAAATTAGTGAATCTGGGTAAAAGGTGTATTGGAGATCTTTGTACTATTCTTGCAAATTCTTTTATAACTTTGAAAATAATTTCAAAATAAAACATTTCTTAAAAAGGTATTTTGAAGGCCAGGCATGGTGGCTCACGCCTGTAATCCCAGCACTTTGGGAGGCCAAGGTGGGCGGATCACGAGGTCAGGAGATCGAGACCATCCTGGCTAACATGGTGAAACCCCGTCTCTACTAAAAATACAAAAAATTAGCCGGGTATGGTGGTGGGCACCTGTAGTCCCAGCTACTTGGGAGGCTGAGGCAGGAGAATGGTGTGAACCTGGGAGGCAGAGCTTGCAGTGAGCTGAGATGGCGCCACTGCACTCCAGCCTGGGCGACAGAGCAAGACTCTGTCTCGGAAAAAAAAAAAAAAGATATTTTGAACTTAGGTTTAGTTACAACTTAGGCCAGAATAGCACACCCATAGGTGCACACACAGGATTGTCTCCCTGAAGGTAAACAGCCCCCTGCCCCCATTACTCCTACCCCCACCCCACCCCCTCACCGAGCGTGGTTCATGGAGCACCCAGGCAACCCCACTGCAGACGCCAGCATTCGGGTGCATCCACTCAGGAACTCTGATTTGGGACTCATGCTTGAAACAGCCAATTGCGTTTTTTTCTGTCTTTATCCTCTTATTCCACGTGACCTCTTTTGCTGTTTGCTCTGAAGCTGACCCTTACTGAGCCCCAAGGCCCTTCCAAGTGAATCATGACTGTGTCACATGGCCTGTATTTTAAGCCAGATTCTTGCTAACATACTCGCAAAATTGGGTGAAAATTTATCCGGTCCTTTTGGCATGATGTCATGAAAGAAACTTAATTTTTTTGCTAGAGTGAGCCTGTCAGGCAGGGCCAAGGAGGTTACAGGAAGGGTATGGCTCACCCACAGACCCTCCTGGGGAAGCCAATATCCAAAATGCCCAGGCACAGGAACTGTTAGGTCACTTTCATCAGTGAGAGGGATGGGCAGAGGGCCAAGCACTCACCCTCAGAGCCAGAGACATTGCCCCGAGGCACCTTTATATTAGAAAACGACAGGAAATAGAACAGTGCCACACAGGCAAAGCATCTGTCCATTGTGATCAAATCAGGTGCAAAGTATAAGAAATGAGAGGACCCTGTGATGTTGCTGGGGTCTTCCTTTCTCAGTATCTCCTTGAAGCTGAGGTCCAGGAGGGGCTGGGTCTGGCTGGAAGAAGGATTTGCAAGAGAAGGAAATCTACCCCCAACCCCCAGAGGAAAGAGGGTGCTCCCCGTGGTGCACAGTGGCAGCAGCTGGAATTAGGGCAGGCAGTGTAAGGCTGCTGCAGACACAGAAACTGAAAACACACAAGGACACTCCCAGGGATTCATAAACACACCAGCCAGGTGTCCTCTCCACAGCCCATTTGCAGCTGGCAGAAAAACCCTCCCAATCTGCAGGGAGGAGCTTCACAGGGACCCTGGAGAGAATGTTGTGCTTCAGCGAGTTCACATAAAATCATCTCTGACGGTGTTGAGGAAAGGTGAGCAGGGGACTGGCCACCCTATATTAGGTTTGTAAAATTTTAATATTATTCCTTTTAATTTGTGAAGTCAATATTTTCTTTTCTCTGTGCTGGGAAAGGCTGCGCCGTGGGGGCCGACTCAGGGTCCTCTCCTCGCTGGGAGGCCATGGCCTCTTATGTCTTATTCACTGGCCTCCTGGCAGACTCATAATGAGCCCACGGACCTGCTGTGGAATGAAGCCAAAGCTGTGAGTGTGTCTGGGTGACTTATTCTCCTCTCCCAGTGCCAGGGAACTTTGGTCTCTCAGTCACTCATGGATTCAGCAGATACTTCGGAGCAGCTGTTATGGACCAGGTGCTCATAGCTCTCACATCACTAGGTACTGAGGTGAGAGCTGTGAGTAGAATGGCAAAGTCCCCACCCTGGGGGGCTCACATTCCAGCCAGGAGATGCACAGGAAATAAGGGAGCAGACAGCCCCACGGGGTGTGCTGTGAGATGCCAGCTATGATGAAGCCGCTCAGGGCTGGAGCGGGTGGCTGGAGATTAGGTGGGTCAAGGTCTTCGGGAAAACTGCAAGGCCACCTGAGCCCAGGGGACAGGTGCCTTCAGATGAATTAGGGGTCAGGGAGTGGGAGCAGTGGAGGAGGACCTGGGATGTGGGAAACAGTGGGAGGAGCACAGCCTGTGGGGCTCAGGAAGGGTTTTGGGTTGCATCTGAGTGACAGGAGAAATGGGTTTGGAGATAGAGTAATGACATGGTCAGAGCCGTGTTTTTATAAGGAGCTTCTGATGGTGAGCAGAGATGGGGTCTGGGGTCAAGGACAGAAGCAGAGGGATGAGGCACTCAGTATCAAAGCCAGTCAAATCATTAGAATGACCCTACTTGAATTCAGTGTCTGTGATCCTCAATGGCTGCCCAGACTGAGCTGTGCGAGGCAGAGTGTCCCTGTTCCTTATCTGTCCCCATGAGTGGTCATGGTATTGGTGACAGCGGGAAGCAGCCAACACTTAGGGGGTACTCTTGATGGGCTAGACCAATGCTTCTCAACAAGGGGGATTCTTCTCCACAGCGTACATTCAGCAATGTCTGGGGGCATTGTCATTGGCACATTTGGGGGTTGTGCTCCTGGCATCTAGTGGGTGCAAGCCAGGGATGGCGCTCAGCATCCTGCAGGGCACAAGATGACCCCACCTCAGAGTAGTGTCTGACACAGAAAGTCCCAAGTGCTGAGGCTGAGAAATCTTGGGCCAGAACAGGATAAAGGCTACGTGTGCTTTGCTTCATTTCATCCTAGGAGAACCCTGTCAGGAATTATGATTCTCATTGTGTAGTTGGGGAAGCTGAGACATGGAAGGCTGAGCTGTCTGACGTGACGCAGCTGGGGAGTGGCCGAGCTGGAAATGGAGCCCAGGTCTGTCTGACTCTGGAGTCTGTGCCTTTGACTGATGCAGAAATTCAGAACATCCGTGCTGAGGCGTAGCAGGGGTCCAGCATACACGGGGGCTCAAGTGCATAAAAAACCCTCTCTTTGTTTTGAGATGCAAGTTCGTCAGGACCTCCAAAACATTGCCTCCCATCTTCCCCTCCTCCAAACTGTTCGGCGATCCCCTTGGTTTGTTCAGCCTCCCCAGAGTCATCAAAACATTGACACCGCTTCCCTATTATTCATCAAAAATGCACCCTGTCACACCAGCAAGCCAGGGGTTAAGGCATCTCAAGGTGAGGGTGGAGGAGACTGAGTTCAGCAGAGGGTGAGTGGCCCTGTGGGAGCCGTGCCCGGACATGACAGAGGTGGGATTCCAAATATGAAAAACACCTTCCTCCTGCCCCAGGCCCCTTTCTTATGAGAATCCAACAGGCAGCCAGTGGTCTCCAGCATGGGGATTCCTGGACCACGTCATGTGGTAGGTGACCCCTGAAGGCTCACTGCACCTGCTGTATCTATTGGACATGTGTGTGTGTGTTTGAGTTGAAGACTATGTATAGGAATTCAATTCAGCAGACATGTGGATGCTTACCACATGCACTGCCTCCACTTGCTTTTGCCTGTGTGCACCTGCTCATGCAACATCTTCATGGCAAACCCAGGGGCACATGCACTGGGGTAGTGCAGGATCCAACGGTGCCATCTGCACCCAGCAGACTTTCCAGGAGAGAAGATTGACTGAGCACTCAGCCATCAATGTCAGCCTGTAGTGGAAGGCTCTAGGGCAAAATTCTTTTATGGGCATCGCAGAACAAGTCTTCATTGAACACTGTGAACCAGACAAGTGGGAAGGTGGATGAAGAGCTAATTCACTGAAACAAGGTGAGACCCCACGGACCAACCAAAATGTGGAATCAAGGCTGCTACTGTAAGGACTTTCAGCTGCTTAATCATGTATATTCCTTCTCCTGTTATAGATGAGATGCCCGAGAATGTTCCCTCCCCAACTCAGAATCCTTTGCAAAACCACCAGGATCTTGGACAAAGAGGTAATGAAGATTTTCTGCAATTAAAAAAAAAAGAAAGAAAGAAACTTGGAATGAATCTATTTTTGCCACTTCAAGTGTGGGTTCACCTGACCCATAATTGCCATGTTCCTGCTCATTTTGCCTCTCCGCCCCCAACTATTGATTTGATTTGGGAGATAAATATGCTGCAGTGTTATTTAGAGTCAACCTGCCTCTGAGTGTCGGTTAGGAGGGTGGGGAGGAGAGAAGGTGGCACTGAGCAGAATTTTAATCAGGTTTTAGCGGTCTCTACCTGCTCATGTAACTAATCAAATACTCCTGTCCCGAGGGCAGAAATTCACACAATGCATTTCCATTAAAAAATTACTCTTTAATCAACTTCCTCCTACTCAGGGCCATCCGAGGGGCAGGAGGACCAGGCATTCTTGCCAAGGTCATCCTGATTGTGGAAGCTTGCCAGGACAGAGTCCCATCTCTGGAACAAAGTCTTCTTTGTGCGTGGTGAGATGGAGTTGGTGTCTTTTGGTTTTATTAACCTAGGGACTATTTACCCATCTCACTATTTCCCTTGCATATGTCTAAAAGGCAAAACTAGGAAAGGGCTAGGTGGTCTCTGAATCCTCTCCTCTCTATCTCCCTAAAAGAGGTGGCTGTTTCTGTCAAGACCATTTGGTGGCTGGAGAGACCCACGGCAGATAGCTACTTACTCAGCTATTTCCGTGTGTGTGTGTGTGTGTGTGTGTGTGTGTGTGTGTGTGTGTGTTGCGGAGGTCTTCATATTTGAAAAAATATTTTCTTTATATATGACAATACTTGATTCCAACAAATTATATCATAATGCTGGAAGTCCAGGCAGCCTGTTAAGCCAGAGTGGCAGATCCATTATGTGGCCTGGGAATCAGTGTGGACCCTTTCAGTGACCCTGAAATCCTAAGTGTAGATAACACACCCTGCTTTCACGCTGAAGTGCTGCAATATGACCCAAAAGGAAGAAATAAAACCTCTCAGTTGTTGTTGCTAAGAATTCCTATTACCAAGAAAATCCATTCATGCAGTATAAACTGTTGGTTTTCTTAGAGGGCAAAAATCAGGGTTAAGCCTGGGTTTTGGCCTCCTACAAAAACGTAAGGCAGCAATGAGGAAAGACGTGATCCTTTACTGAAAGAAAACAAATACTTAGGATCATAGGAAAGGTTTCACAGCTAGATTTTTTTTGGGATGGAGTCTAGCTCTGTTGCCTAGGCTGGAGCGCAGTGGCAAAATTTCAGCTCACTGCAACCTCCACCTCCCAGGTTCAAGTGATTCTCCTGTCTCAGCCTCCCAAGTAGCTGGGATTGCAGGTACCTTCCACCACACCTGGATAATTTTTGTAATTTTAGTAGAGACGAGGTTTCACCATGTTGGCCAAGCTGGTCTCAAACTCCTCACCTCAAGTGATCTGCCTGCCTTGGCCTCTCAAAGTGCTGGGATTACAGGTGTGAGCCACTGCGCCCAGCTGGCTTCATAGCTAGATTTTGGATGCTAGAGTCTGTGGAAATTTTGTCTTCTCTCTCTGTCTCTCTCTCACCCTTCTGAATACCTGCCCCATTTTCTTTACTTTTCTAAAATGTTTCCATTGCTTTTCTATCTTGCTCATGCTTTTCAGTTGCAAATGGTAGAATCTGTCCTAGCTAGTAGCTAGTTTCAACATAAAGGGATTTCCTTAAAGGGCCTTGGTTAGCTCACAGCATCCCTAGGAAAGTCAGTGACTTGGGCTTGAGGTCTATGCACCCAGGAACACTAGCCCTCACTGAGCTGCTTCCTTCAGGGTCCAGGATGCCCACTGCCCCTGCTGTCTCTGAAGCTTGCTGTGGGGCAGGCTGATGCTATTGGTGTAGACCTAGACACAGGTCCCTGCAGTTAGGACAGATACCTGACCTGGTCCCACATGCTGTGAGGACACAAGACCCCGTGTCCTTATTCTTTGCCAGAGCTTGGAAGCAAGGAAGACAGATACATCAGGACGGTGCCTAGGCAGTCTGCAGCTGATGGTCCTCTATCCACTTCATAATCTTTACTGTGTGCCAGTGAACAAGAGCCCCAGGTGCCCACCCTCCTCAGAGACAGTTCTGTGCGAAGGATAGACCAAACCAAGCAAGCAGACAAATAAATCACAGTAATTGTATGAGGAGGAAAATCAGCAAGGAAACCAGCAGTCAGTGTGCGGAGAGCTGTTCCCCAGATGGAGTCAAGGAAGTCTTCCTGCAGAGGTGACGTGATTGAGACGGGAGTTGGGGAAGGTGCACTGGAAGCTGGGTGGGTCTCAGAGGGCAGCCTGGTGGTTTATTCGGCCTGGTTGTGTGTGCCAGGCACGGCCGAGGGCACTAAAGGAAGGGTGCCTCACTGCAGAGGAGGAGGAAGCTCCAGTGCCGGCAGGCTCCTGGGATGGAGTAAGGACATGTGGGTGTCGGGATGTGATTCTGGTGAAGCATTTGAGCCCTACCACTCCAAAACCTGAGTTCAAGAACTCACCCACTACATATGAGCAGTGTGGACTTGTGAAAATTAACCTCTCTTATCCTTGGCTTTCTTTTTGGTACAGTGGAGTTGATGAAAAGCATCAGCTTCAGAGGATTGGAGGAAAGGCACGTAGAGTGCTGATGACAGGGCCTGGCACACAGCAGGAGCTCAACCAATGCTCAGCGCTGAGAAGGGACTCACTGTGCTTAGCAATATTGCTGCGGGAAAGCCAGATTGTCCCTTCAGGATCCATCAATGCCGAGGGCAAGGAGAGAAAAGCATTTGGGATTTTCTTTTATGGGTCTCTTCTTTCAATTTCATTTTCATGTATCTCAATTTTTGTTGACTGTATTCACCACTACTTCTTGACTGTTTTTTATGTTCTAGGCACTTTTCACAAATATCTATTTAATCCTTAGTTCTCTATGAATTAAATAGCTATTTGTGAAATCCTATTGGTGGAATCCTCCCACCTTTGTGAGTGTGAATGTGTGTGTAACTTATGTATCATAGAGTTTAAGTAAACTGTTAAATATTACACAGCTATTGAGTGGTGTAGCTGGGGTTTGAACCAAAATCTACCTGGCTCCAAGTTCCTTCTCCTGACTGATATTAGTTTGTTGGGCATCACGAGGTGAGGGCATCTAAAAAGTCTTGTGTGTTTAGATCCTTCCTGGATTTCTCAGGGACTTGTTTCTGTTGACCAACAGGTGTTAGGAGGTAGAAGGAAATGCATGTAAAGTACCGGCCTGCAACTGTTGCTTCTGGCAGAAGAGCTGAGCTTCACCCATCTCTGCCATTAGATAAAGGATGTGGTTGCTATTGCCCAAGAGACTTCTTCTTGGAAATAATGCCGGAAAAAAAAAAAAAAAAAAAAAAGCAATTCCTTGCAAATCCAGCAGTCACTAAAAACACGGAGAACTAAGTTTTTAGGATGGTCAAAAGCCACCCACCTAGTCCATTTTATTTGTTTCCTGTTCATTTCTTTTATTTTCTTCTTCTATCTCCATAATCTTTATTTCCCCACGACAAGATTCTCATCTAACTCTCTATTTAACATACCAATGCTTCTTGAGGACGCCGTTATCTATTGTTTCTTACGGTGCACATTCATTAGCACTTGCCAGAGAGGGGCTGTGTACTGTCATTTCTGCGCCTGCCTTTGTTAGTTTTAGATTAATTCCTGCTGTGGTCATGTTCTTTGGGATAATTTTATCAAGATTTTCTTTCTCTTGCTTTATTACTTGCTTTCTTGGTTACTTTATTAAATTTTAAAATGTCTTATTAAGGTTACTTCTTTCATTGTGACAAAAGTATAACTTTTCCAACTTTGCTCTAAAAACTTGTAGAACAAACTCTTAATAGCCGCCCCCCTCCCCAGGGACATGGGGCAGGACTAGGGTGGGAGTGTGGTGGGGAAGAAGAGCTCTTACTTTTTAGTCTAAATGTTTCTTTATGGCTTCAATTATTTATAACCATCACAGACTATTTTAATGAATTGTTTTCAGTAATAAATAAGACTTGTAGATCTGATAATGTTATTTTTATAAACTTTTTTTTAATCAGGCCATGCTCTTCAAGATGCAGAGGTATAAGAAGTCCTTAGTGAAATAACTTTTAAGAACTGTGCATTAAAAAGATGGCTAATGGCAATCCCAGCACTTTGGGAGGCCGAGGTGGGTGGATCACGAGGTCAGGAGTTCAAGACCAGCCTGGCCAACATGGTGAGATCCTGTCTCTATTAAAAATGCAAAAATTAGCTGGGCATGGTGGTATGCACCTGTAATCCCAGCTACTCAGGAGGCTGAGGCAGGAGAATTGCTTAACCGGGACCCAGGAGGTGGAGGTTGCAGTGAGCCAAGATCACGCCACTGCACTTCAGCCTGGGCTACAGAGCGAGACTCTGTCAAAAAAAAAAGAAAAAAAAAAAAACAAGGAAAAGAAAAGAAACTAGTGTGAATATGAGAGCTTCATTGAATCCAGGGATATGGCTTAATAGAGATTTTTAAGGCCACTTGACCTAACTAGAGTTTGCAGCTCAAATAGAAGTTTTATTGGGTTCTGTTATTGGATTATCCAGTGGGGCAGAGGTAGAGCTGCCAGCTCCCAAATTAACACTGTAGATTGGCATCTACTGCAGGCAAATGACTTCCAACTTGGCCATCACTGAAAACCATATGGAAAGACAATTTACAAAGTCTCTGGAGGCTTTTTGGTGACTTAGTGATTGGCCTTTTGGAAATGGACAGAGCAAGGAGACAGAACAAACCTGAATATTTGGTGGCTGCAGCTCTTTTGGTCTTCACAATCCATTAAGTCCTCACCTGGGTAGGTGTCTACCTGTTACAGGTGGGCAGGTAAGCCTGCTCGCTGGCCATGGAGGCAGGACACCTCTGGATGGAAAATGAGCCTGTCTCGGAGAGCGACCCCTGGTGGATGGGGAGCTTTCCTGCACTTCACAAACATCACTAAAGGTGAATCCCATTCCCCTCCTCTGTCTACCTCCTTCTCTCTGGGCTCGTCTCTGTTTCCAGTCATCTAAATAGAAAGGAATCCTTAAAGATACAGTAGTCAAAACATTGTAAGCCCTCTCCTACCCCTCTGTCCACTCCCCACACTCACACATCAGATGTGGGTTTCTTAAATATAAATCTAGGATTAATGCATTCAAGCCTGGTTCCTTGGGGGAAAGCTGGAATAACCAGCAAATGTCAAAATGTTTTCTTTAAATATCTAAATGAGTGGAAAATAAAACAATATAATTTCCCCAGGAATTACCTGGCCACTGGTCTTTTCCATAGACATGATACATCCCCTTATTTCTCCCCAGGGTGAATCCAGTTGGGAGTATTTGACACTGCAGATCTCGGGTGCTCAGAGGGAGGCACCATTAGTTTAATAAGAGAAGGTCCTGAGTCTGAGGGTTCTAAAGGTGGCCCCCATAGACTCTAGGCAAACTGCTCAGCCACGGTCTCATGAATATCACATCTTTCTGTAGGTCTGGAAGAGACCTGGCAACACCTCCAGAAATGGCCTCCTTCTCTGGGTAGTACCAGTTAACCTCTAGAATCTAGTATAACTCGAAATTTTTATTGGAATTATCCAACCATTACCCTGCTCGCTGTATTAGCTCTGCCCTCGAGCGCTCTTGACTAAGTATCAGGGGAATGAAGAGCTTTGTCAATTGGAACCCAAGCCTCCTGATCTTAATTAGAGATGTGCCAAAGTACCTGAATTTAATGGGGGAGGTTGGCAGACAGTTCTCTCTCCACCCCTCTTGCATTTAATGACTTCATTACTGATTACTGTCCACAGCAATGCAGAAATTAAATATGCTCTGCAGAAAAGCAAAAAGGTTGAAATGCAGTTGCTTTTGCATAGCAAGTTCCACGCGAAGCTTTGCACTGTTTGCAAAACGGGGAGAGCCAAGATGTTAGCATGCCTCCCCCACACATACCCTGCCACAGCGCAGCTCAGCCCAGCAGTCTGGCCTCCCAGGCCCGGGAGGGGCCCATACGGAAGGTGGGGAGAATGAATTATTCATGTGCTCGCTCCCATCCACAGATAATTC
This sequence comes from Homo sapiens, assembly GCF_000001405.40. Taxonomy (NCBI): domain Eukaryota; kingdom Metazoa; phylum Chordata; class Mammalia; order Primates; family Hominidae; genus Homo; species Homo sapiens. The sequence continues at coordinate 60,264,334 of NC_000020.11, forward strand.
AATATTCTGCTCTCAATAATCTTTGCCAGCGTTATCTGTATTCATTCTCTCGTTCTGTAAAGAAGGCTGCTAAGTAATTGTTAAATATCTTTCCTGCTCCCTGAATAAATTGGAGATACAGAAAAATAATAGGGATATGATTGCAACATATTCATTTGGTCATGTTTGCCCTGATTTAGTGGGGCACAGCAGACAGCTCCAGCATTCCAGAACTATTGCCATACACCGAGAAGGGTCAAAGTCACACTTTTTTCCAACGATTTTTCTCAGACACTCATGCTCCTTAAAGCTCCCTCATAACCCATCACCCTGTGGTGGGGACACCAATTCTTAGCGTCCAGGTATCTTTTCCACTGAAGAGACATTCACGTCAAAATTCTGACAGTTTTCTTCTTTTATTTAAGCTAAACATTTCCATTTGAGACAAGAACATTTTAACCATTACATCCACAGGCTTTGTATGGTGCATTTGCAGGTTCAGTATCTCCCAGGCCAAGCAACAGTTTGTGCATATAGTAAATACAGCTGGAGGAAACTGTGTTTATAACACTTAGTTAGAAGGAGTAAATAGCCCTGGGTACTGATAAGAAAGGTAAAATGTATCCAGAGCTGCTGCAGAAGACAGAGGCGGAGGAAATGATGGAAATGGTGACCCTGTTGGTAGGAAAATCACCTGGAAAACAAACAGTTGCTTTAGCCTTTACACACGCAGAAAACTTTCAAGGAGAATGACTTCGACCCAGGAGGATGGGCTTTGACCTTGTTCCTGAAGGATCCAAGCCCTGGCTAAGCTTGGGGTGGGGGACCGGCTCCAGGATGAGATGTCTGTCTGTGTCATTTTCCCTTTCTCTGTGAGCTTGTGAGCCAACCCGGAAGACACTGGGTGCTTTGGAAAAGAGCTCTCTGGGTTTGGGGGATCTGCTGGGGCTTACAGGTGGAGAATGGGGGGGACCAGCAGCGGGTTAGGGTGAAGATGGCCTCAGAGCGTGGCGGGCTTCTGACAGCCCCCTCCATCCACGTTGGATCTCCAGTGTCATCAAGGTTGTTTACTGAGCTCCTGCTTGCAGTTGGCCTTGTGCTATAAAAAATACACTTAGACACTTAACACTTCTCTTCCTGAGAGCTTAGTCTATGACAACAGGGTCACAGATATTTATAAGCACATGTATCTATTAAATAAATATCTGCTGAGGCTAGTCTCTCTTGCTATGAAATCCTTTCTCTGCCTTTATTCTCCTGCCTTTTTTTTGTCATGTTCAGCTGGTCTTTGGTGCAAATTCTTCTGAGTACCATGTGGTGGCTCTGCGTGGTGCTGCTCTGCTTTCTTGGTCCAGGGACTCTCCCGAAGTACAGGGTGCTTTGGTGTAAAGGGTTTTCTCACCAGGGTGATTGTGCCCCCTACCCTGGCCCCTATGGAATGTTTGTCAAAGTCTGGAAACATTTTGGTTGTCACGATGTGGGAGAGATTGCTACTGCATACAGTGGGTGGAGCCCTGGACTTCACCATGGGTGCATGAACATCATCTGTGCACAGCACGGCATCCTCTCCCCAAGAATCTTCCAGTCCCAGAAGTCAGCAGTGTGGCGGCCTAGATGCCCTCATTGATAATGGGGCTGCCCCTTCAGGCGTTGCTGGGTTGAAGACCGGACTGTCACTTGCCAGTAGCAGGTTCTTTAACTTCTATGTGACTCCTTGCCTCATCTGAAAAACACATACCTAGGGCTCCTCCTCAGGGATTCTGGGGGTTGATGAAATCGTGCTTGTGAGTACATAGCAGAGAGATTATTCCTGGATCCTGTAACCGTGCAGGCCCAGCTGTCATCATTGTTGTTGTTATTTGGCTTTTAAACATCCAAACTGTATATGCTTCAATATAACCTCTCTGCTGCTTGTTGCCTCCTCTGCTCAAGAACCCTCAGTGGCTCCCCACTTTACCCACTTGCAATGGGCACCGCTTCCTGTTCGCCAGGGAAAGCACCTGGTAGCTTGGCCCCCACTGCCTGTTGTTTGATGCTTCTGAGCCAACTGTCAGCTGCTCAGCTTCCTCCAAGGAAGTTGCCAATGCTTCAGAACTTCTGTTGGTCCCAGGCAGTATGGGGGGGCTGCGGTTTAGAGAGATTCAGTGTGTGCAGAGGTCTCCTCACCTGGCATCAGTGGGGAGGCCTTCACTCATCTCTCTCCTGTGTCTACACAGCCCCACCTGACCATCACAGCGAGCCTTGCCTCTTCTTAGATCTGTGTTCCCGGATGGGGTGGGGTGTGGTGCATGGAGCACCCCTCCTTCCCTCCCCTGAGTCCTTCCCTGATGGAGACAGCTGCTTCTCTCCTTGCGGAAATACACTCCGGTGGCGGTGGGGTGGGGGGAGTGGGTTTAAGGGACAACTTACCAAGTGATACTGGTGACCCTCAGGAGGTCTGGTGTTGCCACCTATGTGGAAATGAGCTCCAGGGAAGAGGAAAACAGCCTCTGTTATCTGACACTCGGAATCTGCTTAAAAGGCTGCCTATTCCCAAAGACTTCCCCATTGTGCAGCTGTCCCTTCATTTGCTGCAGCTAAGGGGCCCGCCATGCCTCTGCTACCTTCCCGGTGACAGGGAAGCGGGGCTCTAGGTGGTGGAGCCCAGCCCCAGCCCATCAGAGCCCCCAGCTCTTCCCCTGGTAAATTCTGTCAGGTCCTCTGTCTTGGGTCACCTGTCAGCTCCTTCCATGGGCATTCCATGAGTACCTGACAGAAAGGCACCTTTTCCCAGTCATTCTGCATCATGTTACCTGCTTCTGGTTTCTCTATACTGTTGTCACCATCTGAGACGAGCTCACTGATTCATCCCCTTGTGATTCCTGTGAGCTCTGCATGGGAACAGGACGATTTCTATTTGGTTTATTCATCAGACTATCCAAAGAGCTCAGCTGAGGACCTGGCATGCCACAGGTGCTCAATAAGTATACACTGAATGCACTTGAATATGGCAAAGGCTCTCCTCGTGCCCCATGGAGAGGGAAGAGATGGTGGAAAGTGAGATGGAGCAGGGGAAAGGCTGGGCTCTTGACCTCATCATCTCTCTTCGTGAAGGCCCCCCATGATTGAGGCTGGGACCAGGGCAGGCTGTCATGGATGTGGCATGGTGACACCTACGAGGTTGGTGGATTCTTCTCAGATTCTGCAGTGCCAAGGTCTCTGTCGAAGGTTACACTAGTATTCTGAGGGACGGGAGTCATTCTTAACTAGACAGGTGTGCCCATCACTCCATGGCTCTGGGTGAACATTTGTTGTGTTCAGGAGTCTGGACCACAGGCCAAACGGAGCAGCAATGCTGCCATCAGACACGGCTGGGAAAACAGTCTATGGAAACTGGCAAAGGACACAGACTGTGGGCATGAAAGGTGAAAGATTAGCCCAGGCCCCCACTCCATGTGGACGTCCAACCCACAGCTCCTCCATGTGCTGTGAGAAAGAACCCCTGTCATTTCAATCCACAAGGTGGATTGTGAGTAGCCTGTGGGGCCTCAGCGCTGGTAAGAACGTCAGTCTTCATTCTCTGCCTCTGGACAACCTCAGCCCCTGCACCTTGCACCTTGCTTCTTAACTGACCCTTGGTGCAAACTGATCCTCCCACCTGCATCCTGTCTGACCAGAGCCCAGTGACCCAGCAGGTGCCCAGTCCCTGGAGCCTGCTGTCACATTCTCCAGAAGGCATCCCGTTCCTATTGGCTGCGACAAGTTTTGTTTAGAAGAAAACTTGCCCAAGTGGGATTGTGAATGGGCCTCTAACATTGATGCTTCTGAAACGCCACAGCGTTTCTACTCTGTTCCTAAGTGTGAGTGTTGGTGGCATTAGCAGGGTTTAAAATCAAGAGCTAAAGGGTGAAATGTTGGAGCAGGCTGCAGAAAAGTCTTAGAATTTGGGCTCACACAGACCCTGTTTGAATCCTGGACCCACCATTTACCAGCTCTGTGACTTTGGGCAACTTTCATCACTTCTCTGAGTCCGTGTTTTCCACCTATAACATGTGGATAAAACAAGTATTTCACAAGGCTCTTAGCTGCAGATTACATGGAGTGTGACTGTTTCTGCCTGCCCCAAATTCCTTTCCTCTCTGCTAAAAGGGCCCCTCCTTGCTGTGAGGAGTACATTTCACTTGGTTCAATATCCTGACCTTCCCCTAGAGATAGGCAATGATCTGTCTTGACTGAACCAATCAGCTCAGGTATGTACATGTGACTAGGTTGAATCAGTCGACTCAGGGACACACATGACCAATTCAAACCAAGCAGCTCAGGGGTGCACACATGACTAACTAAAGCCAATCAGCTCAGAGACATACATATGACAAGACCAAACCAAACAACTCAGGACGGCACACGTGACCAGGATGGACTAATCAGTGCAGGGATGCCCACATGACTGGACCTAACCAATCAGCTCAGGGATAGGCACATGACCAGGTTGAACCAATCAGCTCAGAGATTTACGCATGGCCAGGTCAATCAGGATTCCCCCTAAGTTGTACCCTGGTGACCATCAAGCCTACTAGGAGGGAGGGCTGGAGCCAGGGATGTTCTTCGAACACATAGACTGGGACCTCCCTGGAGTCCCTGAACTTTGCAGTTATATAAGCCAGTGTATTTCCTCTCCGCCATGCTAGTCTGAATTGAGCATTTCGGCAACTGCAGCCAGGAACGCATTGTGTGGTGCAGGGCATGGCGGGTGTGCAAGGGCGGGAGTGGGCCCAAGGCTCTAGAAGAAGAAATGTCATTTTCTCTTCACTGCACACAGGCATTGGAGCAACTGGCTGGAGATGGGCTGAATGGCCCTTCACAGTCACTCCTAAAGGCCACCCACTCCTTAAACATCTGGGAGAAACCAAAGGTGCCTCTGTGAAGCCTTAGCTCTTAGCCACTTAGTGGGATGCAGACTCTCATCCTTGAAATGGGCGCTGAGCAAAATGTATGTCCTTAGTGCAGCTCTGAGAGAGATCTTCTCACCTGGTAATTCCCCAGTAGCCAAAAGAGGCTAATGAAAATGCGCTTTCGTTCCCAATTCCTCATGTAATTAATTTCTTCTCAGCAATGTAGAGCATGGTATCATCTCCATGGATTGCAGGTGAAGAAAAGTTTTGCCTTTCCTGAAAAGAGACTTTGATCCTCATATGCGTGTGATCAAATCTTGATGTAACTTGAGTCAACATTTTAGGGTCCGAGTCTTTGTATTGAGTCCCTAGAAGCCTTGGTCTTGGAGGCAGGAGCTGTCTTTCTGATGGGCAACATAAAAGTTAAGCTAGTTAAGGCCCTTGTTAAATAAGTGACAATTGGTAAACTCTCTGAATTTCAGGAGCCTAAGTAAATTGAGTGTGGCACATAAGGGCTCACATGGAATCTGGTTTCATAGGGCTTGACAGCTGAGCATCACATAAATAGGACTGACAGTACCAAGCCATGAATTATTCCTGCATAATGACGTTCTTCGAGACTAAGACAAAAGCTGTCATTACTTCATTACTCTGCTGTGTCTTATTTATTCGGGGACTGCTCTGCGGAAACCATGAGAAAACATTTTCTTTATCCCCCGTACAGGATTGCCTCCATCAGGCAAAAATGGCCTGCTTCCAATCAAAGCACTCGCAAATCAATTATCCCCAGAGTCATGAAAATTCCTGGAGGTCACTGCAGACTGAGCTGGAGAGGGAAATCTGATATGTCTCTCCTCGGTTCATTAGCTGGGAGTGTTTGCACCTTCACAGTATCCTTGCTGGAGGGTCTTCAACCTTTTCCTGAGAAGTCACTACTTCTGATTTCCCTGAAGTCTTATGACTGTTGATGAGAAAAGTCAGAGGCCGGCACGCTGAGGACACCTTCTCTAGGTCATTTCGGGGACCTTCAGAGAGGAGATTCTGTCAGTGAGGAGCATCTTGGAGATTTACCTGTTGGTGCAGGTGGTAGCCATCCCTCTGGGATCCTGGACTCTAGATGTGGTTCCTGGCTCCTTGTTACTTCCAGTGATCTCAGTGTGTGGAGGGAAGTGGCACGCATACACCCAGGCTGTGCACTTGCCAGTGAAGCAGATGAAGAACTTTGGGGGAGTGTTTTAGGAAGACCAGTGGACAGTGTTTGGGTTTCCTCAGAAGCCTAGTACAGGGCTTAGGAGAACTGGGGCTGCAAGCAGACTGGCTAGGTTCCCACCTCTGCTTCTCACTAACTAGGTGACTGGGCAAGTAACTAGGCTGCCCTGTGTCTCAGTCTCATCTATAAATAGGTTGTTGTGAAGATCAAATAATTTAACACTCATAAGATGCTTAGCACAACACCTGGTACACAGTCAGAACGGCCAGCCTTTATTTTTATTTTTATTGTTTTGAGATGGATTCTCGCTCTGTCATCCAGGCTGGAGTGCAGTGGCTCGATCTTGGCTCACTGCAACCTTCACCTCCCGGGTTCGAGTGATTCTCCTGTGCCTCCTGAGTAGCTGGGATTATAGGCATGTGCCACCATTGCCTGGCTAATTTTTTATATTTTTAGTAGAGATGGGATTTCACCATGTTGGCCAGGCTGGTCTTCAACTCCTGACCTCAAGTGATCCACCTGCCTCAGCCTCCCAAAGTGCTGGGATTACAGGCATGAGCCATCGTGCCCAGCCAGTGTTTATTTTTTAATATGTCATTGGACTGTCATATTGGATTGAAATCTTGACAAAGGAGTATAAAAGAACTAACATATTAGAAACATATCATTGTTGATAGGCACTTAAAACGAATAGACATTGTACCTCCAATAGAAATGCAAGTCCATGGAAAATTGCTACTTGGGCCAGGTGCCGTGGCTCATGCCTGTAATCCCAGCACTTTGGGAGGCCGAGGCAGGTGGATCACGAGGTCAGGAGTTTGAGACCAGCCTTGCCAACACGGTGAAACCCTGTCTCTAGTAAAACTACAAAAAAAAAGTTAGCTGGATGTGGTGGTGCATGCCTGTAATCCCAGCTACTTGAGAGGCTAAGGCAGGAGAATCGCTTGAACCCAGGAGGTGGAGGCTGTAGTGGGCCCGGGACTGCAGCACTGCACTCCAGCCTGGGCAACGGAGCAAAACTCTGTATCAAAAAAATAAGTAAATAAATAAATAAATAATTGCTAGTCGATGTCCCTACATTTTGCACTACCCTCCATATCTCCAGAAACAATCATTTGCATAAAGTAGGGTCCTTATCATGAGTGACCCCTTGCTCCAGAGAGAGATACTGCTCAGCAATTCTTAATCCAAACTGGCCCAACCTCTCTCTCATGGAGGGTCCAGAGAGGGAAGGGTGAACAAATCTTGCAGATATTTTGCAACTGAATAGCTCTGTGATCTGTATGTGATCTAATAAACTTGGTGGTTTATCAGAATCATTTCCGTGACAGAATCTAGAATGCTGGATTTAATGACAACCATGATAGGGACACAGCACTGATTTCTTTTAGAGACAGGTTCCACAATGCCCCTTGAGGGCTGGCTAGTAATGACATGCAGAATCGGTTTCTCTCTGTTGGAAGGGAGAAGCCTGGAACACCATTACCTTTTTAAAAAACACTTTTCTCAAGAAGCAAGATGCTGGCTGGGGTGCAGTACTGCATGTAAGTTTAGACATCAGAGATTTAGGCTGATCATGGTTAAAACTTACCTGATTCTCAGTCCTGCTTGGTATGAACTTCACAAAGGTTAGTACCTTAAGAATTGCTGACACATTTATTACAATTTCAAAGCTACAACTCAAATCCCAGGAACACAGGATTGCAGTGACCTACATAATTTGGGCTCAAATACCTTCAAGGCATTCCGAAGAGACAGAGAACACCAGAACAAGGGAGAATTGGAGTGGAGGTGGATGCTGAAATTCCAGTATAAAAATCTACTCTGGCTGAGGAATAAGACAAAATGTAAGTGATTTAGGAAAATTATCCCAGACAAATGAGAGGTGAACTTTGGAAGGGGGTATAAATCAAGATAATAATTTCCATATTTGCTGTTTCTTTTACTTTTTGCAGAAGAAATGCAATATAGTCGCTACTCAGGAATTTTGACTGAGGTTGGACATTGTTTAGAAATGGGAACAAGTTTGAAGGATAGGATGGAGGGAAGGAAAATATTTTTTATTGCTTCCAATATAGTGGCTTTCATAAAGCTGAAAGTCTCCCCTGGAAGAAGACCTCAGGGGCCCTTTCCTGAACAGGTGAGAATGGTTTGTAATTAACATATTAATTGGTAGGTGCTTCTGAAATGCTGGAGGATGCTTGAGAAAGGACTTGAGTAGTTCCAGCATTACCTTTTCCAAATTGTTCTTGTCATAAATTGACTCAGCCAACCCTCTTCTTTATACAAAGGTTAACTTCCCGTCCAGCAGGTGTGGGTTATCACAGTCTACATGTGGCAGTTTCTGTATAATATTTGCCTCTGGGTGCCCCTGTGAAAACAGCTAAAAATAGGGACTTTTGGAGAGAGAAGTCTATCGGGACAGCTAAGGACTGCAGGTGACCTTGAAGCCATGAGGATAAGTCCCCGCTTTTTGGAAGAGGCAGCCGGAACCTGTTAGACTGCTACTGAAGCTCGGTACGTTATCTATACCGGCATCTAACTGCTGCCAGCCACTAAGAAATGTTTTCTTGCTACAAACAAAAAATAAAAAGAAAAATAACATTATCTGCAGTAGCAATCTACAGTTTACTCAGTCCTTTTGCATATATGATCCTTACACACCCTTTGAGATAAAGAGAACAGATTTTGTTACCTTGAGAAAGGCTGAGTGATGTGGCTGAGGTCTGAGTCAGAATTCAGACTCAGGCCTTCTAGCTCTGTCTAATGCCTAGAATTTCTCTCCTGGGGCATCATTTATTCCTGTTTTTTTTCCAGTCATTTGGGGGGCACCACATCCTGTAGACAATGGTCCTTGCTAGAGAAGCCCCCAACATCAAAACTAGAAAAAATAGAAATTAAGAAAGAGGGTTCACATAACAGAGGAATGCTTCTCCCTCTTCTCAAAAGAATTGCCATTGAGTTTCTTTAAACAAGAGAGCATGTTGCCAATGTGATTTGGTTAACTATCACAGAGGATGTCCTTCTCGGAGTGTGTCCATTTGATAGACAGGGACACATCTGAGAAAGCAAAGCCCACCCTGTTCAGGAGACCTCCTTCACAACCTCTTAGCCTTCTCTGCCTGGGCAGCTCGGGCCAGATGGCTCTGGGGGGTCTCCCCTCATCCTGTGCCTGGTTCCTGGCCTGCTCCCACTGCTGGCTGGGCTTCAGGCATGTGCCTGTGCTCCTCCATGGGGCGTGTTAATAAGTGGCATGGTTGGCAAGTCCTAAGGTGGACTCACTGCTCCTTCCTGGCTTTCAGCAGCTTTCTTTCAAAAGAGAAGACAAAGGTGTTTCTGAAAGTCTGAGCACGAATTAACTCTTCTTGTTGAGCTGTAAACTTCCCTATTGGCTCAGCAGCCGTCTCCTCTTACACAAACACATGCCTGAGTACTTGTGTGCATACACACACACACAGACACACACACAGGCTTCTCTCAAGTAGACGTGCACGCACACATACACACACAGACACAGGCTTCTCTCAAGTAGACGTGCGCACGTGCACACACACACACCCACACACACCAGCCCATCTTCTTAGTTGCCTGACTCAATCTGAGACCCTTATGGCGAGTCTTCCTGTCAGCAGTGCTGCTTCCCACGTCAATATCCAGCCTCTTATTCATGTGGATGTGGATGGTTCCCCTAAGGGCATCCTTCTTTGTTCAATCTATAGTAGTGGTTCCCAACTGCGAGCAATTTTATCCTCTTCCCATGGGATACCTGGCAGTGTCTGGAGACCTGTTTGGCTGTCACAACTGGGAGGGGTGGTGCTGCTGTCATCCGGTGGGTGGGAGCCAGGAATGCTGCTAAACCCCCTATAGTGCAGAAGATAGCCTCCCACAGCCAGGTATCCATAGTACTGAGGTTGAAAAGCCCTGGTCTCTAGGGGAAGATGGAATAAAGATGAAATGGCATAAAGATAAAGATGGCATAAAGATGAACAATTCATTTTTGTAAGGAACCCTGGCCCCTGGCCTAGAAGTTTTGGATAGCACTGGGATCTGTCTTTGGAATATTTGAAAAGGAGAGATATGTCCAAACTCACAGAATGATGCCCATGCATCATACAAATCTTGCCTTTTTAGGAACAATGATGACAAGGACAGCAACGGACATTTTTCCTTTTAATTACAAAGTGTGGCTAGTAAGCAGGGCGCCATAACTTCTAAATTACCGTCCTCCACGGGGCTCATTCCCCGAGCAGCCAGGCAGAGGAAGGACACCTGGTCTGATGATGTGCTGATCATGTTTGAGTTACAGGCAAGGAGAATGATCTGGTCTTTGCTGAAACACTTTTCCTCCTGTTATTAAGATACTGCATTGAAAAAAGACACTTGCAGTGTTTGGTGCTATTAATAATTCTCCATTTGTGACATCACCTATATCCCCAGAGAAACAGAGTTTCAATTACTGCATTACAACAAAACTCTTGCAAGATTGGGCTGATAGATGGAGATATTAAAATGGAGAGGCTGAGAGTGTCTGCCTGTGTAGGGGCTGTGAGGAGGGGCACTGTAATTTAACATCGAGATGGCATTTGAACAGGAGAGCGAGAGTCATCATCACAAGAAGCAGAAGCGTCTTTGGCTTGTAACAGTATTAAATATAATTTGCCACTGAATGCACCAGCTATATTTAGCTGGATATTGAAAAGGGGAGAAGAAGGATATGTTTAAATAAGGTTTGGGACAGCTTGTCCTATACAGACTCATCACACTTGATGTACACATATCTCTACAAGTTAGGGGGGAAGAAGCTTCCATCTAATGGTTCCCTTAAATGGTGGTTTCTGCCCCTTTTCTATCTCAGAAATCCTGAACACAGCAGTTCTCCTTAACGAAGATTTTAATGGGAGATATTTGTTTGCACTGCTCTGTCGTTTCTACTTGCATGAGGCTGCCATTTACAACAACAAGTGTAATAGCATCTTTGAGCTTTTTAATTAAAAATTAATTAGGAGATTTAAGAACAGACTCATTGGGGGTTACTGTACAATAACATGTTTACAAAATTAGGTCTGGGCTTTTTGTTCCAGCTAAGTGTTTCAATCAATTCTGTGTCTATTAAATGTAATTATGTATGATGCTTCCTCAAAATTATAATGTAGCATTTAAAAAGCAGCTGGGAAAAGTCTATAATTTTAAGTTTGGAATTAGGGTAACTATTAAAATGCAAATAAAGGCAACTGTAGTTGGTTGACTGGGGAGTGGGAGGTAACAGTTAAAAACAAAGTTTCAGCCAGAGAGAGTTCATCTAGAATGCCTGCCTGTGGGTTTCACCTTTCTTCTCACTCCTGCTGGATCTTCCTCCTGGGGAATGCGAGGGAAGCAAGATTGCAGTGATACCGAATGATAAGAACCGTAAGCGGAAAGGATTAACAGTCTTGCACATTTCCTTGCTAGGTATTTAAGCACGTATTACTTTTTAATGGAGGTATTAATTGATTAAATGTTTGCTTTAGATTTTGGTCCTTTAAACACATATGTTTCCCAAATACTCTTCATTTTCTCGGTTCAGAAACAGCACTTTTAGACACTTTGGAGAGAGGTTCTATATGCATTTTTTTCTGTGTGCATTTCCTTAATGGGTAATCATTTGATGAGAGATTTTAATGTGTGTGGAGGCAGAGATTTAAGATCTGGAATGTCTGAGTACTTTCTATCCCATTCATTCATGAAGGTCTGCAGCAGCGTCTTCAGTTTGCACAGCATATTGAGTCCCACCTACCTGATAACTTCCTGGACAGAACTGGGTTATATCAAAACATTATGTGAAGTAATTAAAAAGCAGTGCTTCTCAAAGAAGATGCCAGGGTCTGTTTCTGCAGCCAGCTCCCTCCTCCCTACCCTGTGATGGGCACAGAAGAGGTCAGTTCACATCTAACTAGAGCAGACTTCAAGAAGCTTGCTGTGGTGGGACTCCCCAGTGGATGGTAAAATGATAACCAGATAAGAGTGATCTTTGAGCAACAAAGGAAATAGACAGACCCAGGCTCTTTCTAAGCATACGAGGCACAGAACTTACACTTGTCGGTGCTGATGGAAGGGCCATTTCAAGATGGCGCCCTCTCCTTGCCTAATGGGACCTACAGCCCAATGATGCCTTGTATTTTTAAGTAGAGGGAAAACTCTCTATAGGGATATCTCCTGAACTGCAGTGTGTCAATATGCTTCTGATTTGAGTGTGTTCCTGTAGATCACTGTGTAGACATAATCATTAGGCAGGCACTCTATATACTGAAGAATTCAACTCTTCCCCAGATTTTTCTTTTACCTTTTGCCATTATCGTTCTCAATGAGAGATGTGCTGGGAGATCTGTAAAAAATGGGGTGTCAATGCCCCAACGTGGCTCCTGGTCATTGGTGTGGCCATGGGTGGTGCAAGAGGCCGCCGGTTGTTCATCTTTCCATGATCCCTCATGTCTCCGCAATGCATACACCCGGAGTCCCCCCAAGACAAAGGGAGGTTTCTTGTCTTGCTCCACAACATGACCGTGACTTATCTACCATGAGTAGGTAAGTCCTTTGGAGGGATTCTAGTAGGGGAAAAATACAATATTTCTCTTGCTATGTCTGTGTAATATATGCTTATTTATTTATTGGAGATGGAGTCTGGTTCTGTCATCCAGGCTGGAAAGCAGTGGCGTGATCTCGGCCCACTGCAACCTCTGCCTCCCAGGTTCAGGCAATTCTCCCACCTCAGTCTCCTGAGTAACTGGGATTACAGGTGTCTGCCACCATGCCCTGCTATTTTTTTTTGTTTGTATTTTTAGTAGAGATTGGGTTTCACTATGTTGGCCAGTTCATCTTGAGCTTCTCATCTCAAGTGATCTGCGCGCTTCAGCCTCCCAAAGTGTTGGGATTACAGGGGTGAGCTACCACATCCAGCCAATATAGTATTTTAAGGTTATAAAAATGGTCTAACTTACTGTCATGGCTTTGTGGGACCTAATTAATTTATTGGAGCTATCCTCTTTTGTCTGTTTTCTCAAGAGTAGAGTTAAAAATTTGAATTCAAATTCAAATTTTTATGGCATTTCCCCCACTGTGCTGCTTGAATACCAGATGTCAATTATGAAATTATATTTATCATATAAACCTGAATAGAAGAAGCATTTTTCTAAAAATCATCCCTCAGAAAAGGAGAATACCTTTAGGTTTGTGTTTTTAAATGTTTCTCTTTTCATATGGCTCTCTTTTTATTTTAAAGAACAATCTTTTGACTCTGGAAGACACATTTGGCTGAGACAATCTCTTTCAGTTCCAGCGTTGGGTGCTTATAGAGGGCACATGTCAAAATTGGGATTGAAATTTTTTCTTAAAGTAATAAAAATTAGCACAGATTTGGTGAATATTCCCTGGGGGCAGGACTTTACATTTTGAAACTTTGAGGGTTATTGCACACGGCTTTGAAGAACCACTTTAAAAAGTGACATGGCCAGCAGTCCTCTGGAGATAACTGATGTGCACCCGCAATAAAAACAAACGAAAAACAAACTCTCCTTGTGTTCTATGAATGAGGACTTGGATGAGGAATCAGTTTCCATTCATACGTGGAGTCAAAAAGTACCAATTGCAAAAACCTGAGAAGTAAGATAAGATGGTGTACTCTGGAAAACCACATTGATCATTCACTAAGTGACCCCAGCGATGGCACTGACGTCAAAGACGCAAGAGAAGAGCCTGAGTAAAACTGTCTCATCAGGAATGAGATGGACAAAGCGATGTTTCCAAGTCCATATTTTCTATATCACTCAAATATGCTATATGTCCAAACAACTTCAGTGTTATTAATAGGCATTATTAATATTTTTTTAAACCTTTATTTTAAGTTTATGGGTACACGTACAGGTTTGTTATATAGGTAAAATTGTGTCTTGGGGTTTTGTTGTACAGATTATTTCATTACCCAGGCATTAAGCCTAATACCCATTAGTTATTTTTCCTGATCCTCTCCCTCCTCCCACCCTCTACCCTCCAACAGGCCCCAGTGTGTGTTGTTCCCTTCTATGTGTCCGTGTGTTCTCATTATTTAGCTCCCACTTATAAGTGAGAACATGCGATATTTGGTTTTCTGTTTCTGCATTTGTTTGCTAAGGATAATGGCATCTAGCTCCTTCCGTATTCCTGCAAAGGACATGATCTCGTTCTTTTTTATGGCTGTGTAGTATTCTGTGGTGTATATGTGCCACATTTTCTTAATCCAGTCTATCACTGATGGGCATTGAGGTTGATTCTGTGTCTTTGCTATTGTGAATAGTGCTAAAAGGAACATAAGTGTGTGCATGTGTCCTTGCAATAGAACAATTTATATTCCTTTGGGTACATACTCAGTAATGGGATTGCTGGGTTGATAGACTTCTTCGTCTTGTCCCAGGAGCTTTCTCCATGGAGGGTGATCATAGTCTCTTTGAGAGAATTTCAAATCGAGGAAACAGGGAATCACTTTATATTTGAGCGCAAGTATGGGTGTGTTTGTTTTGCTTTTTAAACATGAAATCAGGATCAATGATTGGAAATTATTAGTGGAGGTTGAAGGAACTCATCATTGATAAACACCTGCTGCTTGTGTATTGCCAGATAATACACAAAATTCAGATTTAATCAACAAATCTTGGAGTGTGTGTTAATACACTTGTTCTCAATGTCTAATGTATAGCAGAATTGCCTGTGTAGTTTATTAAAAATACAAATTTCAGCTTGTCATATTCCAGCAGCTGGGATGGAATCAGGAATCTGAATTTTGATCATGCACTCCACTATAGCTGTGATGGAGGGTGACTGAGGGCTGTACTTTGAGAAACACTGGCCCTGGCGTGAGGAGGGGCCTCACAAGGAAGCAGCCATCATGCTGAGACCTGAGGAAGCATCCAGGGAGGACATCCATGCATGAAGATCCAGCATTAAGAAAAAGCATGGGCAACAGAATGCCACACAGCAGGGAAAATGGAGGAACTGGATTTATATGTGGAGAGTGAAGAAGTAACTTTACCCAAAGGGAGATCTGGCCTATGTCCTTGGCTACTGGGAGTGATCTCTGGGTTCCTGGAATGTTCTTCCCTCTAGGAGTGTCCAATGTTTGCAGTCTAAACATGTGATTCATGATGAGGCCTTCGGGACATGCCACATCAGTCCCAACCTCTGGAGGAATTGGAGAACAAAGATACCAGCCTGACCTTGCAGGAGAGACAGGAGACCAAGGGCCAGCCACACAGACACTGATGGCTCTGGCTGGCAACATGCTGGAGTGTCCTCATGCATCCTACCTGGGAGGAGGTAACACCAGCCAGGCCTTTGTGGGGATTGATTAATGGGACCAGAAGCTTCCCCGTGGGACCCCTCCTAGACCTGCCCTAGCTGTCCCTCTTTTTGTCTGGTTCTAATTTGTGTCATTTTACTGTAATAAAACTGTAATTATAAATATAGCATTTTCCTGAGTTCCGTGAGTCACTCTTGTGAATTATCCATCCTGAGGGGGTTGTGGAAACCTCCAATTTTGTAGCCAGATGACCAGAAATGAGAGTGACCCTGCAGACCCCTGGACGTGTGTCAGAAATCTTGGCTGGCTTGGCCATCTGGAGAGCTGAGCTCCTAACCCTGAGTTTGACTAAGTCCTCTGCAATATTTCATCCTGAATGAGTCTCAGGAACACAGACTAAAAGAAAGAAATAAGTTTCACAAAATTGAGATACCATTTACGCCAATTTTGAAAGAGGATAGAAGAATTCCATATACTGCTTTGTATTGTATATATTAACATATATACATATAATTCATATTCTAACACTCAACATATATTTACATACATGTAAAGTGCATAGGTAAACACATATACATTTTATATATAAATCAATGTATTCATTTATATTTACATACAAAGTTTTAATATGGGAACAGAAGGATACCCACCAATTTCACAATAGTGGCTGCTTCTGGGGTCAGGATAAGAAAGTCAAATGACAAGCTCTTAACGTTTGTTAATTATGGGTGATGATGGGTGATGATTATTGGATGTTTGCACTATTGATAGTCCATATGTTTTTTGCTATTTAAAATTAATACTTTTTATAGTGGAGATGGAGATAGTGGCTTTTTTTTTTTTTTGAGACAGAGTTTCACTCTTTGTTGCTCAAGCTGTAGTGCAGTGGCACAATCTTGGCTCACTGCAACCTCCGCCTCCCAGGTTCAAGCAATTCTCCTGTCTCAGCCTCCTGAGTAGCTGGGATTACAAGTGCCTGCCACCATGCCTAGCTAATTTTTGTATTTTTAGTAGAGATGGGGTTTCACCATGTTGGCCAGGCTGGTCTCGAACTCCTGACCTCAGGTGATCCACCTACTTTGGCCTCCTAAAGTGCTGGGATTACAGGTGTGAGCTGCTGTGCCCAGCCTCGATAGTGGCATTTTCAAGCACTGTGAGGAGACCTTTGATGCTGGAGCTTGGGCAGGAATGGGAGAGCCCTGAGGGCAGGGCAGCCAGAGGACTAGTGGCTAGCTACATGGGTGAGTGGATATGCTAGCAAGTGTGGATGTTTTTCATGTCCTAGGACAACTTCTCCAAGGACATCCACATCAGGAGGGGTTTTCTAACTATTAAACCTGCAGAAGAAGGAGTCAGGAGCTGCTCATCTTTGGAAGTGCCTAGCAGTGGCTGGAGGACCTGGGATGCCCTGAGGGACAGTCAGCCAGGTAGGACACCTGCCAGGCAGCTGTGAGCCTGAGACTTTCCTTCCACGCAGAGCAGATTCCAGAGCCCCCCAAGCAGGAGCTGCCGCATGGCTGCATGGATCTTTCACCTTCTCAGACTGTCCCCCCATGACTTGGGAAGGCATAATTCTTGTGGTTGAATAAGAATGAGGTGAACGACAGAGGCCCCAGAAGCCACCTAAGATTGGAGGGCCCCACCCTCCTGCTGGAAACATCTACAAGGCCCTTTCCCCATCCTTCCAGCCCTGCTGACTTGCTTCTTGGGTGACTCCATGGTTTTTTGCCTCAGTCTAATTATGCTCAACAGTGGCACACGTCAGTAAAAACCCCATCTGGCTCTCACATCACAAAAGACTGTATACGCCTTGAAACTTAATCTGTGCTGAGCTGAGCACATGCTGCTAAATCACAGGCCCCCGAAGAGTCAAGGTGACATGGCAGGCAGAGGGAAGACCAGCCGTCAGAACCCTCAGCACCACGGGGCTACATTTCACCTTTAGTTGGGAGGAAACTGAAGGCATGCTTTCTGGTTTATCTGGATGTTCAGAGGAAATGAGGGAGGTCTGGAAACACACATTGAGACCAACCCTGTGCCAGGCACTGTGTAAGAAGCACTTCCCCCGGAAGGCATTATTGCCCAGCAATTTACACTTCATTTCTGTTTGATTTAGTTGATGACCCTGTGAAATAGACCACAAGTCACAGATTCACTGTCTAAGAATCTGCAGGCCTTGTAAGCCCCCAAAATGCTTCATGGGACAATGTTAGTCACATGTCGAACTGGCGCTCCCAACTTCAGAACCTCCCTGTGCCTTTCCTGACCTCATAAAAGATTTCCAGGGGAGAGAAAACCCCAGGCAGGACAAGAAGTTTGTGGAAGCCTGGATTCCAGAATAGAGATAAATCTGATGTCAAAAAAGGTGTTTTAAATTTTTTTCAGTGAGCAGGTGGGTAGGTGGGTACAGACATGCCCTTACTTTCTGAGTAAATGCTTTTTGAGAATCTGTGATGCCTGATTCCTGAGCTGAACATTAGAGAAACAGTGCTGGTCTACATAAGGGGAAATATATTTCTAAAAGTGTGGAATCGTTCTCATTTATAAAATGCTTATATTTGATAGTTCAGGATTTTTGCTTTTTAGGGTTTCACTAAAATTTAAGGTTACCAAGGATTAGAATTCTAGTTAGCACATAATTCTATATTCAAAATGTGCCAAAAGATGTGTTATTAGTGAGAGAAAAAATAATTTTGTGTAATTTAGAAGTTATCTGAAAGTTAATTCAAATTATGGACTTTATTTTATTTTATTTATTTATTTATTTTTTTTAAAATTATTATTATACTTTAAGTTTTAGGGTACATGTGCACAATGCGCCGGTTAGTTACATATGTATACATGTGCCATGCTGGTGTGCTGCACCCATTAACTCGTCATTTAGCATTAGGTACATCTCTTAATGCTATCTCTCCCCCCTCCCCCCACCCCACAACAGTCCCCAGAGTGTGATGTTCCCCTTCCCGTGTCCATGTGTTCTCATTGTTCAATTCCCATCTATGAATGAGAACATGCGGTGTTTGGCTTTTAGTCCTTGCGATAGTTTACTGAGAATGATGATTTCCAATTTCATCCATGTCCCTACAAAGGACATGAACTCATCATTTTTTATGGCTGCATAGTATTCCATGGTGTATATGTGCCACATTTTCTTAATCCAGTCTATCAATCATTGTTGGACATTTGGGTTGGTTCCAAGTCTTTGCTATTGTGAATAGTGCCGCAATAAACATACATGTGCATGTGTCTTTATAGCAGCATGATTTATAGTCCTCTGGGTATATACCCAGTAATGGGATGGCTGGGTCAAATGGTATTTCTAGTTCTAGATCCCTGAGGAATCGCCACACTGACTTCCACAATGGTTGAACTAGTTTACAGTCCCACCAACAGTGTAAAAGTGTTCCTATTTCTCCACATCCTCTCCAGCACCTGTTGTTTCCTGACTTTTTAATGATTGCCATTCTAACTGGTGTGAGATGGTATCTCATTGTGGTTTTGATTTGCATTTCTCCGATGGCCAGTGATGATGAGCATTTTTTCATGTGTCTTTTGGCTGCAAATTATGGACTTTAAAAAGGGGTTATTTATTAAAAAAGGTAGGAAGGAACCAGTAAATAGGGGAGAGAGATGTGAAGAACATTATGTGTATGAAGATGTGTTTTTGGTAGGAAAGGTTGTAGAGACAATAACTTTGTATGAGAAAGGATCTTGTATGGTAAATGCTTGTCCTAAAGTAAAATGCCTGGTTGTTTAAAACAAGGGATGTTTAGGACAAGTCAGAGAGTCCAAGCATGTCATAGATGGTCTGTGTAAGTCATGAAGAGGACTTGTGTAGGAAAAGTAGAATATACATTTGATAAAAGTCATGAGAATGTGGATTTTTGCCTAAGTTTTGTTAAAGGATTGTTTTAAGTGAGATAGGAAAAATCTAGAGGCTTGAACAAGTTGTGTAAGGTTTATTAAAAATTAATTATAAAAGAGATTCTGTGTGTGAACATATTGGCTAAAGTTAAAAAGGAAAACTGGTAATTATACTTCACCCATATGCTAGCTTGCAAAGGATACAAGTTTTTGCTAGTACTAGTAGACACCTTTATTATTTATTGGCTGGGTTGAAACTTACCTTACCGGAACAGAGAAGGCTAATGAAGTTATAAAGATTCTCTTAAAGGAAATAATCCCTCAGTATGGGGTACCCTAAAGCTGCCAAAGTGATAACAGCCTGTCTTTTGTCTCCTAGAAAGCTCAAGGGGTTGCTAAGGCTCTCGGAATCAAATACCATTTACATTCATCATGGAGACCTCAATCCTCCAGAAAAGTGGAAAGAGCTAATCAAACTCTAAAACAGGTTTTAGCTAAGCTATGTCAGGAAACATCACAAACTTGGGTCAGCTTATCTGCCCATAGCCCTCTTAAGGATCCATAGTTCCCCTAGAGCAAAAATTAATATGAACCTACATGAAATGTTATATGGAAGGCCATATTAAACTAATGATTTATTACTGATCCAGAAATGGCCAGGCTAATAAAATACTTAGTTAGCCTAGGACAATTTCAGCAGGCTATACAAAAGTTTGGAACTCAAAGACTGCCGACACCAGGAACTAACCAGCAACCCAAAATCAGGCCAGGAGATAATGTACTTGTTGAAACATGGAAGGAGGGATCACCTGCTCAAAAATTGCAAACCAAATGGAAGGGACCATTTTCAGTGGGACTGGTCATGCCTTCTGTGGTCAAAGTAATAGGATTAGATGGTTGGATACATCTTTCCAGGGTCAAGCCTGAGACACCTGAAGCCCTGGACTTGGAATCTGAAGCTGTCATCAGCCAGTACACCTATGAACCTGTGGAAGACCTGAAGTACCTGTTTAAAAGACAGCCAAAAGATAAGTAAATACTTCCCAAATTTCCTTGGTGTCTTTGTTGCATAGTTGCTGTAGGCTGGATAATAGTAGCCATTGTTATATTTTTACAATTAATTTCTTTCCTCCAAACAGATAGAATCACTTCCTTTCTAATAATTAAGCAAAGTAAAATGTTGTAATCCATTTTTGTAACAATCATTCCTGACAGGATAGGTATCCATCACCACCCCTACCCCAAAGTTCCCATTCTATAGAACAAAATAACAAATATGTATTTTTTGTGTTCCATAATAGTCACCCATAGCCTGTGTATACTGGGACCAGGCATATGGGAATCAACTTTATTTTACAACAGCTTCTCTTTAGCTCTCCATCAGTTAATGGATTCTGGGTATTTATTAAGAACTTTACATTTAATGGAAAGAATGTTAAATACCACCAGCCCCACTCTGGCAGAGGACTGTTGGCTTTGTTTATCTCCATCATCATCCCAATACTTTGCCATCTCAATCCCAGCCCAATCTTGGGCCTTTGAGAAAATAACCTATCATTCCTAACTATAAGGGTGGAACTCCCTTCAAATTAATGAGCCTGGATGACTTATATGACTTCAAAATTATGTAAATGACAAGGGTTAGAATGACAGTATGAGTAGTAAACCTCCTCCAGTCCCATCAGAACAAACTTTCTGGGGTTACGTCCCATTAGAAACCCATTTGGTGGCCAATATCAATGTACACAGAACTAAAATTCCAGGTGCCACTTTATATTAAGAGAAGCCACAATTTTTGTCAGGCCCTGGAAACCTTGAAAAGTCATCGACACAACTGCACCCTGGAAATTAATCCCTCACATAATCATGTAAGCTATGCAGTTACCCAATCAGCATTATTTAGAAAACCTGTATGGTTTTCATGGAAATCATTCTGAGTTAAGGACACTTTAAAGGATATACAGTCTAAGTACTGTCAAGGTAGGCCCACTAGCTGTGTTCACATTTTCCATTGGGAAGACTGTACTGATCCTCAGATATCTGGTTGCCTTTTGATTTGCCGGTATGAAAATAGCTTTGGGTGATTGTTGGAGGACACTAAGTGTAACTAACTCCATTCGGAAAACAGAACTGCTGGGGCAACTCGGGATACTTCCCAAGGTCCTTTCCAGCCTTTAACTGGGGCCATCTTAGCAGGGACCTTAACTACTTGGAAAAACAAAAATGGCAAGCTAACCCACATGTTCATCATAGAAAACAATTTTTGTCTTGAACAACAAGGAGCTTTTTTTCCTGCGTGGAACTGGTTCCTACTTATGTTTACCAGCCAACTGGACTGGAACCTGTACACTTGTTTATTTAGCCCTGGCAATTAATATAGCTCCCAATAACCAATTCCTCATTTTACCTTTGACTGCAACTGCCAGGCACAGATTAACCAGTCAACTCATACCCTTTTGGTAGGGCTAGGCGTAACAGCTGGAATAGGAACAGAGGTTAGCGGGCTTGCAACTTCCCTATCCTATTATCAATGCTTGTCCAAGGATTTTATGAAAAGCTTGGATGGCATTGCCTAAAGTATCGTCACCTTACAAAATCAGATAGACTTCTTGGCAGCAGTCACTTTATAAAATAGGAGGGGACTGGATCTCCCTAATGCTAAAAAAGGTGGCTTATGTCTTTTTCCTAGAAGAAGAATGCTGCTTTTATGTCAACCAATCAGGATTTGTAAGGAATGCTACCCAGAAAAATTAGCTGACTGGGCCTCTGATATATGACAACAGCTGTCCAAGTCATGGCACTCCTGATCAAAAATGCTAAGTTTGGGGTTCATGACTCCTTCCTCTAGCTGGCCCTTCATTAATGATGATACTTCCCTTGGTTTTCGGATGTTGTTTGTTAAATCTCTTAACCAAATTCATTTCCTCTTGCCTGGAGACCATCAAGCTGCAGATAATGATGCAGCAAGGCTTCCAGGTAAAGACACCACCCCTGGACATCAAGAAGCTAGCCTCTCTCCACTAGACAGAGCAGGGCAGGATTTCTGTGATCCCCAATAGGTAGGGACTGCACCCAATTCAGGATGAAGCAGTTACAGAAGAAAGACCGTCAGTCTCTCTGCCTGCCGTGAAGACTTTATGGGGATCACATCTCTCATGGGGGAGAAATGAGGCAGGAAAATAGGTACTGGGGGCAGGGAACCTAAGGCCAATTCACATTGACTTCCTAGAACTAAATCAAAAGGAAAAACCCAACTTTCCACATAACAAAAGAATAGAAGCTACTCCCTTTGCAATCCCCACCCCCTTTCTGCATGGCAGATGAGAAATGGAAAGTACCTCTGATGGCTTCCCTCTCACAACCAATCAGAGTGGACACGAGCCTAGTTTTCATTTGCATAGGGGTGTAACTTTGTAACTTTACTTCAGCCTCTGATTGGTCCCCTCCCACAACCAGTCAGATGTTTGCGTAGGGTATAACTTTCTAAGTTCACTTCAGCCTCCGATTGGTCACCTTCTGAAACCAATCAGACTGGTCACAGGCCACTCCTTCATTTACATAGAATGTAAACCAAGTAACCAATGGGACACCTCTAGAAGGTATTTAAACCCCAGAAAATTTTGTAACCTGTGATCTTGAGCCACTTGGTCGAGACTGCTCCCACTTTGTGGAATGTACTTTCATTTCAATAAATCTGTGGTTTTGTTGCTTCATTCTTTTATTGCTTTGTTTGTGCATTTTGTCCAATACTTTGTTCAAAATGCCAATGACTTGGAAAACTCGTAGTCAAGACCCTCCACTGTTAACGGGAGGAGGATTAGAGGGAGGGAGAGGAAAGGAGGAGGAGGTTAAGGAGGAGGAGGAGGTATGGACAGAGGGAGAGAAGGAGGAAGAAAGCTGAGAGACAGAGAGTGAAGAAGTGGAGGTGGAAGGAGGGAGGAAGGAGGAGAGAGAAGAATAAAGGAAAGAGTGAATGAGTCACTGTTTCTGGGTTGTGGGACTGGCTGTGGTTGTAGCTTGCCTGTCTCCCTGTCTCTGGCCCCTTAGGCCAACCACGGGATTCCTGGCCCCAGGATATTTGCAGCACTGGTGTTTGGAACTTCTTACTGAAGTCCATTCCAGAAGTTCTCCCTCTGACCCCACTCTCTGCTTCTGTGGCCCCCAGTCGGGTCCTGCTTCTGGCCTGGGATTTCACATTTAGATCTTTTGTCCAGTGACTAAACCTCAGCATGGCCCAGCAACTGGGGGCCTGGTATCTCTCTAGGTGCAGTGCCCATCGCGGCTGCTCCTGTTCTGGGGATTAGGCGGCCACTGACCTGTCCCCACTGGGGCCACCTTTCGGGGTCTTTGCAGCAGCACTGTGCTCTCAGGTTTCTGGAAGAGGGTATTTCGGCAGAGATAACAGAATCGGCCAGCAGTACCTACCCATGTTTTCCATCCAATAAGCCATCACCTTCCAATTACCATAATGCCTGTAAGTGTAACAAAAGGCTCATTCTGGTGACAAATGTGGCCCTGCACTCTATGTCCCTTGAAGGATAAAAAGGTGTCTCAAATTCTAGTTATGAATTCTGTCACTAGTTCTAATAAAAACTTGCAATAATTAAATTAGAAGCAGAATATAGCTTTTTTTAACATAAAAGGAGAAACAATTTTCTGAGATAAGTCAATTCAAAAAAAATGTAACTGCTTGTCCTATGTATTTATGAAGTAGAAACTCATTTTCCCATCCAATTTTAGCTTCTTATTTCATGTTGGGTAATAGGTACTTCTGATAAGAACAACACCCTCTGATGGAAATGTGAGTATTGTCTTATCCTCAAGTTCTCTTCAGACCCAGATCAAAGATTTAAAAAGGTCATTAAGGTTTGAATATTTCACTCAACTGACTCAGGCTAATTACAGACGGAGTGGTGGTTTGGCAGCTAACTCCATGGTTCCCCACCTTTCTGTGTCCTTCTTTTTATTTTTTATTATTCTTACCTAAATGCTGCCTACCCTTTACAAATAATTTGAAGATCTCCTCCTCCAGGAAGCCTCCAGGGATTGCCTCTGGATGGATGGAGCTTTGCAGCTGGTCACCACTTGCCCTTCAACCTCCTGTCGACAGGGTTGTCCTCAGGATGGGTCAGGAGGAAAACATTCTCCATGTCTGTCACCCGCCTTCTGTCACCCACCCCCTGTTATTAGGCTGTTCTTACATTGTTGTAAAGAAATACTGGAGACTGGGTAATTATAAAGAAAAAAAGTTTAATCAGCTCATGGTTCTGCAGGCTTTACAGGAAGCATGGTGCTGGCATTTGCTTGGCTTCTAGGGAGGCCTAAGGAAGCTGATGATCATCTCGGAAGGTGAAGGGGGAGTAAGCACTTCACATCATGAATGCAGGAGTGAGAGAGAGAGAGAGAGAGAGAGAGAGAGAGTTGACGGGGAGGTGCCACACACTTCTACATGATGAGGTCTCGCAAGAACTCAGTCACTATCATGAATATAGCACTAAGCCACAAGGGATTTGTCTCCATGATCCAAACACCTCCCACCAGGCCCCACCTCCAGTATTGGGTATTCCAATTCAACATGAGAGTTCAGCAGGGATAAATATCCAAATGACATCATTTCTCCCCTGGCCCCTCCCAAATCTCATGTCCTTCTCACATGGCAAATACAGTCATGCCTTCCCAGTAGTCTCCCAAAGTGTTAACTTGTTCCAGTATTAACTGAAAAGTCCAAAGCCCAAAATCTTATGAGACAAGGCAAGGCCCTTCCACCTATGAGCTGGTAAAATCAAAACCAAGTAATTTATTTCCAGGATACCATGTGGGTACAGACATTGAGTAAACATTGCCATTATAAAAGGAAGAAATCAACCAAAAGGAAGGTGCTACAGGCGCCACACAAGTCTGAAACCCAGCAGGGCAGTTATTAAATCTTAGAGCTCCAAAATAATCTCTCTTTTTTGACTCCATATTCTGCATTCAGAGCACACTGGTGCAGGGGATAGGTTCCCATAGTCTTGGGCAGCTCCACTTCTGTGGTCTTTTCATGGATCAGCCCTGACTACTGCTCTCACAGGTTGAGTGCTTATGATTTTTCCAGGTGCATGCTGCAAGTGGCTGGTGGATCTACCATTCTGGGGTCTGGAGGGTGGTGGCCCCCTTCCCATAGTTACACTAGGCAGTACCCCAGTGGGGACTCTGTGTGGGGGCTCCAACCCCACATTTTCCCACCACACTGCCCTAGTAGAGGTTACTGTGAGGGCTCTGCCCCTGAAGCAGGCTTCTGCCTGGGCACCCAGGTTTTCTCATACATCCTCTGAAATCTAGGCAGGGGCTGTCAAGCCTTCACTCTTGCACTCTGTGTGCCCACAGGCTTAACACCACGTGAAAGCCACCAAAGCTTACAGCTTGCGCTCTCCCGAGTAGCAGCCCAAGCTGTATCTGGGGCCCTTTGAATCATGACTGATGCCATGACTGGAGCCACAGCAGCTGGAATGCAGGGAGCACTGTCCTGAGGCTGTGCAGGGTAGCGGGGGCACTGGCTGGCCTGTGAAATCATTCTTTTTTCTTAGGCCTCTGGGCCTCTCGTGGCGGGGGTGCTGCCTGGAAGTTTTCTGAAATATCTTTGAGGACTTTTCCCCGTTATGTTGGCTATTAACACTTTGCTCCCTTTTAGTTAAGAGTAAATTTCTCTATCGAGTGGTTGCTCTATAACCAATTAAATTTCTTTCCTGAAAAAAGCTTTTTCTTTCTTGGCTTCATGGCCAGGATGCAAATTTTCCAAACTTTTATGCTCTGCTTCGTATTTAAATATAAATTCCAACTTTAAGTTATTTCTTTGCTCCCACACCTGAGCGTAGGCTGTTAGAAGCAGCCAGGCCAATTCTTGAATGCTTTGCTGCTCAGAAATTTCTTCCACCAGATACCTTAGGTCTCACTCTCAAGCTCAAAAGTCAACAGGTTCCTAGGGAATGAACCCAATGCAGGCAAGTTCTTTGCTAAGGCGTAACATGTGTGACCTTTGCTCAAATTCGCAATAAATTCCTCATTTCCATCTGAGACCTCCTCAGCCTGGACTTCACTGTCCATATCACTATCAGCATTTTGGTGATAACCATTTAACCAATCTCTAAGAAGTTCCAGACTTTCTTTCATCTTTCTGTCTTTTTCTGAGTTCTCCAAGTTCTTGCAGCATATGCTTATTACCCAGTTTCAAAGCTGCCTCCAAAATTTCAGTTATCTTTATAACAATACCTCACTCCTCAGTACCAATTTTCTGTATTAAGCCATTCTGTCATTGCTATAAAGAAAGATCTGAGACTGGACAATTTATAAAGAAAATAGGTTTAATAGGCTCATGGTTCTGCAGGCTGTACAGGAAGCATGGTGCTGGCATTTGCTTGGCTTCTAGTGAGACCTCAGGAAGCTTACAATCACGGCAGAAGGTGAAGGGGGAGCAGGCACATATGGCGAAAGCAGGAGCAAGAGGGAGGGTGGTGGGGAGGTGCCACACATTTTAAACAACCAGATGTCATGAGAACTCACTCACTATCGCAAAGGCAGCACCAGGCCATGCGGGATCTATGCCCATGACCCAAACACTCCCAGCAGGCCCCACCTCCAGCACTGGGGATTACAGTTCAATATGAGATTTGGGTGGGGACAAATATTCAACTTTATCAGCCCCTTCACAAGAAATCCATTTCGAAGAACTGACTAGGTCCCCTCCCCCTAGGCTTGAAATGGGCTGGGCTATCCTCTGCCAGTTTCAGGCCCCAGCTTGGGTTGGGGATGAGGACAATGGGTAGAAAGACAGGAGAAGTGGAGGGAGACAGGTGGGTCTGAGTAATTGAGTGAAAAGTGATTATGGAATATTTGGTCACTGGAAAACAAAGAGAGACAGAGAGAGGATCAGAAAGGGGAGACAACTAATGACGCAAGGCACTAGGTTTGGGAGAATCGTGTGGGATTGGAAGTTTGAGAGGAAAATGTTGGGAGAGGGGGATGGATAGAAAGAATTTGAGGGCAGCTACAGGGTGTGGGACAGACCAAGAGTGAGTGGAATAGGGATTTAGAAATAAAAGCCTTACTATGGGTTATGAATTGCATTCTCTTTGATGTTCTTTGAGAGACTCCAACAAAAAATGGAAATAATCTAAATTTTGTTTGAGCATTCAGAGGTGTGATTGTGTGAGCCTGTTTCTTTATGTGACTCCACGCAGAGACTGGGCCCCGTGATGAGCCCTCTCCTGTCTGGGTTCACGCTGTTGTTCACATGGTGCCCTGTGTGCATAGCATCTGGAGTCAGAAGACCTGGCGCTTGAAAGCTGGATGCAAGATGTTGCAAAAGTTACTTAGCTTCTTTAAGCCTCAGTTTCCTTAACTGTAAAATGGACACACTAATAATAGCTTTCTAATAGGGCTGTCTTCAAAGCAAACTGAGATAATTAGATGTGGAGATGCAAGGTTAGGCTTATCACACTGTAAGCAATTAATTATTAATAGATCTTTATTTCTTTGCTTTTTTTTTTTCATTCATCCCCTGATATGGTTTGGCTCTGTGCCCCTACCCAAATCTCACCTTGAATTGTAATCACCATAATCCCCACATGTGAAGGGCAGGACCAGGTGGAGGTAATTGAATCATGGAAGTGGTTTTCCCCAGGCTGTTCTC
Source organism: Homo sapiens (assembly GCF_000001405.40). Taxonomy (NCBI): domain Eukaryota; kingdom Metazoa; phylum Chordata; class Mammalia; order Primates; family Hominidae; genus Homo; species Homo sapiens. The sequence goes on from NC_000020.11 coordinate 60,292,230, forward strand.
ATGATGAGTGAGTCTCATGAGATCCGATGGTTTTATAAACATCTGGCATTTCCCCTGCTTGCACTTCTTCTTCCTGCCGCCTTGTGAAGATGTCTTACTTCCTCTTTGCCTTTCAGCATGATTGTGAGTTTCCTGAGGCCTCCGCAGCCTTGCTGAACTGTGAGTCAATTAAACCTCTTTCCTTTATAAATTACCCAGTCTCAGGCATGTCTTTATTAGCAGCATGAGAACAGACTAATACATCTCTTCATGTTACGTCTTACAACCCCAGCTGTTGCGTTTGCTCTTTGTAGAAAGGACTGTGTCCTCTGAGCCCAACCAGGATGGCATACATTTCTGGAGCTCCAGGAGGCCATCTGGGGTGAGTCTACCCTGTAACCCCAGGGGGCTCTTTCACATGCTGCCCCAAGAGGGGCAGCCTGTCATGACCCAGGCACAGATATGTGTGCCCTGACACCCAGCCTGTTCCCTTGAAGGGGTTTCTGTGTGCTCTATGCTAAGCCTTGTCTGAGTTTCTTGACCCTGGCTGTGAGTCTCATGAGCGAGCCATGAGGGTTTGGCCTGTTTGCTCAACCCCTAGAAAGAGGACATGTACAAGTGGGCTTTCACCGAACGTCCCTGAGCAGAATCAGAATCATACATTCATAATCATATTTAATTCCTCAACAACAAAAGAGACACATTTGTCTCAGGGCTAAGTACTAAAAAATGCATGGAGCAGGAGAAAATCATCAACAAAAATTTAACTGAATGCCCATGACTAATGATTTATTTAAGGTGTTCTGGCTTGATTACAGCTGGCTGTATTTGAAAACAACCAGCTTGTGTGGGAGGCAGAGTAGGGGGCAGCTGTAGGGCAGCCTGGGCCTGGCTGGTGGACTGAGGCCCCCATCTACAAGCCAGGCAACTTGGGCAGCTCCCCCTCTGTGTATGAGGCACTGAGGTGTTGTGTGCAAAATGACTGGCACCAAGCTAGTGCTCAATAAACGTCACATACTGTTACCGTTTTTTGCTGTAGTCAGGAGTGTTAATGCCATTTGCTTCTCCTGAAAATAAAATCTTAATTTTTTGTACTCCAAAATGACAGATAAATATTTTATTTGTTTGATACTGAGTGTTCTGCATCTGACATCCTAATGAACACTGAACATATTTCCATTCACTAATGCTGTTAAAAGAACCACAGGCTTGGTTTTGCAAAAAGATGTATCTTTGCAACCAACAGACTTACCCATTACTGCAGAGATGAGAGGACTTTCTGCTGTTTGAATGTATGCATTAACCAAAAATACAGAAGCGAGTGTGACCTTGAATATTAGCATTGGGAACAACAGGTGGTCGTGGACATAAAGTCTTACCCACAGCTAGGGGCAAAGGGCATGCTACGAACATTTCATTGAACATAGGATCACAAGCATGCACATTGTCACATTGTCACATGGAAGCTATTTGCAGAGGGAAAAGTGGGGACGAGGGTACAATGACTTGGACAGAGACCCCACAATCTATGGGAAGGCCTAAGATTGTGAGGTAGACACAAATGCCTTCTCCTTCTGGCTATTTTAAGATAAGCATTCTGAAAAGCACACATATTGACTGAGCTCTATCCAATAATGATGAAAAATACAGACCAAAACACAACAAGGAAAAAGAAAGTGATCAGAGGTGTGGTGGTTGGTGAGTGTTTGGCTTCTCTACCTGTTCATCCCAAAGCCCACTGCTGGTAATTGCTGCTGCCTCTTTGATCCCAGACAAGGAATAAGGGCCAGGCCTGATGCTCAGAAGAAGCCAAGGTGGCCTCTCTTAACACAAAGGTAAAGAGCATGGGTTTGAGCCCTCTTGTGCAAGGTGCTTTGCAAAGCATGACTTTGCATATCTATTCTAATTTTATCTTTGCAATAACCTGTGGGATGGAAAACACTTCCACCCATTTCACAGATGTAAAAAATGAGGCCCAGCAGGGGTAAGATGCTCTCAATCACACAGTGTCAAAGTTTCAGCCTCTGGGAGTGCTTGTTCCTCCTTGTGTTGGTCTGAAATCTGATTTCCCAAACTTCTGCCCACAGTCCAGGCTTCCTACTTGCTCAGCACATGCCTGACCTATCCTGGGGGACAGACCTTTAGGTGGCCAAAGATGGCACTCACTTCCCTGCAGCAGTTTCCTTCCATCATTGCCACATCCTTCAAGCATCCTTCATGCATCTTTCCCACAGCCTGGCTTTGAGTCTCTCCAACATTTTATTTTAAATCTACCTCCAGCTGATTGATATCACTCTGCAAAATTTAGTATTTAGAACCTCATGCCACACCACGACCTGGTTTTAAAACACCTGAATTAAGTTTACAATGATCAACTGTATTAACTCTGTCGCTAGGGTTCTCTTATTGCAAGCTAAGTTTGTGCCAGCATTGTCAGCAGCCAATAATAGCATGAACTTACACGGAGATCCTTGTGCATTCATTGGGTCACAGAGCGCTGTTGGGTACCTCCTACACACCAGGTCTTGGTCTCTAGGATATAATGGTGAGCAGCAGAAAATTCAGATGCAGAGCAGTAGGGAGGGCAGAAAGGAAGGAAACAATCAAACTAGTGCGTGTCAGGTTGCCACTCTGTGTGTGCTGTAAAGGGAAGGACGTGGTGCGCTCATCGTGTAAACAGGCAGGCCTGGCGTGGTTTGAATGGGGATGGTGAGAAGACACTCCCCTAAGGAAGTGGCATTTAATCTGATAGGTAACGAATGAGAATAAAGTGGGTGAAGTGGTCAGGTGGGGTGGCTCACACCTGTAATCCTAGCACTTTGGGAGGCTGGGGCGGGTGGATAGCTTGAGCCCGGGAGTTTCAGACCAGCCTGGGAAACATGGTGAAATGCTTTCTCTACTAAAATTATGTAAAACCAGCTGGGTGTGGTGATGCATGCCTGTAGTCCAACTACTCAGGTGGCTGAGGTGGGAGGATCACTTGAGCCCAGGAGGTCAAGGCTGCAGTGAGCTGTAATCGTGCCACTGCACTCCAGCCTGGGTGACAGGAATGAGACTCTGCCTCAAAAACAAAACAAAACAAAACAAAAAAACCTGGGAAGAGGCAGGAGATATAGAGGGTGGAGTGTAATAGGAGAGTGTTCCAGGAAGCATGTGCAAAGGTCCTGAGGCAGGGAGGAGCTTTGTGGTGAAGGACATAAGGAAGAGTGGCTGATGTTCAGAGAATGAGCATGTTCTGAGTCAGGAATAGAGAAGCTGGCCCCAGGGCAGCCATGCAGGAGCTTGTCAGACATGGCGGGGGGTTGGGCCTTTATTCTGAGAGTAATAAGAAGTCACTGAAGAATTTCAGGCAGAGGAATGAAATGATGAGGCTGCAGCTTGAAAAGCTCCCTTTGCCTGCTAGGTGTAGACGGGAACCTCACAGGGCAAGAAAGCTGGTAGGAAGGCTACTGAGGCAGGGGAGGGGAGAATTGATGGGGTCTGTGAGGGAGGTGTGAGTGTTGACTGATGGAAGATCTGGGGCATGAGCTCCTTCTCATGATGGAGTCCACAGGCTGGCCCCAGCAGTTACCTTGCAAGCTGGAGTAAAGACTTTGGACCAGGTGCTCTCTTGGGTGGAAACAAGACCCACCAGAAATGGTCCTACTGGTTCACCACCTTTCTCTACTTGGAAATCAGCTAGTAAGGCAGGATTCCCCCCTTTGACATGCATGGGCCACCTTCATCAGTGGTTAAGAAGAAAAGGTAACACTGGGACCTGAACTCGCGTTATTTAAAATGGGAAGTTTGAGGGGAGGCTTCGTGCCAAACGGAGCAATATTTGTTGTAAATGGTGCATGCGCTGTATGTGGCAAAAGGCATTTTTTGATGTCAGCTATTTCTTTGAACTCTGAAGAGCCCTACCTTTCACTGGCTTCTGTCTAGCAAGCCACCCCTTCAGTGTCCTGAGCACACCTTAGATCAAAGCCCGCTGCACCCAGGCCTTTTTTATGTTCCTTTTGCACAGGTGAGATGAAAGTTGCTGGGAATGGGGATGTCATTCCATGAGCCAGATGAGAAATGGGGGGATGGGCATCTGCGGGAGGGTCCACAGCACAGTCCCCAGGAAGACAGCAGCTGTCCCCTTTTCTCTCCAGTGACCAGCATTTCACCAGGGGAGAATTTGGGCTCAAAGTTTTCCTGTTTGGGGTGGGACACAGAAGCCCAGGCCACCCTTTCAAGGGCATAACGCTGTCAATTTCTTAACCCTATTTGTCACACTCATATGGATGCCATAATTAGTTATTTAATTATGATGTGTAAAACCAGAAGCTAACGAGGATAAAATGATGAAAGTTAATCATTTTGCCACCCCAAGGTAATGAGCTTTCATCCTGTCCTCAGATATTGGGGTTGGAAATCAGATTCTTGTAAAACGACTCTCTGTGGGCTGACTTCAAAATGTGGGGAGTGTCTATGACATGGCTCCTGTGTCACTTCTGAGGGACGGAGGGAGGCAGAATTAGAACAACACAACAGTGAGCACAGGCAAAGAGGGGGAGGTGCCTGGTGGTCCCTCTGTGCCTGGCGCTGCTCCAAGGACATGACTCCCATGACCGGCAGTGAGCAGTCAATTCCGTAGTGGCACCATCACCCCGGTGAGGAATAAGAGGCTGAGATGCGGACAGGAGCGGTGGCTCACGCCTGTAATCCCAGTACCTTGGGAGGCCGAGGCAGGCGGATCATGAGGTCAGGAGATGGAGACCATCCTGGCTAACACGGTGAAACCCCATCTCTACTAAAAAAATACAAGAAATTAGCTGGGCGTGGTGGAGGGCGCCTGTAGTCCCAGCTCCTCGGGAGGCTGAGGCAGGAGAATGGCGTGAACCCGGGAGGCGGAGCTTGCAGTGTGCCGAGATCGCGCCACTGCACTCCAGCCTGGGCCACAGAGCGAGACTCCGGCTCAAAAAAAAAAAAAAAAAAAAAAAAAAGGAGGCTGAGATGCCAAGTAGCTTGTCACATATCACATGGCTGGAAAGCAGTGGAGGCAGGCGTGCGGTCTGGTTCTGCATCCCAGCTTTTAGAAGGTCTGTTGAGCTTGCATGGAGTAAAAAGGTGCTCTGGGACACCTGCTATCAGGAAGCCAAAGGCAAAACTGCACAGACATGCTCCTTCAACCAGCGCACACGGCAAAACTCAGGCCACTTTGGCTGCTCTTACTTGTTCTCTATAAAATGTTTGTACTTTATAACAGCGGTCCCCGACCTTTTTGGCACCAGGGACTGGTTTCTTGGAAGACAATTTTTTTTTTCCATGGACCAGGGCAGGGGGATGGTTTGGGATGATTCAAGCACATTACATTTATTGTACACTTTATTTCTATTATTATATTGTAATATATCAAGAAATCTACACAGCTCACCATAATGTAGAATCAGTGGGAGCCCTGAGCTTGTTGTCCTTTAACTAGACGGTCTTAGCTGGGGGCGATTGGAGATGGTAACAGATTGTCAGGCATTAGATTCTCATAGGGAGTGTGCAACCTAGATCCCTTGCACGTATAGTTCGCACTCTAGTTCATGCTCCTATGAGAATCTAGTGCTGCTGTTGTTCTGGCAGAAGGTGGAGCTCAGTTGGGAATGTGAGCCATGGGGAGTGGCTGTAAACACAGATGAAGCATGGCCCGCTCTCCTGCCACTCACCTCCTGCTGTGCAGCCCAGTACCCGTCCGTGGCCCTGCGATTGAGGGCCCCCGCTTTATAAAGAACCTTACACTTACTTCACTGTAAACACAATTTGAAATTCTCATTCTTTTAAAATACTTAGTTCTCATACTTTAAGATATGTAAGTTTGACAAGTGATCAACTTTTGAAAAAGCAGCATTTAGGTGTTTGGAAATAAATGGCATGACTGCAAGGTGTTTAGCCGATGCTGTTTCTTAGTGATGCCTGTGGAAATAGCTATGTTAGATTGTAACTGTTTCCTGTGTCTGCTGTAACAAATTACAAAAAATTTCGTGGCTTAGTGCAACAGAAACTCACTCTCCCACAGTTCTGGGGGCCAGAAGTCCAAAGTCAACGTGTCGGTGGGGCCACACTCACTCCTGAGGCTCTGGGGGAGGGATTTTCCTCACCTTTCCTAGCTTCTGGTGGCTCCTGGAGATCCTTGGCTGTAGTCACCCCCTCCCATCTCTGCCTCTGCCTTCACATTACCGCGTCCTCTGTGTGTTGATGTCTTCTCCTCTCTGATCTTGTAAAGGACATTTGTCACTGGATGTAGGGGCCACCCAGGTCATCCACGATGATGACATCGCCAGACCCTTAACTTCATCTGCAGAGACCCTCTCCCACATAAGGTCACATTCACAGGTGCTGGGATGTGAACAGACCTTTTCTTGGCTCGGGGAGGGGGCAGCATTCAACCTACTGCTGAGGTCATTTGTTCAAAGCACTTAGAACAATGGCATCAATAAGAGCTCAAGGAATACTGGTGGTTGCTATTAATATAATAGTAATGATTATTATTTCCTAGGGTAGGGTTTGGGAAGCCTCCAGGCCTTTTGGTTAAAACTGAACTGATGAGCACAGAGAGTCAGTGCAACAGGTGGGGGAAAGGCCTGGGAGCCTGGCGGCCCCTGCTCCCACCAGTAAGGCTGCCTGTCCGAGGGGAGGCCTGGGGGCTCCAGCCTCATCCCCCATCAGCACAGCGAGAACAGTGGTTTCTTGCTGGGGATTGCAGTGTCTGCCTTTCGAGTTTCCTTGGAGCAGATGTTCTGAGAGTTCAGTGTTTTCCCTGCTGAGAAGCCCAGGGCTCTGACCCTGCCAACATGCTCCCGAGATTCCTAAACACAGCACTGATTGGAACCTGACCTCTTCACAGTGCAGAGGATCCTTGGGGGCTCCTGCTCTTTAGTAAAAACACAGCTCGCCTCTCATTTTCCACCTGGAGCTCCTCACCCGCAAGCCCTGGTGGAGCTGCTTTGAGGATGGACCAGAGCCTCATTCTGTGATGCTATCATTTCTGCATCCACAGATTCACTGCACTGGCCATACACATGCTCGGCTGCCGGGGGACCAGGAATGCAGGGTGCGGGCTCCTGACCTGTGTTTCTAAAGTCTGCTCATTCACCCCTCGCCCAGTGCTTCTCATGCTTTCAAGGAACACACACCCTTTCAAGGGTCTTGTGTGTGCCAGGCACCCTGAACAGGCCCAGCCCCGCACTTAATGAGCTACTCACGAATCAGAGGACAGGATGGTGAAGTGACAGGCAGTCACACTGCTTGCAAGGGGGTGACATTTGGGGGCAGGAGGCTGTAGGGTCCATGAAGAAACTCCACTGTAGGTTGTGGGGTCGGAGGAAGCCGAGGGCTAAAGGATGAGTATCACCTGGAGAGAGGAAGAGGTTTCCATTGACCTGGAGAGAGGAAGAGGTTTCCATTGGCAAGTGGTACTGGATTCCTGTTTGCTGTGGGAGCTGCCTGGGTGTTGTAGGATATTGAGTTTAGGCAAAGCCCTGGAGGCAGCAGATAGCAGGTGTGTCTGTAACTATGTGACCCCAGGGAGGTTGGCGCCCAGTGGGCAGCCTGGGGAGCATAAGAGGAGGCTGTAGGAGCAAACAAGCAGGCAGGATCCTGGAGGGCCCATAGGTACTGAGGAGTGTGGGCTACGTGTTTGGAGCAGGAAAGCCACATACTCCGAGCAGCCTTTTACAATGGCCCACCTGCTGTACTGGGACCTTATCACTCCATGCTGGGCTCAGATTAACACCAGTGAAAAACATCTCAAGATCTGCTCCTGTGTGGTTTCTCCTGGTCAGTCACCCAAGAACCAGCCCTGCAGCTTTCTCCACTGGCCCACGGCACAGACTCCAGAGTGGCCGCCGCACTCGCCCTGTATGGGCCCTGCAGCTTCTGTGCCATCACTTCCCCGAGCTCACTCACACCTTGCACCCCAGCACCGGGCCACCCAGCACCGTCCACACTGTGCAGTCGTGTGCTTCCCGAGAGTTGGTTATATTTGTTCCCAAACCTGTTTACTCCAGTCGTACTTGCTAGTGTAAATACACCCTGCAATTAAATATTACATAAAAAAATGAACATCTGAGTGCAAATAAGAAGGCCGTCGCTTCTATAAATAAAGGTTGAATTTTTGGAAAGACTCAAACAAGGCAAGGTACTAAAACTTTCTTCAAATTTTTTTTTCTGTGAAACAGCAATAAAGCACTGAGGGAAAAATAAGTCAAAATTCCAGCTGATGGCTATACCTGCTGCTGCTTCAAATTCTCTTCATGTTCTCTCGCCAGGATAAACAAACTGGAGGTGGTTTCATGGGTGTGGCGCATGCGAGGCCCACAGCAGAGGGCAAAGGGTTTATCTTTTTGTTTGGTTTTGTTTCTCAAAGGTTGGTAAATCTACACCTGCAGGCATGTTTAACTGTTTTATGTTACAGTATTTAAGATGCATCATCTTTAGCAGTGTCTCCTGTTGTATTGGGTAAGAGGGTGTGGGCTGAGAATGTTTGTGGTCAGGAAGAAGAGGGCACCCCTAAGAGCTCAGGGTGGCTCCAAGCTCCATCCATGTCTTGGTCTGTAAACTGGAACACCAGTGACAGTTTCTACCTATGAGACAGCCGTGTGGAAAGGTCTCAGCCATGCCTGGTACATGATCAGCACCCCAGCATTAGATGTTGAGAGAACAAAAAAGTATAGAAGAGAAGTGAACATTTATTCCTCTAGGAAACAAGCAAATTACTTATATATATAACATATATTAGATATAAATTATATCTAATATATGTTATATATTACATAATTATATATAATTTATATATATTTATACATATATAGCTATATAATTATATAATTTTATATAATTATATATAACATAATTATAAATATATAATACATACATATAAAATATATGTATGTATTATATATTATGCATATGTGTTATATATAATACATACGTAAAATTATATAATATATACATATTATATATAAAATTATGTATAATATAGTTATATAAATATTATATACATATTTTTTATATATATATATAATTTTTTCTTTTTTCTTTATTCCTTAGAGAATACCTCCACAGATGACTTACATTTCAGTCAATTTTAAAAAATAATCCTGAAACAATGGGAACTCACTTCCTGAGGGAGAAAAGGAAGAGTAGACAGAACAAGTCATATGCTGTGATTGGCAAGCCTATGAGGTGTCTGAAAGGTCCCCAGGATGACTGACAATTGGCCTCTTGAAATTAAACAACCATATCCTGCCGCCTGGGCACTCATGCACCGAGGCATGGGTATGTTTTGCATGCAAGGCCTGCCCTACAAAGTGTCTAGTAAGAAGGCATTATCTTTTAAAAGATAAAATACAGCTCAGGTAGATTAACTTTTTAAAGCTCCTTCTGTGATTTTATATTTTATATATATATATATATATATATATGGCATTGAAATGAATGAGGGATTTACAGAAGCACATAAAGGGGCACATTTTCCTAGTGCGTCATTGAGATTTAATGCAAAGGAGTGGACCCTGGTGGAGGGATGCAGGTGAAAAGTGCTGGTTTCCCCTCTTAGGGTGACTTTTTCTTGCCTTTTTGAATGCAACTGAGTTTGGAAAAGGAGCTATGGGGTCTCCAAAGTGGCCGGACCTCCTCTCTGAGTATGAAGGGGATGCTGCTGACAGCACTGTCAGGCTGTTGACCATTACTTTGCATCTGGTGTGTAGGGTAGGGTGCAAAAGGCCAACTGTTGCTGAGTGGAGTGGACACTCAGTCCAATTAGAGCTCTCCGAGAATCTGTTTGCAGCCAACTCGCAAAGCCAGCTGGGAGAGTCTGTGCAGAATGATTCTTAAAGTGATTGCTCCTCTAGAGGGAAATGTGATTTCAGTGACCACATTTAGGGTTTGGGTAATATTGACATCGTTTTATATATAATTGTGATGATATCATTTCTTACCATACTTAAAAAGGACTTAGAGACACTGGCTGAGCCACTTAGCTAGGACATCCCTCCCTTCTCCCTAACTGCACCTGTCTCTCACTTTGAAGTTCATATCTCAGAGCAAGACCACCCACTACTCCACCTGTTGTCATCCACAGATGCTCTGGTCCCTCCCCTTATACGTGAAGGGGATTGCAGCCACCTCCCTGCACTTTCTTCATATAACTCCTGCTATATTCTTGGTGATTTCTGTGTCTTTTTGAATGATCTTTTCAATATCCCGAGTTCTCAGTTTTGTGACCTCCTCTCCTCCAAAGATACTGTATTTTTCCCTATCTCAGTCACTCAGTCCCATGGGTCATATTCTAGACTATGGATTCTCAACCTTGGGGAGCTTTAGAAAATTCCACTCTGCATGCTGTGCCCCAGATCTATTAGAGCACAGTCTATTGGGATACGAGCTGGGCATCAGCATTTTAAAACTCCCCAGTTTACTTCATTGGGTAGCTAAGGTCACGAATCCCTGCTCCTCACTGCATCCCCGTTGGAGCTGGATGTCCAGTGTCCTTCTCTCCGAACTACACCTACTCCTTTTCCGGCTCCCCCAACTCCAATTCATCAATTTCATCATGACCTACATTCTTCTCACCCTTTTCAGCTCTCAGTCCCCTTTGCATCCTCACTTCCTTCCTCATCTAGTTTAGACTCCATCATGCAATATTAAGATCAGTCCCACGAAGACACTCTCAGCTGTCTCTCACCTCTGTTGATGCCATTAATATGGCAAGGTCTAAGCAGGTGAAATCCAACCTCCCACTTATTTCTTCCTGCACCCAGGCAGGTAAATATGTACACACACACACACACACACACACACACACACACAGACACACGGACACACACAGACACACACACACACACACACCACTCAATGTTCTGTTTTTATTTTAAATGCAAAACCACAGATGAGTCACGAGTCTTTGGTTCTGCCCATCAAGCCTATATTATTCCCTAAGTCTGCCCATTATCCACTATCTGAGATGACGACTTCACACCTCCTCCCCTTCTCGAGCCATTTACCCCTTGTCTACTGCATCTGTTTCTAGCTCTTGACCTCGTTTCCTATTTCACTAAGAAACAAACACTCATAATTGCCACATATCCCATCAACACATCCACCCGTCACACTCCTCTGAGCCCCAAGACTCTGCCTCCCTGTCCCCAAGACCCTCAGAGACCAGATCTCCATGTGTGCACTGGCATCTATGCCTCCTGTCTTCTCCAGCACAGCACCCCAGGGGGTTTGTTTTCTGCATGTCTCAGCATTGTGCTTCCTTCATCCCTTAAAATATGCAGAAACATCTCTTAACTCAACAAACGTGCACCAGAAAACCTCCCTTGGTTTCAATGCCCCTTTTCTCATCGCCCAATTTCTCTACACCCCTTTACAATGAAACACATGGAAAGTGATCTCAGTATTCATCGCCTCCCCTTTCTCTCCTCCCAGTCTCTCAGGGATCTCTATGGTCACACTTTTGTGCCCACCCCGGGAGATCTCCAATGCCTTTTGCATTGCAAAATTTAGTGATCCATTCTCAAAAGCACTGACCAGTTAATATTGCATTCCCCTTCTTGACTTTCTCAACCTGGCTTGGAGGCATGATTTTTCTCTTCTGTAAGTTTTCCTTCTAAGTCCGTGGCTAGTACTTCTAAGATGTTACTTCGTTTTGTTGAATCTCTCTCATCTCTCTGCCACTAAATGTTAGAATACCCTGGGGCTCGGTCTGTGGGCCTCCTCTCCATCTGCACACACTCTCTTGGTGATCTTCTAGTCTCCACATTTAAATGCTCTCTACGTCTCTGCTTGGATGTCTAGAGGCCATTTCAAAGCTGACATGTCTAGAGTGGAAGTCCCACCCCAAACTTTCTCTCCTAAAGTCTTTCCTATCTTAAAATGTTCTAGGAGATTTAAGCCCTGTCCTTACAGGTCCTGCAGCCAGAAATACGATTCATCCTCAACTCATTCTTCTCTGACACCTCACACTGAATCCATCACAATGCCACTCAGCTCAACCTTCAATATATGTTGAGAATTCAACCTGCCTGATGTCTAGCCTGCATGTGGCCTTCTGCCCTGGCCTGGAAACTGGATTTCCTGTTCCTGCTCCTGCCCTGCCACCACCTCATTGCCTAAAGTAGCCAGAGTGAATCTGTTAAAAGGTAGACGGGGCTAGGGGTGGTGGCTCATGCCTGTAATCCTGGCACTGTGGGAGGCCAAGGCGGGCGGATCACTTGAGGCCAGGAATTTGAGGCCGGCCTGACTAACATGGTGAAACCCCGTCTCTACTAAAAATATAAAAATTAGCTGGGCATGGTGGCACACACCTGTAACCCCAGCTACTTAGGAGGTTGAGGCAGGAGAATTGCTTGAACCCAGGAGGCGGAGGTTGCAGTAAGCCAAGATTGCACCACTGCACTCCAGCCTGAGTGACAGAGTGAGATTCCATCTCAAAAAAAGAGTAGACGGGATCACCTCACTCTGCTTCTAACCCTTCAGTGGCTCTTTTCTCACTCAGCTGGACACATGAAAATATAAGTGAAGGACCTTGTAAGCCATGCCAAAGGGCAGGCTCTTGAGGCTGGAGAACTACAGGGCAAGGGGAGATAAAAGACAATGAGAATAATAATGAAAGGAACAGGTCATGCGGCCAGTAAGCAGGTGCTGAAGGTTCCAGCCTCGTCCCTCTGATATCAGAGCATGTGCTTTATTCAGTTCACTCTATTGCCAGCCAGGGAAAACTTCTTAGGGCAGGGTCACCGTGCAGTGGGGCTTTGGAGGTCACAAAGGTGGGTTGGTTGTAGGGGAGAGAGAGTAGCACGGCAGATGAAGAAAATCTCATTGAGTATATTCTAGCCTAGGAAAAGCCAACACATCAAAAATACAGAGAGTGGCTGGAATAGGCAAAGGCTAGGAATGACCTCTGGTCTTTGCTATTTTGTGCCAGGACCTCTGCCCTCCGCCCGTGAATGGGGTGAAGGTGAGGGACTGAGACTGTCAATGCAAAGCTACTGTTGCTCTTAAAGAGCTTACTGTTTGGAAAACTTGCCAAAAACCTCCAAGAAGGTTCTGAACTGGTAGGTGTCAACCTTGCAACACACAGTTTGGTTCAAGGCAAGTCTTGTACAAGAGGACTCATTGATACCAGAGGCCAAGGCAGGAGAATGGCAGGAGTTCAAGACTAGCCTGGGCAACAAAGTGAGACCCAGTCTCTACAAAAATAACAAATAAAATATTAGCTGGGCATGATGGCATGCTTCTGTAGTTCCAGCTTCTGGAGAGGCTGAGGCAGGAGGAGCGCTTGAGCTGGGAGGCCAGGGCTACAGTGGATGAGCTATGATCACATCATTGCACTCCAGCCTAAATGACAGGGCAAGACCCTGTCTCAAAAAGATAAAATAATTTGGAGACAATATCTGGCTTTCTTCATACTTAGCCCAAGGCAACTCAAGTGTTACATCTAAGGCCGTCTCGGAGTTCACTTGCATCTTTTCTATCTCCCTACTTCTGGATTCCTTTGAATCTAGCATTAAGCCAGGAGTCTAGATTATTGATTATTGGTTATTTCACTCATTCCCACATCTTAATCGTAGCCTCTTATGTGCAAGGCAGCTAGCCGTTGGGCGTTGGGAGCCAGACAATCTCCTGATTTTTACTGAATTCCCCCACACTGAGAGTCCCAATGCCAAGTCTCTGGAATAACCCTTCTGATGCAGTCATCCAAAATCTGTCTTCACAAGGGTTTCTGCAAGGCTTCCCTCTGCAGCTTCCTCACATCTCGGCTGTATGTTGTCTACGTGAGGGGCACAGGAGATCGGTGAGAGGCATCGAAAGTACCAGAGATGCTCACTCAGAGCCTTAGAAATGCCTAGACCGTTCCTGGTGCATAGACAGCATCGATATTTTCGCTGCTCCATTTTTACTGCAACAAATATGAACAACAATTAAATCCATTTTCGTGGGATAATTGCCTGCAACCTGATGTCCTTGTAAGACACATTCTGCAACTTCAGTCATGTGGATTACACAGCACTATTTAAAACCTTCCCATTACCAGATAAGGTGGAGGGAAGGAGGAAAGAGCCAATCCATGGCCAAGTCCATTCCTAGATTGTCCAGCCTTTTGTGTCTGTTATTAAGCCCTTCAAAAGTACACTGCTTCCCTGGAGAGAAAATATATTTACATAGTTCCCAATCACTCCACCAGAGCAGCAGTGGCCTCAAGATAAACCTCCCAGCACCAGGGAAGAGGGGATTACACACACCACAACGAAGTCCAATTATATTGAAAACTAACAGCTAAATTTCTCTGCCCCTGCAGTTCCTAGAGTGTGAAGAGAGAAGGAACAAACGGAAGAAAAAAATTGTTGTAGCGCCTTAATGATGAGTGTGTGAGAAGCAGCCAGTTCCCTGTTCCTGCCGTTCATTTTCTGTGTATCGGTCCCTAACGAGGATTGGCAAGATCTGGAGATTGTCCTGGTCCCTCCTCGTGCCCTCTTTCCCTTATTCAAAGCACTGTGAGCCTCTCTTGCTTGGTTCCAGTTGCCTTGGAATGTGTTTTGGAAGAAATGTCCTGGATAGTCTCCAGGCTTCTTTATATTCTTTCTTTTTAGTAATTAACTTTGTATTGAGTTCTCCCACCAAAATGAACAGCCAGGCCTTCCTTCCAGATAGAAATTGTGGCAAGAAACAAATGGGAGTTGAAATAAATAACATCGTGTTGCTTGATAAATGTATTTGCAGTAGCAACAGAGACTGCCACCCAAGGAGTTCTAATTACGAATCTGACCCTGTAGAGCCAATGCCACAGTTGCTACAGAAAATAAATAGGCTAAGCAGGGCCTGGGGTTGGTTATTTCCATAGACTTGTCCTGGAAATGTTAATCAAAGCAAACCAGAGGGAGCAGGGAGCCAGGGTTATTCTGATAGTGCTAAAAAAATTAAGTTCCCGGCCGAGCGTGGTGGCTCACACCTGTAATCCCAGCACTTTGGGAGGCCGAGGTGGGCAGATCACGAGGTCAAGAGATTGAGACCATCTTGGCCAACATGGTGAAACCCCGTCTCTACTAAAAATACAAAGACTAGCTGGCATGGTGGTGAGCGCCTGTAGTCCCAGCTACTTGAGAGGCTGAGGCAGGAGAATTGCTTGAACCCAGAAAGCTGAGGTTGCAGTGAACAGAGACTGCACCACTGCACTCCAGCCTGGCGACACAGTGAGACTCCGTCTCAAAAATCAAGTTTCTGTTAGCCCTTTGCAATCTGGTCATAGTTCTTTCTCTCTTCCTCCCTCACTCTTTCTTTATGGAAACTATGCCTACCTGTGTATTTTCTTTGTGAAATATGATTTCACACTTTAGCTTATAAAAGAGGTTTTGCCAGGTGTGATCGCTCACGCCTGTAATTCCAGCACTTTGGGAGGCTGAGGAGGGTAGATAACTTGAGGCCAGGAGTTGGAGATCAGCCTGGGCAGCATGGCAAAACCCTGTCTTTACTAAAAATACAAAAATTAGCCGGGCATGGTGGCGGGCACCTGTAGTCCCAGATACTCAGGAGGCTAAAGCAGGAGAATCACATGAACCTGCGAGGCGGAGGTTGCAGTGAGCTGAGATCACACCATTGCACTCCAGCCTGGGCGACAGAGTGAGACTCTCTTCTCAAAATAAATAAAAGGGGTTTTAAAATTTGTTGTGGGGGGCGGGGAGGATTGGTAAAGGCTAGGAAATTCATTTAAAAAGAAGACCCAATGTTTGTCATGGCATCTTCAACTTCCACCCTCAGGGATGGAGGGAGATGTGCACTTGGCCTTTTCTAGTTGGACAGGTGTGCAGGTGAGGGCAGGACTCCTGGGGGCTTTAATCGGCCAGGGTTTGCCTGGTGCACACTGCCAAGAAGGTGAAAAGACGCAGGATAGGGATCTCCTATAGGCGGTAAAGGGATGGGTCAGGTGTAAGTCATCACACGCTCCTAAGCCCTGAGCAAATCACCCAGGATCCGGTGGAGATGACATTGTCATGACAATTCTGTCCTTCCTTCTGCCTTCCACGCACCAGGTAGAGGGGTAGGGCGACTGTCAGAGTTCACTCATGACACAGAGCCCCTCTGCTGGGTCAAGCAGGAAGGGATTCAGGACCGGGAAACAGATGCTTACAGGTCATTGTTGAAAGTGCTGAGGAGGGGCTCTGGCTGGCTCCGGGTTTTCTCGAGCACTGTGTAGCAAACCTGCCAGGACAGCACTGACTACCACAGCCAGGACAGTTCAGAAGCCTGGAGATCAGGAGTCTGCCAGTGGAGTCAGCACACCTGCTTTTCACCTGTGATCCCAGGAGAGGAAGCAGCTGCCTCTGAGGCCTCAGGCTCAGTGGCCTATCTTTACCCCAATGCATGCAGGTCAGAATGTAGCTGAACAGCAGCCCAGGGTCCTGCCCTGCTGCCAGCGGGAAGAAGAAAACAGCCAAAGCAGGAGGTGATCTTACCTACCCCTCCACCTCCACCTCGGGCCCAATTTGCATCCTGAGTCCCTGCACGGGGGCCTGCCAGGGGGACTTCACATGCTCAGCTGATGCAGGTGGAGGGGAAGGGAGAAGGCTGCCTGGATGCGGGGCCTGTCCACCCCTTCCACCCCATACAGCATCTGGTTCTGGTGTGGGTCCTCTCCTCCTCTTTCTCTACACACACACACACACACACGAGAAACACGCAGTCTCACACGTCTGATGCTGCCCCACACGTGTCGCCAACATCAGCCTTTGTCCAGCCTCAGCCTCTTTCCTCTCTGAGGGTTTGGCCACATCCACTGGCACTGCATTTCTTCCCTGCAATTTTGCTACGTCTAAGTATTGTCTCTATTATGATCTAGTTTTTGTCACCTTAGTTGACTTGTTAAGCTGAAATAGTTATTTCAAAAGGAACCAGTTACACAGATGGAAAGCCAGTGTCATTTGTATTAATAGGAGATAAAGGAATAATTAATACAATAAAAAGGGAATGCATCTTTATGAAATATTAATTATCAAAGGATCTGAGTCCAAGGACTGTGCTCTTTACTGAAAAGATAAATGAGTAAAGTGAGGTGTCAAAGATACATTATTCTGAAACTGAGCCTTTTTCATCAGATGGATCAAAAAGCAATTACAGTTGAGCCTTGAACAACAGGGGGCTTGATCTGCATGGGTCCCCCTACATGCTGGTGGTCTTCTACCTCCGCCACCCCAGAGACAGCAAGACCACCTCCACTTCCTCCTCAGTCTACTCAATGCAAAGACCATGAGGATGAAGACCCTAT
Source organism: Homo sapiens (assembly GCF_000001405.40). Taxonomy (NCBI): domain Eukaryota; kingdom Metazoa; phylum Chordata; class Mammalia; order Primates; family Hominidae; genus Homo; species Homo sapiens. Next base: position 60,309,487 of record NC_000020.11, read on the forward strand.
GACAGTCCACTTCCACTTAATGAATAGTGGAATATGAACAGAGAAAATCTATATGAATAGAGAAAATCTATATGAATAGAGAAAATGAATAGAGAATATGAATTGAGAAAATCCATTTTCTCTTATTTTCTTAACATTTTCTCTTTTCTAGCTTTATTGCAAGAACACAGGATACATATAACATACAAAATGTTTTAATCAACTGTTGGTTATTAGTATGACTTCCAGCCAAGAGTAGGCTATTAGTAGTTAAACTTTTGGGGAGTCAACAGTTACTTGTGGATTTTCACTTGTGCAGGGGGCGGTGGAGCAGTTGGTCCCCTAATCCCCCACGGTGTTCAAGAGTCAAATGTGTGAAAGGGTAATACACATTGCTGTGCCTGCCAGCTGAGACGATACAGGACAACAGTGGTCATCAGCTTATACTTTTTCATTTCTCATTTAATTTTTCAAACTATCCTGGAATACGTATTATTCCCAGTTTAAGATGGGGAAGTTGAGATGCAAGAAGAAATTGGACACGGTTCCAGATTGAGGAAGTGGGGGTGCTGGACCTGTACCCAGCTTCTTGACCTGAGTCCTGGGGGCTCCATATGAATCAGAAGGGGGCAACCGTGTGTCAAAGCCCTCAGCTCCCAGCATTAGACTCATGCTTACGACATGCAGCTTTCACCCCTCTTTGATCAAGAGAGGGTTTCTTCTGTAATGTTTCCCCCATTCTGAGATCTCAAGGCAGTTTACCTCAAGGGACATGGTGATGGCTCTTTTCAATCTCTGGGTTGGTTCTCTAACATGAAAGACCACATGGCCGGGTGCAGTGGCTCACGCCTGTAATCCCAGCACTTTGGGAGGCCGAGGTGGGCAGATCACCTGAGGTCAGGAGTTTGAGACCAGCCTGACCAACATGGAGAAGCCCGTCTCTACTAAAAATACAAAATTAGCCAGGTGTGGTGGTGCATGCCTGTAATTCCAGCTACTTGGGAGGCTGAGGCGGGAGAATTTCTTCAACCCGGGAGTCAGAGGTTGCAGTGAGCCGAGATGGCGCCATTGCACTCCACCCTGGGCAGCAACAGTGAAATTCCATCTTAAAAAAAAAAAAAAAAAAAAAAAAGAGAACACGGAGAGCATGAATAAGTGGAGCCTACACTGCAGAGATCTGTTGGATTTTTCTGGGAATGGCTTTGCCTTCATAAACATTTTCCTTTCTCAAGTGTCAGGGACAGGGAATCAAAGCGGCACATGCTGACCTTTCTCCACAAAACGGAACCTCCCGGCCCCGGGGCCATCTGTCTCCATTGATGCACGGCAGCTAGAAAGATGAGGACTCAGACCTGGGAAGTCTCTCAGAGCAGCTCTCTGGCAGGCCTGTGGCTCATTTTTAATTGCTCAGCAGTGAAAATTATAGAGGAGAATAGAATGTCTGCCCTGGCAGTTGGACGATTTTCTTACCAGTAACCTGAGGATGTGACCTGGTGGGCTCTGCAGAAAGAGAGGAGAGTTGTAAGTCTGTCACCTGTGAACATCTGGCAGAGGTTATTATGCATGCAAATTTTATGCATGAAATTCAAAGATGGAGGCCGACACCCCCTCCCCCCGCAAGTTTTATGACCTGTGGATAAGTTATGCGTGAGTTATGCATCTGACTAACGTAGGGGCAGACCCGGGAGCGTCTGTCTGGGTATTTCCAGCTAGCTGTGTCTCTGGTTCTGAGCAGGAGGATTGATACCCCTCCAGGCTCTGCTCTACATCTTTCCCTTCCTACCACCTTCCCTCCCTCCCTCCTTCTTTCATTCAGCAAATGTTGAAAATGCAGCCACAATGCACCAGGTGCTATGCTGTACACCAGAGATACAACCACCCAAAAGAGAGACCTGGTTTCTGCTTCCAGCTGGCAACGTAGCATGCTAGTTGAGGACGCAGACCTGAAGTCCAGGGGTCTAAGTCCCAGTTCTGCATCCACGACTTCTTCCTACCTGTGCAAACCTCGGGAAGTTACCTGGCTCCATTCTGCCCCATCTGGAAGTAGAATTGTGCTCACCTTCTAGGCTGTGTTTGTGAGGACAGGAGGTACATACACTTAAGGGAAGCAGGCCTAATTCCAGGGAGACTAGGAATATGCATGTTGGGGTCTTTTTCCTCCCCAATTTTGGGGCTGTGCGGGAAGAGAAGATGGAAGTGGGACCCACCCACTTCGTCTAAGCCTCAAGTGGAGAACTGAGTGATGGAGGGCAAAATGTATAAATGGATGCAGCAAAGGGGCCTGGGGCCTTTTGTCTGAGAAGTTTCTGCAAACAAAGAAAGTGAGACCAAAGTCAAATGGGTCCCTCCATGATCCTTTGTGGTCAGTCTGTTTAGCTCAGTTCTCTGCCTGTGGCAGAGCATAGGGGAGCAGGATCCATCATCCATGGGAAGGAGACAAGGACTATGCAGGGTGGCTGTGCCCCAGCTGATCTTCAGGCAGGAGCCTAGCACCCACGTAAACTAGAGAGAGAGCTGCCCAGAGATGCCGCCGCAGTTATCCAGGAAGGGGAGGCAGCAGGAGGCAGGAGAGATTTGACTAGTGAGGACCAAAGCTCAGGGGCTACAAACACACAACACCTGTACCTGGGAGAACGAGACAGAGCTTGGTCCTACCACCAGCCAGTGAGGCTTTTGACTTGCCCTCTGCCCTGTCTTCTTTCAGGTCCAATGTCATCTTCTCAGTAAGGGCATTTCTGGGCACCCTATTCACCATCGCACGCCCTGCACCCACTCTCTTCTCCACTCTGCTTTCCCCTTTAGCTGTGGTCACACCAAATGTATTATGCATTTTATTTCTTTATATTGTCCACTGGGGTTCTACCTATGAGGATCCAGGTAGGAGTTCTCACCGTCTTGCTCACAGTACCTGGCACAGGGTAAGCCCCTGACAAATCATTCTTAAATAAATGGATAGATGGGTGAATGAAGAGTGGGTGTCCTGATCAAGTTTGCTCACACATTAGGCTTATAACCTCTTTAGAAAGGGGCATCTGTCACTCTGATGGCCCTGAAAATATCTCATAATCTGTCTTTCCAATTTTCCCTATAATGTATTTTCTTAAAGTAAACTTCAGTTAGAGTAAATTTCCTATAGAATTAAATGTGAAAAATCCTAGTGCTTTGTACCAGGTCAGAATTAACTTTCATAAAGATGACCTCGGAGCTGTCCCTTTTCACATCTTTTTTTCAGGGAACCATGAGTAAAAGTATAAAGACATTTAAAAAATTTTCCTTAAGGAAAAGAGATGCTAAAGTCTTCTCTAGTCTACATTAGACAGAAGAAATTGAGCCAGGACCTTGGGTTGGAAATTCTTATCTGTATATGTATTTACTCCTTTGCTTAATCATTCTCTCAGTCAACACATATTTTGTACTCCCTAGGTGCTAGGTGTGATATGAAGTACAGGCAGTGATGAGTAAGCTGTGCTCTTGGACTGAATGCTTTGAAGGTCAAGGAGGACAATGGTGGGGGAGAGGACATTGGCTGTAGACAACAGGGAGTTGCAGGTGGTCTTCTGGTGGGCCTCTGTGTGAGTCCACTGAGAGTCAAGGCAAAGATATAAAGAGTGATGAAGGTATGAACAGAAAGAATTGAGGTAGCAAGGGGAGGATACATTTTTTGAGAATTTTGGAGGTGAAGAGGAGAAGTCAAGGGTTGTATTGGGAGGAAAGAGCAGGGTTGAAGTTTGGGAATTGAAGTGATTATGAATATGTTGTAAGTACGTGGGATGTAGCCAATGGAGGGAAGAGCTGATGATGTGCGGAAGCCACTAACCCACTAAATCCCTTTCCCGCATCACAGGCCCTGCTGAAAGGGTTGACAATGAAGACTCTCAGGCCACCGTAACTCATGGAGAAGCCCTGAGCATCTGGCCCGCTTGTAAGCGAAGGAATGTGCTGGCATCAGGGCTGGGTGGGATTTCATTTTCCTCCTATCAAGTTACCCTTAGCCCTGGTATCGTGGAGAAGTTTGTAGCCACGGGCATGCCATCCAACGGAGGCAGCCTCTACACTTGTGCCCTGAAAAATCTAAAGCAAAATAAGTCATTTGGCAAATACATGTGGGTGCCTGAAACAAGCCAAAAGACTTCAGCGTTCAGGATGTGCAAGCCACATTAATAATAATGAGAAGGAACCAGGTCATCTGTTTCCTGATGCTCAGTCCTGGCAGCCTCTTAGGTGGAACAGGGGCCAGACGCTGGCTAGAGAGCTCTTACCTAGAGTTATTGGTCTGTGTGTTGAGACATGGGGCGTCTCCTGGTGGCCTGAGTGGGATGAGGACATCAGCTGAGCAGCAGTGGTGCTGCTCTGCAGCTTCAGCTTACGTGTTGTCCCAGCCACATAGCGCTGGAAGAAACCTGCCTGGAATGTGATCAAGTGAGTTCTCAGGAGTGGGGAGGTCACACGTGCTGCATTTTGATGCTGACTTTTTATATTCAAAGCAATTTGCCCAGGTGAGCTCAGTACAAGTATTGCATTACCTGATGGTTTATGGATAAAATACCTGGATGTACAACTTAGTTGTCTCAAATTCAGCAAAGTTGTTATAGTCTAAGTGATGGGGGTGGGGGGTGTTCAGTAGAGGTCTGAAATCCTGAAATCTGGGATTACAGTGATTCTCATAGGGAGATTTCAGGCACTTTTCTGTCATCCACTACCTGCCCTTCTGCCATTGCAGGGTCTAGTTATCTTTATCTCCTCTGAGGTCTGAGTTCTACATTCACTTGTTTCCTCATTTATTCATTAACAATATTCATTTCTTAGCCAAGGATGGTGGTGCACACCTGTACTTCCAGCTACTCAGGAGGCTGAGGTGGAAGGATTGAAAATCCATCCATCTGTCCTCCTACCCATCCTGCTATCCATCCATCCATCCATCCTCCCATAATCTATCTTCCCATCCATTTGTCCTTCCTTCCTTCCTTCCTTCCTTCCTTCTTCCTTCCTTCCTTCCTTCCTTCCTTCCACCCATCCATCCTCCCATTCATCCTCCCATGCATCCTCCCATCCATCCACCCAACCATCCTCCCATCCATCCTCACATCGATCTTCGCATCCATCCATCGATCGATCTATCCATCCATCCATTCTCCCATTCATCCATCCTCCCATCCATCCTCCTATCCATCCATCCATCCATCCACCCTCCCATCCATCCATCCTCCCATCCATCCACCCTTCCATCCATCCATCCACCCACCCTTCCATCCATCCACCCTCCCATCCATCCATCCTCCCATCCATCTATCCATCCATCCTCCCATCCTCCCATCCTCCCATCCATCCATCCATCCATCCATCCATCCTCCCATCCTCCCATCCTCCCATCCATCGTCCCATGTGTACATCTGTCCTGCCATCTATCCATACATCCATTTCTCCGTCCTCCCATCCATCTTCCCATCCATTCATCCATCCATCTTCCCATCCATTCATCCATCCATCCTGCCATCCATCCTTCCATTGATCCATCCATCCATCCTGCAGGAGACCAGGAGTTCAAGGCTGCCGTGAGTTATAATTGTGCCACTGCACTACAGCTTAAGTGACAGAGAGAGAAACCATCTCCAAAAATGAAAAAAAGAATATATTGATTTCAGGCCAGTTACATAGATTCTGTGTTGAACAAAACTAGATGTGTTTCATTCCTGTCTTTAAGGAGCATAAATCTAATAGGAACAACAGATAATTTTTAAAAAATATATCAATGTGTGTAAAATTTCAACAGGAATAAGCCCCAAGGAGGTGTGGTACCTGGGGCTATAAGAGTAGCTAATAGTAGAATTTGGGATAGTCTTGGGGAAGGAGAGGGCAGAGAAGGCTTCCTGGAGGGGTGATGGTTGCTTTGAGAGTGGAGAGAAAGAACCAGTGTTCTTGGAAAAGAGGGTGGCCTGAGCGAAGGGCCTGTGGCAGGAGGGAGTGTAGAATTCAAGGAACTGGGAGGAGGTCCTTGTGGCTAGGAATATGCAGAGTAAGGGGAAAAAGGCAAGAAATAAGGCTGGAGAGTGGGGAGGGCCACAGCACACGAGGCCTTCCCTGCCCACCTTGCCCACATGCCCCAGACGTACTGAGGAGCTGGATTTGGTCATTGTTCTTATGAGTGCTGTGTTCCCAGATTTCCCCTTCATAATCTGGCGACATCCACCAGAGCCAGCTCCTGTGTCCCTGATGTGATTACCCCTGACTCCTTCCCCTCCTGACACCTGCCCCAGGTACTCACACCTCTACCGATGATGCCTCAGCCTGGCCCTTTGGCTTTTTGACCTTGGACCCCTCCCCACTCCCTCTCCACCTCTCTGCTTCCCACTTCCCTTGTTTCCAGCTGCTCCTTTCCCTGTGAGCCATATTGGTTCCAGCCCCAGCCTCTGCAATAGCTTCCCCAAATGAAGTGAATCCGAGGACCACGTAGGATGTAAGCCCCGTCACCGTGGTGTTGGTTAGTGAATGTCTCTTTACTGTCTATTTCCCCATTCAGTGCCTGTCTCCCCAACCGACTGAAAGCTGCAAAAGGACAGAGTCCTTCCCAGGGCCCAGCACAAAGCTTAACACGCAGAACATGCACCATAAATGATATCCAACCATGACCTTCCCCTCCCCCAAACTGCCCCACAGAGCCCAGTCCCACAAAGCCTGAGACAAAGGAGCTGCTTTTCACACAGACAGACACAGACAGACTGATGGACAAGCTGGAGGACCCGGGGACGGTGAGAAACAGGCTCCAAAAGCATTCTGGCTGCCAGTATTTAACACACAGAGCTATTTTCAGATGCTAGTCACAGACATTTTGAACTGCATTAGAATAAACAGAATTCTGAATTATCTTCTCAGCAGTACATGAAAGAACTGTCTATCACCCAAAAGGGAAAGAGAGAATGATGAATTTCTAAGGTAAAAATTCTGGAAGAGGGAGGAAAAAAATCCAATCCACAGGCGGTTCTGGAATCTTCTCACACAACAGGTGGTCCCCCGCCCTCCAGTCCCCTAACTCCTGTGATTAGGAGAAAGTGGAAAGCTGTCAGCTAGACTGGGCTCAGGCTGGGTATCTGGGCTCTTGGAAATGTATATTTATTTGCTCATGCTAATGGTCAGCAGGCCAGGATAAATGGGGCTGGGGCATTAATGCAGAGCCCTGTAAATCATGCATGAAGGGGAAGACCATGCCCAGCACCGAGGGGCCAGCCAGCCGAGGAGGCTGCATGAAATATTCAGCAGCCAGACAGACTCAGGCCTGCTCCAAATCCCCACGTCCAGACCTCTGAGGATGTGATTTTTGCAGAAAGCTTTAAAAGAACCTCAAATGCCTTATCCTTGTGTTCCCCAAGTCTCCTATCAAAGCTGGTTCTTGCTGAATGGTGTCTCTGTGTTCCGCCTCTGGGGCGTTGGTCATGAGGACCCCACACTGATGGTTCCCCTCCCCTGTGCCACTGCAGCACTGCTCACCCATCCGGCCCCGCAGCAGGCTGTGGTTTCCCTCCCTGTCAACCACAGGGCCCTTGTACATACTTTCCTGTTTCAGGAAGGTCTCTGCCTGGCTCATCTTGCTCTCCTTCTCTTCTTTAGGTCTCAACTTGGATGCTACCTCTCCAGAGAGGCCTTTGTTGCACCACCCACCCCACCCCTAAGTTGGCCTTCTGTGCAGTTCTCTAGCTCTGTCCTCTGTCCTCTTTCATGCCCTATCACAGCTGTGCTCATTTTGGGGGCATGCTGTCACTGGCTCTTTGCTGTCCTCCTTTACCAGAATTAATCTCCATGCTAGAAGAGGCTCTGTGGGCCCATCCTTGCTGCACTGCAAAGCAGCATCTGGCATATGGCAGGACTCAGCATAAAGTCAAGGAGTGAAAAACAGGTGCCTCTCAGCAGGCATGAGGTGAGCCTGGAGGTTCATCCCTGGACTCTACATCTCCTCTGCAGAAAATGTTCTGATCCTTGGATATGATCTTCAGGTTCCCTATCCGTGAAGTCTGTACAACCAATAAGCCAGGCAATGATTTGATGAATAGGAATAGTAAGGTTTTTTTCCTGATCCATTCTAACTGCAGTAGCCAAGTTAACATATGGCAGTGTGCTTTCTCAGGACAAACAAACAATGATAGATTCATACCCAAGCTGAGAGGGGCGAACTGTAATGCCATCCAGCTTCCCTCCCAGTACAACAGGGCCCTCTGGCTTTGTGTGGGTGCTTGTGGATAGACACCTCACTTCCTTCCAAGGTAGCTGGTTCCACTTCCAGCCAACAGCTCAGGCTGCCTCCCAGCCCAGCTATCCTGCAGGTTCCAGCCCCACAGCACGTGTGTCTCTGTGTCCTCTAGCCAGTAGGCTTCTCCCCCAGAATGCTGGATTTCTTATGGAGATTTTCCTGGATAAGATGAGCAATTGGGCTGACCATTGGACCATGTGTATTGATGCAGTTATTGTATGCACCCAGAGATGGAGAGGCCTGGTGCTTCCATTCTGATGTGCTCTTGGAGAAAGCCATTGAGGAACTGTGGTCAGCAGGTGTTCCAGGAGTTTCAGCGCCATGGGCTTAGTGGGGCTTCATGGCCCTGTGTATGCATTTCCGTGTCCTGCAGCCAGGGTGTCAGCTCACTGCATTCATTCAATAGCTCCTGAGTTCCCACTGCATGCCAGGTACTGTGTGTGTGGTGGTGGGGGGTGACTTTTTATCAAGCAAAGTCAAACCACACATGCCCCCTGCCTTTTAAGAGTTCAAGATCTGTAGCACAGACAGCCATGGGGACTAGGAGCTCCAGCACCGTGAGCTGTAGTGGATGTACACAGAGTGCCCCGTGGGCAGGCACAGGTGGCAGCTAATTCCAGCCGGGCTGGCTTGGGGATTCCTTATGTGACACCCACTGTAGACCCAGCCTGCAGCTGTTTCCTTCAGTGGTCACCTCCGCCTGATGAAGGAAGGCAATGCGTTCTCGTGTGAACGGCTGCTCTTTGCTTCTGGTCCAGGCCTGCTCGGACTCCATCTCGCTCATGGCGTGGCTTTGAAATGATGCTCATCAGGCTCCCTGACCTGCTCAGGGATAGGCCACTGTGAGAGTTCCGCTTTGATTTTCAAGCAGCTGAGACACCAGAGGCGTGGTGAATCCCCCCAGCCCTCCCCTCAGAATAAGCTATCTGTCCGGTGAGAATAGTCACTCCTCCTGTTCTTTGAGGACAAGACCAGCAAAAGACTTGAGTCACCATTTCCAAAGAAAAACAAGGAGAATGCAAATTTCTCGGCTTAAAAATATATACAAAGGGATTGATTCTATATAACTCTCTGGAGTAAGAAGAGCTGTGACTTCCATTGGCTGGTGCTGTTTAGAGAAGGATCGCTGTGCTGAAGTTGAAAAAGAGTGTATTCAGCTTTGATATTTGGAGAAAGTGTCCCAACCATCATGTATTTCTGCCTGGTTTTCTTTTAGAATGCACCAGCTGGAGTCGACATTAAAGGGCCCCATTTCCCATTTGCTGCAGAAGATGTTTAATTGGAAGTCTCTCCCTGTCCTTTTGTAAGCCTCATTTCTGCATATTAGCTTTACACATGAGTTCTGGGGTGACTGGTCAAGACGGGAGTCTGTGTGTAATTAGACCAGACCAAGGAAGAAGCAGGAAGTTTGCTGGCGGAGAACATGGGAGTCTCTGTATCGCCTTTAATCACTCTTCCTGCTTGGTGTAATGTTCACATGTTGTCTTTCATCACAGCCATGGGGACAGAGCGCCAGTTCATGCTATCTCCTCACGGGGCCCTTCGGTCCATCTCCACCCACCACCCAGCCCTCACTGTCATCTGTCTGACCCCATTGGCCTTGCTCTTCTTTTTGGAACATGATAACCTCCCGCCAGCCGCCCCAGCACAGTCTCAGGACGTTTGCATGTGTCGTGGCCCCTGCACACTGTTTCCTCAGCTCCTGGCCTGCTTGTTCCCTTCCCATTACCCTTGTCTCTGCTTAAGCATCAGCTCCTCAGAGGTCCTCCTGACCAGCCCATTGCAAGTACCCTTTCCCCTTCCTCCTTGCGGTTCTGTTGCTCCCTCCACCTTGCAGCTCTGCAGCTTCCCGTGAATGTGATTGTTTACATGCTGACTATCATGTCCCCCACCTGGCTGTTCACCCCTTGACACCAGCACCAGCTTTCTTTCTGGCTGCGTTGCTGCCTGTGCCTGCAGTGGTGGCTCCGTAAGCATCTGCTGAACAAACGCATGGATGAATGAGCCCTTTCAGATCCAGGCTGTGTGGGGCTCAAAATTAAAGAAAACAACATACAAAATGACACATATAAAATTAGGAATGGGGTTTATTTAAATTCTTAAAAGCTGCTAAATTTCTGTACGTCACAAAACTATACAGTATTGAATATTTTAATAGTTACCTGATTGTATTGTACGTTTTCCTACATTTTTCTCTTGCATACATTTTGCCTTTTCATATGACAAAAATGTTTGGTATTGCTTTTAACAGGACAGAAAGATAATTCCTCTAGTGTGGTCAGATAAAGCTTTTTTTTAAAGTTATGGATAGTTGGTGGCATGCAACGTGCAGATGGTCACACAGACAGACTCATGTGGCATTGGGTAAGGTTTTGTCCTATAGACACAAGAATTTTGATGTATTCTTTTTCTTTCTTTTTTTGAGACAGTCTTGCTCTGTCACCCAGCCTGGAGTGCAGTGGAGCAATATCAGCTCACTGCAACCTCTACCTCCAGGGTTCAAGTGATTCTTGTGCCTCAGCCACCCAAGTAGCTGAGTAGCTGGGATTACAGGTGTACACACAACACCCAGCTAATTTTTGCATTTTTAGTAGTGGCAGGATTTCACCACGTTGGCCAGGCTGGTCTCAAAATCCTGGCCTCAAGTGATCCACCCACCTCGGCCTCCCAAAGTGCTGGGATTACAGGCATGAGCCACTGCACCCGTCCTTAGATTCTTTTTCATCCCATAAAAAAAAAAGATTCATTTACATTTGTGTATATGCATTACAAATTATTCCTTACAAGGGAGAACATTTATTTTGACTAGGTAATAATGAGAACTGAATCCTCTCCTGATAATAGCGTGTCTGATGATAAGAAGATTTTTCTTAGACTGGCTTCTGGCTCCATACATTTCAAACCTTGCTCCTTTTCCTCTTCCACCAGACCCTCTGGTGCTGGGCACCAATGAGAAGCTCATCTGGCCCCGGGATCCTGGCAGGACACTGGGAGCACTATTTCCATGGGCAGCAGGGTTGTTCCTGGAGACATCACTGACCCAGGACACCTAGCACAATGGCACTCGATGTGAAAGTGGCTTCGTACAAATCTGCCACTCAAGCCTAAATAAGTGCATTCCAGAAGAGCCGCAGCCCCTCTAACAGCTCCTGAGGTGAGGGAAACCCTAGGGATGGGAAGTTGGAGCAGAAAGAGATGGTGGCCTGAAGTCAACTGCAGTGAAAATCTCTCCCCATCAGCAAGTTTTGCAAAGCTATGGCCACAGGGACACATGACTGGGGCCCCTCCTAGTCTTGGAAGGAGCCCCCATGGAAATGAGGGCCTCACAGTGAATCCACCTCTGATCCTACTTCACCTGCAGTCAAATGAGAAGAGATTTCAATCAGCTAAAGACACCCTATCCCCTCTCCCCGACCCCTGCGACCCCAGGAGCTCCTGCCTTGTCACTGTGTCCCCAAACGAACCGCATCTGAATCAAGCCCCTTTCTCTCCCTAGTGGTCAACATCTGGGCTGTGATGGGCAGCTCCCACTCTTGCCTTAGAATATGACTGGAGAGGTGACTTCTCATCACATGGAGAATATGTTCACCCCATGGTGCTTTCCACCCAAGCTGACCATGGCTTGACTTTTTGGTGTAGTTGCTAGCTCTGTGCCATCCTTGGCAATGTGACCCTGGAGCAGCTGTCCCCAGTGTGCATTTGGGGGATTTCATGTAATTATGAATAGGATGCAAATTTTATAGCCCCAGTGAAGGGAAACACCCCTGGCGAGGCTTCCCGGGGCCAGAGAGAGGACTCCACTGAGGGAGATGGTGGCAGGGCCATTCTTTGTGTCCTGCTTTTTTTTTTTTTTTTTTTTTTAACATCCTCTTTATGTCCTGAGAGCCATGTGCAGATGAGGAAAAATGACATGCAATGCATTTTTGCCTGCCACAATGACTTTGCAATCATAACAAGCAAAATGTTCTAAACAGTAAGTGAATCGAGGAAGATATACTGCCAAGTCAGGAAGAAAAAATCCACCTGTTCAGTGATTTCAGGAACTGCTGAAGAAAATCACCAGTGAGTATCAGTTTCTGCAAGAGAATCTAATGCAGGCTTTGCTTCTCATCGGAATCCCCCAGCTGGTGTCTTGGTTGACTGAGAGTCTGGGGGAGAGGGCAGAGAATGGATTTATTCTCTGCTAGGTTTTTAACAGTCAAGAAGGGCTGTGGTCCTAAGGGGCACTGGTCAAACCTTAGTGTGCATCAGAATTATCTGGATAAGGCTAGGCACAGTGGCTCACGCCTGTAATCACAGCACTTTGGGAGGCTGAGGCGCGTGGATCACCTGAGGTCAGAAGTTCAAGACCAGCCTGGCTCTTTTAGTAGAGAAACCCTATGTCTATTAAAAAGTACAAAATTTAGCCAGGTGTGGTGGTGAGTGCCTGTAATCCCAGCTACTTGGGAGGCTGAGGCAGGACAGTCACTTGAATCTAGGAGGCAGAGGTTGCAGTGAACTGAGATCGTGCCATTGTGCTCCAGCCTGGGCAACAAGAGTGAAACTCTATCTCAAAAAAAAAAAAAAAAAATACCTGGAGAGCCTGTGAACATGCATAGTGCTGGACCCCATGCCAAAGATACTGATTCAGCCTGTCTGGGGTGGGCCAGAGATTCTGCATTCTGTCTAAGGAGCTCCCAGGTGAGGCACATTTGCAGACCACAGTCTGGAGGTTTGAGGACTTGGAAGACCATGGCTGACATATCTTGAGTCTCTGCCTTGGTATCCTTTGCCAAGCAGAGAAATGCACTGTTTATGTTTTTCAGGAGCTCAGGAAGCAGAATGCAACCCATGCAGATGTAGGGGCTGGATTCTCTCTATGACTGAGTGGGAGTCTCAGCCCCAAGAAATGCCCCGGGTTGGCCCTGAAATCCACAATGGCTTGCTGGGCTGGAGGCCACCAGCTGATGGGACCCAAGAGAGGAATGAATTATTTATCTGGACTCCTCACAGAGAACAATGCCCTGCAAATGTCCCCCGCACCATGCTGGGTGGAATTCATAGTCAACCTAACAACCAGCTTAGCATCTTCTCTCCCGGACCTTGCCCCTCCAACCGTATCGAACTTTGAGGAGCAATTAGGGAATTGCTTGACATCTTCCCTGCGAGCTCTTGGGTCACAAAAGCTAATTAACCTTCCTCTTGCCTTCCAAACTAAGTAACAACCTCCAGAGCCAAGTCTTCTGGAACAAAACAGGAAGGAAGAAAGAAACTAAGAAAGAAGCACTGTCTCTGATTTTTTTTTTTTAATGAAGGTTAACATATAATTTTTAAAATGAACTCCATGGAAAGGAGGTTGTGGGGTTCACAACCCCTGGGAGCAGTTCCAGCAGTGCCAGGACGGTCTCAGTGGCAGCCCTCTGCTCATCTTTGAGGTCTACTTTGCCCAGCAGCTAACTCTTGTAGGTGGAAACATGGTGGCTTCTTGTTCTCTGGGAAGTTCTGGATGGGAACTTGATGTGGGAAGTTGTGAGGTGCCCTGAACTTGGAGGTGGGGCTCATTGGCACCACAGTGATGGTCCCATCTGTGCCATGTAGACTTGACCAAGCAACTCAAGGTGTCCTTAATGTCCCAGACTGAGAGAGAATTTGCCGGCCTCCACCTTGGAATATTGTTGACTTTCAGTGCACGACGCAAGTCCTCTCCTTCAACACTCCTCTCTAAGAAGATACACAGTCAAACACTTAAGGACTTGGGCTTGCGGAGGGTGTAGATCTGGGCTCAGATTCCCATTCTGACACTTACTGGCTACGTGACCTACACTGTGATTCCCAAATGCCTGCATATCCACATACCACTGTGTCCCACTGCACTAGCTACCCGGAGCTGCCATAACACATTGCCACTAACTAGGTGGCTTAAAACCAGAGGAATTCATTCTCTTATAGTTCTGGGGGTCAGAAAACTTTTTTTTATTTGTTTGAGATGGAGATTCGCTCTTGTTGTCCAGGCTGGAGTGCAACGGCATGATCTCGGCTCACCGCAACCTCTGCCTCCTGGGTTCAAGCAATTCTCTTGCCTCAGCCTCCCGAGTAGCTGGGATTACAGGCATGTGCCACCACGCCCAGCTAATTTTGTATTTTTAGCAGAGACAGGTTTCTCCATTTTGGTCAGGCTGGTCTCAAACTCCCGACCTCAGGTGATCTGCCCCCCCTTGGCCTCCCTAAGTGCTGGGATTACAGGCGTAAGCCACCACACCTGGCCCTGGGGGTCATATATCTTAAATCAAGGTATCAACAGGACCAAGCTCCCCAAAAGCTCCAGGAAAGGATACTTCTTGGCCTCTCTTCTGGCTTCTGGTGGCTGCAGCAATCCTTGGGGTTCCTTGGCTTATGGATGCATCACTCCGTACTCTGCTTCCGTCCTCACTTGACCTTCTCACCTACCTTCCTTTACGTCATCTTCCTTCTGAGATGCTCTGTGTCCAAATTTTATTCTTTGTAAAAGGATGCCAGTCATTGGATCAGAGACCACCTTAATCCAGGATGACTTCATCTTAACTAAATTACATCTGCAAAGATTCTATTTCTAAATAAACCCACATTCTGAGGTTCTGGGTGGGCATGCTATTTGGCAGGACAAAGTCAACACAGGACACTCATTTTCAGGATTGATCGCATGGTTTGAGGAAGCTGATGGTGACATCTCTTCTTAAATCTGTTTTCAGGAAAATCATACTGGTAGCCTTCAAGTGGCCATGGTGGGAGCATTGACCCAGGGAAATCCACATTTCCCAACACATGCTGGATACCTGAGGACTCCAGAGCTACTATCTGCTCATATCTGCTCAACATTAAAAAAAAAAAAAAAACCTCACATTGTTAAGTGAAAAGGTTTATTGGCAGATTTGCTTAACTCAATTTGCAAAGATACCTTAGACCAGGGGTCGGCAAACTACATTCCACAGAACGAAGCTGCCCATTACTTGTCTTTTGTTTGTTTGTTTGTTTTGTTTTGTTTTGTTTTGAGATGAAGTCTCGCTCTTGTTGCCCGGGCTGGAGTGCAATGGTGTGATCTCAGCTCACTGCAACCTCAACCTCCCTGGTTCAAGCAATTCCCCTGCCTGAGCCTCCCAAGTAGCTGGGATTACAGGCACATGCCACCATGCCCAACTGATGTTTTTGTATTTTTAGTAGAGATGGGGTTTCACCATGTTGGCCAGACTGGTCTCGAACTCCTGACCTCAGGTGATCCACTGCCTCAGCCTCCCAAAGTGCTGGGATTACAGGCGTGATCCTAAGTACAGTTTTATAGGACAACCATGCTCATTCATTTCCGTATCGTCCACGGCTGCTCTACAGCAGCAGAGTTTAGTGGTCAGGACAGAACCGGCACAACCTGCACAACCTGCACAACTTTCAAAGGCTGAATATTTACTCTCCGGCTCTTTAGAGAAAGTTTGCAACTCCTACTTTAGACTGATGCTTCTCCAATGCTAACGCGCCAGTCACCAAATCACCGGCATCTGGTCCCAGCCTCCAACCATAAACCACAGCTGAATGGAAACTTGGTAGCGCTTGCCTTCAATAGCAGATGCTGTAAGAGGAAAGCAAGGTGACCAAGAAAACATTGCAAAACTCTGGGCAGAATCTGGGGCCTGAAGACTCTGAGTCAGAGGCCTCTTTTTTTGCTCTAAACACATATTAGCAAGAGTCCAAGAGGCATCAAAGATGAGTTAGCAGCAAAATGAGGCTTTGTCCTTCATGTAGAAAGGATTAAATGATAGTTGAAAATGCAATAACTTTCACCCTGTGGGATTCAGTGATGTTCAGTGCTGTGATTATGTCCAACTTCAAATCTTGCTGTCCCAACTGGGACAGCCCAAACATAGGGAGCCACTGCACTAAGATGTTATGATTTATTAAGATAATAAAGCTAGCGGGATGACAAATGTTTCATTTTTCCCCCATGTGTTTCCCCCAAAGGACCGTCTGCTTTTGCATGTGATTTGACTATGCGCTGAGGACCTAGCGTGGTATATCAGCAAAGTGGAAAAGTGACTGAAGTGACTGTTTATCATCTTGTACCAAGTTACACCACTTTAAGCTTTAACTCCACAGCTCTTGCATTATTTTAAAACCGTCTGGCAGATCTCTAAAACTAATGGTACAAACCACTCTGTGATACATTAAAATACATCCCACTCTGTCATACTGCAAACAAGTAGCTGCTCCCCAGTCTTTGAAAAAGTACTTTCAAGATAAAATATGTACTCATGGGTTCTGCAGGTTTTTAAAAAGTCTTGAATCTTCACAGATTTACTGGGGGGGAAGGGGCGTTTCATGTAAAATGTGTTTTTCCTTGACATTTAGAGGTCTTGCAAAGTGGTTTATTATAGATCTTGTGGACATCTCGCTATTTAATTAAATTTCAGAAATATATTCTCTGCACTCATAAGAAGGAATATGAAGAGTGTATTTGTTCACTGTCTATTTATTATTCGTTTTCTGTTTCTAACACAAAATTATCAGTTCGAAATAAGTCATCAGAGGCACTTAAAATTTTTCAGGGTCAGAACTCTAATTAACCTCAGCAACTCTGCTTAAAATGTTGAATAATATAAGACAAGTCCTTACAGGAATCTTTGGTAATATTCAGTCTTGGTGATATATTTACAACTATTTTTTAAAAACTGACCTTCAATGTCTATTTTCAAAAGACGTGAGGGAATGGAAAGCAGATTGAGAAACAAGTCACTTGTGAGGTCTCATCCAACACATTTCAGTAAATTATTGCTGGATGTAAGCAGCTGAATTTGTAAACGATTTCATTACCTTACATTTTATAGAGAAAATTAAGAGTAAGTTCACAGTAAATGAACCTCTAGTCTGAAAATAGCTCTTTCTCCTCATTTAAACCTGAAATCAGAAGGATACAACCCAAATGTGTTCCACCCAACACATTTTGAGATAAATACATTTCACAATTGTCTTATTGGTGGATTTGCTTAACACAATTTGGGTATTTGTTACCCTCTGATGAATTCAGAGGAGTTTTTCAGAGGATAACATTGCATGTTTGCAAAAAGTTTGCATGTTTGCATGTTGCGTGCAATAAGTTTGCATGCTCACAATAAGTTTGCGTGTCCTTTAGTGCTATCTTTTATTTTTCTGTTAGGGATTCTAGTTTGCAGTAGAACAATTTCCTCCTGCAGCCTCATTCAAAGTACCATCAGGATTCAACCTGTTTCTCTCCATGAGACTGTTTTGCTCCTAACTTATCAGAATAAGAGCTCACGAGATCAGCAGCTGACGGAAATTGTCGGAACAGGAGCTGCTGGCACCCGTGTAGAAAGCACAGAAAATATGAACAGTTGGAGGCCCCTCCAGGCAAGTCACCTGGGAAGGCTGGTGACAGGTGAGAGGAATTGGCACAGCAGGTAGGAAGGTGGTGGGCAGGCAGGTAGGTGGGCACCTTACCCATTAAGAGCTGGAAACCTTGGCCAGGCTCAGTGGCTCATGCCTGTAATTCCAGCACTCTGGGAGGCTGAGGTGGGCAGATCACCTGAGGTCAGGTGTTCGAGACCAGCCTTACCAAGATGGTGAAACCCCATCTCTACTAAAAATACAAAAAATTAGCAGTGTGGTGGTGGGCGCCTGTAATCCCAGCTACTTGGGCAGCTGAGGCAGGAGAATGGCTTGAACCTGGGAGGCAGAGATTGGAGTGAGCCGAGATTTCACCATTGCACTCCAGCCTGGGCAACCAGAGTGAAATTCCATCTCAAAAAATAATGAATAAATAAATAGCTGGAAACCTTGAGGGGAGGCAAGACTGAGAAGGGAGAGCCCAGGGCAGACATTAATGTCCAGTGGGCTGACTGGGTAAGAAGTGAGGAAGTGGAAGCCAGAGCCCAGGGAAAGAGGGGAGGGAAAGTGCTGATCCCGGGGCCACTGGGCACCAGGCTCGTGTTAGTTTCCTGTGTCTCCTGTAAAAAATGACCGCAAGCTCAGTGGCATCAAAGAGTGCGGATTTAGTATCTTACAGTTCCAGAAATGGGAAGTGGGAAATGGGCATCCCTGGCTAGAATCAAGGTGTTGTCAGAGCTGTGATCCTCTTGGAGGCCCTGAAGGAGAATCCGTTTCCTGGCGTCTCTGGCTCTGAGGGGCTGCCCACTTTCCTTGGGTCACAGCCCCACCCTCCATTCCTAAAGCCCGCAACCCTGGGAAGAGACCTGCTGCTGCTGTCTTCCACTTATAAGGACCCGTGACCACACTGGACGCCCCTAGACAGTCCAGGATATGCTCCTCATCTCCAAAATCAGCTTAACAAATGGAAACCCTCCTGTAACCCTAAGCCCTCTGTTTCATGTATAGTGACATAGCCACAAGATGTGGTTGTTAGGCTCTAGGTATCTTTGGAGCCATTATTCCATCTTCTATACACCAGTGCAGAACAAAGGCTTATTACTCATGGGGAATTTGCAAGATCTGGTACCAAACAGGATGTGGCTGGAGGCACAATTGACCCTTGGTTCTGCTGTGTCACACACCACCTGCAAATCTAGTGTCATAAAACAACTGTTTTGTTATGTGCACAGAATCTCTGGGTCAAGAATTCAGCCAGAGTGTGGCAGGGACACTGTGTTTCTTCTCCATGAGATCTGAGGCCTCAGCTAGGAAGATTCACACATGGGGGTGGCTCCATGGCTGGGGGCTGGAGACGTCTGAAGTTACCTTGTCTGTGTGTCTGGTAGTGGATGCTGGCTATTGCCTGGGACCTTGATGGGAATTTCTGGCTCGCAGCTGGGACAGCTACAGCCAGCCTTTCCACCTGGCCTTGGTGTCCTCACAATATGGCCACTTCTGGGAAGTGGAGCTTCCGGTGCCATGGCTGAGGGCTCCAAAGGCCTCCAGCCACAGAGGTGGAATCCGCATTGCCTCAGAGGTCACACCACAGCATTTCTGCCACAATCTGTTGGTTTTAAGAAAGTTACCATCCCATCCCCTCCACCTCCCTAATTCACAGTGAGGAATATTAGATTTCATCTCCTAATGAAGGAGTGGCATGGACTGAGAAGAGCCTGCAGGATGGGAGAGCCTGAGGCATCCGTCTTCAGAAAAACAATCCGCCACTTTCTTTTAGGATCCTGGCAAGGCCAGTCCTCAGCAGGAATGCAGTGGTGGTTTCCAGCTCAACCCTTATTCTGGGGTTGCCAGATGTAGCAAGGAAAACTACAAGACATCCAGTTAAATTTGAATTTCATATGAACAATGATTTAAAGTATAATTATGCCCATGTGATATTTGGGATATACTTATGCTAAAAATTTTGTTTATCTGACGTTCAATTTTCACTGGGCTTTTTTACATTGTATCAGGCAAACCTACTCCATGCAGAATGCCCATTTAAAAATATGTTGATCATCATCCCTGGACATGAGGGAGGAGAAAGAGTAACAAGGAGGCAGCTTTTAAGAGGAAACTCCTGCAGAGGGAGGCCAAAAGACCCAGACCCCAGGTGGTTAAACTTGTTTATTCCTTGGCCCACTTCCTCAGAGCCAATGTGATCCATTTCCACTTTCCACAGTCTGTAAAAATACCTCCCAGCCTTCTGGTAATTAATGGGAAGTATAGAACCTAATCTTCTGATGAGCTTTCAATTAGCCTGTGTCTAATTTTCAAATGCTCATGAATAAATGATTAACTCGGATCAGAAACAAAAATCAAAGAGCTCACCTGCTTATAAACAGAACAGTTTGAGAGATCACCTCATCATCATTTTCATAGACTGCACCATCATTGCCTTCCTTATGACCCAGAAAACAAGAATCGTCAGCCTTTACTGAGCATATTCTCTGGCAGACACCATCATGGGTTCCTTAGTCTCTTGAAAAACTCACTGGCTAGTTTCTATTATTTTCTGAACTACACAAACCAGCAGATGGGTGGGTGACCAGCCCAAGGTCCCACAGCCAGAAAGCAGCAGAGCAGGAAGGATTCAGTCTGGGTCCCCCAGCCCAGGTCCTTAGATCTTCCATAGGAAGCACTTTTGTCCCTACGTTTCTTCAAGAGCATAGCCTTTTTGCCTTGTGAGGTTAGAAAAGTGAACTAGTGTGCACTAGCATTGGGGTGAATAGGTCCCTCTGGCTGCTACAGTGCCATGAATATTGTCCCCCCAAATATGTCTTGAGTCCTAATCCCTGGTAATCCTGAACGTGACCTTGTTTTGGAAATAGGACCTTTGAAGATGCCATCAAGGGCCTCCAGATGAGATCATCCTGGATTTAGAGTGAGACGTAATCTCTTTAGGGCTTTAGGTCTCTTTGCTGTCCTTATAAGAGAAAGGAGGGGACGTTTAGAGGCGCTGACAGAGAAGAAAGCCATGTGAACATGGAGGCAGATTGGAGTGATATTTCTACAGGTCAAGGAATGCCAAGGTTTGCTGGCAGCCACCAGCACCCAGGAACGAGCCATGGAAGGGATATTCCCTCAAAGCCCCCAGAAGGAACCAACCCTGGTTTCAGATTCCTGGCCCCCAGAACTGCAAGGCCATGGATTTCTGTTGTTGTTAAGCCATCGGCCTTGTGGCCCTTTGTCACGGTAGCCACAGGAACACGGAGACTGTCCCTCTCTCAGGCCTACCAGCTGCTCTGCTCCATCCCTATCATCCCCAAAACCAAAGCCCCCATGTTTCTTTTCATCACAGAAAACACACTGCTTTAGCTTCTCCTCCTTGTATGTGAGATGCAAATAGTGATTTGTGATTCTGTGTGTGCCTCTGCCTGCCCACCTGGTGCTGGGGAAAAAACAAATCGTGTCACCAGCACCCCTACTGGGGTCTTCAGAGGGAAACTTAGAGTAACATGAAGGCTTTGTGCTTTTCTTAGTCACATAATAAAAATTACAGTTTTTATAACTCGAGTGACTAAAACACTTAAATCACCTCCAGGAGTGAGCCGGCCAGCCACTTGTCAGTGTGGCTCCTGAGAGAAAGCTGAAGGGGGCATGTGTCTGGAAGGATGAGAAATCACTTGCTAAGTAAGAAGCTCACTGAGTTTAAACCAAAACTCAGCACCTCTGGTTTTAGGCAAACTTTTCAAAGTCTTACAGTTCCTGTTTTCCTGTGTGCAAATACCCCTAGGAAAGGGTGGAAGCAGAACTGAATTTTGCTGGTTTGCTTCTTTCTTAGGGTAAATTCTGCTATGTCTCCTCCAGCCCTGACCAAACTTCAAATATGAGGAAAATAAACATTGTCATATATCAACCGGCCAGTTCCCAGCAATTCCTGCCTGCGTGCCCATGCAAGGGGAGGTCTGGTGCTGCCTCCTGTAGTAACTACCTGTGGAGCCAGCTGAACTCATTTTCCCCTGAACTTCAGAAAGTGCCAGAATCACCCCAGAGCACTTGAGTACTTGCCCTGTGAAGACAGCAAGGAAATGGGAGAGGATTTGAAGGATTTGCTTAAGAGCGGCTTTGAAGTCCTCCAACAGGGTGAGAGAGCCAGCTCAGCACAGACCCAGCCTAGAGAAGGAGCATTTTTCTAGTGGGCTCATCTTTAATTTGCAACTATGGCACAAAGGAAGGAGCAGCTGTGGAGACCAGGGCATTGGTGAAATGAAAGCATATTGTTTCCCTCCATCTTCCCCACCCTGGGGAGGCCAGGGTTTCTCCAAGGCAGACACTCTCTAAGTGAAATCTATGGAATTTTGGAAACAAGATAAAAGACATACTCGACTGCAATGCACATACTCACCGTGGAGCCCGGCACGCAGGGTAAAGACTCGCTGGGTTTGCATTGCACATTCTCACTGAGGAGCCCGGCACGCAGGGTTCAGACTCGCTGGTTTTGGGTTGGTGGACTTCATTTTCTTTCACGCTGCTGCTTGCCCAGTGGGTGTAGACAGCAAGAAAATGAAGAAAATCAGTCCAAGGCCCCTTGCCATGGCTGTGCCAGTCACTCACTTTTAACCTGCGCAAGTTCTGATTTATTCTAAGCCAACTGCCTTCATCAGAGAAATGGAGATAATGGGGATAATGCTTTACTGGGTAGTTTGGAAGATCAAATAAGGTCGTGTCGGTCAAGATAATAGCATTGACTGTCATTGATTGAGTGCCTGCCACGCCTGGGCACCATGCTAAGTGCTTTGCAGGCAGGGCACTGATTTGCTCCTACTTTACATTGGAGGATAGGGAGGCACAGAAAGGCGAGGGAACCCACTCAAGGTCATTTGGCGCAGTAAGGAGCCAGGACTCCAACCCATATCTAAGCTGGTGCTCTAACTCATTACGCGTTTTTATAAAGCACCAGACTGTAAATATTTTCAGCTTGGCAGGTCTGAGTGGAACACAAGAACTCAATGAAAGTGCTTTTTCTATTCTGTCACTCACAACAATCAACACAGAAGACCTCTGTGATCAAATGTGGCAGGGAGGGGTTTCCCATACACACAAAGCAAGCAATCAGTTCTGCAGCAGGCCCAAGCTGGGTGTCCTCTAATGCAATTCCGTGGAGATAGCACCAGGTCCCGCAGGTTGAGGGCTGAGTCCCCGAGACTGCTTCCCACCCAATTTCAGTGCCAATCACAAGCCCCGGGTTGTTTTACCAGGGCTTCTGCCCGAGGGGCTGTAAATTGGAGTTCCCAAAAGCCCTTCCTTGGGCTTAGTGAATTTGCTAGAGTGACTCACAGAACTTATGTTTAACAGTTTATTACAAAGGATATTTCAAAGGATACAAATACACAGCCAGATGAAGAAACATGTAGGGTGAGGTCTGGAAGGGTCTGAGTGCAGGAGCTTCTGTCTCCATGGATTTGGGATGCACCAGCTGTCTGGCATGTGGATGAATTCTTGTTCACCTTCCTGCCTCCTGGAAGCTCCCCAAACCCTGTTCTCTTGGACTTTTTATAGAGACTTCTTTGATAGGCAACCACGTAGAAATGTGACTGGACAAAAAGATCTGGTCTAATACTAACGGGCCGAGTGGGGAACTCCAGTAAAGCCTGTCTGTTCAGATTCTTCTAGGCCTCCTCATACAGCATTCCTTCCTCCAGAGTGTGGGACAGAACCCATTCTGAAATGGGCCTCTTGTGACCTGTAATTAGACAAAATAGGTCAGAAAATATTTTTGTTGCTAGTTCCCAGAGAGGCAGGGGAAGATTCCTGCTTTGGGGAGAAAAGGAAGCAAGTGAAAGGAGGGAAGGGGAAGATCAGAGAGACAGATTCTGTTTCTAGGCCTGTTCCTGAGGCCTAAAGCACACAAGGTAGTAAGAAAGGCTATGGGAGTTATGAGCCATGAATGAAAACCTCTCTCTCTCGATGTATACATATATATACGTACACACACACACACATATGTATATATAGTTATCATATATGTTTTATATATCTATAGATAACCTAATATCACCACAGGTCTCTCTTGTATCTACTCAACTACTCAACTCTGCCACCGTAGCACAAAAGCAGCCATAGACAATCAATGAACAAATGGGTGCGGCTGTTTTCCAAGACAACATTATTTACAAGTCAGGCCGTAGGATGGGGAGGGGCTGCAGAAGGGTTGAAGGGTCTGTCTTTGTCCCTTTGGGCTGCTATAACAAAACACTATAACCTGTGTGGCTTGTAAACAACGGGAGTTTATTTCTCACAGTTCTGGAGTCTGCCAAGTCCAAGATCAAGGCACCGGCAGATTCAGTGTCTGGAGGCCCCACTTTCTGGCTCATGGATGATGTTGCATGTGTCCTTGCATGGGGGAAGGGGAGAACTCCAGCCTCTGCAGCCCCTCATAAAGGCACCCATTCCATTCAGAGGGCCCCACCCCCATGACTGAATCACCTCCCAAAGGCCCCACCTCCTAACACCATCACACTGAAGATGAAGGTTCAGTGTATGAATTTCACAGGAACATGAGCATTGAGTCCATAAGAGAGTTTTATTTGGAGTGTTGGAAGTGCCTGGAACTAGATAGAGGGGTACACTGGGAATGTACTAAGTGCCACTGAATTGCTGGCTTTAGGATGGTTAATGTTATATGAATTTCACTTCAATAAATTATTTGTAAAAATCAGGCAATAGACCCAATTTGGCCCACAAGCCATAGTTTGCTGACCCCAGCAAGCTATCCCTTGTCCCAAACTAAGTTAGATGTAGATATCTGAGAGAAGTTAGAGATCAAGTCTTTATCAGCTGCCAGCACCTTAAGTTGATTGCTTCCATATAGACAGAGGCTCTTGAGTCAGGCAGGAGGGATCTACAGTCTGGGTGTTCAGTGCCAGCCCAACTGGGTTTGCACCGTGGCTGTGCCAAGTGGTAGCGGAGTCATCCCAGGCAAATCATTCAGTATCTCTGGTTTCGTTTCGGAGGTCTTTAAGATGGGGACAATAAGGATTCCTTCCTTATGGAGTTAAGAGGATCGGCTGAGTTAATACAGGTGAATTATCCAGACAGAGCCCAATGCATAAGTATCTCACCTACGAGTTTGCAATCACTTTAATGTTAATAAATGAAGGGGCTTTCCTTACCCACGAGCTGCTGCTTGCTAACACGAGAGCTCCCTCAGGCAGCCCTGTGTTTTCAGAGTTGGCACAAGCAAGCCACGGGTAGGTATCGTAACAAAGGCAGTCAGGGCAGTTCGAGGCAGATGTGGCTTCTTCCCAGGAGCCGGCAGGTGCTGTGAGCAAAGCCCAGGCCTGATAACGCCTGTTTCTCAGGAGGTAGAGCCACACACATGGCCTGAATCTCTCCATTCTTCAGCGCTCACAGCCCCTAGAAGTGCCCAGCTGACAGTGGAAGAGGCTTCATCTTGGCCACGGAAGGTTGGCCTTTCCCTGGGTGTGGGTCAGGGCTCAGGAAAGAAACTGACCATGAACTGACACTGGTGATGAAGAGTTTGATAAGGAGGTATTTTCCAGATGTAGGCAGGTTGAAAGAACCCTGGGCTGCTAATAATGGAGGAACCACTTCTGCCCCAGTGCCTGTAGGAGCAAGGAGGGTAGCAGTTATGGCAACTGAGAGAGGGAATCTGTGAGGAGCCACAGCTGCATGAAACCAGCCACCCGATGGAAACGGGGGCTTCAGAAGAAGGGCAAGGCCAACCTACTGCACTGGAGCAGAGAGAAAACCAGAGGAACAAATGCCTCAACCATTCTTCATCCTCAGATGTGTTCTCCCTTCAGGGGCCAAAGCTGAACAGCAGCCGCTCTAGGCTGAGACCATCTCCACGGCAACCATTTCAACCAACAGTTGAAAGTTCAACAAAAATCCTAGAGAAGGTTCTGATTCTCCAGGATGGAGTCTTCACTGTTGCCAGTGGGAGAAAGCATTCTGATTGGCTAATCCTTGTGTGCAAAGGGGTTCAGACAAGAAAGAGAAGCTCAGAGACCCAAGAATAAAGGAAGAGCAGCAGGCGGCAGAGGATGATTGTATCTGCTGACATCTGCCACACTCATTTTTTCTCAGAAAGAGGCTGTTCCAACCTTCCCTGGAATCACCAGTATTTTGCAATGACCTTCCGCAGGAGCCTACAGATCTCCCTGTTTCCCCCGCCCCCTCTTTCTTCTCCTCTTTTCTCCTATTTCTTAAAGAATAGACTGTTTCTTAGAGCAGTTTTAGACTCATAACAATATTGAGTGGAAGATACAGAGATTCCCCACATATATACCCTGTTCCCACATGTGCACAGCCTCCTCCATTATCAGTGTCCTTCACCAAAGCAGTGCATTTGTTACTATTGCTAATCCTACATTGACAGGTCATTATCACCCAAAGTCCATAGTCTACGTAGGGCTTACTCTTGGTGGTAGACCTTCTATAGGTCTTGACAAATGTATAATGGAATGCATCCACCATTACCGTGTCATGCAGAACAGTTTCACTGCCCTAAATATCCTCAGTGTGCCACCTATGCATCCTGCCCTCCCTCTAAACCCTGGCAACCGCTGATCCTTTTTCTGTCTCCAAAAAGTTTTGCCTTTTCCAGAATGCCACATATTTGAAGTAATACAGTATGTAGCATTTTTGGTTGGCTTCTCTTGCTTAGTAACATGCATTTAAATTTCTTCCAAGGCTGGCTGCAGTGGCTCACGCCTGTAATCCCGGCACTTTGGGAGGCCGAGGCGGACGGATCACCTGAATTTAGGAGTTTGGGACGAGCCTGGCCAACATGGTGAAACCCCGTCTCTATTAAAAACACAAAAATTTGTCAGGCATGGTGGCACGTGCCTGTAGTCCCAGCTACTTGGGAGGCTGAGGCAGGAGAATTGCTTGAACCTGGGAGGTGGAAGTTGCAGTGAGCCAAGATCGTGCCACTGCACTCCAGCCTGGGTGACAGAGTGAGACTCCATCTCAAAAAAAAAAAAAAAAAAAAAAGTTTCTTCCAAACACTAACTCCATTGTCTGAATGCATCACTGTTTGTTTATCCATTCACGAACTGAAGAACATCACTGTCGCTTCCGAGTTCTGTCAATAATGAATGAAGATGTCATGAACATCCATATGCAGGTTTTTGCGTGGCCATACATTTTTATCTCATTTAGGTCATTACCAAAGATTGAGGTTGCTGGATTGTATGGTAAGACCACAGTACTCCCTTATCCCACGGGGACAAGTCCCAAGACCCACAGTAGATGACTAAAACTGCATGAATTTCTTTTTCCTTTTTGACAATTCTGTGGATAGAAGATTCGTTTTTACTGTAGGTCTTAGCAACCTCAGCATACCATATTTTTTCTTTCCTTATTAAGTCTAGAGCTTTCCTGTTTTCACTTAAAGCACTTTATGGCTTCTCTTTGGCATATCTGAATTGCCAGCATCAATAATCTCGCCCTTTGGGCCCACTATTAAGTAAAATAAGGGTTACTTGAACACTAGCACTGTGAGGCTGTGACAGTCAATCTGATTACCGAGACAGCCACTGAGTAGCCGAGGGGCAAGCAGCATAGGCAGTGTGGAGACCCCGGACAAGGGATGGTTCACATCCCAGGTGGGACAGAGCAGGACAGCCAGAGATTTCATCATGCTATGAAGAATGGGATGCAATTTAAAACTTATGAATTGTTTATTTGGGGAATTTTCCAGTTTTTTTTTCACACCATGGTTGACGGAAACAGCAGAAAGTGAAACTGTGGACAAAGAAGACTATTGTGTGTTGAGCTTTGTAAGAAATTGCAAAAATGTCTTCCAAAGGAGCTTAACTCTTTTGCATTCCTACCAGCAGTGAATGGGAGTTCCTGTTGCTCCACTTCTTTGCCAGCATTTGGTGTCATCGGTGTCCTGGGTTTTGGGCACTCTAGTAGGTGTGTAGCATCCTTGTATTTATTTATCCTAAATGTGGATTAAGTGCCTCTCCTAGTTTCTCAAAATAGGATTAAAATCATGCTATTTTGGTATTTATCACAACTTCATGGAAAGGTGGGAGGGACAGGAAGAAGTTGAAGGAAGGCTATGATTTTAAGCCAAGTTCCATCATAGAAGTCGGTCTTCACGAGACGTGCTTCTCCTAAACCCTCAACCGGACACCAGGTTTCTACACCGACTCTCCAGGACTGTATCCCACGTCCCACCTGCCATCAACAGAAGCATCTTGAATCCTAACTCCTACTATGGGTCTGACCACCTTAAATCTTTGGGAAACAACAGAAAGACCTCTGCAGCCCGAGCCCGATACACACAAACTCAAATACCAAGCCCAGCTCCCGAGACACACCACCAACTCCAGGTGAATTCTGTCCAAAGAGCTGACAGCTCTTCAGATGATCGTGCAGCATGATTTCACTTCTCACTGATCAGAATCTCTTCATTCCTCCGCAGGGTTTGGGATTCCTCTTTGCCAAATCAAAAGGCTCATTGAAGTGCTTTGTGATTTTTTTTTTGGTTAATTTTTTTTTCTGAAATAAAGGACTGATATTCCTCCTAAGGACAAACTCAAAAATTTCTGCAAGCTTAAAAATAGCAGCATGTCTCCCTTCATACCCATCAAGTATTCAAAAATACAGGGTTGAGTCTCAGAATATCCAGTTTACACAAGGAAATATTAAAATTAAATTATTGTGAAAATCTATTTTCTGCTGGGAAGAACTGACCTGTGATGTGGCATGATGTTTTCTAGAAAAGCATCTCGATTTTGCCTGTTCACAGGGAATCATAGCTGGACCTCAGAGGTCTACATGTCGGGAGATCTGTTGGTTTGGCAAAATGCTTTCTCTCTTCTTCCACCCATGTCTGGAGATGCATTATAATTAGTCCCTCCTGGGTTCTGTTCTCTATTTTTCTGATTTTTTAAAAAGTACTTTTTAATAGATGAGCTCTCTCTGCCACCCCCAGTCAAGACTTTGCAGTTTCTGTAATCACAGAGGTAGGAAATCAAAACAACAGAGGAGATTTGGCTCTGAGCTTCTGTGTGTGTCCCTAGCGGTGGGGGACATTTTGCCCAACAGATTTAACTGGTACCTTTGTGTTCTGAAGATAATGCTACTCCATTATCTGCTATTGTGATAAACATTTTATGATTTCAGAGAAAACCTTGTGTGTGTGTGTGTGTGTGTGTGTGTGTGTGCGCGCGTGTGCGCGCCTCTGCACAGATTGGTTCCTCTTCCTCTTCATTTGGGAATGTTTACCACATCTTCTGGAACTGCTGATTTCAGTCAGTAAACCAATTGCAATCAATATGGGCATTAAGCATCGATCTAAGAGGCAGAGCAGTCCATGAAGGGGACCAGCCAGCAGCTGCTTCTCTATGCAGTGTTCTCTTGGACTCTAAGTCATCCCCTGGGCCATCAGGATCCCCATCCCACATCCCATAAGGCCTGGGGGGCCGCAGGCCTGAAAAGACTGAATAACATCAGATCTCTCTGGCTCTGCTGAATACAATAGGAGCTCACATCCTCAGGGAATGTGCATACCCTGAACTGTTTCTTCAGAAGCACATTTGTCCTGTGCGCCTCTGCACACTGTCTTCAGAGTTGTAGGTGCCAGGAGACATCTGACCAGGACTAAAGAACTCACTGACTTACAAAGAACAGTTATGAAAACAATGGTGAAGGGTCCTTGTTGGAGCGTTGTTGATTGTTGCTGCGCCCATGACTGAGTAGAGCGTCAACGAGGCAGTGAAGAGCCATGTGGAGGCTGATTCCAATGTAACTGCTGTCCAAACAACACGAGCCCCCACGCAGTTTTTACTATAGGTGGCTGATTTCGGAGCACAACAGTTTGAAAGGACTGAAAAGGAAAGATCCACAGACAAGATATTTTCCACATGATTTCAAAGGGGTTCTACTTTCCTGAAGCCTCACTTTAGACCCTAAGTTCAGAGCTCTTATTCTCTTAAATCTGCTCTGAAAACAAGCATGCTTATTTATCCCCTGATTATTTAACAAATACCAATTGAGAGTGTATTAGGTACCAGGCATTGGTGACATCTGGGTGAACAAAACAGATGGATCCTGTCCTTTGGGAGATTACAGTTTGTTGAGAGAGAACACACTATAAGACAATAATGAACAAGTAGAGTTATAAAATGCACAAGGGCTATAAATAAGCCCAAATCATGACTAATAGAGATGAACTGGTGCTGACATGGGAGGTCATTTACTCAGAATGCTGGTCCAGAAAGATCTCTGTGAGGAGGTTGCATTTAAGCCAGGCAGAGAGAGGATGAGGACAAGGGTCCTGAGGTTGGGAGGAAATGGGATGGTCCAGCACGGAGTAGAAGTCAGTGCGGTTCCTCCCGGGGATCCTAGGGGAGAAGGGGAAGAGGTGAACAGAACTGAATCATGCAGAGTCCTGCAGGACAGGTGGGGGTTTGGGATTTTCTTCTAAGTTTGATAAGAAGCTAAGTACGGATGTGACCTATGGCCCATTTTAGGTTTAAGACTCCTCTTCAGCTGTAGTGGAGTGAACTAGAAGGGGCAGGAGTGGGGGAAGCTAACTAGTGCAGTTATCCTGGTGAGGGCTGATGGCAGGCTGGACTCAGATGGTTGCGGTGGTGATACC
Source organism: Homo sapiens (assembly GCF_000001405.40). NCBI lineage: Eukaryota > Metazoa > Chordata > Mammalia > Primates > Hominidae > Homo > Homo sapiens. The sequence goes on from NC_000020.11 coordinate 60,339,672, forward strand.
AGCGGGCTAGGGGAGGTCTCCAAATGCCAGTGAGACCTCGACCCCGGCCGGTGTCAAGGCTCTTGATGCTGTCATGTGAAGGAATTCAAGGATGAGTTGGAAAAAACTACAGAGATTTATTGTGAAGAGAAAAGCTTGCACTCAAGACGGGAGTTCAGGAATACTCAAGAGAGTCACACCCGAGGCAACTTGGGACTTCCATCTTTATGGGTTTCTCTAACGGGGGGTGGAATATTCATGAAAATTCCTAGAAAAATGTAAAGGTTTCTCAAAACTGTGTTGCCACCCGTTTTTACACCAAACATGTGTGTTCCCAGAATTGTCCTGGCACTGATGGGTGTGTGACTCAGAATGTTAATGAGCATATAATGAGGTCCTAGGTGAAACCTAGGTCAAATCCAGTGCCACGCTGGGTCCAGTGGTCTTAGCCAGCGTGGCCCACATCCTGTTGTTCAGGGTCCCATTGGCCCCTCTCTTCTGCAGCTATTTCAGCAGTTTCCTTTTGCTAATCATGCGACACTGCTGCCTGGAAGTTTCTAGTCTCCGGTGACCACCTGACCACCCTGTATTACTCCTGTCTCAGTGGGGATGGAGAGAGGTAAAGCAATTTGGGGTACATAAGTGGTGTGCCAGTAAGCCAGCTCTCTGGAATAAACAAAGCCCTTAGTGTTAGGGTTTGCCGATTTCCATGGTGTAAATACTCCCACAATGGGCTGACCCCTAGTCACCAGTGCGAGGTCATGGCCGAGGTGAGAGGCCTCATGTACGGTCCAGCTGCTTCCCCCTGCTGGCTGGGAGGAGAAACCTGAGGCCTGTGCATTGACCAGTCTCCCACTGTTTGGTTTGAGTCATTGAGAATGGCAGTTCCTTCAGTTGGGAAGGTACAAGACTGCAAGGGACACAGATTTGTGAGTGGGGCAGAGGACCTGCAAAGAAAGGCTGTCTGGAGCTCCTGCCCTCACAGGTGTCTCCACCAGCCCACAGAGGTCTCTCCCCTTGGAAACCTCTTGCAATGGTGTTGGTTCTACCTGATTAGTCTCTTATCACAAGCACATGGCCCTGCTCGCTAAGTGTCTGCTCACATAGTTATGCAGAGATCTGTGCAGTAAGTGGTAGCAACAAGAGTGCTGGGCTGGAAATCCAGAGATCAGGAAACTGGGACTGGTGGAAAATATGCTCGGGGTTACCTGAACACTGAACTGCTCAAATGCAGGCCTTCTGACCCGAAAGGGCCCACCTTCTCCTCTAGGTCCAGCTGCTAAATTTGCTAATTCTTAAAAATCTATTCAAAACAAAACATAAAAACTAACCAGATTTTTTTTCTCGTTTTTTTTCCTCTGCCCCGTTTTTCTACTGAATTATTATGCAAGAGGAGAAGTAGCCTGTGCTGAAAAATGCATAAATATTCCGTCTATAGTAAGGCAGAGAAGTAATGAACCTCAGTGTAAACCCTGCAACATACAGAGACAGCAGCAAATGTGTTCATTTAGAAATTACGCAGGTAGTGTGCTTTGAGCTTTTGTTCTGTGTTAATCCTTCAGGCGCTGGTTAAACCAAGGCGTTGTACGCGTGGTGGACCTTGATCTGAGCCCTGCTGAGATCAAAGGCTCAATCCGGAAAGCTTTCTGCTGATTTTCTTGTGTCTTCTACCATCTCCAAGCACTCTGAGAGCAATTTCAGAGCAACTGTCAAAGCTGGCAGATGATGTTTATATCAGGATGCTGTTTGTACTTATTTATTTAACATCTGATGGTGGCAGCCAACCTGCCCATTAGACAGTATTAATAAAATGCACAATGTTAACAAGGTATACAGGAGACTTTTCGCTTATCCTTATCCACTTAACCCAACACAGAGCTTTTAATCTGCATTCAGGTAAAGCAAGAGGTTAAGAAGAAGCAAGAAGCTGGGCGTAGTGGCTCATGTGTACAATTTCAGCACTTTGGGAGGCTGAGGCTGGAGGATCACTTGAGGGCAGGAGTTTGAGACCAACCTGAGCAACATAGAGAGACCCTGTCTCTATAAAAAAATATAAAAAATATATAAAAAAAAAGCTGGACATGGTGGTGTGCGCCTGTAGTACCCAGCTACTTGGGAGGCTGAGGCGGGAGGATCATTTGAGTCCAGGAGGTTGAGGGTGCAGTGAGCTCTGATCACACCACTGCACTCCAGCATGGGTGAGAGACCAAGATCTTGTTTCAAAAAAAAAAAAAAAAAAAAGCAAGAACTCAAGAACTCTGGGATCAGATGGATCCAGGTTTGAATCCCAGCTCAGGTTCTTATTCACTGCTCGGTTTCTGCAGGTTTCTTAAGCTCTCAGAGTGTTTGCGTTCGTGTCTGAAGTGAGAGTCATCTTAGAGCCATGTCCTAGAGCTGTTCTGAAGATTACAAGTCCAGGTTTAACCATATTAATGATGGTCATTATCATGATTATTATATTTATATTCATAACCTAAGTCCAACAGATATGGGCTAAGAGCCCAGTTCTGCCTTTTACTCACTGGTCACCTTCATCCCAGCATTCTCCAAGGTTGTTTGGGTGCACCCCAGATGTTGCCTCCAGCCCCCTATCTCCCGTCAGCTCTGAAATTTCTGCACACCCTGGGAATTTACTTCCTTACAGTCCACTTCAGGGCTGGGTTTCTCTTTTCCAAATCTCACTTGCTCTTGTCTCTCTCTTCTGACTTAAATGTAAAATCAGGCTCTTGTCATCTGATTCACACACACATATACACACTCACTCACTCACAAAACATCTGTGTGTGTCACAGGCTTTACTGACAATGGAGGGAGTTGGAGGGCTTTCCTATATGAGACCTAGGTGCCTGACAATTAAAGCGCCTCCACTCTGAAAAGCCCTGGGGCCCTTCCACCTTGGCACTTGCATTTCCTATCTTTCTCCTCAACCCCTCCCCTCTCTCCTCTCCATCCTCTGTGGTCCCAGAGCCTACTCCTACATGGAATCCCAAGACCTCTAGAAAGACATGGCGATTCAGAAGCAAGAGCAGGGAGGCTTTCCTCTGGCCCCTTCATTATCCAATCTGAGAACCTTTGACGGACTAGCTACAAAAAAACCAACCAGGATAAATTCCTTACCCACCTCTCTAACCTCTCCCTGATGGCACTAGGAGGTCCCACCAATCATTTGAAATCTTTAACGGATGAAAAACAGATGTTAGACATTCATCCAAAAGCATTGGTCAGCCACGGTAGCTCACACCTGTAATCCCAGCACTTTGGGAGGCTGAGGTGGGAAGATGGCTTGAACTCAGGAGTTCAAAACCAGCCTGGGCAATATGGCAAAACCCCATATCAACAAAAATACAAAAAGTTAGCCAGGCATGGTGGTGCGTGCTGTAGTCCAGGCTACTTGGGAGGCTTGAGCCCAGGAGGTCGAGGCTGCAGTGAACCAAGATGGTGCGACCGCGCTTCCAGCCTGGGTGACAGAGTGAGACCCTGTCTCAGTAAATAAATAAATAAATAAATAAATAAATAAATAAGCATTACATTAAAAAGGGGTGTTTTCTATTTAGCACTATTATGTCCCAGGGAAGAAGGACTCCTGTCCTAGAAGCTGAATCTGTACAACTGCAGCCAAACCCTCTTCCCAAAGGACCTCATTGAAAGGCAGAAGTCAAGAAGTGGTTATCACTTTAAGAGTTAAAAGAGAAAGGTACTATTAATTTTCCATTTTTAGCCATGAAATCTGTAGCTGTATGCTTATGAGAAGTATTATTTTAACCTTTGTATTTCTCTTTACATGACTTTGTGGAGACAAAATTAAAAGTTAAAAATTGATACCTGACATCAAAAGCTCAGCATGCTGAAGGGTACAAGCCACGAAAAGAAAAAAAAAGAAGAAATGGTGGCCTTTGAAGACTTTGCTAATAGACACATTGAAGAGTTTGCATTGTCTACAAAGATCTATGTCAGAGAAATAGCCTAGAGAGATATGTGGCAGGGAAGGAGAAAATAAGATTTGAGTACTTTGGCATGAGCCCTTACAATTAACATAAGACATCTGAAAAGGTTTCCAGAAACTAATCAAGACAGTATACAATAAGGTACACCTGCCAGCATACCCATATTTCTTTTCTATTTATAAATTGTGGATTCTTTCCCTGTATCTCTAATAGTAATGAAACATTTTACCTTAGCTCGTCTTCCCTGCTTCAGTGACACCCTCTGGTGTGCCATGACCCAGCTAGCCTTAGTCCACAGTGGGTCCAGGGAGGTGATCACCCATGTGCTTATGAAGGTAAAAAATTCCTGCTCAGGTCTCAATGCAACTCTGTCTCCAAGAAGCCCTAAGAACGAGGAGAGATAAACTTAAGAATACTGCATGCCTCTTTTCTGATTATAAGAAACATCTCTGTAAATAAACCATGACTATAAAAATATAGACAAGATAAGTATTGTGTTGGAAGGAAATATATCCATCAAGTAAAAAAATATTAGTAGATCAAAGGAGTGAAAAGAATAACTAGCATTTATTGTATGTTTACAATGTAACAGGCACTTTACTTAAACTGTTTCTTTTATTTTGTACAATGACCACTTTAAGTACTAGAATTTCTATTCCCATTCTACACACAAGGACAGTGGGGCCAAGAGAGCTGAGTGGGGGCCCAAGGACTGCCAGTGCAGAGTCTTGGCTTCCAGCAGGGGTTTCGGAGGCTGCCCTACTGCAGTGACACAGCTGCAGCTCCATAGAAAACAGACCCTCTTCTCCCCTCTTTCCTGATCAGTCACCATGTATATAGGTGACAAGAACTTTCTTCTTTCTCCTTTCTTTCTTTCTTTCCTTCTTTCTTTTCTTTCTTTCTTTCTTTCTTTCTTTCTTTCTTTCTTTCTTTCTTTCTTTCTTTCTTTCTTTCTTTCTTTCTCTTTCTTTCTTTCTTTCTTTCTTTCTTTCCTTTCTTTCTTTCTCTTTCTTTCCTTCCTTCCTCTCTCTCTCTCTTCCTTCCTTCCTTTTCTCTCTCTCTCTTTCTTTCTTTTCTTTCTTTCTCTTTTTTTTTTTTTTCCAAGACACAGTCTTTCTCTGTCACCCAGGCTGGAGTGCAGTGGTGTGATCTTGGCTCATTGCAACCTCCACCTCCCGGGTTTAAGCAATTCTTCTGCCTCAGCCTCTGGAGTAGCTGGGATTACAGATGCACGCCACCATGCCTGGCTAAATTTTTTTTTTATTTGTGGTAGAGATGGGGTTTCACTGTATTGTCCAGGCTGGTCTCGAACTCCTGACCTTGCGATCTGCTTGCCTCGGCCTCCCAAAGTGTTGGGATTACAGGCATGAGCCACCGCGCCCAACAACAAGAACTTTCTAAACTCACCTCTTTGTTTATTTTCACCCCTTGCTTTCCAACGTGAAATGTGCAGTTTTGTGGAAGTTCAAACAAGCCACCCAGCTGAAGCCTCCCTGGGGAGACCTGAACTTCTGCACTCAGGCAAGACCAAAATTAAGATGCTTTTGCTCTTTCCAGGCTTGTCTTTATCCATCTAAATAATAAATACTCATGTCCCTCTATAGTGATACATCTCACCTTTATGATCAAGCACCTCAGTGCCGTTTGAGTGATGGATTTGTCAAAATTCCTTGAGGGCTGGCCTCTGCCACTGCAGGCTTGCAGCCCCCACCCCCATCTGTTTTACTTTGGAACTGCAACAGCAGAGCATCTGGCTGACCTCCGGCATATCAGGCGGTTCCTTGTGCACTGAGGTGCTGCAGTCTGTGCTGGGCCCTGGGGCTCCTTCCCCAGATAACACCGTGGCTCTTCAGGCTGGGGCCTGCCAGTGTCAGGACTTCAGCCTGGCCACAACGGGTGTCCTCACTTCCTTAGGACCTGGACAACCACATAGCTAGCTTTTTATTTGTTAATTTATTTTTATTGGATATTAACAAATTATAATTGTATATATTTATGAGATTATATTTATAATTATATATATTACGAGATACAAAGTGATGTCATGACATGTGTATGCCATGTGGAATGCTTGAATTAAGTTCACTAACATATCTATCACTTCAAATGTGTATTTTCTCCTTTTGCCTCACTGAAACATCCTTTCGCCTCTCACTGAAACATTGCATCCTTGACCAGCATCTTCCTATTCCCCGACGCTCCAGCCCCTGGTAACCACTATTCTGTTCTCTGCTCCTATGTGTTTTGATTGTTTTAGGTTCCACAGAGAAGGGAGGTCATGCAGTGTTTTTTCTTTTTGTACCTGGCTTAATCCTCTTAGTATAAGGTCTTCCAGGTTCATCTGTATTTTCAGAAGTGACATAAATTCCTCATGTCAGCCCATCTCATGCAGGTGGGTCAGCATTTGTGTCCACAAGGCCCTCTCTTACGAGATACCTGAGATTTTCAATGCTAAGAGCAGGATGAGTACCATCAGAAAATATGGCTCAGAATTCAGGAAACCTTCTACATAGAAGAAAAAGTAGATAAGCAGGAAGGTATCTTCACTTTGACAAAAAAGCCTGCTGGGTCCTTGAAAGTGGCCACATCCAGAACAAACATAGGCCCTAAATGGAAAAGAGAATTGACTTAAGGAGAGAAACTCTTCCCACTGCCTCCCAGCATGAAGACATGAACACTTAGGTTGAGCTCCAAATACATTTTTAAAAATATAAAACAAACACACACACCTCTCTGTGCTTTATATTTTGTCCAAGAACATGATGGAAAGGCATTCTGCAGGTTCCAGTTTTCTTTGGACCCATTTGAGCAGTTCTGTGACAGCAGGTTTGTGAAAAGCTTCAGTTCTTTTATGTCGTGGACCACTTAGCGTCCATCCCCTCTTCTCCATGAGGAAAGGAGCATAGAGCAGCCTACTTTAGCCAGCCGGGATTGACTCACCTGCACTGAAGACTCACCTCCACTGCAGCATTGGAGATTTGCCTAAGAATATAACTAGCGTGTATACATACGTACACAAACACGCACACACAATATGTAAATGTATTAAGATGACTGACTAGGCTGGGTGTGGTGATGCATGCCTGTAGTTATAGTTGCTTGGGAGACTGAGGTGGAAGGACCCTTTGAGCCCATGGAGTTGAGACTGCAGTGAGCTGTGATCACACCACTGCACTCCAGCTTGGATGACAGAGCGAGATCCTGTCTCTAAAGAAAATGTCAGTTATGGCACAGAAAGTCCTGTGTCCTGGGAAACCTCACAGTCCCAGGCAAACTGGGGTAGTTGGTCACCCCAGTGTCTGCATTTCTAGAATGGACAAGCTTCATCTCCCCGCTCCTACTTCCTGGAGGCTGGCACCCACTGAGGCTAGAAGGAGACCTTCTAGTTGTGTGATCAAGCCTGAGATGGAGAGACATTCTGTAGGCATCACAGGGAGAAGGATGTGCACGAGATCTCACTGTCTTTAGATGTTTTGCCCCAAAGTTGCATCACCACAAGGCCCTTGGTTTAAGTCACTGTCTTTTCCCTACTCCATCCAGTAGCAAACCCAGAGATAACAGCATGAAGACTGACAGCTGTGTAGAGGTCGCCCAGAGGGCGCTGGTCCTCATTCTGCCTCCTTACTGGATGTAGTCTGAACACAAGTGTCCAGGCCCAACAGTGGCTGAAGCTCTTCATTCAAGACTGAATCTCTGAGCAACCTGGCAGCACTTAGAGGGGAGAACATGGCATGTGCCACGGACAGAGACTGCAGCTAAATTCCAAGGGAGGACTGAGGAGCAAGGAAACAAGAGGGCCCAGGGAAGGGAGGGGTCCAGAGGGAAGCGTGACAGGCACCGACCATGCTGTTGCCATCCCTGCAGGGACCCAGAGAAGGGCAGGTGCTGTGCTGGGCTCCGAGAGAGCCCTCACTGCAGAGTAGATGTGGGAAGGAATGTTGGACTGTGAGGTAACATTGGGATGGGTGGCAAGGGCCAGGAAAGGGCCACATCTTCCTTCCAGGTCAGCCTTTCATTTATTCATCATTGATGGAGTACCTACTATATGCCAGGAACCATTCTAGGTATTGAAGCTACAAATATAGCAGGGCTGAATAATATCCTCATATTCACATGCACATAGAATACTGAAAGCCCTCATTTTCTTTATATCAAGGAATGAAAACTCTGAGTCTTCATCCTTCCTGGCAAGAGGAAAATGCAACCTCATTAGTTTTGAGGAATTACCCCCCATCTGCAGGCCCCATAGAAGTTGCAGGGTTTTAGGCAGCACCAAGCATTGAGGAGGCTGCCCTGGCCATTGCCATCAGGCAAAGGTGCCTGTGTGCCAGGGTAAGACCTGAGAGGTCCAGGGGCTCTGCTGCAGGTGCTGTCCTGGGCTCCAGGAATCACTGGCCAGGAGCTCTGGGATGCAAGGCAGGTGTGTCATACAGGTGTGTCCTAAGTTGTAGCCAGCGCTGGGGTCTCTGCTGCTTATGGATCCTCTTTTCCCATCCTCCTCATCTATCTGCTCCTAGGAGGCACTCCTTTCCTACAGTCCTGCAGATTCAACTCCATTCCAGCTTTCCAACATCCTCTCCTCGTGTTCTTCCCACCCTCTGCCCACTTCTAATGTCTGCCAAGTTCCTTCCTGTTTCAAGGTCTTTGCACTTTCTATTCCCTGTACTATCAGTGTTCTTTCCTGGATTTTGCATGGCTGTGTCAGCCTAACTTTGGCCTCATTTCAATTGCCATCTTTACAGAAGGGCCTTCTGTGGTCACTTGATTTTAATGGTCCTCATCCTTCATCACTTTCTATTCTACACCGTGTTTGCTTTTCTTCATCGTAAAATATTGCATCTTACGTATGATGGTGACTTGTTTATCACATGTCTCTCCTAGAAGAATGTAGGCAAATGTAGGCAAACTTTGTCTTGTTCACCACTGAATCCCTGGTGACCTTTCCAGCCTCTGGCACATAGTAGGTGCTCAATAAATACCTGTTGAATGAAGGACGAATGAATTCAGAAAGTCTGGCTGCTCCCACACTAGGTACAATACACTTAGGGTTCCTAACTCCTGACTCCGAAGCATCCCTGTGAGTAGAGTTGACTGACTAGAGAAGTGGTCTGTTTTATTTTGTTTCTGGATCTCATAGAATACATCTATTTCTATCTTAATTAAAAAATAAGAAGAGGCAATAAAATGTGCTGTTACAGATTGGCGGGGTAAAACAATTGGCTTGACAGTAATCTAGGAATTTAATTATAGCAAAACATGCCCATGGAATATACATACTCAGGAAGAAAGAGTTTAAGAGCTTCAATAAATCATTGTTTTTAAAAACAGAAGAAGGCTTTGTGATCGTCCAGTTACTGCTGATGAGGCCATAAAGAAGCTCTAAGCAGCCTCCATGCCATGCATCATGGGCTCTAATGTGCAGGTGCCTCTTTAGAATGGAAAGCTGCCTGGGAAAAGGCTAAACCACGTGGTTATTTGTCTCAAATGGACAACAATGACTCAAAGTATGGGGAAGCTGGTTAGCGAAGCTCCTTCATGACTGACCACGTGGTCCTGCACATCTTTGACTAGGGTCCTAAGGAGAAAGGGAGAAGGGCAAGAATTGGCAGGAAGTGGTTGCAGCCCCAGTTGGGCAGTCACCTGGGTAGACAGGTTCTGGGAGCTCACCAAGCACAGCAGGCCTGGCTGCTCTTCCTCCAGGTTCAGGAGGGCTGAGGGCATCCTTCTGGGGCCCGCTTTCCTGGGTATGGGTGCAGATACAGAGTGGCTCTGCAGGCCTTCCTGTTCTGGCACCTCCTTCATTTGTCAGCTCCCCAGAGAGGCCTTTTGCCTATCTACCTAAAGAACTTTCCATTCTTGCCCCTCCTCACCACCTACCCATCACCGTCTTTAATCTTCTTCAGAGCCTTTATCCCCATCAGAAAGTGTCCTATTGAATAATTTTCTTTTTTGCGCTGCCAGGTCTCCAGTAGAATGCAAACTCCCTGAGGTCCGCTGCGCTCCCACCAGTACCTTGGACAGCGCTGGGCTCGCAGTAATTGTGTGTTAGCGAATGAACAAGTGGGCAAGGATGGAACGCTCCACCTGATCCTGAAACCGAACATTCATCCACACCAGTCTGCTCCTTAAGGGAGTGCAAGTGCTCATGACATTGATGAGTTCCCAGTGAGTCGAGGCTCTGACCCCACCCTGAATCTGCAGAAGGGTCCACGGATTGAAGTCATTATTTATTTTTAATATTTATTTATTTATTTATTTATTGAGACAGGGTCTTACTCTGTCACCAAGGCTGGAGAGCAGTGGTGCAATAACAGCTCACTGCAGACTCAGCCTCCTGGGCTCAGTGGATCCTTCAACCTCAGCCTCCTGGATAGCCGGGAGCACAGGTGCATGCCAGCATGCCCAGGAAATTTTTGTATATTTGTAGAGATAGAGTTTCACCATGTTGCCCAGGCTGGAATTTTTAATCCTGTAAACATTTGCTTGGAGCCCAATCCTGTGATAAAGCTCTTACCATCTACACACACACACATGCGTGTGAAACACAGACACGTATACATGTAACACGTTATTAATAGTGGAGTAATCATTAGTGTGGATTGCTAAACCTTTCATTAAAGAGTGCAGTAATCATTAGTGTGGATTGCTAAACCTGTCTAGCTTTCTGGCTCTTGTGCATATGGTAGGATTATACTTCTGGTGTTCTCACTACCCTACCCCATGCTTGGATGGGTTTATGTAACCAACCCTAGTAATGAGTTGTGAGTGGATTGACCTGTGTTACTTTCATGCCTGAGCACATCCTTCTGGTGTGAGAACTGAAAAAGTTCTGCCCTTCTTTGCTGCTTGGAGCAACAAGGCTCTACCTACTCAGCCTGTGACCTGCTTGGGTGAGAGTCCCCTGGTGCAGTCCTTTCACTCAAATGATGATGGGTATGTTGCTTAGAGGAGAAATAAACCTTTGCTGTTTGGAGCCACTGTGGTTAGGAAGCTTTTTGTTACTATAGCATAGCCTCGCCCACCGTGACTAATAAAAAATACTGTTTTCTTCTTTATGCAAAAATAAAGTATAACATCAACATTTTAATATGACAGAAACTTGTTGAACTCACCCAAATTCTTACTACTAAGAGGTTTGTAATGTTTCAGAGTATGTCCCTATATTCTTCCAGGGTGTGTGCGTGTGTATGGGCATGTAGAGAGAGGAAAAGGTATGTCTATTTAGATGTGTGGACATAAATATAAGAGACAAAGAAAGAGGCCTCTGTATCTATGCACCTGACTCTGACTTTATCATTGTGGCCAGTCCTTAGATTTCCGAGTTTCTAACCTGTCAAGTAAGTGAATTTGAGCCCAAGGCGGGGTCTCGATACACCCAAGGTCTTGGAGTTTAAGAGCAGAGCTGCCTGAGACAAAAAAACAAGTCTTTGTTCTCCCAGAAAGGCTCTCTCCACCACGACTCACCATTCTCTTTATTTCTTTGTTTCTTCTGATGATGGGGGATTTTTCTTTTTATGCTTGGAGCAGGGCCCAGGAAGGTATTTCAAATATCATCAGTTCTTTTGAGGCACTAGTCATTCTGTGCCTGTCTTTGCACCTTTCCTTCCCTCTGATTCCTTGGGTTTTGTGTTTATCCTCAGGCTATTTTGTTCTTCTTTAGATTGGAATAATTTCCCAGGGCTCAGGTACTTCTCCTTGGGTTAAACCGAGCTTTTTTCAAAATGTTGCTTAAGGACCATGGGCGTAAGCATTGCCTGGGTTTCTTTTTGAGCCTTCAGATGCCTGAGCCGTCTCCAGACCTGCTGAGATGAAACACCAGGGCTCGGGCCCGGGACCCAGGCATGCTTAACTCCAGGAGGAGTTTCTTATGCACTCTGAAGTTGAGGCCCATGGAATGGGCAGTAGTGTGATAATAAGCCCTGTAAGTGATTATTAAACCTCCGCAGTCCTGGGCTCAACTTTGATCACCTGTATGGTGATGCTGTCATTTGGTGATTAGGGAGTATGAAGGTCAAGTTGGAACTTCAGCAGTTTCAAAGAAACTCAAGTTGAAGAGGGATGATAAGAATGTGTTTGGGCCGGGCGCGGTGGCTCACGCCTGTAATCCCAGCACTTTGGGAGGCCGAGGCGGGTGGATCATGAGGTCAGGAGATCGAGACCATCCTGGCTAACAAGGTGAAACCCCGTCTCTACTAAAAAATACAAAAAATTAGCCGGGCGCGGTGGCGGGCGCCTGTAGTCCCAGCTACTCGGGAGGCTGAGGCAGGAGAATGGCGTGAACCCAGGAAGCGGAGCTTGCAGTGAGCGAGATTGCGCCACTGCAGTCCGCAGTCCGGCCTGGGAGACAGAGCGAGACTCCGTCTCAAAAAAAAAAAAAAAAAAAAAAGAATGTGTTTGTTCCTCTGTTCATGATCTTAGATAGGACTGGCAGGAGTAAGTCCCTTCCCTTGCATTGGACATCTGTGCTTGCCTGGCACCTGTACCTGGGAAATGGAATGTGTGTTTTCCTTTTATGGAACCACGCTTCTCCTGTTTTTGGTCCAGGGGGTTTGAGAGAGGCTGACTCCATCCCTATCCATAAGGGAACCTCCCTGGACCTGGCCTAGACAGCCAGTTTTTCCTGTTTCTTTGACTATAGTAATTTGTTCAGGGATGGGCATGACTCATCAAGCAAAGAAGACTTGAGACTTGTGCTTAGGGGACTCCTTTTTTGGGAAAGAGCTCTCTCTGCCGGAACAACAAGCTGATCAGAGGTGAGCCTGGTGCTGCTAGTGGCCACCAGAATAAAGGGGGAAATTGCCCCAGAATAAAGTCAATGGGAATGAATGTAAATTGAATGATGACATTGGGGCACCTGTATTTGGCCTGGTCCTAGGTCGTTGGGTTATGAGAGTCCATTGTTTTCTCATTTTTAATAGACCAATTTGTATCAGGTTTCTGTCACAACCAAAAGAGCCCTGGCTGATGCATCTTGAGTCTCACTCCCCAATCTGGGTTTCACAGATTGCTTGTGATGCTGGCCTGGTGCTCAGAGCTGATGGTGGTGTTTCTAAAAGGTGATTGGCAGCCCTGCAGGTAGTGTTCCTGTGACACTGGGCCAAGTGACTCAAGATGCCCAACGCGTTCACCAGGGATCGTCTCACGCAGGTGGTTGGTTTAACTCAGCAGATGGTGCCACCAGCCTCATCCTGAGCCAAAACTCAGAACAGCTGGTCGCCCCATCTCCTGTTGCTTCCCAAGGATGCAGAGAACTCTACTTGGAGACTCTTCAAGGCCTGTTCAGAGGTTCTGCCATTCATTTTCTGCCAACCACGCTGGCCCTGGTTCCAGCAAATGGCTGGCTGCACCTCCCCTCACAGGCCCTCTTGTGGAAATAGGACCAGGAAGCTGCCTGCTTGGGTTTTAGTTTTGTCTTTATTTATAAAAATAGAGTAAATCAAATATGTTGCAAGGAATTCCAGTGTGTGAATGATAAAACAGAAAACTCTTCCTGCAAAACATACAGAGCATTGTGGTTCCAATAGGCTGGGAAACGCTGGTTGCAACAGAGTAGATTTTTGTGCTGCAGGGGCAACGTGGTGCTGCTAACTGCTAACACACATGGGCTGTGACCTGACCAGGCAGGGGTGCCGGCAGCTTTTGCCAACCCAACTTGCCCATAGGACCTTGGCTTGGAGAGCGTCTCTGGGGATTACATGTTCTGCAGAGCACTCCTTGAGAATGTCTCAAGGATGAAGATGCAAAAGGATCTTCTCCCCTCCCTGGGGTGCATCTGTAGCCTTGAAAAGTCCAGCATGAGAATCAGGGTTCCATTGTTTACCTTGCTTATCTGCCAGCTTCAGGAGGGCAGATGCCTGCCTGCCTCATTTGCTGCTCTGTCTCCAGCACCTGCCACGATGCCGATGCGTGGTTGGCACTGGATGGAAGCCTGTTGAAAGAGGCAGTGAATGGTGTACGGATGAGGCCACATGTGCTTAGCATGGAAGTGAGGCGAATTGATGCAGCAGGCAGGCTTTCTGTGGCCTCTGAAGGGCCGTGGTGTGAAGGGAGGGATTAGTTATACTCCTTGTGGCTTTAGAAACCAGAAGTGGGGTCCATGGGTGGGCTTGTTGTAGAAGAGGAATTCAGCTCAGGATAAAATAGGCTTTTCTAGCAGTTGGTAGCAGCTCAACAAGCAATGCGCTGCCTCCAGAGCTGGGAACATATGAGGATTATTTTAGAAGGATTTGTGCCTCAGATTTAGGCTCGCCCACTATTATTTTTGATGGTAAGTCTGAGTCTACAATCATGTTGAGATAGCCATGTGTTCTTTCCCTGTAACTTCTTAATATATGATTTAAGCTGTTTCTGAAAGCTGTTGGCATTGAACTCCATGTTTATCGAGTCGACTTCAAATATTTGAAGGTGTTGGTAATGTTTGTTATTTGCCCCGAGAAGCCCTGAATCCATACTGCTGGGTACAGTTTGGCTTTCTTTCATAATTTCAACATATATAAAAATAAGATAATACAATAAAGTGATTGAAGAAAAAAAGTGCTTCCATTTTCAGCAGTTCATTTACAGAGTGGCTGCTTTCTTGGTGTTGTTGAGTTTTAGGGTGTGTCTCCCAGAAGTACAACCTGATAAGAGGATGCCTGTGCAAGGGCTTTATCAAGAAAGTGATCCCTGGGGAGACTGGCAGGAGGGAGTAAGAACAGCACGAGGATGGGGGGAAGCGAGCAGGGTGTGATCTCAGGTAAAGCCATGCAGACACAGAGCAGGCTTCCCTGATCCCGCAGGTGGATTCTGGAGTCTAAAAACATCTCCATCCTGTCACCATCAGAGACAAGATGGGGGAGTTGTCACACTCATACACTGCTGGAGAATGCTCTAGTTCTTAGACAGTACTTGCGTAAGTATCAAGAGTGAAGTTCCATGGTGTCTGAACTAGCTCTCAAATGCTGCAGCAAAGAAAAAAAAAGTAGACAAAAAGAGAGAAAAGAAAAATAAAACAGTGTATGCATGCTATAAATGATTCTTCAGCAAAAATATCTCTATATAAATATCTATATATAGATACATAAAGCAGACACAATGTGGCAAATGAGTGTTTAAGTGAAAGTCCATTGTTTCAACTTTTCTATAGGTTTGTAATTTTCCAGACAAAAAGAAGAAGAATTAACCATGATTCCACCTTCCAAAAATAAACACTGCCATTTCTGTTCATATTTTGGTCTGTAGTATTTCCTTCCTACTGTGGGTGTATGTGTGTAGGTGTGTGTGTGTGTAGAAGATATATTGAAAGTTGCTCTCAGAGTGGGAAAGGGTAAAATGAAACTATGGTGATATTTACACAGGGAACCCATGAACACCCAAATCCTCCCTTAGCCCAGACACTCCTTCACCATAAAACAACACAGATCCCAGTGAGCTGGTTCACACTAGTGGCGGCCTTCTTTACTTGGTCAAGGTTTGCTGGAACGCCTGTTGTCCTCAGTAAATCCACCCAAGTCCTTGGTTTGATGGAGTCCAGGAGGGTGGCTGGGGCAGGGCACGCTAGCTGCAGAGCCAAGGTCTTCCCAGCAAAATGGGAGACCCTGGAACCACTTGTCCCATGAGGCCTCGCATGCAAAGGAAGAGAGAGGCGGTGATTTTCTTCACAGGTCCTATGGAAGGAAAACAAGAGATGCCATGTGCTGGGACCTTGGTTACTTTCTCAAGTTTTCTGAACTTAGGCAATTCTTCTAAGGTACAGATCAGTGTGTCTTGCCCTTAGACCCAAGTCACCTTTGGGGAGGAAGAAGGAAGAGGCTAAGCCCGGAGTCTTGATGCCATCAAAGAGATGATGGGATAGCCACCACGGTGCTGTATGTAACCTGCTTTATTTATTTGGTTATTTGTAAGTTGATAGACTTTGTTTTTAGGGCAGTTTCAGTTTTACAGAAAAAATGAGTGGAAAGTACAAAGAGTTCCCACATGCCAAGTTCACCCCCTACCAGTTTCCCTATTATTAACAGCTTGCAGTACTGTGCTGCATTAGGTACAATCTGTGAGCCAATATTGATACGCTATTATTAACCAAAGCCCATAGTTTGCATTAGGGTTCACTCTTAGTGTTATACTTCTGTGGGTTTTGACAAATGTATAATGACATGTATCCACCATTACAGGATCATACAGAGTCGTTATTGCCCTAAAGACCCTCTGTGCTCGGCCTGTTCTTTCCTTTCTTCCTCCCCCAGAATCCTTGGCAACCACTGATCTTTTCATTTCCAACATACCATGAACATTTTCTTATGCCATTATATATTATTTAAAAATAAGCTTTTTAAAGATTTACTTTAATGTTCTCTAGTTATTATATATATTTTTAAAGACATGCATTTTTTAATTTCAATGTTCATTTTAGATACAGGGGGTACATGTGCAGATTTGTTACATGAGTACGTTACATACCGGCTGGGCACAGCCGCTCATGCCTGTAATCCAAGCACTTTGGGAGACCATGAGAGGATCACTTGAGGCTGGCAGTGTGAGACCGGCCTGGGAAACATAGTGAGACCCCATTTCTACAAAAGAAAGTTAAAAATTAGCTGGGTGTGGTGGTGCACACCTGTAGTCTCAGTTACTCAGGAGGCTGAAGCGGGAGGATTGTTTGAACTCAGGAGTTTGAGGCTGCAGTGAGTCATGATTGCACCACTGTACTCCAGCCTGGGCAACAGAGAAAGATCTTGTCTTTAAAAAACAAAAACAAAACACATTAAACCATCTGTATTAGTTAGAGTTCTGTAGAGGGACAGAACTGATGGAATATATATATGTATACTCATATATATACACTCATATATATACTCATATATATACACTCACATATATATATATATATATATATATATATATATATATATATATATATATATATGAGTTTATTAAGTATTAACTCACACCATCACAAGGTCTCACAATAGGCCATCTGCAGGCTGCGGAGCAAGGAGAGCCAGTCTGAGTTCCAAAACTGAAGAACTTAGAGTCTGATGTTCGAGGGCAGGAAGCATCCAGCACAGGAGAAAGATGTAGGCTGGGAGGTTAGGCCAGACTCCTTTTTCTGTTTTTTTTTTTGTTTTTTTTTTATTATACTTTAAATTCTAGGGTACATGTGCACAATGTGCAGGTTTGTTACACATGTATATATGTGCCATGTTGGTGTGCTGCACCCATTAACTCGTCATTTACATCTGGGTGGGTACAATCTAATCAGCTGCCAGCATAGCTAGAATATAAGCAGGCAGAAAAATGTGAAAAAGGAGTCTGAGATACCATCTCAGATGATTATATTCTAGCTATGCTGCTTATATTCTAGCTATGCTGCTTATATTCTAGCTACGCTGGCAGCTGATTAGATTGTACCCACCCAGATTAAGGGTGGGTGTGCCTTTCCCATCCCAATGACTCAAATGTTAATCTCCTTCAGCAACACCCCCACAGACCCAGTATCAATACTTTGTATCCTTCAATCCACTCAAGTTGACACCCTGTATTAACACTCACACCATCTACGGTTGGGCATTTAGGCCATTTTCAGTTTTTCACTCTACTGTCACATTGCTGTGATGAACATCCCTTCACATCACGGTTTCCCAACAGTTGACACTTTGGGAAGGATAATGCTTTGTATGGGATCTGCCCTGGGCATGGTGCGATGTGTGGCAGCACCTCTGGCCCCTACCTCCTAGATGCCAGAAACACCTACCTTCCTCCCCTCAGTTGCAACAACCCAAAATTTGTCCAGACCTTGCTGAATGCCCCTGGGGCAATATTGCTGCTGGTTGAGAAACACTGCTTGACCTCCATATATCTGCACACATCTGATTATTTTCTGGAGCTAGGGTCTTGCAAGTGGGATTAGTAATTCAGATTGTTTAAATATTTTTAATTCTTTTGATAGAGTTTTGTATACTGTCCTTCACAGAGGTGTTTATCCATATATGACAACAAATTATCCTCTTCTCCTTCCAAGGAGAGGCTACTTGGGGAAATGGGGGGAGTGTGAGGTCTCAGAGGATCTGATCTGTGATATGCAGATGTCTGGGGCCATCCTTGGAGTGATGGGTATGGGCAGAAAGAGCTCTCCACAGGACAATTAAGTTTGCCTGTTAGTAGCTTTGCCCAGCACCGGCCTGAAATCACCAGGCAGTTAAAGATGCTGATGCTATGTCGTGAGTTGCGATCTTTTGTAAACCTCTCTTTCCCTCTGGTCATCACATCCCTCCTGGCTGAAGGGAGCCCCAGGAGGGCAGGTGATGTGGCTTGGCTATGTCCCCACGCAAATCTCATCTTGAATTGCATCAAATCGTTCCCATAATCTCCATGCGTCCTAGGAGGGACCAGGTGGAAGGTAATTTAATCATGGAGGAGGTTACAGTCTTGGTGTTCTCCTGATAGTAAGTGAGTTCTCGTGAGATCTGAGGGTTTTATAAGGGGCTTTTCCCCTTTTTACTCCCTCACTTCTCCTTGCTGATGCCATGTAAAGAAGGACATGTTTGTTTCCCCTTCCACCATGATTGTACGTTTCCTGAGGCCTCCCCAGCCATGCTGAACTGTGAGTCAATTAAACCTCTTTCCTTTATAAATTACTCAGTCTCAGGTATGTCTTTGTTAGCAGTGTGGAAACAGACTATTACAGCAGGGGAAGCAGTTAGTGGCCTCATAGCACAGCCCAGTGGCCTAGCGTGAGCCCCATGAGGAACTCAGCCAGGCTCCAGTACTGGGTCCTCAAAAGGGGCAGATGAGGCTGAGCTGGTGACTGCACAGGCAGCTGCCTGATGAGAAGGGACTCCTTAAAACTAATTTAACAAAAAGTAGGTCTTCCAGCTGGCAGTGGCTTGGGCGTGAGGAACCAGACTTGACCTGACGTCTCACCCATGCTTTGTGACCAGCCCCCTCCAAGCCCCACCACGGCCCTGCCTCGCCTGCATTTTGATCCATAAACATGAGGTTTTGCTCATGATTACTTCATTTTCATCAGGAAGGGATTTAATTACCAGGTCACCGAGAGCAGAGAAATTCCAGACAGCACTTCACGCCTCCAAAATTTGCTCCTAGCTCTCCTCCCACCTGAGGTCTTAAGAACACAAACCCTCTGCAGATCTGCTGCCTCTTCCTCCTTATTTAGGTGGCTTCTCTTCAAGATTCCCCTTTCCTCTAAGTTTGCTGATTTAGATCAATCTATTTTCACCAGCTATGAAGCTTTTCCCTCCTCTAGTCAATACATGCCCCTTTTGATCAATATTCTTCTCTCTGCTAAAATTGTGTTTGTGTTTCTGTGTTGCAATCTTCTTTGTGCACATGTACCAGGAGCTGTGGGTATGTAGAAGCATGAATTGTCCACATCCCGAATCCCCTCCTGGGGAGTTTGCTGCCCCATGTTTAAAGGGAATTTACGTCCCCCTCCTGCCATGAGTTCCCACAATGGTCAGTCACTCCAGCCTCACAGCCGCCCTCATATCTCACTGTGCGGATGGGAGGTGGAGTCCACTGTGCCACTCTATGTTGGGATCTGGGGGTTTCTCCCAACATAGACTCATGGTTGGGGTAGCTGTGTGGAGACATCACCTCTCACTTCCCTCATCCTCATGTATCCAGTGCAGGTGTGCAGGGGCGGCTGATCCTGGAGAATGTGCTTCTCCTCTGCATGTAAGGGAGGCTCCATCTGTAAGGGTCACTGGCTGTGAGCTAAGCCAGATCCTTGCATGCCAGCTTTCGGTGCTCATTGGTACCAGCCACAGCTCCTTGTGAGTGCTTTAGGAACACAAGTCTCACCTTAACCTTCTTAATAAATCTCATTTGGCCATAAAATAGTAGGTGCTCACTAAATATGCTACAGTAGTCCCCTCTTATATGCAGGGATTAATTTCTTAGACCTCTACTAGAGGCCTGAAATCAAGTATAGTACTGAACCCTATATATAATATGCTTTTGTCTTACAAACACATACCTGTGAGACAATTTTATCTATAAATTAGGCACAGAAGGAGATAAATAATATCTAATAATAAAATAGAATCCTCATAACAATGTATTTTAATAAAAGTTATGTGAATGCAGTCTCTCTCTCTCAAAATAGATATTGTACTGTACTCACCCTTCTTCTTGTGCTGATGTGAGACGATGAAGCCCCCAGGTGATGAGATGAGGTGAGGTGAGTGGTGTAGGCATTGTGAGTCACTGTTAGGCTGCTATTGACCTTTTGACCACAAGTCAGGAGAAAGATCATCTGCTTCGGGGGATCTTGGATTGTGGAGCCATGACGATGTCCTACCGATGGACCAATGTCAGGAACAGAGGATGTGGATGACTAATGCGTGGGTAGTGTATACAGTGTGGACGCACTTGAGGACTAAACTCTGATATTTTACTTCTCTTGCCCAAATTCCTATCTAAGGGGCCTGGGGAGTCTGCTCCACATCTCTTTAGAGGGGTCCTATTTAACATAGCTCACTTTCCAACCCTACTCTGGTATAATATCACATTATAGATAAAGAAGGAAATCAAAATATTTTACCCCTAAATATATTTATTTGCCATATTTTGAAATGACCTGCAAAGCTATTTTTGCAGGGGACAATTGTCTCTGCAAAGAATCTCTATTAAAACAGCTGGATCTTTCCCCGTCCCAGGCCCTCCCAATCCTGAAGAGACTAACTGAGCATCTGGCACCTAATAGAGGCCCGAATAGGAAACATTTGCCATCTACTGTCTCCAAGGGTGGTCACCTATGAGCTTTCATCTATACAACAAGGGACTTGCTCTCCACGACCCCTTATTTTGACCCAGACACGCCTTTCTAGTGATTCCAGGCCTTTCAATAATAACTTAGCTTTTTCATCCAATTGCCCATCAGAAAATGTTTGAATCCACCTGTGTCCTGTAAGACTCCTTTTCCAAGTTGTCCTACCTTTCCAAACAGAAGCCATGCACACCCACATGCACTGATTGATGCCTGACGCCTCTCTCAAACATGTAAAACCAAACTGCCTGACCACCTTGGACACATGTTCTCAGAACCTCTTGAGATTGTGCCCTAGGCCTTGGTCACTCATATTTGGGCAGAATAAACTGCATTAAATATTTTACAGAGTTTGACTCCTTCCCACGACACCCTGGACAAAGGATGATTTACATCCCAGGTGGGACAGGGCAGGATGGTGCGAGATTTCATCACGTTACTCGGAATGATGCACAATTTACAACTTATAAATTGTTTCCTTCTGGAATTTTCTAATTAATATTTCCAAAACTCAGTTGTCACCAGGTAACTGAAACCATGGGAAAAAAAAAAAAACCTGTGGATAAGCAGAGGGTCTACTGTAATTAAGTCATGGAGAATGCTATCTCATCTCCCCAAGGACTACTGTTTTAAATGGCATTCATTTAATAGGGATCGTCCAGTTTTCAATAGAAGAAAATAATTACATCTCATTGCTTGAGCAGGGTAACATGGTTAGACAGGTCTGAGTAAGAGCCTTATTTTTAAAACGTATGAAAACAAAACTCTCTTTTGTTTATGAAAACTATTTTTAATTTATATTCTTGTCTACATGCACACAGGCCAAACCAGTGACTTGGTGCCTGCATCATGATCTTAACAGGACAGCTGATGAGTAAAGAAGAACTCAACTCTGTAGTGGGGAGGTCAGAACAAGAGCTCACATGTATCCCAGTGCCTCCTGAAGCCAAAATGAGCAAATGCAAGATGGTGGGATGAGAGGTGATGTTTACAGATCTGGATCTTTCTCCACAACTGTAGCCTGTGGGCCCTGGGACCGAGTAAATTAAGATGGAAACCATGTGGCTGGCAGCCTCCGAATTGGTTTTATTGCCATATGATGCCTACACCAGGGGAATTGAACAATGTCCTGGACTGAGCCTGAGTCAGAAAGTGAAACTTTGACAAAAGGTTTCATAAGTTTCAAAATGATATATAAATTCCCATGGTCCCTTCCGTCAATTCACTCCCAGTCAACACCACCAACTCCTGAAGGACATGGGGGATGGAGGGAAGGAAGTATCAACAGAGAGTGGCAACCTTCACAGAGTGTCCTGAGTGGTCTAGGTTTATTCTTCAGTAGTGCAGATAAACTGTGTCTAAACTCTCTGGGGCTCCAAGTGGGAGCTTCAAATTCTTAAATCTAGATGGACAGTCCTGTGGTTCTCTAGGTGTCATTCCTGGACAAGCAGCAGCAGATCACCTGGGAAATTTACTGGGAATGCACATTATCAGCTCCCCACAGGCCTCCCGAATCAGAAGCCCAGGGTGAGACCAGCAATCCGGCTTTCATGGCCAGCAGGGGATCCTGATGCATGCTCAAGTTTGAGAACAACTGGGATACACATTCCACATTACCAGCATTCGTAATCTTATTTACGGAGGGCTCTAAATTTCCTGCTAACTGAACCACTCTAAATTAGCTGAGAATTAAAAGAAGAAGGAATGCTATTACATAAATGAAGGCTATTCAAATCTCCACGCCTTGAGGAACAACTTGAGCCCTGGAGGGCAGTGGCAGGGGAGGAAGTATTATAGTAACTGGTGGTTACAGAGCAGAGATTGAGGCCAGTCCTCCTGGGTCAAGCGCATGCACCGCTGCATCCAGCTGCATGATCGGGGCTAAGTTCCTTAATCTCTTTGTATCTTGTTTCCTTCTTCCATAAAATTCTCATCTATAGCGCCTACCTTATGCAGCTGTTGGAGGGTTAAATCAGTTGAGTGAAGCATTTAGAAGCTTTCCTGGCCAAGACTAAGCGCTCCTTGTTGTTGTTAGTATTATTTATCTGAATTAATTTTCAGTTCTTCTCCCATTTTTAACAGATCTCAACAGTGCTCTTATCTTCTTCCATAGCAACACGTCAAAAAACAAATGCACCATCATCCTTTCCGTTTAAATTAGGAATGTGACCAGATTTAAGGAACAGACATTCAGTTTAAACAAATGAAAAGTTATTTTTCTTGCCTCGGAATCTGAGGCCTGGCAGTTGCTGATGTCTTTTAGTGACTCATTCATGTGACTCTCCTCTAAGACCCCTTCCTTTTAGCTCTGCAGAGTCAGAACTGGGTCACTCGTGGGTCAGTAGGCCTGGGGTGGGGGATGAGAATTTAAATGGCCAACAAGTCTGCAGGGACTGCTGCTGCTGCCAGCCTGCAGGCTCCGCTTAAAAGCCAATGCCTTGAATGCATCAGGACTCATCATCTGAGACTGGGAACATTGTGCCTTGAAGAAAATCAGGATGGTGTTAGCACGAGTGAAGGGGGACAGATGTGAGGTCTCAACAGGCAGCCCGAGACACATCTCCTTCCAACAGGCTTTGTCCTGACTTTCCTTGCTCTGATGAGGTCACCATCCATGTCCTAATCCCCAGAATTCATGGCACACCCTTGTGGATAACAATGACCATCCTCAAGTGCCCAGAGGACACACGGAGGATGCTGAGTTTCGGGGGAATATTTCATATGATGCTGGTAGTGAAAAGAGGTTTCTTCGGCCTGAAAACTGGTGTTATAGTAGAAACGTGGCACGGCAGCTATAGCCCGCAGGGGCTTCTCCTATCTCTGGACATCCTTCCTTTCTCTGCATGACACCTCTGCATGCTGGCTGAGCACCTGCTGACCTCAGAGGGGCATCCTTCTGAGGAAGTTTGTGGTCAGACCAGAAGGCATAACTCTCATAGAGGCAAAATCACTTTGGAAAATACAAGTAACTTTAATAAATCCCTTCCAATTTGAGAACAGATTATCATGTCTTTATTGAATCCCATATAAAATGATAGAAGTTTATTTTCATTAAACATGGACTACGTGCCAGGCACTCTAAAATACCCTAAGTAATGCATTTAATCTTCACAACAACCCACTGAGGAAAGTGCCAGCATCATGCCCGTGGATTGGTGAGAGAACTGAGGCACAGAGAGGTGAAGGAACTTGCCCAGGTCACACAGCTTGTCAGTGGTGGGGCCAGATTTGAATATAGGTAGTCTGAATTTGGTGCTGTTTCTCTCCAAAATGAAAGGTCTTGGCTGGCACCTTGGAGTCATATTGTAGGAAAAACACATATCTTCAAGTACCGGAGTCAGAGACTACGGTAAGCTATTTCCCTGGAAGAGGCACAGGGGAAACAGGGCAGCTGGGGAGTCACAGGCTCACGGCCCCCGCTCAGCTGGGGAGTCAGGCTCACGGCCCCCGCTCAGCAGGGGAGTCACAGACTTACAGCCCCCTTCAGCTGGGGAAATCACAGACTCACAGCCCCCACTCCGGCTCATTGCAGACACGTGCTCCCACAAGCCCCCCACTCCGGCTCATTGCAGACACATGCTCCCAGGGTGGAACAGAGAGTTTTGCAAGTGGTTCTGTCGTCCATCTCTTTGTCACTTCTGGATTTCCTGCACCTGGAACAGTGATCGGTGCAGAGGAGTTGCTCCATGTCCCCGTGTTGCAGAATGAATTAGATGATGAGCACAACGTCCCCCACAGAGCATTTTACCCAGGGTCTTCAGTCGCCTCCTGGGTCTACTTCACCAGGGTATAGTTACGCTAAATGGTTTTCTCAAATATGTTTAGCGATGCCCTGGTATAAACACACCTGCTGATAATTTTGGATATGACATGATTGGCGACTACCTCCTATCCTCCACCACAGCCTCATTCTGATTTTCGTTTTAACTCTGTAATTATGCAAACTCAAGTTTTATACGTGATTGATTTTTTTTCCTTGCATTATGGAGGAATTTTCCTTTGTGTGTACATGTGATAGATGGAAAGAGAGAGATAGGCAACTACATCAGCAACACAGAACAGCAAAATGACCAGCTACTGAACTCACAGGCATCTTTTTGACTAGCAAAGGATAATCAGCAACCAGCCTCACTAATTTCCATGTTTTAACCCCAATTAAGAAAAGTGCCTTCCTGCAGGTGGTGTCACTTCAATCCCCTCCCTGAATGTCTTCAGCCTGGTAGAGCCCAGGTTTGTACTCTCCCTTAAGGGTCAAGAGGCCATCATGAAAAGCTACTGAGCTAAGCCCTGGGGATGCGAAGTGAGCAAGACGTGGTCCTGCCCTCATGAGTTTTACATTTTAACTGGGAAAATGGAATATTGACAGCGAAGTGCATAAGCATAGAATTGCATTGTGGTCATTTCTATGAAACGGGATGGGGGGCACTCCTGGAGCGGATCCCAGTGGACCCGGCCTGAGTCGTCACTTCTAAAGGATGGGTAGGAATGTGTCAAAGATGGGGAGAAGTCATTCCAGGGGGAGGAAACCAAAGGCGCGAAGCGGGAGAGTGAAGTGTTCAAAGTGCCGAAGAAGGTGTTGCTGTCATCTATCCACTTCAGGCTCCCCAGAAGTGGAGCATTCTCCAGAGGTTTGGGGAAACCACCCCATGTGAGTCTTTTGGAGCTGGGGTCCTGTCTCCCACGAAAGGGCCGGACAAGGCCAGGCCCTGGCTCCCTTGCCCCTGTGGTCTGTGATGAGGTTCATGACTCTGAGGCAGGGGTGGGGATGTTAGCTCAGTGCAGTAGGGACTTTAGAGTTCATCCAGGTGATGATGATGCAGGTAATGGCATCTGGTGGCCTTAGTGCCAGCCAGGCTCCCTCGGCTGCTTTCCCCGTCCTAAGCCTGGTCCTGTAGCACCCCCATCAGGCCTATGGGCTCTCCAATAGCCTTGAGCCCAGCAGTAACTTCCCATTGCTCTGTAACTTAAGTTAACCAGAGGCAGATTCTCTTCTTGGCAGTGCAGAACCTTGACCCTTACAGAGGACCAATGTGGCTGGAGCCCAGGTAGGAGGGAGAAAGTGCAGGACCCGTCAGCCGGCCAGCCCCTCCCTGCCCTGCAGGGCCTCGGCAGTGGCAAGCTGCGAAAGGGTTTCAAAACACATGGGTGTGGAGCAGGCCGTATAAAAAACTCATTATTTCCTGAGGCATACAGGGTTTGGAAGGGGACTGGAAGGAGGATTCTATTTTCTCTTTCTTTTGAACATCTGGAACTCTAAAGAGTGTTACTTTTTAAGTTGCCACCAGGAATGATGGAAGAAACGGGTTACCCATTTACAGGATGATTACCAAGCTGCAGCCTGCATGAAGTCCATTTTTACAGCTTGCTCTGACCCCCCAAAATGCAGAGTTGATAATGACAGTTGGGGTAATGCTTTGAGTTCAATGGCGTAGCAATAAAGAAATCTAAGTGGAAAGTGCTTCTCACTCCTGGCTAAGTCCTTCTCTCAGCAAAATTTCGCTTCAAGTATCTTTTCATAATAAAATAATTCTGTATTCCAGCTGAGAACTCCATGCACTCACTCGCTAGTCATGTGGCAATAGCCTGTTTTTTCACTGCTGGGCAGGATTTGCTAATGGGCACTTTATGGCTAAGTGTGTTGTCCCTTTGGGAAAAAAATAATTTTATCCCAGCGCATGTCTGTCTCCAAGTCTACTGATCAGTGGCATTATTATGCTTGCAAGAGTCATTTGTAAGCTTTTCAAGTGATATGCCAACGTCTCTCCCCTCCTCCGGTAAAAGAGAAAAAATGCTAAAAGCAAAAAGCTAGATCTCCCAGGGGACGGGGGGAAGCGTCCTTGCCATCAAATCGATCTTTATCTTACATGTGTTATAAATCAGGATATGCCCTGCTTGCTGCTGTTTTTGTGCATGTTCCCAAAGGCAGCCTAGCTATTAAATAAGAGCAGAAGTGGTCTCAGAAGAGAATTCAAGTTCCTGTCTCACTCCTTAGCTGTCAGATTGAGAGAAAGGGCCCCAAACTCTGAGCCGTGATTTTCTCATCTGTGAAAAGGGAACAGTAAGGATATTTGGTTTTTAGGATGATTGTGAAGATTAAATGACATAATAAAGTCTAAAAAGCACTGAGCATTATTTTGAGTACAGAAGAAATGCTACTTTGCAGTTGTCTCTGCTTTTTCTTTCTTCAGTAGGTGCAATTTTTGCAAATGCCTCAATATTCAATGGATAGTCTATGTTCGAGAGTATTCTTCTCACCTATGCTGTTAATCACAAGCCAATTTGGGGACAAGACAGAGATAAACATCTGTATCTTTATTTTTTCTTAAAACATTGCTGAATTTCTTAAAAACAAAACTTTCCTGAAATTTGCTTGTTATGTGCTGAGAACTAACACATACTCAGTCCTTACTGACAGTGACTGTCTGTGAGAGGTTTGTGTGTGTGTGGTGTGGATGTTCTTATGAACATTTTCATAGATGGATAAGCTGATATTCAAGAGGTTGAGTAACCTGCCTAGGGTTGCCACTGAAGTAAGAGTCAAACAAGGCGATGAATTAAGGTGCTTGAGAAGCCGAGTTTCTTCTTAATCTTAAAACATCCTCCCAGCTTCTCTGCCATTCTTTGGTGCTCTCATTCCTAAAGGAAGATAACCCCAATTTAGAATATGTAGGTCAGCATGACAGGTGGTCTGGAAATGGGTCATTAGAATGTCAGATATTCTGGCAACAGTGTTTCTCAAATTCAGCCATGCGGGCTGCCAGGTCCACGTCTCCTGCCCCCATGAAGTGAACTTGAGCTTTCTTGTTGGTGGCTCTTGAACGAGAGACCAAACAAGGCACTGACCCGCCGTAGTTGTTGTCAAGCAACTCATGTAAGCCCAAAACCACCAAGGGAATGTCCTTCCCACAGGTGAGCTAGTGTGGGGTCCTAAGCTTGACTTGTTCATGGTGGCTGCCACCAGACCAGAGGGGAAAACTGAGTAAAAACCATCCTATATTCACTAATAAAATATAA
Organism: Homo sapiens; assembly: GCF_000001405.40. Taxonomy (NCBI): domain Eukaryota; kingdom Metazoa; phylum Chordata; class Mammalia; order Primates; family Hominidae; genus Homo; species Homo sapiens. The sequence goes on from NC_000020.11 coordinate 60,367,374, forward strand.
TACAGAAGTATATTTGTCTTTTATAAAACTTCTTACCCAATACATTTAGTGAACTCAGTTATTTTTTTTTTCACCTTATTAGGCAGGAATAACATTGATCCCAAAGCTAGTTAGGGAACAAATAAGAAAAAAGGTATTATAGGAAAATCACTTTTGATTAATTAGATGTGAAAATTCTTTAAAATTTTTTTTTATTATTATACTTTGAGTTCTGGGTTACATGTGCAGAATGTGCAGTCTTGTTACTTAGGTATACACGTGCCCTGGTGGTTTGCTGCACCTATCAACCCATCACCTACATTAGGTATTTCTCTCCCCTAGCCCCCAACCCCCTGACAGGCCCCGGTGTATGATGTTCCCCACCCTGTGTCCATGTGTTCTCATTGATCAACTCCCACTTATGAGTGAGAACATGCAGTGTTTGGTTTTCTGATCTTGTGATAGTTTTCTGAGGATGATGGTTTCCAGCTTCATCCGTGTCCCTGTAAAGGACATGAACTCATCCTTTTTTATGGCTACATAGCATTCCATGGTGTATATGTGCCACATTTTCTTAATTCAGTCTATCATTGATAGGCATTTGGGTTGGCTCCAAGTCTTTGCTATTGTGAATAGTGCCGCAATAAACATGTGTGTGCATGTGTCTTTATCGTAGAATGATATCTAATCCTTTGGGTATATGCCCAGTAATGGGATTGCTGGGTCAAATGATATTTCCAGTTCTAGGTCCTTGAGGAATTGCCACACTGTCTTCCACAATGGTTGAACTAATTTACACTCCCACCGACAGTGTAAAAGCGTTCCTATTTTTCCACAACCTCTCCAGCATCTGTTGTTTCCTGACTTTTTAATGATGGCCCTTCTAACTGGCATGAGATGATATCTCATTTGGTTTTGATTTGCACTTCTCTAATGATCAATGATGATGAGCATTTTTTCATATGTCTGTTGGCTGCATAAATGTCTTCTTTTGAGAAGTGTCTGTTTGTATCCTTTGCCCATTTTTTGATGGGGTTGTTTGTTTTATTCTTGTAAATTTGTTTAAGTTCCTTGTAGATTCTGGATATTAGCCCTTTGTCAGCTGGATAGATTGCAAAATTTTTCTCCCATTCTGTAGGTTGCCTGTTCATGCTGATGGCAGCTTCTTTTGCTGTGCAGAAGCTCTTTAGTTTAATTAGATCCCATTTGTTAATTTTGGCTTTTGTTGCCATTGCTTTTGGTGTTTTAGAAATGAAGTCTTTGCCCATGCCTATGTCCTGAATGGTATTGCCCAGGTTTTCTTCTAGGATTTTTATGGTCCTAGGTCTTACATTTAAGTCTTTGATCCATCTTGAGTTGATTTTTGTAAAAGGTGTAAGGAAGGTGTCCAGTTTCAGTTTTCTGCATATGGCTAGCCAGTATTCCCAACACCATTTATTAAATAGGGAATCTTTTCCCCATTGCTTGTGCGTGTCAGATTTGCCAAAGATCAGATGGTTGTAGCTGTGCAGTGTTATTTCTGAGGCCTCTGTTCTGTTCCATTGGCCTATATATCTGTTTGGGTACCAGTACCATGCTGTTTTAGTTACTGTAGCCTTGTAGTATAGTTTGAAGTCAGGTAGCGTGATAGCTCCAGCTTTGTTCTTCTTGCCCAGGATTGTCTTGGCTATGCAGTCTCTTTTTTTGGTTCTATATGAAGTTTAAAGTAGTTTTTTCCAATTCTGTGAAGAAAGTCACTGGTAGCTTGTAGTTCTCCTTGAAGAGATCCTTCACATCCCTTGTAAGTTGTATTCCTAGGTATTTTATTCTCTTAGCAGCAATTGTGAATGGGAGTTCACTCATGATTTGGCTCTCTGTTTGTCTGTTATTAATGTATAGGAATACTTGTGTTTTTTGCACATTGATTTTGTATACTGAGACTTTGCTGAAGTTGCTTATCAGCTTAAGGAGGTTTTGGGCCGAGACGATGGGGTTTTCTAAATATACAATCATGTCATCTGCAAACAGAGACAATATGACTTCCTGTCTTCCTATTTGAATACCCTTTATTGCTTTCTCTTGCCTGATTGCCCTGCCCAGAACTTCCAATACTATGTTAAATAGGAGTGGTGAGAGAGGGGCATCCTTGTCCTGCGCCGGTTTTCAAAGGGAATCATTCCAGTTTTTGCCCATTCAGTATGATATTGGCTGTGGGTTTGTCATAAATAGCTCTTATTATTTTGAGATATGTTCCATTGATACCTAGTTTACTGAGAATTTTTAGCATGAGGAGTGTTGAATTTTATCGAAGACCTTTTCTGCATCTATTGAGATAATCATGTGGTTTTTGTTATTGGTTCTGTTTATGTGATGGATTACATTTATTGATTTGCATTTGTTGAACAGCTGTAAATTCTAGTAAGTTCTAGTAGAGTTGAATTTGCTCCTGACCAAGCTTTCTGATGATCTTACAAGTCACTACTGTGATCTGTAGTTGGAGGGATTATCATGGAGGAAATGTGGATAGTTCAAGCTCATTGCCAATTAATATGGTTTAGATCTGTGTCCGTGCCCAAATTTCATGATGAATTGTAGTCCCCAATGTTGCAGGTAGGGCCTGGTGGGAAATGATTGAATCCTGGGGGTGGATTTCTCCCTTTGTGCTGTTCTCCTGACAGTGGGTGAGTTCTCATGAGATCTTGACATTTAAAAGTGTGTGGCACCTCCCTCGTCCCTCCTCCTGTTACAGTCATGTAAAGGCTGCCGCTCCCTTCACCCTCCACCATGATCGAAAGTTTCCTGAGACCTCCCCAAAAGCCAAGCAGATGCCAGCATTATGCTTCTTGTATAGCTTCCTATGAGCCAATTAAACCTATTTTCTTTATAAACTACTCAGTCTCAGGTATTTATAGCTGTGGGAGGATGGGCTAATACACCAATCAACTACGATAAAGTTGGAGGACAGGGTGGGACAGGGGAATATGTCTACTGTTTCTGACATGGTCCCTCTAATCTTCCGAAACAGTGATTCTCAACTGGGGACGATTCCCCTCCCAACCAGGAGACATTTGGCAACATCTGGAGACATTTTTAGTTGTCACAAGGGGGAGGGGGGTGCTCTTGGCGTCTAGTGAGTGGAGTCCAGGGAGGCTGCTAAACATCCTACAATGCACTGGACTGACCCTCACAACAAAGAATAATCTGGCTCCAAATGTCCATAGTTCAAAGATTGAGAAATCCTGTTTGAAGTTTAAAAACAAAAAGCTGATCATCAAAAATCTAGAATTGTCCACTGAAAAGGTCAATTTTACTGTATATCAATTTAAGAGTAGAAAAATAAAACATTATCACACAGGCCTCTAGATTTAATTACCAATTCACAGAAAGTGCAGAAGAGTAGGACTTGTTAAAATGAGGCCAGGAGGATGCAATTTGCAAAATCTAGACTTTAGAAAAGTCTATAGTACATGTGACCTTACCAAACCCTGTAAGAAAATAAAAGACAAGATACATATCAATGAATTGCAATGTATAGACCTCATTTCTAAAAACCAAACTAAAAAAGTCATTCTTCGATGTTCACAGGGGATTGGTTCCAGGACAACCTTCCACCCCCAACCCCCAACACCAAAATGTGTGAATGCTCAATCCTCTAGCATAAAATTTGCATGTAACCTACACACATCCTCCCATACACTTTAAATCATCTCTAGATTACTTGCAATACCTAACACAGTATAAATGTTATATAGTTGATATATTGTATTGTTTTTTATTTGTATTTTTATTGTTGCATTGTTACGTTTTATTTTCTTCAACTAGTTTTGATCTGCATTTGCTTGAATCTATGGACGTAGAACCCACACAGATACAAAGGCCACTGGATATAAGATGATTAAGGAGGTGAACAGAAACTGAATATCTCATGGTGTTAAAACATTATTGTTTTTAATGCAGTATCATATTGTGGTTAGGTATAAAGGAGTCTCTGTCTTTTAGCGATATATTTTGATATACCCACAGAAGAAATTATGTTTGAATTCTGTTTCAAAATAATTGGAGGGAGGAGAGTCTGTGATTACAGATGGAACTAAATTGGCATGAGTTGATCCCAGTTGATGAATGCATGGGGCTCAATATTCTTTCTCTGTACTTTTGCCTATGTTTGGAATTTTCCATACTAAAATGTTTTCAAAAACAAACAGTGCCAAAAGCCGAGTTACATCGGCCAAATTCTCACAGCTCAGGCAATGCTATCTAACTCAGACGGGCCCTACATGTCTGTTCTCCTCACAGTACCCCACGAGACCACCGAGGGGCCTCCTTGGCTTCCACAGAGGACACTGGGACTTGGAGTTTGAGCAATTGCCTGTGTGGGTGGGTGCGTTAGTGGTGGGGCTGGAATTCAAGCTCAGATCCTTCTGCCCCCCAAATCCTGGTTCTTTCTGGTCTGCCCTGTTGCCCACCTCCTGCAGAAGGCAGGTGTTGCTGTGCAGGGTGGGCGGCAGCCTATGCTGATCAGCTCCCTTCTAAAGCTGCACATAAGCCCTCCTTGTCACCTGGTATTTAGACAGCTGAACCTTAAGGAATCACAACATAATGCCTGATTTCTACCCTGGGAACTGCAAACTAATTCCAGGTCGAAATGTAAATATTGTCCCCATGGAGAAGAGGTGGTTTTAGCTGCTTATAAATGGGAAATGCTGGCAGCTGTTAATATTGATAGTTATTCCCTGAAAAATGACTTCAAGGTTCTACTAATCAATTGTCTCTCAGAATGAAGAACGGCGCACTCTGCTCTCCCGGAATCACAACATGTATTTATAAATACATGCTTCACAGAACAGACAGGAAAAATGAGCCAAGTCTTTGGCATGATGATCTGTTATTCAGAGTGAAGAAAGCAATTATTAGCATCTATATTGGACTTTGAATTTACAAAATTCTTTCTTTAAAAAAAATGGCCATTGCAGCTATTTTGTGTTTCCGTTGTTTGATCTTCAATTAGGTATACTGAATTGTGCTACTTGGCATTGGATTGAAAGTTAACAAGGGCTGGGACTGTTTTTTTTTTTTTTTTTTTCTCACTTGGTAAATAAGTAGCTTTGCACTTGGCTAGAAACATCTGGATGATTTAGGCACTGGCTTGTAACAATGTTTGCTTTGCCATGTCCTCCTAGAACTGATGTTTGCATGAAAGGCTCATGGCAATGAGTTTCTTACTCAGCCTGGATTTAATGTGAGATGTATGAGGGAGCTTTTGGTTCTCTCTCTTCAAAACTCTTCTGGGAACTGGGATCTGGAGAGGTGTGAATTGGATTCTAAGATGATCTCTTGTTGTAATCCCTGCCCTTGAAAGTGGGTGTGACTGGTAACTTGCTTTTAGCAATTGAAAATGGCAAAGGGGATGGAATGTCATTTATGTAATTGTGTTACAATAGATGGCAACATCTGTCTTGCTAGGAGACCCTCTCTCCCTTGCTAGCTTTGAGAACAACCCCACCCCCCGACCATGCTAAGGATGCTTCTGTGGCAGGAACTGTGGGCATCCTCTGGGTAACAGCCAGCAAGGGAGACCTCAGTCTGACAGCTGCAAGGGAGTGTGGCTGCCATCCAACCATGTGAACTCAGAGACGAACCCTGCCACAAGCAAGCCACTGTGGGCACCTTGATTGCAGCCTTTGAGAGACCCGGAAGCAGAGAGAGGGCCCAGCTAAGCTGTGCTGGACTCCTGGCCCACAGAAACCACGAGATCATAAAAATGTGTTGTTTTAGGGAACTAGTTTGTGGTCAGTTGTTACACAGCAATAAACTGATAGAGCAGGTAAAATAACCCACTGTGGTTACCCAGGTAGTTAATGGTAGACCAGGGACTAAAATTAATTTCACTTTACTCTTTCTGAGAGTTTGCTCAAGGCAAAATTTTTAGGCTCCTGATGTAAAGCAAGGAGATTAGCTGGTGGAGTTAGTGATGGAAAATGAATAAGTGTTGAGGGTAAGAACTTTAAGAACTCTTCTAGCACATTCCCAATTTACCTTTTTACGAAAGTAGAAGACTTCTGAGGATCAAATATCATATCCCAATATCTCAGCACTTACTATAGCCTAGGATTTTTGAGAAAACTAACTTATTTAATCCTCAAAATAACCATATTTATTCTATATTATTTATGCCTATCTATATTATTATGCTTAAAAGAAAACTAATGTCCAGAGAGATGCAATGACTTGAAACATTTTATGCAGGTGGTGAGCAGTCTGACACCATAGTCCGGCTCTCAACCTCCACAACCTGCAGGTCCATTTTAGTAAAATAAAACTGCCTGGCACATAGTTATAAAGTGGGCACAAGATCGTATTCCAGTGTTATGAATGAGTGAACACACTGCAGATATGTGGGGACTTGGGTGTGCAGGTGGGTTGTAAAATGTGCCTGGGATTTGGCTTAAGCAGGTATGATAACACATGCAGACACAGAAATGATTGTCATTAAGAAAGAAGTTGTATTATGCTCAAGGTCCTGAGAGACAGGGAGCAGACTCACCATGTGGGGCCATGGGGAGAAGCACGAAGGGAGATGAGCGGGCAGCGGGAAGGAGGAGCTGCAGTGGGAACCTTCACTGTGTTTTCATGGGAAGGAATGGGAGAAACAAAGTGAGCAAGTGGGGCAGGCTTTGCATTGGAAGTTTTGAATAATTCTGGCAGTCTCTGAGCTATAGGAGTGATAAGGTTTGGCTACATCCCCACCCAAATCTCACATCGAATTGTAATAATCACCTGTCAAGGGCAGGGCCAGGTGGAGATAATTGAATCATGGGGGCGGTTTCCCCCATACTGTTCTCATGGTAGTGAATAAGTCTCACGAGATCCGATGGTTTTATAAATGAGAGTTCCTGTGTACACGCTCTCTTGCCTGCTGCCGTGTAAGATGTGACTTTGCTCTTCATTTACCTTCTGCCGTGATTATGAGGCCTCCACAGCCACGTGAAACTGTGAGTCCATTAAACCTCTTTCCTTTGTAAATTACCCAGTCTCAGGTATGTCTTTATTAGCAGTGTGAGAACAGACTAATATGAGGAACTTATCCTAGTTGTTTGGTATCTAGCTCTGGGGTGATTAGGGGAGGAGAATTGTGTCTCAGACTTCAGGAGCTTAAGAAGATGTGGGTATGAACTTTGACTGATTTGCATATGCAAAGTGTGCTCTCAGGCAAGACATTCGCTATCTAGGAATTAGCTAACCCTAGGAGAAGTGGTCCTTTTCCAGGTCCCCAAGGCCTCAGATGCCAGAGCATCAGCAATAGAGAAAATAAGAAAATATAGTTAACATAAGATGCTATAATGCCATACGAGCTGTTGACAAAGCATTGGCAATAGTTAGGAGATCAGACTCTTTCTAAGTTATGAAAGAGCACTGCAGAAAAGTTAATTCCTGGCCAGCGGTGGTGGCTCATGCCTGTAATCCCAGCACTTTGGGAGGCCGAGGCGGGTGGATTACCTGAGGTTGGGAGTTCAAGACCAGCCGGACCAACATGGAGAAGCCCCATTTCTACTGAAAATACAAAATTAGCTGGGCGTGGTGGTGCATGCCTGTAATCCTAGCTACTCAAGAGGCTGAGGCAGGAGAATCGCTTGAACCTTGGAGGTGGGGGTTGCGGTGAGCCGAGATCGTGCCATTGCATTCCACGCTGGGCAATAAGAGCAAAACTCCATCTCAAAAAAAAAAAAAAAAAAAAGTTAATTCCTTACAGATGAACTCGGGTCTTTGGGGCCAAAGGCATCACTGTGTCACTCTTATTCCAAGCACAGATAGTGAGATGAGAGATTGCAACTCCTCCCTCCTCTGAAACAGTGACATTATGTTTACATGTTTAGAAAAACACAGTGGCTATCTCCATTCTTAGGTAATGTGTGTTTGATCATTCTTGTTGTTTTTCTGTGCTTAAATACAACCATTGCTTTTAGAGACCCCTGATTGGCCCTTTGTCATAATAAGCACTGACAATGATTTCTAAAGTATAGCCTCCTCTCTCTTTAAGGGATTGAATGCTCGACATCCAATACTCTCCTGACTTACAAAGTTAGCCAGTGCATGCTTTGTTTTTGGTGCATCTTCCAGAAAACTCACCCGTCTATTTACCCATTAGGTTAGTTACATTCATCATGAACTGTGGAAGGTGAATGTTGGAAAATGACAAGATTCCTCTAAGAAGTCTATTACGAAGCCCAGCTTTTCTTCCCTTTCAAGTCTATAACCCATTTTTTTTTTCTACAAAGAAGAATACATCGTTTTCTTTTTAATGTGGTGTGAATATAGAAAGACTGGAAACTGTGTCTGGGCATCAAAACCAGAAAATCACCCTGCCTCCCATCCCCAGCATCAGAAATCCTGTCATTTGCAGCAACATGGGTAAAACTGCAGGTCATTATGTTAAGTGAAATAAGGCAAGCACAGAAAGACAAATATTGCATGTTCTCACTCATATATGAGAGCTACAAAAGCAGGTTTTGTGAAGATAATAGATTGGTGGTTACCAGAAGCCAAGAAGAGCTGGTGGGGGCAAAGGGGAAGGTTGAAGAGAGACTGATTAATAGGTATACCTACACAGTTTGATAGAAGAAATAAGACCTACTGTTCGATAGGTCAGTAGGGTGACTATAGTTTACAATAATCTATTGTATATTTCAAAATAGCTAGAAGAAAATAATTCCAATATTTCTAGCATAATGAAAAGATATTTAACATGATGAATACCCTAATTATACTGATTTGATTTTTACAAATTATATGAATGCATTAAGTTATCATATGTACCCCCCAAATAGGTACATTTATTATGTATCAAAAAATAAAATAAAAAAGATAAGTCTCTAAAGTCTTCCCCGTAAATATATTGCAAGGCATAGAAACATACAGTTAAGAAGCAAAAGGAAGTTGACAAAAAGATGCAACCATGTCAAATGCTTCCTGAATTAATCCACAAAATGTATGGAGAAGATCTAAAAAACTTAGAATGTCTCTTAGGGTAGACTGTTTTATCTGCAAGTCAGAGTGCTGATGCCAGGCATTCTCCAACATGGTCTGTTCACATCCCATCTTCATTCATTCACTCATTTATTTCTTCAACTGACAAATGCTTATTGAGCACCAACTGCATGTTTTACATGATTCAGGTGCTGAGGAGAAAGCAGTGAGCAATCATTTCCTACCTTCACAGGGCTTACTTTCTGATGACGGGCACAGCCATTGGAATCTGTTCTGCTCCAGGACCCCAGAGACCACCATTCTGCAAATTTCCTTGATACTTCTTGATGCACCACACTTAACTATGTGGGGCATTCCTCCTTTTTGAAACACCCTTCTCTTTTGGACCAGAGAGAAGGCGATGGTGTGGTATAATTCTAGAGAGGTAGGTAGGATCCAGACCATTTGGGATGTCATTGGTCACAGTGGAGGTTTTTTTTTTTTTTTGAAAAATAAATGGAAACTAAACTATCTTAATCAGGAGCATGTTTCTCTCTTATTTGTTTTTATTTAAAGACATGATGTCTTTAATGTGGATGTGGCAAGGGAGGAGGAAGAAGGATCTCTTAAATGTCTTCTGGAGTACAAACCAGGCCAGAAGTAGTAGTAGTTTATCAGCAGAGGGAAGAAGGTGAGGGAACCTGGAAAAAATTCAGAAGCAGTGGCATGCTGGTAAATGTTAACAACTATTTCTCTAAGAGAAAAAAGATAGCAATTTCTGGCATTTACTAATTTCAAGCAACCAAGTTGACATCATTGAATGCAGATTTCAGGAGAGATGCACAAAATAGCTGGAATGAGCCGGCTTCGTCACAGCACGCTCTTAGAAGGGGAAATGGACAACACATGGTGATGAATTGGGTGTGGGGAATGAAGGGGAGAAAGAGGTGCCAAGAATGACTGGTAGCTTCTGATTTGCTGAATAGGATGAATGATGGAACTGTCCACAGGTAGAAACAATGAAGAGGAACAGATGTGGGGGAAAAAGACCCGTGAAGCCAACAATAATGGGGGAGTATTAGTCAAAGTTATCAGGGACCGGCAATCTGAATGGGGACCCAGAGCCTGAGTGGATGGTATATCAATTCAAATTGTGTGTCAACATTTTTAGGTCTACGCTTACCAAGAGCTCCATGAATTTTTTTTAACCCAGGATGGAATTCTATTATGATTATTTTGCAAGCCTATTGAATTTGAAGCTTTTGTGAGATGTCCTAGAGGGTGGGTCAAGAAGGTGGTGGGATATGCCAGCTAAAAATCAGAGGAGTGTTCAGGTATGGTGGTTCATGCCTGTAACCCCAACACTTGAGGCCAAGAGTTTGAGACCAACCTGGACAGCATAATGGGACCCCATTTATATAAGAAATTTTAAAAAATAGGCATGCATGGTGGTGCATGCCTGTAATTCTAGCTGGAAGGCTGAGGTGGGAGAATCAATTGAGCCCAGGAATTCGAGGCACTTGAGCCCAAGAATTTGAGTGCAGTGAGCTATAAGCATGCCATTGCCCTCTAGCCTGGACAAGACCCTGTCTCCGTTTTTTAAAAAGAATAGAGAAAAAGAAAATAAGAGGAGTGATCTTGGCTGAAGATATACATATGAGAATCATACAGGTGTAAGTAAAATGGAGAGGAGATTACCTAGCCTGAAAGTAAAAACTTCACCTGTGAATGGGGTCTCCAATCTCTCCTTTTCTCTCCCTCTTTCTTCTATGAATGCAGCATTTACTGTCTGGGTCAAAGAGGATGTGTCCTAAAAGGAGAATGAGAAATAAAACCCAGAAGGAGAAAGAAAACGTGGAGAATATTGCTGATTGCAGCCAAGGGAAGAGAATGTTTCCAGAAGGAGGTTACCACTGCGAGGTCAAGTAAGGGACTGGAGAATGCTTCTGTATCTTGGCAGGTGGGGCCATTGGAGGGAGTAGTTGTGACCAGGTGAAGGGCTGAGGGGCAGAGCAGAGTAGAGTGAGGAGTAAATGTGAGATAAGAAAATGGATCAGGGGAATAGTCTTATATTTCAAGAGATGACAGCTAGATTGGACACTCAAGTAAAATGTGAGAAATTTTTTAAACAGAAAATACTTGAGCTATTTAACATTGATGAAAATGATCCAGTTAAAATATGCAAGCAAGAAAGGGACATGAAAATTGCAGAGTAAAGACCTCTGAAAATTCCCTCTTCCATAAAAAAAGAAACTTGCAGAAAAGATCAGAATAAGCTTTTTCAGAATTCGAGAAATTAACCAAAGCTTGCAGCAATGCAGGAAGGGTTTGTTTTTTCCCCAAGAAAAGTGGCTGAATCTCAGTAAGAAGATTGAGCTTTGTGGTATTTTAATTTTCCATTGTCTCATCTCCCACTCTCCAATTCCATAATGATCTTGAAAAATAGCAGCTCACATCCCCAGTGCAAACTGAAAGTCACTAGAGAATGCAGAGGGGAGCTAGAACTCTTCAAAGCCTCATTCTCAAGGAACTGTCACTTGTGACATGTCAGGTAATCCCTGGAAGACCCTTCTTACAAGGCTGTCTGTATGTGATTGATTTGGAGCTTACACAGTAGGAAAAACCTCCTCTCTAGGGGTGATTATTTAAAATAATTACTGGCAGTTCTTTTAACTTTGTAGCTGCCTAAGGTGGTAGATAACCATTTATGTAAAAGTATTCTAACAAAAACCTTTAAAAGGAAATGCTAAAACTCCTAAAATTCAACATTGAGAAAACAAATAATTCAATTAAAAAGAGGGCACAAGATTTGAACAGGCACTTCACCGAAGAAGATAACAGATGGAAAAGAAGCAAACAAGAAGACGTTCAACATCATATGTCATTAGGGAATTAAAAATGAAAAAAATGATGAGTTTCCACCGCACTCCTATTAGAATGGTTAAAATTCAAAACAACACCAACACAAAATGTTGGTGAGGCTATGGAGTAACAGGAATTCTCATTTATTTCCTAGGAGTAACGCGAATAAAAAGCAATGGGACAGACACTTTGGAAGACAGTTTGGCAGTTTCTTACAAAAGAAGAAATTGGCCCAATGTGACAGTCATGTCCTACTACTTGGCACTTGTATTCCTTGGTATTTGCACAATTGATTTGAAAGCTTATATCCACACAGAAACGTGCACACAAATGATTATAACAACTTTATTAATAATTGCCAAAAACAGAAAGAAAGCAAGTTGTTCTTCAGTAGGTGAATGAACAAAAAATTGTACTACATTCGTACAATGGAGTCTTATTCATCCTTAAGATGAAATGAGCTATCAAGCTATAAAAAACATTGGGGGGGGGGATCATAGATGCATATTGCTAGGTGAAATAAGTCAGTCTAAAAAGCCTACATACTATATGATTCCAACCATATGACATTCTAAAATAGGAAGAACAATGGAGATAGTAAAAAGGATAGTAGATGCTGGGGGCCAGGGGGCAGTATGAAGAGAGAAGATGAGTAAGTGGAACGTAGGGGATTTTTAGGGAAGTAAAATTATTTTGTATAATACTGTGATGGTGAATACCTGATATTATGCATCTGACATCATGCAGTGGGCATATAGAAGCCCATCAACAATACAATACAAATGGTAAACCTTAGTGTAAACTATAGACTTTAGGCAACACTAATAATGTATAAATATTGGTTCACCAATTGTAACAAAACTACCACAGTGATGCAATAAGTTTATATTTGTGGAAACTATGTGAGAAGAGGGAGGAGGAGTATATGGGAACTCTCTGTACTTTTATGTTCTATTTTCATATAAACTGAAAACTGCTCTAAAAAATAAATCCTACTAAGTAAAAACATAAAAAGGAAACATGGAGCAATGAGAAATCCATAGAGGTTTTGAAAAGCTCTGAAAGTATTCCTGGAAAAATAGAGGACCATGCACATACATAGAGCATGAACATGTTCAGGAAAGACCTAAAAAGACCCTAAGGTCTCACTTCTGGCTGATCTTGAGAATATGTGTGACAGCAAGTGAAGGCTAAGGCAGAGTTGTTAATTACCTGGCTGAGTGTTGAAGGCATACCCCTACAAGTAAACAGTGGCTCTCAGCAACACTTAGAGATATATTGACTCCATCTATTTAAATATGTCTATGTCCAGTAGTTAGCTAACCACTAAAGACTTCGGTGATCAAACACAACAATGAATACAGACTGTTCAGAATTAGTTCAGAAAAGTCACTAAACTAAACAAACAAAAAAAACAAACCCAGCAACTACAATAAGCAGCAATTGCAGACCCTGGGGACAGAAGAGGGCAAAGAGAGAATCTGATATCTACTATTGCTACATTATATTATTTAAACATCAAGTTTTAAAAAAATAAGAGAAAAAAGAATGTATGACCCATACACAAGAAGGAAAAAAGCAATCAATAGAAACTATCCCTGAAAGAATGTAGATGTTGAATTTACTAAAGAGAGACTTTAAATTAGTTATTTAAAATAAATTGAAAATAATATAGAAAATAGCAAAATGGAAGATGCAAAATGGCAGAGGTAAATCCAATAGTATTAGTAATTACACTAATTGGAAATGGATTAAATTCTCTAATCAAAAGGCAGAGATTGACTTAATGGATAAAAAACATAATCCAACTATATGCTTTCTACAAGAAACATAATTTAGATTCAAAGACAAAAGTATGTTTCAAATCAAAAGATGAAAAAAGATCTATAGTGCAAACAGTAACAAAAGGAGATCTGGAAAAGCATATACTATGCAAACGTAAGCAAAAGAGAGCTGGAAAAAGATACTTCATGCAAACTGTAACCAAAATAGAATTGAGGTGGATATACTAATATTAAAATAGATTTTAGGACAAATATTTGTAGTAAATACAGAGAAAAATACTTGATAATGATAAAAGAATGGATTCAAAAAGAAGATATAATAATTATAAATGTATGAACCAAGTAACAAACTCTTAAAATACATGAAGGAGGAATTGATTAAATTGAAGGGAGAAATATAAAATTCAACAATAGTCAGAAACCTCAATACCCCACTTTCAATGATGGACATAACAACTAGACAAAAGATCATCTAGGAAATAAAAGAGTTGAACAGTACTATAAACAATTAGGCATAAGACATAGCTATAGAATAGTCCACCCAACAATAGCATAATACACATTATTTCCAAGTGTACGTGGAAAATTCTCAAGGATAGATTACATTTTAGGCCATAAAACAAGTTTCAATATATTTAAAAGAACTGAAATCATAACAAATCTCCTTCAACAACGATTGAAATTAGAAATGTAAACAACACACTCCTAAATAGCCAACAGGTTAAAGAAATAGTCACAGTGAAATTAGAAAATACTTTAAAATTAAAACCCTACATACCAAAATTTATGGAATGCAGTTGAAGTAGTGCTTAGAGAAAAATTTACAGAAATCAATGCCTACATTGGAAAAGAATAAAGGTCTGTCTTAAATCAATAACCTAGCTTAAAAAACCTAGGAAAACAAGAGCAAACTAATCAGAAAGCAAGCAAAAAAGGAAATAATAGAAGAGCAAAATAAATAAAATGGGTCATAGGACATTATGTTAAGTGAAATTCTCAGACACAGAAAGACAAATAGTACGTGATCTCACTCATACTCATCTAGAAAAGGTCAATATTAGTTACTGTTACAGAAGTAGTGTGTGGAATGGTGGTTATCAGGGGGTGTGGTGAAGGGTAGTGGTGGGGAGATGTTTGTCGAAGGAAACAAAATTTCAATTTGTTGGGAGGAATAAGTCCAAGAGATGTAGTGTACAACATGATGACTATAGTGAACAGTATACTGTATTATCAGAAAATGTAAGAGTGGATTTAAAGTGTTCTCACCACAAAAATGACAGCTATGTGAGGAATGTATGTCATTCCACAGTGTTTATTATATGCACTTCGAGACATTGTTATACATGATAAATATATACAAATTTTATTTGTTAATTTAAAAATAGAGAATAACAAAACAAAACTTTTTTTAATATTAACAAATGGATAAGTCTCTAGCTGGACTAGCAAGAAATAAAGAGAAAAGGCTCAAACTTACAGATATAAAAAGGATTATAAAGAAGTATTATGAACAGTTGTAAGCCAATAAAGTAGGTAACTCATATAAAATTAACAATTTCTGGAAAGACACCAACTATCGAAACTGACTCAAGAAAAAATAGACACCGAAATAGACCTAAAACAAGCAAAGAGATTAAATTAGTAATCAAGAAACCACACACAAAGACAGGTCCAGCAGACGGTTTCACCTCTTAATTCTACTAGACATTTAAATAATAATTAATAGTAATTTTTCACAAACATTTTCAAAAAATAGAAGAGAGAACAGTTCCCATTCATTCTCTGAGGCTATTACTATACCAATACTACACAGGAAAAGGCATCATAAGAAAAGAAAACTATAAAGCAATATATCTTATAAATAAAAATGTAAAAATCCTTAATAAAATATTTGTGTATTGAATCTGTTAACATCAAAAATATTCCACACCATGACCAAGTGGGATTTATCCCAGGATGCAAGGTTTGGTTTAATGTGTGAAAATTAATCTTTGTAATGTACTAGTCGAATAAAATAAACAAAATCCACATGGTCATCTCAATAAATACTGAAGGCATTTGACAAAATCTAGCATTCTTTGGTGATGAAAACACTCAACTAACTAGCGATAGAAGGGAACCACCTCAACTTGATAGAGAATATCTATGAAAAAACCACAACTAACATTATACTTAATGGTGAAAGACCAGACCTTCCCCCTAAGACCAGGAAAAATACAAGGATGGCTGCTTTCACTATTTCCATTCAACACCATACTGGACATTCTAGAGAGGAAAATTAGGCAAGAAAATGAAATAAAAGACATCTAGATTGGAAAGGAAGAAGTAAAAGCATCTCTACTTATAGATGAGTTGATTTTATATGTAGAAAATCCTGAGAAATCCATTAAAAATCTCATAAACTAGTTAAGCGAGGTTTCAGAATACAAGATCAATATATGAAAAACAGTTGTACTTTTCTCAGATTTTTATTTTAGGTTCAGGGTCACATGTGCAGGTTTGTTATACAGGTAAACTCATGTTATGGAGTTTTTTGTACAGATTATTTTGTCATCCAGGTACTAAGCCTAGTACCCAATAGTTATTTTTTCTGCTGCTGTCTCTCCTCCCGCCCTTCATCAAGTAGGCCCCAGTGTCTGCTGTTTTCTTCTTTGTATCCATGAGTTCTCATCGTTTATCTCTCATTTATAAGTGAGAACATGCGGTATTTGGTTTTCTGTTCCTGTGTTAGTTTGTTAAGCATAATGGCCTTCAACTCCATCCGTGTTCCCACAAAAGACACATATATTTTCATATACTTGCAATGAACAATCTAAAAATGAAATTAAGAAAACAATTCCATTTGCAATACCACCAAAAAGAACAAAATATTTAAGAATAATAACAAAAGAGGTGTAAAACTCATGCTCTGAAAACAACAAAACTGTGTTGAAGGAAATTTCAGAAGAGCCAAACAAATGGAAAAAATGTATGTTCATGGACAGGAAGAAGTGGTATTGTTATGACGGCAATACAGCCCAAATTGATTTATAGGTTAAAAGCAATCCCAATCAGTATGCATACCTTTTAACAAGCTGTTTCTAAACTTTATATGGAATTGTGATGAACCATAAATATCGAAAACAGTTTTGAAGAAGAAGAATCAAATAGGCAGACTCACTTCTTGACTTCAAAACTTACTACAATGAAATGGTCATCAAGAAAGTATGGTCCTGGCATAAGGATAGACGTATAGATAAATGGAGTAAAAGTGAGAGTCCAGAAATAAAACCTTGTGTCTATGGTCAACTGAATTTTGACAAGGATGTCAAAACTATTCAATAGAGAAAAAAGAGTCTTACCAACAAATGGTTTAGGGACAGCCATATGCCAAAGAATGAAATGGGACTCTTCCCTCTCACCGAACACAAATAGGAACTCAAAGTAGTTTAAAGGCCTAAATGTAAGAACTAAAATTATAAATCTTTTAGAATAAGTCATAGGGGAAAATCTTCCCAATCTCAGATATGATAAAATACTCTTAGATATGACAATAAAAGTATGAACAGCAAAATAAAAAAATCAATAATTTGGACTTATCAAAATTCTAAAAGTTTTTGCATCAAAAGATACTATCAAGAAAGTGAAAAGTCAATAAACGGTATGGGAGAAAATATTTGCAAATACTATATCTCATAAAGGACTTATATCTAGAATATATAAGAACACTTATAATCAAGAACAAGAATATAAATAACCCAATTTAAAAATGAGCAAAGTATGTAAATGCACGTTTTTGCAAAGAAGATATAAAAATGTCCAATACGGACATGAAGGATACTCGACATCATTAGTAATCAAGGAAACGCTAATCAAATCCACAATATGATACCACTTCACATCCACTAAGATGACTATAATCAAGAATCAGAAAATAACAAGTGTTACTGAGGATGTAGAAAAAATAAAACCATTATATACTGCTAGTGTGGTGCAGCTCCTTGGAAAGTAGTCTGGAAATTCCTCAAATACTTAAACATAGAGTTACCTTATGATTCAGCAATTCCTTCCTAAGTATATGCTCAAGAAACATAAAAACATATATCCATACAAAATCTTGTACACAAATGTTTAGCATTCTGTCATTCATAATAGCAAAAAGGAGTAAACAACTCAAATGTCCATCAACTGACACATGGATAAATAAAATGTGGCATATCCATACAACAGAATATTATTCAGCAATCAAAAGGAATGGAGTACTGATACATTCTTAATCATGGATGAAACTTGAAAGCATTATGCTAAGTGAAAGAATCTCGTCAGAAAATGTCACATATTATGAGCTATTCATTTGAAGTATACAGAACAGGAAAATTTATAGGGACATAAAGCAGAATAGTGGTTGCTTAGGGTTTGGGAGTGAGAAGGTATGGTGGTGATAGGTAAGGTCGTGGGGTTTCTTTTGGACATGATGAAAATATTCTAAATTGACTATATTGATGGCTGCATGTGTCTGTAAATATGCTGAAAATCTGACTGGAGCACTTTCAGTGGGTGAATTCTATGCTAAGTGAATTATGTTGCAATAAAACTGTTGATATAAGAAGTATAGAATCTGAGTATACCTATAACAAGTAAAGAGATTTAATTAGCAGTAATAATAATAATAATAACTTATCACAAACAAAAGCTCAGGATTAGATGGCTTCACGGGTAATTCTACCAAATATTTAAAGAAGAATTGGCATCAGTACTACACAAACACTTCCAAATATAGACGAGGAAGGCATACTTCCCATGTCATTCCATGAGATCTGTGTTATGCTGATTCTAAACCCGACAAATAAATCATGAGAAAAGAAAATGATATACCAATATCCCATATGACCATATACACAAAAATCCAAAAAAACACTAGCATGCTGAATCTAGCACCATAGTAAAAATATTATATACCATGACTAAGTGAGATTTATCCCAGGATGCAAGGTTGGTTTGTTACATGAAAATTAATCAATGTAATACACCATTTAATAGAATAAAGAATGAAAACAACATGGTCATCTCAATAAATGTGCAAAAGCATTTGACAAAAGCCAATACCCTTTCATGATAATAACATTCAAGAAATTAGGAATAGAAAAAACTTCCTCAGCAAGATAAAAGGCATTTATCAAAAATCCACAGCTGATAAAATCCTCAGTGGTGAAAGACTGAAACTTTCTCTCTGAGATCATATACAATACAAGGATAACCACTCTCATCATTTGTATTTAACATTGAACTAGAGTTTTTAGAGAGGAAATTCAGGCAAAAAATAAAATTAAAGACATCCAGACAAGAAAGAAAGAAGTCAAACTATTTCCATTTGTAGATGAAACAATCTTATAAACAAAAAATCCTAAGGAACACACACACACACACACACACACACACACACACACACACACACACACAATTAGAACTAATGAATGACTTCAACAATGTTGCAGGATATAAGATAAATATTAAAAATTAGTTGTATTTCTATACACTTGCAATCAACGATTAGAAAGTAACTTCAAGAAAATTCCATGTATAATAGCATCAAGATGATAAAAATATTTAGCAATAAATTTAACAAAAGAACTGAAAACCATGAAACAGTGTTGAAATAATTTAAAGATGCAAATAAATGGATAAATATTCCATGTTCATGAACTGGTAGAATTAGTATTGTTAAGACAAAAATACTCCCTGAATTAATCTTTAGAGCTGATGTAATCCCTGTACAAATTTCAACTGTCATTTTTTCAGAAATTGAGAAGCTGATCTTAAAATTCACATAGAAATTCAAAAGACCTACAATAAACAAAACAATCTTGAAAAAGAAGGAAGTAGGAGAACTCACATTTCTCAATTCCAAAACTTAATACAAAGCTACAGTAATCAAGACAGTGTGGCATAAGCATAGACATATACATCAGTAGACTAGAATTGAGAATCTAGAAGTAAACCGATACGTCTATGTTCATTTGTTTTTGACAAGAATAATCTTTAAAACACATGATGTTGGGATAATTGAATAGTTGCATGCCAAAGAATGAAGTTGGGCCTTTACCTCTCAAATCATGTACAAAAATTATTTCAAGATGGCTTAATTATCTTTATTATTTCTTTCCTTCTAGTGATTTTGGTTTTGGTTTGTTCTTTTCTAATTCCTTGAAGTTCATCTTTGGGTTGTTTTTTGAAATCTTTCTAGATTTTTGATGTAGGCATTTGTTGCTATAAATATGTCTCTTAACACTGCTTTTGCTGTGTCCCATACGTTTTGGTATGCTGTGCTTCTATTTTTATTTGTTTCAAGAAATGTTTAAATTTCATTCTTAATTTCTTCCTTCATCCATAGGTTGTTTGGGAGCCTGTTGTTTAATTGCATGTTCGTACTCACATGTGGAAGCTAAACAAAAGTTGATCTCATAGAAATAAAATGAATATAGGATACTAGAGACTGGGAAGGGGGAAGGGAAGGGACATGGTTAGGAAGAGATTTGTTACAGGACACAAAGTTACAGCTAGAGAGGAAGGATCAGTTCCAGTGTTCCATAACACTGTAAGATGACTGTTGTTAACAATAAAATATTACATAGTTTCAAATAGCTACAAGGAGGATATTGAATGTTCCTAACACAAACGAATGACAAATGTTTCAGATGATGGCTATGCTAATTACCCTGGTCTGATTACTGTGCATTATATGAATTGAAACATCACTATGTACCCTGTGAATATATTCAATTATTATTTGTACATTAAAAATTAAATTAAAAAATAAAGTACTAGCTTTTAACAAATGGCTTATTGAGTTTTATAGAGCTAAAACGATGAAATTCTTAGAAAAAAACCAGCACGTAAGTCTCTGTGAACTTGTATTAGACAACGGTTTCTTAGATGTAGCACCTAACAGAAAAGCAAGTAATAAAAGATTGATAAGTTGGACTTCATCAAATTTTAAAACTTTTATGTGTCAAAAATGCTATTATGAAAGTGAAAAAAGAACCCATATAGTAAGAGAAAAATATTTATGATTCTTATTTCTCATAAGAATCTAGTAGTCAGAATACAGAAAGCACTCTAAAAGCTCAACAATAAAAAGACAAATAATCCAGTAAAAGTTGGGAAAATATCTAGCTAGACATGTCTTCAAAGAAATATACAAGTGGCAAACAAACACATGAAAGGCTGCTCAACATCATTAGTTATTTCGGAAAAGCAAATCAACGTCCTCATGAAATTCCATTTCGAACCACTGCATGGGCTTAATAAAGAACAAATGGCTGGGCACAGTGGCTCACGCCTGTAATCCCAGCACTTTGGGAGGCCGAGGCAGCCAGATCACCTGAAGTCAGGAGTTTGAGACCAGCCTGGCCAACATGGTGAAACCCCATCTCTACTAAAAATACAAAAATTAGCCGGGCGTGGTGGCGGGCACCTGTAATCTCAGATACTCGGGAGGCTGAGGCAGGAGAATCACTTGAACCCAGGAGGCAGAGGTTGCAGTCAGCTGAGATCATGCCACTGCACTCCAGCCTGGGGGATAGAGTGAGAGTCTGTCTCAAAAAAAAAAAAAAAAAAAAAAAGGGAAAATGACATGTAGGTGAGGATGTGAAGAAACTGGAACTCTCATACATTGCTGATGGGAATGTAAAATGGTACAAACAACTTTGGAAAACAGTCTGGTAGTTTTTGAAAATGTTAAACATAGAGTTACATCTGTGTAACTTGGCAATTTCACTCCTAGAAATATAAACAAGAGAAATGAAATGAAAATATATGCTCACAAAAACTGGTACATGAATGTTCACAGCAGCATTGTTTAAAATAGCCAAAATCCAGAAACCACACCAATGTTCCAAATGTCCATCGACTGATGAATGGATAAATAAATGTGGATGTTCATACACTGAAATATTATTTCACCAAAAATAAAGGAATAAATTCCTGGTATATGTGCACCATGGATGAATCTTAAAAATATGCTGAGTGAAATAACCCAGGCATAATAAGCCAAATATTATTTAATTCCATTTATGTCCAGAATAGGCAAAATACGTAGAGACAGAAAGTAGATTATTTGTTGCCAGGGGTTGTGGGGAGGCGGAGAATGGGAGTGCCTACTCATGGATACAGGTTTCTTTGTGGGGTGATGAAAATGTTCTAGATTAAATAGTGGTGATGGTTGCACACCTTGTGAATTTATGAAGAGGCACTGAAATGTACATTTTCTAAGGGTGATCTTATGATATGTGAATTATATCTTAATAAAAATAGGTTTAGAAAGAAAGAAAAAAATAACAACATGCACCCAAGCTGGTCAATCCTGTAAGGCTTCTGAATGAGCAGGAAGGGATAGACTCCAAGGTTTAGAGAGTCTGATGTAGGATGTATGTTCTGCCCCCTGTGCAGGGTTCTACTGAGGATGTGGAGGAGGAATGCCTGGGGGACTTGAGTATTGGTGGATTTTGGTATCTGAGGAGTCCTGGAACAAATCCCCCTGCATGCAGAGGGAAGAATGCACTCAGAGAAACATCAGAGCAAGTTTTAGGATACTCAGAGAAACATCTCAATTTTAAACAAAAAGAGAGAAAGGAAGAATGAGTATGGATACTGTTACAAACATGTTGGGAAAGACAGCTTCTATTCTAGTCTTTAAGACTAGAGATGAGGTCATCTTTAAGGAAGAGTGGAAAAGAGGGTAATGCATGGACATTTGGGGGACTGGAGAGCATTAGAAATAGATACTGTGGGGGTCAGGGCAAGAGCCAACTGGGAAGCAGGGTTGAGAGCAATTGAGTTGATGACTGTAAATTGATGATAACATCATTTTCCCTCCTATGTGACTTTCTGCAACAAGGCTTGGCTTTTTGGGTGTGGTCATGGAGAAATGAAATGGTTCGCTTCATCAAGGACCAGTTTATCTAGACAAGTGAGGTGATGAGCATAGGGTCCAGCTCACAGGTCCTAGAACTGTTAATAAAAGAAACAAAGAAAGGAGAAGGCTGTGAGTCTGGAGAGTGGAAGAGTGGTCATAGTTGGAGTAATTAAAAAAACATGCTAGACGGAGAGGAGGTCAAAGAGTGGGCAGTAAGCTCAAAGACCCGATTTTGTAGCTGATAGAGTTACGAATGGTAGCAAGGTCAGTGGGAGGGCGTGGGTGTGTTAGCTCAGCGAGACAGAGAAGGGAAGGTGGAGGGAGGTGGACCCTTAGCTGGAGCAACAGGGCATTGGATGTGTCTCCCATGTGGATGCTGAGGTCGTCAGGTTTTCCCACTTCGGAGACTTGTTACTTTGTCTTCCAGGGTGCTCTTCTCCCAGACTGGGGCATAGCTCATGGATCACTCCTTTTCATTATTCAGGATGTGGCACAAATAAAACATTTTCAGAGAGTAGCTTCCCTGTCTCTTTACTTCTTGCCCCCAGCTACATTCATTTTCTCTCAAAGCACCTGATTAATTTCATCCATGTTTTGTATTTGGCATACCTATTTAAGTCTCTTCCTCCTTCCGTTTCCCTTCTGCTTCCCTTTCCCCTCCCATCCTCTCCCCTTCTTCCCTTCATTCCTTCCTTTCTCTCTTCCTCCCTCCCTTTCCTTTCTTCCTCCCTCACTACTTTTCCTTCCTTCCTTCCTTCCTTTCTCCCTTCCTTCTTCCTTTCTTCTTTCTTCCTTTCCTCCTCCCTCCATCCATTCCTTCCTTCCTTCCTTCCTTCCTTCCTTCCTTCCTTCCTTCCTTCCTTCCTTCCCTTTATTGAGCACCTTTATGTGCCAGGCACAGTTGCAAGCAGTGGGAATAGAGCACAGGACAGACAGACTCCTTGCTTTCATGGAGATTAGAGTAGTAGAGGGTTGCTACTAAACGAAGTAAACATGAAAAAGTTCTTTTAGATGGTGAAAAGCGCTACAAAGGAAATAAAACAGGGTGAGGTGAATAAGAGCAAGTCAGTCCTACAGTGATGAAGAAAACAGCATTTCAGGCAGAGGGAATAGCCAGTGCAAAGGCCCTGAGGTTAGAATGAATTTGGCGTTGGGGGCCAAAGAAGATGAGCGTTTTGGAGGAGAAAGTGCCAGAGAGAGTGGACAAAGTGAGGATAGAGGGGAAGGTTGGAAAACCACGGATTTTATTCCAATTGCAGTGTAGAGCTGTTGGTGGGTGTTGGCAGGAGATGTCAAAAGTCACTCGGCAGTGGTGTGCTTTTCTGTTTATGACCATGGACCTCGTGGGAACAGGGACTGTGTCTCATTCCCTTGCAAGAGATTCTCATGGTCTGTTCGAGATCCTGACGCATTCCCCATTAGTTGGAGATGAGTGAATGAATGAAAGGAGGAAAGTCGGCCAGAGCTCAAACAGTCGCATCTCTGCCCTTAGCATGCCGGTGGTGCTGCTTTGATTTGGGCTTTGGGGGACTTCCTGACCGTTTAGTTTAGTTTTTGCATTTGCTATGTTTGACATGCCTCTAAATTTGATATTCTTTTCTCCTCATATTTTATGCCAAATTTTCTTACCTTGGGAACTCTGGCTTTTTTCATCTGAGAAAAAAAAATGCATGTTTTGATGCTCTAAAATAAAATTTACTGAGAAGTAAAGAGGTTTTTTTGCTCATTATTCATTTGTCTATTCAATTTTGCATTTTTAAAATTAATTTTTATTGATTTTTTTCAGCATTTTAAATCAGAATCAGTCTGCATGCCAGGGATCCTTGGAGTCAGAATGCAGTAATAAGTTGTTTCCAAAGGCGACTGAAGCTTGCCCGGTAGAAGCTGCCCCAGCATTTAGTGATGCACACAAGGATTCTCAAAAAATTCTCAAAAAAGTGAAATCCACTTATATAGCTGGCCAAGAGAGTCCTCCATGGCCTTATCATTTCTTGACCTCAAAGTGACTGCATTCACCTTGTGAGAATAGAGTTACTGCATCTGTTAAATAATGCAATCATTTTTATTAATTCTCAATCCATCTATGTAGGTGAAAGTATCATCTGAATGGCCATATGGTTGACTATTAAATGAATGCAAAATACCTGCATGTCATAGGAGGGATTCTGGATGGGCGCACAAATTAGACATCGTGATTTCCTGTTAAATACCAAACCCCGATAAAATCCTCTCCTAGGAGACCATTACTATGTGGTTGTATATTTAAAAAAGGAAACGGTTCAGAGAGAAAGCGCAAAGCAGCAATGCATACTTAATAGCTTGTTCCAAGGAGTAAATTAAGCCTGGAACTGTCGAGGTATTAAACCTAGCAGAGCGGGTCCTGAGTATTAAAGAGAGAAATTTCAGAGCGAGAGAGTTCATTCTTTTCCATTGACTCAATGGTAAAATAAAGTGAACTCTGACAATATGATTTAGCAACGACTCTAAAACATAACATGTTGGAATGACTGTGTATCAAAAGTTATTTTTCTGTTCTATTACCTTGAATGAATAGCTTAGATCACTGAATCTATTCACTGAGCTATGGCTCAGTGCATCTTTGATAAGGAGATAAAAAGCGCTATGGATTTTGGTGTAATCTTATTTATGACCACATTGCTCGTTCTGTATTCACACATGGAATATCCATGTTTGTTAACACACATGCTCACATGAATATTTTACCTGTAGGCCTTCTATTGAGCTAGGATATGTTCGGTAATAAAGAATTTTATTGTATTTTTTAGATCTTAAAGAAATAGAAATTTAGAAAATCCTTTATTGGAAATTCACTGAAGGGAGACGTGTTATCAAATTAGTACCCATACGCTCAGCTGGTGATGCACAATGATGACTCTATCTCCAGTTACTCACTGCTCTGTGAAAAGGGTTCAGATAATTCAGCCCATAATCTAGGAAGCACTAAATGTCTCCCATTCCATGGTTTCAAGCAGAGTTCAAACCACCACATCCCTTATCTTCCGAGTTAAAATAGAAAGTTTCAGTGAGCCCTCTGGATGAAGTCTCTTCTTGCAAAGTGCTGTCATTTGGGTGCGGGGAGGGAAAGCCAGTCTTGGCTTCTCCACAGGCTCAGTCAGCTGATGGAGCCCCCACCTGTCCCACGTAGCACCTCATCTGTCCCCAGGATCCTTCATGCTCTGCATGAAACTGTGACTATGAAGTCTCTCCATGACGTGGTGTGGAAGCCCCCAGCAGGTTTCTGCCTGGGTTTGGGATTACACGCCTCAGCTGGAACCTAAGCTTTGCCAACCTCATTCTCATCGGAGAGCAGGGTGCTCTCAGACCCACCTTCCTCTCACCTTGCTGGCCGTTTCTCAGACTGCTTACGACTCAGTGCTTTTTCTCGTGCTTTGTGCTCTGTCTGGAACACGCCAGCTTACCTGAAAGAATCCAAATCTTGTCAACTTGTCTATATCCCGCTATCTTCTGAGTCTACACACATCCATTCACTTAATGAGTCTTTACTGATATTCTCCAGGTGTGAGGCTCTGTCCTAAGTGCCAGGTATAGATGATGTTCTGAAGGAGACCGATGAGATCCCAGCACAAACAGAGCTTCCCCCACCAAGGGGACAGTACGCATGCTGTTTTGATCTTTTCATTCACATCATGGTGCCTGCGAGGTGGTTTCCAGAAAGTAAATTCAGTAATTCATTCCACAAATATTTACTGAACTCTTGCCACGTGGCTTGCCTTGTTCTCACCACTGGCGGTCAAGTGGGGACAAGACCGGTGAGGTCCCTGCCCTCCTGGACTTACCTGGATGTGTCAGGGCAGGGGAGAATGCCCAGTAAACAAGGAAGACAACAGCTAAGGCAAGTGCGGCTTGCAGCTGGGCCCTGAAGACAATAATCGGTGTCATGCTTCCTGGACTTCAGCGAGCTTAGGAGTCATGGGGGCCCACCCCAGAGTTTCTGATTCAGCAAGTCTTGTGTAGGGCCTAAGAATCTGCATGGAACAAGCTCTGAGGTGATGCTGTTGCTGCTGAACTGAACATGCTGAGATTTTTCATTGAGACCTGGGGGAGGAAGAGAAAAAGGCAGAAAGTTTCAGACAGAGGTGCAGCAGGGGCCAAGTCCCTGAGGCCAGGGTCACCCAGTCAAGGAACACAAGTGGCCCACCAGCCTGGGGTAGAATGAGTGAGGAGGAAGGTCATAGAGAGCTACAGTTGGAATCAGGTGGGTCCAGTTCACACAGGGAGCAGTAGGTCACAGTGGGGAGCTTGGATTTTCAACAGAAAGCAATTAAGAAGTGTTGGGCCATTTTAAGAGTTGAGTGACTTCACCTGGTGTATGAATTTCCTATTGATTTTCTAACACATTACCAACAACACAGTGCTTTAAAACAATATAAATGTATTCTCTTTCAACTCCGAAGGTCAGAAGTCCTACAAGATCCCACAGGGATAAAGTCATGGTGGCAGCAGGACTGAATTTCTTTCAGATGCTGTAGGGGAAAATCAGTTTCTGCCTTTCCCAGCTTCTAGTGGCCCCTGCACTCCTTGGCTCATGCCCTTTCCTCCACCTTCAAGGCCAGCAATGGTGGGCCAAGTCCTTCTCTCCCTCCCTTCTTTCTGGTTCCATCTTCCACTATTAGGGATCCTTGTGGGTACATTGGAGCCCGTTGGATAATCTAGGATACTCTCCCTATTTTAAAGCCAGCTGATCAGCAATCTGAATTCTATCTCAACCTCAATACCTCTTTGCCATGGGACCTAATATACTCACAGGTTCCAGGGAGCAGGACGTGGACATGTTTGCAGGGGAAATTGATCTGCCTGCCAATCTGATATGTTTAAAATGAACATGGCAATACTGTCCAGAGAGTGGCAGGACCAGGGAGGGACTAAGGACACCCACGTAAGGCCCTGTTTGTTGAAGGTGTGAAGCAGCCTGGTTTGAACTATGGTAGGGGTTGTGGAAGGGAAGAGACCCTAGTGGCTTGGAGAGACAACTGGGGGAGAGCTGAGGAATACATGGAGGGACTGCCCACTTTTTAGTTTGAGCCACGGGACTCGTGGTGATGCCTTTAATTTGAGAGGGAGGAGGAAGACAAGAGTCGGGAGTGAGGTTGATGTTGGTTTAACTGAACTGATTTACCAATTACACACTGGGCTTTGGAACAACACTAATTTTCTTTAGTTTTTGAACAAGAGAGTAAAGCTAGGGCTTTAGGCGTCTTAAGGAAGCTGTCATTCTGTGGGCTGGCACTTACTGACTTTACAGGGCCAAAGGAATATACATCAACTCTAGAATGTTCCATAAAGAAAAGCAAGATGTTTGGAGACCATGCTAAAAGTCAGTGTGGGTGGACTTCTGCGAGGAGTACAGGCTGATCTGAGGTCCTGCGTTTGTATCCCAGCTGGATATGTGCTAGTTGGCTTGTCCAAAGGACTTGCTTAACTTCTCTGAGTCTCTTTTGTCATCTGTGAAACGGGCCTGAGAAATCCACTTTGTGGGGTTGTAGGAAAGATTGGCTATGCCGTGTGCAAATACTGCTCCTAAGAGCTCATTCCTGTAGCCTTGTGGTCTCTGTTGAGTTATAATGGGTTCAAAATCATTTGTTCTTTTATGAATGCTTTAAGGCAATGAGTTTTCATGCTGCTATTGTGACCCAATTAACATGGCCCCATGTAAAGGCCCTTCCAAGCAGCCAGGAATTGTGAAGACAAAAGTTTGTTTTTGTTTTTAATTTCAGCATCATTAAAAATTATTTTTATTATTCACCCTTCTGGATGGGCCAGCAGACATTTAGAAAAGTTGTTCTAATTAAGTATTGGAAAATGTCTGTAAAAGTTAAGCAGCTGTCTCTGAGAGGTAGAAAACATTAAATATTAAAACAGTATGTTATCTGATGTTTTCTGAACTGAAAACCTCTCCTCTCCTCCATGAACATTCTCCATTGTCTCTGTACATTACCATCTGGGTACACAGACAAAATCCTGTAGAAAAATCAAAGTCATATTAGTATGTTTGCTTTTTCAAATCATTGGCAGTACGTAATTAATTAGCAGGTCTGATTTTGGTTTTAAATTCAGTTCTGCTTCCTCATTAGCCAAGCATGAGAGGCTTCACAACCTGAAGACATTTGGAATTTGTTTTCCCATTTGTATTCATGACACCTGTGATCTGAAATGACCACTCTAATGTCCCCCTAGCCTTCTTTGAAACAAATTAGTGGAGTCAATGGCTTCTGGCCTGAGGTCTCATTCAATGAGCCAAACGTAGCCAGGATGCCAAGTTCCAGTCCAGCATGGGGCTTTATATACTCTGGACATAAAGAGACCCTGACAGGCCTTGTTCCAGCCTGGCAAGAGGCCAAAACGGAGCAGCTGCCCTGCTCTCATCCTGAGATATTACATCCAGGGGATGGAAACAGCTGCACAGGATCCCCCACATGGGAAGGAGCGACAAGAGAGGGCACAGCTCCACAGGGGCTCAACTGCAACACAGGGCAACTTCTAAGATTGTCATTATTATTTATTGGCAAAAAATTCCAAACTTTTACTATCACTTTGATTATTCCTGCAGAGTATAAGATTATTGCATGTGGATTTTTATGTTTGACCGCTATTTAATATAGGAATGATACAATGGATTTGGGGGACTTAGCGGGAAGAGTGGGAGGGGGGTGAGGGATAAAAGACAACATATATGGTGCGGTGTATACTGCTCGGGTGATGGGTGCACCAGGATCTCACAAATCACCACTAAAGAACTTACTCATGTAACCAAATACCACCCATACCCCAATAACTTATGGAAAAATAAAATAAAATGAAAAATAATAATACCTTAAAAGTGAACGACACATATATGATTTGTACAAAGTAGATTAGAGAACATAGAAGGAATACAGAATATAGAGGTAGATACACATATATGGCATTTACAAATTTTCAATACTACTACTTATCTTCTGATGTATTATATAATTTAGTCATTTATGTTAATTGTCTTTTCTACCAGAGTGAAAGTTCCTACTAGAATTTTGTTCTGTTTGCTTGTTTGTGGGAAATTGTGTTTATTTTCTGATGCATCTCTATGATCCCGAGGAGTTTCTGGCACCTGGAAGGTACTAAATCAATCTGTATTGTGTCACTGAATGAATTAATAAAAGTGGGTGTCCATTAGTGAGCAGAGGATAGAGTTCCAGAAGGAGATGAGACACATGGATGGTATTTTTGAGCAGGGCATGGGATGAGATCCCCCAGGAGGGATGGAGTAGAGAGAGAGAAAAGAATAAAACGCAGTGGCTGAGAAGGTCGGAGGAAGCCCAGGTGAGCGCGGTATCAGGGGAGCCCAGTAAAGAAAGCGTAAGATCGATCCACGGGGTGAGGTTCAGGCTGACTGTGAGATTTATTGACGTGGAGATTCATTGTGATCTTTCTAGAGCAGCTGATACTGGGCTGAGGGTAGGAGCATCCAACTGAGAGAAGGTATAAGAGAGAACAGGAGGAACGGAAATGAAGACATCAAGTACAGCCACCCTTCCGGGATGTGTTTCCAGACAGGGAGAAGGGAAATTGGCAGCTTGAGGAGGATATGAGCTCAAGCTCATTAAGACTAGAGGAATCTCAGCATACTGTCCATGGAGGGGGATGATTCTACAGAGGGGAGAAAGCTGATGATCCAGAAACAAAGGTGACAATTGCCGAATGACACTCTTGCATTGGTGACAGGGGCTGGGGTCCTTCCTGTATGTGCAGACACTCCAGGCTTGGGAAAGAGTGTGGGGTGCCCATTTATAGTGATAAGAGGGCTATGAGAGAGATGAGGAGCCAGGTCAAGGTGAGAGAAGGGCTGGTGAGAATGTGTAATTCTCTCCTGATTGCTTCTGCTTTTTCTCTGTGAACTAGGAAGTAAGGCCATGAGCTGAGAGCAAAGACAGGGCATGGAGAGTTGGGGATTGGAGGGAGGAAAGTGTGAGTGAGTTATCTCGGGGAGTGGGTGGCAGTGGTCTGGAGAAATGCTGTAGGGTGTCCAGGGGGCCATGCCCAGGGCTCCTGCGAGGGCACTGGAACTGAACCTGCAGTGAGACCAGGGAACCTGCCTGCGTGATTTTCTGGAGAATGGTACTGTTGTACTCAGATGATAAAGGTGGTGTGTTTTTCTTGGCAGTGACAGGACCTAGAGGAAGACCAGGTGTGTGAGTGGGAGCTGAGATAGGGAGAAGGTCCAAATTATTGGAAACAAGGTAAGAGAATCATGAAGCTGGGGTGTAAACACCATCTACATAAATGCTGGGATTTTGAGAATGTTGGAGGGACAGGTGGCCAGTTAGTGCTGAGGCTTCCAATCCCAGGAGTTGATTTTTGTGGGGATTTGGGGACCTAGCTGAAGAAGTTGGAGGCATAATTGTGCGCCCTGGTATTGGAGATTAAAGGAGGCTAAAATGAGGGTTACAGAGAGATGAT
Organism: Homo sapiens; assembly: GCF_000001405.40. Taxonomy (NCBI): domain Eukaryota; kingdom Metazoa; phylum Chordata; class Mammalia; order Primates; family Hominidae; genus Homo; species Homo sapiens. The sequence continues at coordinate 60,398,310 of NC_000020.11, forward strand.
AATAATGCAAATAACAATTGTGCTGTGCATTCAGACACTTCTTGCTCTCGCTGTGATTTAAATGCATTGGTCTGGTGTGTTCTTCATGACACCCTGATGAAGAAGGTACGGTCTTATGCACTTTTTACAAGTGAGGACGCTGTGGCACAGAGAAGTTAAATAACTTGCCCAAGCTCAAACAATCAGACGTGGAACGAGTTCCCCAACCCAGGTGATCGGGTTTTGAGACTGGTGCTCTCATGTCCTGGCTGTTCCTGAAGCTCACCCGCTTGACACGACTTTTTCACCCCTCTGACAGCAGATGCCATCCAGGGGCTGTGGAAGTGAGTTTCTGAATTGGTGTGATGCTCTCAGAGCCTGGGCAGCACTCAAGAGCACTGTCCTCCCCATGCCCCAGACCGCAGTGCGTCTCTGGTGAGCAGAAGGCTCAGGGTGACCCTCAGCATGGCCAATGGTGTCTGACAGAACAGGGTCCAGCACTGTGCCGTGAACTTGGTATCCACTCAGTACTACATTTCCCTTCGATATGTATTAGAAACAAATGCAAACATACAGAAAATTGACAGAATTTATAAGGAATACCTTTATATACCACCCAGATTCTTCTATGACCATTTTAAAGAGTCTTGTTTTTTTGTTTTTTTTTTTTGAGATAGAGTCTCACTCTGCCACCCAGGCTGGAGTGCAGTGGTAAGATCTCTGCTCACTGCCACCTCTGCCTACTGAGTTTAAGCATTTCTCCTGGCTTAGCCTCCTGAGTAGCTGGGATTACAGACGCCCGCCACCATGCCCAGCTAACTTTTGTATTTTTAATAGGGATGGAGTTTCACCACGTTGGCCAGGCTGGTCTTGAACTCCTGACCTCAGGTGATCCACCTGCCTTGGCCTCCCAAAGTGCTGGGATTACAGGTGTGAGCCACCGTGCCTGGCCTAAAGAGTCTTGTTTTATGGCATGTTCATCCACCCATCCCCCACTGTCTCCAAGCATCAATCCATCATGTTTTTTATATACATTTAAAAGTAAGTTACAGGCAGTCGTGCCCCTTTTCCTAAACACTTCAACGTGTAGATCATAAACTCACGTTCAATATTTATTTAGAGTTTTTTTCCTTTATGGTAATGTTTGCATAAGATTAAATGCGCAAATTGTAGGCATATCATTTTATGAATTCTGACAAATGCCTGCACGTATGTAATGGAAAGCCCTGTGACAATACCGACCATTTCCATCCCCACAGAAAATTTTCCCAGCCTCTTCCCTATTACCCACTCTCTACCCAATCCCAAGAGGCAACCCCTTTCTGATTATTTCTTACCATACATTATTTTTCCCTGTTCTAGAATGCATATCGATGAACCCATACACTGTGCTCTTCTGTGTAAGCTTCCTTGACGTAGCATCATGATTTTGAGATTCACTCATGTGTGCACCATAGACTGGTTCATTTCAATTGCTGAGTACATTATTGTATAGACATACCACAGGGTGTTTATCCACTCTCCTGTTGACTGCTATCAGGAATTTTTCCCCATTTTTTTGGCTATTGCAAAGAAAGCTGCTAGGAACAATTATGTACTGTGTAAGTCTTTTGTTGGCACATGCTTTTATTTTTCTTGGGAAAATAACTAGGAGTAGAATTGTTAGGTCATGGTGTAGGTCTGTGTTTAGCTTTATCAGAAACTTATATGAACTGTGTGTGAGAGTTCCAGTTCCTCCACATACTTACCAACATTTAATGTTGTCAATCTTCTTAATTTTAGTCATTTTGATGGGGTCTGGTTATTTCTTATTGGAGTTTTAATTTGCCTTTTCAATATATCTAATGGCATTGTGCTTATTGACCAGCCATGTATCTTTGTTTGCAAAGTCTTTTCAAATGTGTTGGCCAGCTAGTAAATTCTGTTGATTATCTTTTCACTATTGAGTTTCAAGAGTTCTGGGCTCTCTATTCTGTCCATTGGTCTACGTGTCACTCCTATCCCAGTATCACACGGTTTTGATTATCGGAGCATTATCACAAGTCTTGAGGTCAAGTGTAAGTCCTCCAGCATTTTTCTGTTTTTTCAAATCTGCATATAAATTTCTTGCATGAAAGTCTATTTAGACTTTCTGCACCTTCTTGGGTCAGTTTTAGTAAAAATAGTATTTTTCAAGAAATTTGTCCATCTAATCTAAATTTTCAAATTTTATTCATACAAATTTACCCTAAGTATTTATTTGTCTTCCACTTAAACTATGTAGAATATAAGTTGAGACCTGTCTTTCATTCCTGATATTAGAAATTCTCTCTCTTTCTCTAATCTTCCTTTCCTTTCCTGATTATTATTATTTTTTCCTTGATCAGTTTAGATAGAGCTATGTTAATTTGGCTATGTTAAATTTCCCTGTCACTTATCCATTTTCTGTTTCATTAATTTCTATCGCTTTCCTCATTATTTTAATTATTCTGCTTACTCAGCTCTTTATTTGATAGTTTTTACAGGTGGAACTTTCAGTCATTGATTTGGACCTTTCTTCTTGTCTAATATAGACATTAAGGATACAAATTTCCCTCAAGTACTCCCTTAGTTGATAGGTTGCATTTTTGTTCCTATTTACTTTGAAATGCTTTCTAATTTCTTCTTTTACCCATAGATTAATTAGGAGTGTGCTGTTTAATATCCAAATAATTGTTTTTTCCTAGATATCTTACTGTGATTGATTTTTAATTTAATTACACTATAGTCAGGTAATATACTCTGTATAATTTCAATACCTTTAAATTAATTGATATTTTCTGGCTCGGTGTACAGTCTATCTTGTTAAATGGATCATGTGCACTTGGAAAGAATGCATAAGATTAAATGCATTCTGCAATTGTCAGGCATGGTGCTCTACATATCAGTTAGGTCAAGGTAGTTGCTAGTGCTGTTCATACTATTCCATGTCTTTCTTTCTTTCTATGGTTCTGCAATTCCCTGAGGGTGCTCTGAGGCTCCCTGGGGTGCTGCAATGAACTCACAGGGGCATCTGGGATATTTAAACTCAGTGGCCTCTGTTCCACACTGTGTGAACTACTACTATTAAGTCTTTGGCAGATCTTTCAAATATTGATATATTCCATTCTACTGTATAAAATAACCATATTCATTAATAACACCACTGATTTCATCAGAAACATTGTGAAGTACTGGGAATCTGTAAAGTTCATGGTGGAAAATACAAGCTTTTCAAATTCTAATACCAGTTCCAAATACCTAAGTCTAAAAAAGCCATAGTTTGTCTGTCATTTCTTTTTCAAATAAGGACAATGTTCCATGAATAAAGTGCTAGATTAGTTAGCAATTCTAACAACTGCAAAAATACATTTTCTTGACACAGACACCTTTGTTTATTGTGTAGTGAAAGTGCTTTATGAGATGTTTTCATTTAATTACACAGAATATTAAAAAGATGTGTAATCAAATTTTGGGATTGAATGCAATTAATATATTCAATAATTAATAATTTTTACCACTGTATCGATAACATTTTTAAGTGAGATTGGCTGTTGTGCTTTTGTGTTGCTGTTCAGCTGTGGGCAAGTGGTAGTGGGGAATGCAGTGACTGCTTGCAGTTAGTTGCTGGTGGCTTGATCCACACTCACGGCTCCGGAAGTTTTACCCACCATGGCTGTTCCTCCATCAGTGCAAATCACAGTACAGAAAAAAAAAAAGGCAATGAAACGAGCTTTGCCTTTTCAGATTACCTTGAGGACTCTACTAGGGGGAGAAGTCTGTGGACCAGAATGTGAGAACCATTGAAGAAAGAGATTATTTCGATAATCCAGTCTCCAGAAATCCAACATTTCTGTTATATTGAACTCTGACTCTGCTCCAAATTACTCTCAGCTGATTCTTACATAGTTTCAAAAATCATCTTAACAGAGTACAATGCAGCAGGTGAGAAGAAATCAAATTTGTTAGACCAATCTAAGCAGAGAGAAGAATCTAATTATTCAGTCTTCAAGTATGCATATATTCTGTAAATACTAGGCAATTGGCAGCAAGGGGGAAACGAATTTGCCACATGGTGAAGACAAGCTGGGAGTTTGCACACGGCCTGAGAGAGCAGGTCCTTATGCCTCACTAGCTCCAGCCACCCAGGTGCTCAGCAGTTAAGAGCAGGCGGAAGAGCTGCATCAATCTGAGTCTGTTAGGGTAAAATTACCCTAAATCACTCCTTGATATCAATTCCCCACAAGTAGGAAAAGTCCAAATACAGAAGTCCTTGCTCTGGAGAGCTACATACAGCAAAGCAGAGTGGTGGAGTTAAGAGCTCTGAGCTCAAGACAAGGAGCTGAGATTCGAATCCTGGCCTTGCTGGTTAGAACTTCTGTCACTGTGGGTAGAATATTTCTTCCCTCAAAGCCTCAGCTTCCTCATTTGTAATACAGGGCTGTAAGTACTCACCTTGAACAACATTTATGAATGTTAAAAATGATAAATATGCCAAATATCCAGCATAACCTCTGATTCATATTAAACACTCAAGAAATGATTGTTGTTCTTGCTGGTTTTCATATGAGCAGAGTAGTCAGGCGCCTTGACGTGGAACCCAGACAGTCAGGGACTGGATCAAAACCCCTTTATTTATCAAGTATGTGACTTAACTTACCTGAACCACACAAGTCATTGGAAAATGAGGACAATAATACCTACGGAATGTCCTTAGGGTTGAAGAGGCAGTGTTTGTAAACGCTTAGAACAGGACTGGCCCATAGCAAGTGTCATGCACATGTGAGCTATTGCTGTTTGTAGTAATGCTATCAAAACCTTCATCATACTGTCATTATGATCTTTATCATCACCATGTAGGGTGACCAACAGTCCTGGTTTGCTCTAAACTCTCCTGGTTTTAGCACCAAGTCTCGGATCCTGGGAAACTCCTAAGTTCTGGAAAAAAACACAACAGAGTCGAGCTCTCCCTTGGACTATGAGTCAACAGTCTGCCAGCATTGGTGTTAACGGCCCACTCTCATAAGCCAGACTAGGTCATTACAGTCATCACAGAGTTTATGCGACCAGGCCAGCACCCATTCCACCCCCCAACACATTGGAAGGTAAAGTTTCATTCCTTTCTCAATAATTTCCAGGGAACTGGTCATTCTAAGCAACTGGAAGAAAAACATTTCTACAACAAAGAAGCATTTGAGCGTGAAAAACCTTTTGAGTCCCAGTTTCCGCTCTGCCTTGGAAGCACCGTGATTTGGAGGGGGCCCAACAGCTGTGAGTTTCACTCTCACAAACCAATCATTTCTAAATAGAGCAATACCACAATCTTAATTTTCCACTCAATGGTGAAAGCAGTCACATTATTCAAAATTATTCATCAGCACTTAGTAATTCACATTCTAGAGCAATCTCAGAGTGCTTTAATGTATATATTACAGGCGAGATTTACAGTGGGAATTACAGTATGGCAAATCATTCTTTAAAATGGTGCTTAAATCACACAACTTTAAAATACTAATTATGTAAAATATATTCTGAATTTTTAATTTCTACCTTTGTTTAACAATACTCTCATTACCAACTTCAGAAATGGGATAGCTATATCTTCAGAAACACTCACCCTGAATCCATCCATAATAGAAATAACCCAGTGTTTTTACAATGTCGCTGTCTCCCCAATGCCCCCATTACAAAAAAAAAGCAAATAATGATCATCTAAAAGTCACAATCATCTCAAGACAATGAAGCATGAAATTTCGTTCTGAGACAAAATCCATCTCTACGAAGAGCTTGAGAATCTTTGATGGTCATGAAATAACTATTTAGGTTAAAAGATAAAATTTAAGAAATATTTCTGCTAATGATGTAGCTTGGAACAAAGATACATTATCACCATGTGGTTCCTCCTGTGTACCCATCGACACAGAAACTGGGGGAAGATTTTGCAGCCACATCGATTTTTTTGTTGTTTTTACCCATTTGAAAAAACTTGATTGACCTCTTAGAACCGAGGAAGATTGGTCACTGTTTCTTTGCTGGAGTCTGGCCAGAGGCCATGAAGAGTGGGGAGATGCCCCATTTACACACCGTTGGTTCCAGAGAGCCACTCTCAGGATGCATTGAAGCTCAGACTTTGTTTTAAGGTGGTTTAAAGTAGCTCTCCCTGGCTAGCGATGGTGGCTCATGCCTGTAATCCCAGCACTTTGGGAGGTTGAGGTGGGTGGATCCTCTGAGGTCAGGAGTTCAAGACCAGCTGGGCCAACATAGCGAAACCCTGTCTTTACTAAAAATACAAAAATTAGCTAGGCATGGTGGTGGGCACCTGTAATCCCAGCTACTGGAGAAGCTGAGGCAGGGAATAAGTTGAACCTGGGAAGCGGGGGTTGCAGTGAGCTGAGGTTGCACCATTGCACTCCAGCCTGGGCAACAAAGGGAGACTCCATCTCAAAAAAAAAAACAAAACAAAAACAAAAAACTCTCCCCATAACCCCACACCAGGTGTGGCTCTCCTGTCCTGCACAGAAGCCCACATCTGTGGGCGGTCCATCTCAGTGTAATCTTCCCAAAGTGCTGGGATGACAGTCATGGGCCATCACACCTGACCTAACAGTGTTTTAGACTCCCTGCTGCCATATGCTTAAAAATGAGCCAAAGCCCCTGATGTGCCTAGAACATTGTTCCCTTCTAGTTCTGAAGCACCCTTTCCACTAGGGGAAGACTGGTCCACAGTGGTTCTTGGGTGGCTGGCCTGGCATTTCAAGTGTTTAGGTGTTTTTATTTATTCCCCTCCTGCCCCCAGTCTAATCTCTGTGTTTTACCTTAACTTCTTCCCTGGGACAGTCTGCCATTTTCCAGTTCAACCTTTCTTTCAGATTGTGATCATATGGGAGCCTTTGGAAGGCAAGGTGCAGGTAGGGGTGGGTGTGCACAGGCACACATGCCACAGCCACAGCCACTGTATCCGGCGCTGCAGGTGGGAATGCTGACCCTGTTTTTTCCAGGAGTCGCTGATTCCGATTAATCAGTTAGCAGCTGGTACTTCCTGCTGACTCTAGGAAGAGTTCCGTACATACGGGTTTGGAATGGAGAAGGGGGAAGGAGAAGGGCTAAGTGGCAGAGGAGAAGGGAGGGAAGAGAAAGCTACTTCAAAAATTACTGTTGTTTCTCCCAGGCAGAGGTCACTTCTTAAAATCTCCAATGGTACTCAATTCTGCACACTGAAGATTTTCCTATGATGTGTCTACACCTGGACTTGACATCCTCCCTCGTGTGGAGGGCAGCACTGAGAGGGTCCCTGATGACCCCTACCTCCTGGTATTCACACCTGTGTTTAATTGCCAAGCCTTAAGTGTGGACAGAACCCAGTGACTTGCCTCTAGCCAAAAAAATATGGCAAAAGCAATGAGACGCCACTTCTAAGATGAGGTTACAGAATGACCTGGGCTTTCTTCTTATTCACTGTCTGTTGCTCTCTCCAGCCCTCTCTGCCTCTTTGTTTTCATCTCTGCCTGTCTGTCTCTCACAACCAGCTGCTATGTCTTGAGGACATTCAGGCAATTTATGGAGGTGCCCAGTTGGTGAGAAACTGATGTGAGCGATCTTGGAGGTGAATTTCCTGAGACCCACCAATAGACTCTGAAATGACCACAGACAGCCCCGGCTGACAACTTAGCTGCATTGTCATGAAAGACCCTGAGTCAAGACCCCCAGCTAAATGGTGTTCAGATGCCTAGACCACAGAAGCTGAGATAATAAATGTCTGTTGTTTTGGGGCCACTCAATGTTTGGGTAGTTTGTTATGCAGCAGGAGGTAACTGGTGCATCCTCCAGCCTGCTGCTATCTTTTCATGAGCTTCTCTGCCAGCGTCAGTTACCCAAGCCATCTAGCCCTTTCTGGCTTCTGCCTCACGTTTACTGTGTATATCAATGTGGTCATTTTGAGAATGTTACAGAAACTGAATCATCTAGTAAGTGACCTGTTGAGACTGGCTTTTTTCCCCTACTCACATAATGCTCTTGAGATCCATCCAAATTCTTGTGTGTACTCATAGGTTGTTCCTTTCTATGGCTGCATAGTGTTCTGTGATATAAATGCACCACAGTTTAATTATTTGCATCTTCAAGGACCCAGGTATCAACACCAAGTCTAGTCGACTCCATTCCTTAATCTGTGCTGTGCTGTGCTGTGTTTTCACCCTCAGCTGTTACACTGAGTCAGGCCCTCGTGGCCTCTCCATGCAGCACTACAGCAGGGTCCTGGCTGGTCAGCAACTAGAGGTCCCAGATGCATGGATTTTAAATGAATATTGCAGCATTTTCTAGGTAAAAAAAAAATGAGAAAAAAACACACTTGTTTATAAATAAATGATGATTATTTTGAAAAAATAAAGAGAGCTGGCTGAGCACAGTGGCTCACACCTGTAATCCCAGCACTTTGAGAGGCCGAGGTGGGTGGATCGTGAGGTCAGGAGTTCAAGACCGACCTGGCCAAGATGGTGAAACCCCATTTCTACTAAAAATAGCTGGGCATGGTGGCAGGTGCCTGTAATCCCAGCTACTTGGGAGGCTGAGGTAGGGCAGAGAATTGCTTGAACCAGGGAAGCGGAGGTTGCAGTGAGCTGAGATCACACCACTGCACTCCAGCCTAGGAGACAGAGCAAGACTCCCTCTCAAAAAAAAGAGCTAGGTAATTTAAAGTTAAATATTATTACACAATGTCAGTTGTGGCAACATGGCTCCCTGACCCAGCCCTGAGCCCTCCCATCACTCATCCCCACAGCAGCCAGAGTGACATGCCTCAAAGTGTCCTTCCTGCCATCAAATCTCCCCAAGGCCAGTCCGTTGTCCCTCGGCTGTTTCACATGGCAAACTGAGGCCTCCCTGACCGGGCCTCTGCCTGCTTTCTCAGTGCTCGGCTTCCCCTCTCACCAGTCTCCACACTCCCCATGCAATCCTGGGCCTGCTCACACCCATGAGGGCCCAGGTCCTCTTCTCTGGACTTAAGAACCAAGCCATTCCCTCCAGCAGTGCCACTGCTGCCTGCCTCTCAAGGGTTAGTACAGGCACCGCCTCCTCTGGGAAGCCTCCTCTGCTTGTCCACTCTTCAGAGTTAAGTGCTCCTCCTTTAGCTCTTCTAGAAGCCTGTGTGCCTTCTATCATAGCAACACTTATGGTTTATTTATTTCAATAAGTTGATGCTCAGACGGCACTCAGTAATTGCCAACCACCATTATTTCTACTACCATGGTGATGATGATGATGATGATGACGATGACAGCGATCTGTTTTCTTCAAAAGCCCCAGATCCGCTGAAAACAAGGACTCCCTTGTCACCACCATGTCCTCAGTGCTCCCCAGTGCCCAGACAGTGCCTATGGCAAGTGCCCCGTGCATATGTGTAGCATGAAAAGGTCAGCATCCTGCTGTTTGGAAGTGGTCATGAAAACATTCATTTTATCAGATGTTTAGACTGGAAGTTTAAGGAGCCTAAAGTCCATATGAGCTCAGGTGCAGATTCCAGAAGCAGGGGGACAGGAAGAAAGTGGCAGCAACAGCTAGCTGCCCACTGTGTGTGCCAATGATGGAGTAGGAAGCTATGCACCACGTTCTCACAGCCTCTGAGTGCTGTTGCTCCTTGAGAAGGGAAGGCCCATTCTACTCTGTTTCTTTCTGCACAGAATTAGATGTGTCAGTGAATTGCTCTGAGGAGTAGATTAGTGTCAGTTCCTTGGGTCAGTGCAGAAGGGCTTGTGTAAAAGAAGAAAGGATAAATAGCCAGCTCCCCACCCTGTCTTTGGGAATGCACTTTCAGAACTCTCAAGTCAGAAAGCCCATTTCCTGGGGAAACCAAACTCACCACAGACAGTTAATGCTCAACCAGATTTCATAAACCCTGTTGTTTTCATACTCTGGAGGCTCCAGTATTTTTAAGCTGGAGGGCTCCCCCATGCATGGACTGCACGCTGAGAGCTGTGCTTCACACCAATTGCTCCATAAGCATCTTGTGGAGAAAATCTCCATAGCTTGTGAGAGACAACCTGGAGCCAAACATCAATGCAATCCCAGTCTGGATGAGATAGGACATCAGTCAATGACGCTGAGTCACCCAAGGTCCTCTGGAGGCTGGAGCACACAATGGGAGGCTTTTTGAGGTTGATATAGCTGGAGGACCCAGCTGGAGGCTCCCAAATGGGACCCTTGCCCCCAGGAAAAGGTGTTCTTCAGAGCATGGAAGCCATGAGTTAGCAACAACGTGGATCAGATGGGGACAGAGAGAGCAGAGACACTGCACTGCGTGTTTTGAAATCTCAGTGAGATAGCCTAATTCACCACATTCGATTCTGCAGGAAATCAACTCATTTGACAGAAGAACAAAGCATGCATTGTTCAAGTATAAGAGGCCTGGGCTGCAGGGAACCTGTCCTGACAAGGGGATAATCATCTTAGCTCTGAGAGAATGAACATCACACATTTTGTTCCAGTGAGATATGCACAAGCATTCCAGGTATATTAAACCCGTGACATCTAATATGGTTGGATGTTATTACTGTGGTGAATTTCCCCAATTATTGCCAAAATCTGTTCATTGTGCCTGAGGTCGGAGTGGATCATATACTTGTTCCATGAAGCCTTCATTTGGTGATTTAAAAGATATGCTTCTTTTTAAAAAGTGTCCGAAATGGATAAAGAAATGGTGTTCTGATTGAAACTGAATTTGATTAAATTAAGATGAATCTCTGTGTAGCTCCGCAACCCTCTCAGATGGCCGGAATCTTATTCCCTCTTGACCTTACTTGTGTGTCTCAGGTTCCTTGGACTTGGGGTAGAAGCTGAGTTCAGCAGCCCACTGGCCCCCATGGCACAACTTCCTCATTCACTTTGTTGATGAAATTTCTGGCTCCTGTGAAATGGCGTGGGACTCTTCTGTTAAAGGATATCTCTGAGACATGATACCGATCGTGGGAATCTTCTGTTAAAGGATGTCTCTGAGACATGATACCGATCGTGGGAATCTGCTGTTAAACGATGTCTCTGAGACATGATACCGATCGTGGGACTCTTCTGTTAAACGATGTCTCTGAGACATGATACCGATCGTGGGACTCTTCTGTTAAACGATGTCTCTGAGACATGATACCGATCGTGGGACTCTTCTGTTAAACGATGTCTCTGAGACATGATACCGATCGTGGGACTCTTCTGTTAAACGATGTCTCTGAGACATGATACCGATCGTGGGACTCTTCTGTTAAACGATGTCTCTGAGACATGATACCGATCGTGGGACTCTTCTGTTAAACGATGTCTCTGAGACATGATACCGATCGTGGGACTCTTCTGTTAAACGATGTCTCTGAGACATGATACCGATCGTGGGACTCTTCTGTTAAACGATGTCTCTGAGACATGATACCGATCGTGGGAATCTTCTGTTAAACGATGTCTCTGAGACATGATACCGATCGTGGGACTCTTCTGTTAAACGATGTCTCTGAGACATGATACCGATCGTGGGACTCTTCTGTTAAACGATGTCTCTGAGACATGATACCGATCGTGGGAATCTTCTGTTAAACGATGTCTCTGAGACATGATACCGATCGTGGGACTCTTCTGTTAAACGATGTCTCTGAGACATGATACCGATCGTGGGACTCTTCTGTTAAACGATGTCTCTGAGACATGATACCGATCGTGGGACTCTTCTGTTAAACGATGTCTCTGAGACATGATACCGATCGTGGGACTCTTCTGTTAAACGATGTCTCTGAGACATGATACCGATCGTGGGAATCTTCTGTTAAACGATGTCTCTGAGACATGATACCGATCGTGGGAATCTTCTGTTAAACGATGTCTCTGAGACATGATACCGATCGTGGGACTCTTCTGTTAAACGATGTCTCTGAGACATGATACTGATCGTGGGAATCTTCTGTTAAACGATGTCTCTGAGACATGATACCGATCGTGGGAATCTTCTGTTAAACGATGTCTCTGAGACATGATACCGATCGTGGGAATCTTCTGTTAAACGATGTCTCTGAGACATGATACCGATCGTGGGACTCTTCTGTTAAAGGATGTCTCTGAGACATGATACTGATCATGGGACTCTTCTGTTAAACGATGTCTCTGAGACATGATACCGATCGTGGGAATCTTCTGTTAAACGATGTCTCTGAGACATGATACTGATCGTGGGAATCTTCTGTTAAAGGATGTCTCTGATACATGATACTGATCGTGGGAATCTTCTGTTAAAGGATGTCTCTGAGACATGATACTGATCGTGGGAATCTTCTGTTAAACAATGTCTCTGAGACATGATACTGATTGGCTTTTTTCTTCTAGTTTGGTATTATTGCAGTGAACAAAATAGACCAAAAATAGGTGCATGAGAGAGATGGGTGTGGGTAGAATACACCATGTACATGTGTGCATATATGTAATATGTATACATATGTATACTCTATACATATCTGCAGTAGAGAGGCTGCAGTCGTAACATCACAGTGGCTGTGTGTTTACTCTGTGCCAGGCTTTGTTTCAGAGCTCTACACGCATGAATTCTATTATCCTCATTAGCAACCTCTGAGGGAGGGACACCTATCATTTCCCTTTACTGGAGAAGAAACTGAAAAAGAGTTTTATTAACTTGCCTAATGTCTTGTAGCCAGTAAGTGGTGACATGTGTATGTGTGCTCATGCGTGCGTGCGCATGTGAACTATGGAGTGAAACACAGCATACATGCACAAAGGCACATGGAGCTTAAGTGCACAGCTCAGCGAATTTTCACTCTGAACACAGCCATGGAACCACCTCAAATCAAGAAAAAACTTACCCCAGAATGACCCCTTGAGTCCCAGGCTTTACCTCCTGCTCAGAGGAACCCTCTGTATGAGTCTGTTCGGGGTCCTCAATAAAATATCACAGGCTGAGCAAGTTAAACCACAGAAGTTTATTTCTCACAGTTCTGGAGGCTGGAAGGTCACTATCAAGGTGCCAGGGGAGTGAATTCTGGTGAAGGCCTTCTTCCTGTCTTGAAGATGGCCATCTCCTCTCTGCATCCACACATGGCAGGAAAAAAAGAGAGAGAGAATGGGCACTCTCTGATCTTTTCTTATAAGGATGCTAATCCCATCACAAGGACCTCACCTTCATGGCCTTATCTAAACCTATTTACCTCCCAACAGCCCCATCTCCAAACACCATCCACCTTGGGAGCGAGGACTTTGACGCATGAATTTGGAGGGTACACTACTCAGCCCATAGCACCCTCTTTTGTTTTACTTCTAAACCATAGATCAGCTCTGCCTGTTTGTAAATGTGCATAAATAAAATCCACACCTAGTAAAGCAAACATGGTTTTGTGTCTGCCTTCTTTTGCTCAACATCGCTGTGAGAGTCCAGCAGGTTATTGCACAGGGAAATTGAGCATTTGCAGTACTCTCTAGTACTGGTGTGTGATGGACCTTGGGGTTGTTTTCAGTCTGGGGCTCTTTCACACAGTGCTGCTGAGACGCACTTTTTCTATAGGTTTTGGTAAATGCAGCCCTGCATTTCCACTGGGAATATACCCAGGTGTGGACTCACTTGGTTACTGGGTATGTGTAGGTCCCTTTCGAAAATACCGCTAGTTTTCCACAGGGCTGTTCCAATTTCCTTTCAGCCCACAGTGTATGAGTTTCCATAGATCCACACCCTCGGCAATACTTGGAATTGTCAGTCTTTTTCACTTCAGCTCATCAGATGGGTGTATGGTGGTATTGCGTGGTTACAGTTTGCATTTTCTGGAGGTAAAATGAAGGGAAACTCCCTCCCGTGTTTACTGGCCATTTGAAAATCCAGAAGGCACTGAGTCAAGCCTTCCTGTTGCATTGTCCGCCTTTTGCGTTGTATCAGTCCGTGTTTGTTTACCATTGGTGCTCTTGGTGTTCCATTTAGAAAATCATCGATGATCTCAATGTCAGGAAGACATTCTCTTATATTTTCCTCTATGAGTTTTGTGATTTTTCCCTTTCACAGTTAGATCTACAGTAGACTGGAATGGAGTTTTGCATATCATCTGAGGGAAGAGTGCAGGTCCAGTTTTTGCCCACATAGAAATTCTATTGACCTAGCACATTAATTTAGAAGAAGGACCAACCCCATTGTACCACAGGATTACTTTTGCCATGAATCAAGTGGTTTCCGTGTGTATCTGTTTCTGGACATGAGCCATATTTTTCACCACCACCAAATGGGCCTAAGTGTTGCAGAGAGAGGGTTAGTGCTCTGACAGCATCATGGAGAGGGAGGCCACTTCCCTGTCTTCCTCCTGCCAGTCTCCAGGTCTCAGCTGAAATGCTCCCTCCTCTAGGAAGCCTGTGATTTGGGGCACCCTGTGCAGTGGGTGGTCCTGCCTTTAAGCTTCTTATTTATAGTTGTAGAGTTCTATGTAGCCTGGAAGAGTTAAGCTGCAACCAGGGTATTTAATGGCTGTACCTACGCTTATCAAGGGCTTTCTATCATCTATTTTAACTGTTATATATTCTTCCCTTCGCGATGGTTTGAAAACAGGATTTGGGTAAGTTACTCCAGATGGTGACTCTGGAGCCCACGTAGACAAATGTAAGGTTCATCATCTTTTGCAAAATGCCAAGTTTTCTGATTTTTTCTGCAATAGTCTAGTTACCTACTTTTTTGTAAACATACATGCACACAAACATGCACATACACAGAATACACACATAAACATGAACACACATATTTGAAGGCACATGCCCACACAAGCACACATGCACACACACAATCTTCTCTAATATTTGCACTGTTAAATATTTAGAAGTATAATCCCTTCTTAGAATATTCAGCAGATTATTCACACTAAAAACCCCGCAGCTTTTTAAAAGATGTATTTCACTTTTTTCCTGTGTGTCAGACAGAATTAATCAAGGCTCTAATGATTGTTCTGCAGGTGTTATTTCAAAAACAACCAATACTCCCCAAATCATTAAATTTACAGGGAGACTTTTGATTACAGAAGCTGATGACTATTATTTCTAAAATAGAAGAGATGCAGAGTGACAAAAATCAATGACATGGCCGTTAGGTTACAGCTAAATTTATTCAAGTTTTACATTGCTGAGGTCTCACACCACTTTCTCTGCAAATACTCACTTTATAGTGACTCTCCAGTATAGATACCTAGATATTTATAATTGTTATTCTGATGATTTGGTATTTATTTATTTTTTTGCTTTTCTTTATTTTGTTTTATTTAATTATTTTTATTTCAATGGCTTTACAGGAACAAGTGGTTTTTTGTTACAGAGATGAACCTTGTATTGGTGAAGTCTGGGATTTTAGTGCACCTGTCACTCAAGTAGTGTACATCATACCCAACAGGCAGGATTTTTTATTTTTGTTTCTGTTTTTGTTTTTTTGAGATGGAGTCTTGCTCTGTTGCCCAGGCTGAAGTACAGTGGCACGATTTTGGCTCACTGAAACCTCCACCTCCCGGGTTCAAGCAATTCTCCTGCCTCAGCCTCCCGAGTAGCTGGGATTACAGGAACGCACCACCACACCCGGCTAATTTTTGTATTTTTAGTAGAGATGGGGTTTCACCATGTTGGTCAGGCTGTTCTCAAACTCCTGACCTCATGATCTGCCCGCCTCAGCCTCCCAAAGTGCTGGGATTACAGGCGTGGGCCACTCTGCCCGGCCAACAGGCAGTTTTTAATCCCTCACTCGCCCTCCCCCTTTCTGATTCTCAAGTGTGCATTATACCACTCTGTATGCCTTTGCGTACTCATAGCTTAGTTCCCACTTATAAGTGAGAACATGTGGTTTTTGGTTTTTGATCCCTGAGTTACTTCACTTAAAATAACAGCCTCCAGTTCTATCCAAATTGCTGCACATTATTTTGTTCCTTTTTATGGCTGAGCAGTATTCCATGGTGTGTGTATAACATTTTCTTTATCCATTCATCAGTTGATGAACAGTTCAGTTGGTTCCATATCTTTGCAATTGTGAATTGTGCTGCGATAAACATTCACACACTGGTGTCTTTTTGATATAGTGACTTTTCCTTTGAGTAGATACCTGGTAGTGGGATTGCTGGATCCAATTTCTGAGCATTGGCCATAGTAAAGGCCTGGCTGTGTGGCAGTGAGGGTAGTTTGATATAAGCACCCAGGGATTCCATCTGTGTTGAGGCCCAGTGATGGGACAGTCCATGAGTGTAGAACATCTTCTAATGACACTAATAGGTGAATAGGGATTTCTGTTGGGAGAGCTGCTCAGTTGTCAACTTCGAGGAGACGTAGTTCTTCTGGTTTCAGGTCTGTCGTAGGGGCTACATAAGAATCGAAGCCTAGGTCTTCATAATCTGTATATTCATAGCTTCAGTATCATTGGTGGCCAGTTGTTTTGACAGTGAGAGAGGGGTTGTTAATTTCATCTGTTATGTACAGGATACGTAGGGTTGGGAGGGCAATTAACATTAGGATTATAGTGGGCAAGAGAGTCCACACAGTTTCTGCTTCTTAGGGATCTATAGTGCTAGTATATATTAATGTTGTTGTCAATATGAGGGAAACAATATATCAATATGAGGGAAATAAACCTTCTTTGAGTTCTTCATGACATCTCCATACTGTTTTCCATAGAGACTGTACTAACATTACCGCCCACAGTGTCTAAGCCTTCCCTTTTTACCGCTTTCGTGAGAATATCTATTGTTTATTGACTTTTTAATAATGGCTATTCTGGCTAGGGAAAGTTGGTATCTCACTGTGGCTTTAATTTGCATTTCCCTGATGATTAGTGATGTCAAGCATTTTTTCATGTTTGTTGGCCATTTGTATATCTTCTTTTAAGAAATGTCTATTTATGTTATTTGTCCACTTTTTAATGGGGTTGTTTATCTTTTTCTTGCTGATTTGTTTGAGTTCCTTGTATATTCTGGATATTAGTCCTTTGTTGGATGAATAATTTGCAAATATTTTTTTCTCACTCTGTAGGTTATCTCTTTACTCTGATGACTCTTTCTTTTGCTGTAAAGAAGCTTTTTAGTTTATTTAGGTCCCATTTATGTATTTTTGTTTTTGTGGCATTTGCTTTTGGGGTCTTAGTCATAAATTCTTTGCCTAGGCCAATGTTTAGAATAATTTTTCCTAGGTTTTCTTCTAGAATTTTTATGGTTTCAGATCTTATATTTAAGTCTTTAATTCTCCTTGAGTTAATTTTTGTATATGGTGAGAGATAGGGATCCAGTTTCATTCTTCTACATGTGACTATCCAATATTCATAGCATCATTTATTAAATAGGGTGTCCTTTCCCCCAATTTATATTTTTGTATGCTTTGTCAAAGATCCGTTGGTTGTAATTATTTGGCTTTATTTCTGGGTTCTCTATTCTGTTCCATTGGTCTATGTATCTACTTTTATACCAGTACTATGCTGTTTTGGTTATGATAGCCTTTTAGTACAGTTTGAAGTCAGTTAATGTGATGCTTCCAGATTTGTTCTTTTTGTTTAGGATTGCCTTGGCTATTCAGGCTCTTTCTTGGTTCCGTATGAATTTTAGGATTGTTTTTTCTAATTCTGTGGAAAATGATGTTTGTGTTTCGATAGGCGTTGCAATGAATCTGTAAATTTCTCTGGGCACTATGGTCATGTTCACAATATTGATTCTTTCAATCCATAAGTATGGGATGTATTTCCATTTGTTTGTGTCATCTATGATTTCTTTCAGCCATATTTTGTATTCTCCTGGTAGAAATCTTTTATTAATAACTCCTTGGTTAAGTATATTCTTAGATATTTTATTTTATTTATGTAGTTATTTTTAAAGGGATTGAGCCCTTGATTTGTTTCTCAGTTTGGACATTGTTGGTGTATAGCAGTGCTACTAATTTGTGTACATTGATTTTGTAACCTGAGACTTTGCTGAATTCATTTATCAGATTTGTAAGTCTTTTGGAGTAGTCTTCAGGGCTTATATTGGCAAAGAGAGACAGTTTGACTTCCTCTTTTCCAACTTGGATGCCCTTTACTTTTTTTTTTTCTCTTGCCTGATTGCTCTGGCTAAAACTACCAGTAAAATGTTGAATGGGAGTGGTGAAACTGGGCATCCTTGTCTGGTTCCAGTTCTTAGGAGGAATGCTTTCAACTTTTGTCCATTCCGTATGATGTTAGTTGTGGATCTGTCATATATGGCTTTTATTATTTAGAGGTATGTTCCACCTATGCCTAGTTTGTTGAGGGTTTTTATCATAAAGGGATGCTGGACTGAATTGAATGCTTTTTCTGCCTCTATTGAAATTATCACATAGTTTAGTTTTCATTCTGTTTTTGTGATGAATCACATTCATTGACTTTCATATGTTGAACCATTCCTGCATCCCTGGGATAAAATCCACTTGATTATGGTGAAATAGTTTTTTTCATATGCTGTTGGATTTGGTTTGCTAATATTTTGTTCAGGATTTTTCCATCTATATTCATCAGGGAATATTGGTCTGTAGTTTTCTTTTTTTCTTTTGTTATGTCCTTTCTGGCTTTGGTATCAGAGTGATACTGGCTTGGTAGGATGATTTACAGAGGATTCCCTCCTCAACTTTTTGGAATAGGTTCAGTAGAATTGGTATCAATTATCTGAATGCCTGCTAGAAATTGGCTGTGAATCCATCTGGCCTTGGACTTTTTTGTTGGTAGTTTTTATTATTATTATTATTGTTATTACTGATTCAATCTCACTGCTTGTTATTGGTCTATTCAGGATTTCTATTTCTTTTTCTCTGATTCAAGCTAAAGGCATGGTATATTTCCAGAAATTTATCCATTTCATCTAGATTTTCTAGTTTGTGTACATAGCTGTGTTCATAAAAGTCTTGAACGATTTTTAGTATTTCTGGGGTGTCAGTTGTAATGTTGCCATTTTAACTTCTAGTTAAGCTTATTTGAATCTTCTTTCTCCTTTTCTTAGTTAATCTAGGTAGTGGTCTATCAATTTTGTTTATCTTTTCAAAAACCAACTTTTTGTTTCATTGATCTTTTGCGTTGATTTCGGTTTCAATTTCATTTAGTTCTGCTCTGATTTTTATCATTTCTTCTGCTAGCTTTGGGTTTGATTTATTCTTGTTTCTCTACTTCCTTGAGGTGTGATCTTGGTTTGTGAATCTGTGAGTTTTCAGACTTTTGGATGCAGATGTTTAGCACTATAAACTTTCCTCTTAGCCCTGTTTTTGTTGTATCCCAGAGGTTTTGATATCTTGTGTCACTGTTTTAATTTCAAAAAAAATTTTAACTTCTGTCTTGATTTCATTCTTAACCCAAAAATCATTTGGGAGCATATTGCTCGATTTCCATGTATTTCTACAGTTTAGAGGGTTCCTAGAATTCATTTCTAGTTTTATTCCTCTGTGGCCTGGGAAGATATTTGATATGATTTCACTTTTTAAAAATGTATTGAGACTTGTTTTGTGGCCTATTATATGGTCTATGTTGAAGAATTTTCCATGTGTTGATGAGAAGAATGTTCTGTATACACCTGTTAGGTCCATTTGTTCTAGAGTGCAGTTTAAGTTCAGTGTTTCTTTGTTGACTTTCTGCCTCAATGATCTGTGTAGTGCTGTCAGTGGATTGTTGAAGCCCCCCACCATTGTTGTGTTGCTGTCTATCTCTTTTCTTATGTCTGGTAGTAATTGTTTTATGAGTTTGGGAGCTCCAGAGTTAGCAGCATTTGTATCTTCTTGTTGGATTGATCCTTTTGTCATTATATAATGACCTTCTTTTTCTTTTTTCACAGTTACTGCTTTAAAGTCTGCTTTATCTGATATAAGAATAGCTACTCTTTTTCACTTTTGATTTCCATTTGCATGAAATGTCTTATTCCACCCCTTTACCTTGAGGCTGTAAGAATCCTTACATGTTAGGTCTGCCTCCTGAAGACAATAGATATTTGGTGTGTGGTTTTTTTTATCCATTCCACCAGTCTGTATCTTTTAAGTAGAGCATTTAGATCATTTGAATTCAACGTTAATATTGAGATGTGAGGAACTATTTTAGTCACAGTGTTGATTGTTACCTAGTGACTTTGTTTTCTTCATTGTCTTATAGTTTTATAAGCCTTGTGAATTTTATGCTTTCAGAAGTTTCTACTCTGCTGCATATCAACATTTTGTTACAAAATGTAGTACTCCTTTCAGCATTTTTTATAGGTTTGGTCTAGTATTGACAAAAATTCCTCAGCATTTGCTTGTTAGAGAAAGACTATTTCTCCTTCATTTATGAAACATAGTTTTGCTGGATACAAAATTCTTGAATGACAGTTCTTCTGTTTAAGGAGATTAAAGATAGGACCCCCATCCCTTATGGCTTGTAAGGTTTCTGATGAGAAGTCTTCTGTTAGTCTGGTAGGTTTTCCTTTATAGGTGACCTAACGCTTTTTTCTCACTGCTCTTAGAATTCTTCCGTTCATGTTGACTTTAGATGGCTTGATGACTACATGCTTGGGTGATATTCTATTTGCAATAAATCTCTCAGGAGTTCTTTGAACTACTAGTATGTGAATGTCTAAATCTCTAGCAAGGCTAGGGAAGTTTTCCTCAATTATTCACTCAAAATATGTTTTCCAAACTTTTTGTTTTTTCTTCTTCATAAAAACCTGTGACTCTTAATTTTGGCCATTTTACACAATCCCACATTTCTTTCTTTCTTTCTTTCTTTCTTTTTTTTTTTTTGAGACAGAGTCTCGCTCTTTCGCCAGGTGGAGCACAGTGGCACGATCTCGGCTCACTCCAACCTCCGTCTCCTGGGTTCAAGCGATTCTCCTGGCTTAGCCTCCGTAGCAGCTGATTCTACAGGCATGTGCCACCACACCCAGGTAATTTTTGTATTTTAGTAGAGACGAGGTTTCATAATGTAGGCCAGGGTGGTCTCAATCTCTTGACTTTGTGATCTGCCCACCTCAGCATCCCAAAGTGCTAGGATTAAAAGCGTGAGCCACCGTGCCCATCCACAATCCCACATTTCTTGGAGACTTTGCTCATTTCTTTTCATTCTTTTTAAATTTTGTCTGATTAGGTTAATTTGAAAACCTTGTCTTCCAGCTCAAAACTTCTTTCCTCTACTTTGTCTAGTCTGTTGTTAAAACTTTCCACTGCATTTCGTAGTTCCCTAAATCTGTCTTTCATTTCTGGAAATTCTGATTGGTTTCTCTTTAAAATATCTATCTCAGAAAAATTTTCATGTATAACCTGAATTATTTTAAACAATTTATTTATATTGGTTTTCACTTTTCTCTTGTATCTCCTTGAGTAACTTAATAAGCAACATTTTGAATTCTTTATGTGGTATTTCTCAGATTTCATCTTGTTTGGATCCACTGCTGGAGAATTAGTGTGATCTTTTGTGGGCGTTATAGAACGCTGTTTTTTTTTTTTTTTTTTTTTTTTTTTTTTGCCAGAATTATTTTTCTCACTCCTTCTCATTTGGGTAGATTATTTCTTCTAATTATTTTGAATATTTATTTTTTATTTGACTGGGTTTTCAAAAATTAATTTCTTATTTTTCCCCTTGGGGATGTGACTTTAATGTTTACCGTTTATTGTCACTTAGCTTTGGATCTGGGTGTTTTCAGTGATGAAGGCTCTGTAAGAGTTCCTTGGTTATAGAGAATCTTTGTGCAATTGCTTCCTCAGATGCTGGTTGTAGTAGCAATGTGCTGGGTATGTGAGGAGGTTCACTGCCTCCTATGGGCTGGAATGGAAGACGTTTCATGAAGCATATCTTGTTCCCCAGTGGTATGTACTTAAAATTTTTTTTTGCCCCAGTGTTTTAATCACTGGGTTGAACAATTCAGACTTTAGGTCAGTGATAGGTGTCCATGGGTAAAACCTGGCTGTGGCTAAAGAAGGTGGATAAATGCAGTAGCCCAATGGTGGGCAGACCTCCTAGCCTTGACAAAGCAGCTGTGTAACCTCTTAGTAAAATGTACCAGGGTGTTTTCAGGGGGAAGGGAGGGTGCCACCATAGCTCCTTCCAGGCCAGCAGAAAAGTAATCCATGTCCCAGTCACTCCTGATCCAGAGTTCCAGCTATTCAGATCAAACAAGCACCTCTTTTCATCTGCAGGAATGCTGATGTTCCATGTAGAGAGGGATTATGACTCCACCTCTCATAGAAGCCTGAACCTGGAGGGCACTCCTTCTGTGAAGACACAGTCACCCTGAAGCTTTTCAGAAAGGCTGTCTATGAACACACCCGTATGGAGGTCTCATGAGAGAAGCCCCAGCTGTGTCTGTAGTGGTGGGCAAAAGGGAGAAGAAGCCCCCTTATCCAAGACCCTTCATGAGCACCAGGGCTGCCTGACTGTTGTAGAGCTGCAGACTTTCCCCACTGAGCTCAGCACTGCACCTGTGCCTCTGCTGAAAGAAACTTCCCACAGGCAGGAAGTTCAGGGACCCAAGGCCTGCAGTCTGGTTACTTTTGTCCCAGGGAGTGCTCCCTTATTGTCCTTCACTCCCTCTACCCCTGGAAGTAGCAGTCCCTGAGGGCCATACCACTGTGAACCCTGCTGTCCCTGGGTCTAGCCACCCAGTTGGGCCGCCACCCTCCAGGCTGGTGCTGGAAATGTCTCCCAGGGATCCAGTGATGAGAACTGTTCTCTAGTCTCCCAGCAGTGGGGACCAGCACCAGTTCTAATGGAGTGGGAGGGGTGTGGCATCGACTTTGTGAGACTTTCTTGGTTATAAATAGACTTAGTGTGTTAGCTTTCTCAAATGCCAGCTGTAGTCCTAATGTACTGGGCACTTAGACAGACTCCAGATCTCCCAGTTAGCCAGGGTAATGCAGATGACGGCGATAGCTGAGGTTGTGCAAAAGATTTCTCCTTTCTGAGCACTGTGTTATTTTTTCGCCTGGTTCACACTGTAGGCTGCTGCCCATTGCTTCTGTCAAAGGGTGGGTGGTTTCTTTCAGGTTTTCTGTTAAGTTCTTGTGTTGGTTCTGAAAGTTCTAGTATTTTTCCTGTAGCTTTAGACATCCAACCTGATATTACCAAGATGACTGGGAGTTTGTGGCTAATGCCTACAGAAGAAGAGATGCATCCCTTCCCAGACATCTTATCTGTTGCCCTGGGTAATGAAGACATTCAATTTTTAATTTTTTAAAATTATTATTATTTTTTGAGATGGAGTCTTGCTCTGTCGCCTATACTAGAGTACAGTGCCGCAGTTTTGGCTCACTCTAACCTCCGTCCCCTGGGTTCAACTGATTCTCCTGCCTCAGCCTCCCAAGTAGCTGGGACCACAGGTGTGTGCTACCATGCCTGGCTAATTTTTATAATTTTTAGTAGAGATGGGGTTTCACCATGTTGGCCAGACTGGTGTCAAACTCCTGACCTCTAGTGATCTGCCCGCCTTGGCCTCCCAAAATGCTGGGATTACAGGCATGAGCCACTGTATCTGACTTCAATTTTTTATTTTTTCAAATATTTTTATTTTTAATTATTAAGGATACATAATATGCACATTACCCTGATAATTTCTGAAATATTTTGTAAGGATTAATATACAAAAATTTATTCAACAATATTTATTGGGGTGCTAAGAAATGCTAGGACCCAGGTTAGACCTGGGCTATATGAAGATGAACCAGGCAGACCTATTCTTGCCTTCATGAACTTTTTATTTTCCAGAAGAGATGGACATTAAACTCATAACCATTTGCAGGCATGATTCATAAAAAATGCACTTGAGTACTTCTGTATGGTCATCTTATGGGAAGAAGCCCCAGGGAAGAGTTTGTTAAGCTGAATTCTTGAAAGCATGGAGGACTCCCTAGGACATTGGTTCTAGATATAGAAAAATAATGTTTCCTTTTTATAGCTCTCTTTACCCAAAATCATGTTTCTTCACTTCAACATTCAGTAAGTTGTGGAAAGCTCAAATTTTGAGTTAAAATTTGCACCATCATAAGCTCAAAACAGCTGTATCAAGGAGCATAAGCAGGGACCATTTTGCAGAAAACCCTGGAGGTTTGTTCCTACTTACATCTCCTTTGTCTCCCGCAGTGGGGTAGGATTTTTGCATACATTTTCCTCCCCTCTGTCAGGGGACTTAGGCAATGTCTGGAAACATTTTTGATTGTCACAATTGGAGGTGAAAGCATCTAATGAATAGAGACCAGGAATGCGGCTAAAAATCATACAATTCCCAGGATAGTAACCCCACCCTCCAGCTCCCCACAGAGAACCACCAGGCCAGAAGTGTCAGTAACTCTGCCTCCTCTGGTGTCCTTCTCTGGACTGCAGGCTCCTCGATGTCAGCACAGGGCGGCAGCTGACCCTGCTGTGCACACATGTGCTCTGTCCTGGATGTCGCGACGGGGTGAGTCCTTGTCCTACCAGCTACCAGGTCCGCAGCTGGGAGGTCTCTTAAGTTCCTTAAGCTTTAGTTTTCTCCTCTCGAAAACAGCAATGCCTTCCTCACATACTCATTTAAAGCCCTTATCAACCCTGGATGAAGTTCACAGCTTCTAAAATTTATATCCTAATTTATGTTATTTTTCCTTTTAAAAGTTCAAACAAAAGGAATACATCCCCAAATTACAGCTTAAGTGACGATGTAGAAGGAGAGCTTATTGGCCGTTGAAATGGCCCTGGCACTGAACAATGGTACAGGTTAGATTATCAAGTCTTCACTGTCTCCAGCCTGAGACCGGGGCCATGCCTCCATCCTATAGCTACATCTTTCACTTCTATGGCCTGCATCCCACTTCTTTGTTTTTTTTTTTTTTTTTAGACGGAGTCTCACTCTGTCACCAGGCTGGATTGCAGTGGCGCAATCTTCCGCCTCCTGGGTTCAAGTGATTCTCCTGCCTCAGCCTCCCAAGTAGCTGGGACTGCAGGCACATGCCACCACACCCAGCTAATGTGTGTATTTTTAGTAGAGACGGGGTTTCACCACATTGGCCAGGCTGGTCTCAATCTCTTGACCTCATGATATGCCCGCCTCGGCCTCCCAAAGTGCTGGGATTACAGGCGTGAGCCACTGCTCCCGGCCGCATCCCACTTTTTAATGCATGGCAAATTGGCCTGTGATTTAGATTGTTTTCACTTGCTTTACCATGAGCCAGCACTAAGATGGTACCATTGTTAATGACAGGGTGCCCTTCTGCTCTGCCCTATTCTTAGATTCCAGAGAGCTGTGGCCCCCAACCCAGGCACAACAGCAACCTCTTCCTCCAAGCCTGAGCTATGGAGAGAGAAGTTCCAAGGGTGCTCGTGACAGAACCCCTGTCTTCCCCTGATGCCATATGTCATGTGTGGTCATGTCAAGGCCCTGGCACTCAACAATGACCCTCCAGGATGTTCCAGAATATATGCCTGATCACCTGCCCCATCTTCAGCTCTCCCTGGGCTTGGCCTTGTACTTATGAACCAGGTGAACCTCGTTCCTACCTTTGCAGTGTGTAGAGTCCAGTGGGGGCTTTTTTTTTTTTTTGAGACGGAGTCTTGGCTCTGTCGCTAGGCTGGAGTGCAGTGAGTGCAGTGGCGCGATCTCGGCTCACTGCAACCTCCGACTTCCTGGTTCAAGTGATTCTCCTGCCTCAGCATCCCGAGTAGCTGGAATGACAGGCACATGCCACCATGCCCAGCTAATTTTTGTATTTTTAGTAGAGTTGGGGTTTCACTATGTTGGTCAGGATGGTCTGAATCTCCTGAACTTGTGATCTGCCCACCTTGGCCTCCTAAAGTGCTGGGATTACAGGTGTGAGCCACCGCACCTGGCCGAGGGTTTTTTTTTTTTTCAACACAGTGTTGCCCAGGCTGGTCTCAAACTCCTGGGCTCAAG
This sequence comes from Homo sapiens, assembly GCF_000001405.40. Classification (NCBI taxonomy): domain Eukaryota; kingdom Metazoa; phylum Chordata; class Mammalia; order Primates; family Hominidae; genus Homo; species Homo sapiens. The sequence goes on from NC_000020.11 coordinate 60,424,127, forward strand.
CAATCCTCCTTTCTTGGCCTTCCAAAGTGCTGGGATTACAGGTATAAGCCAAAGTGCCTGGCCAAAGGGCATTAATTTAAAAATACACCCATAACAGTGAAATTAAACTGAGAAAAGAGCTGCAGAGAAGAAGAAAGGGCAGGTGCTACCACTGCAAATAAGTCAGGGTCTGGTGCAGCCAGGAGGCCACTGAAAGCTCAGCTGAGGCTGTGACAGTGAAGACGAGCCTGCCACGAAGGATGAGGGACTTCTCCAGGAGCTGTGGAGAGTGGGGTGGGAGAGGCCAAAGCCTGCAGGCTGGGGGTGGAAGAAGATGACTCTGTGCTGGAGGGTAGGCCTAGGAGGAGAGTGCAATGACAGGAAATCGTGCATTTCACTCTAAGCATCCCAAGTGAGGCAGGGCCAAAAAGGCTGGGAGGTGGGACCTTATCTCTCCTTCCTAACTTAACTCCCTAATTGCCAGCAGTAGAGATCCCCCACCCATGATAGGAGTAAGAAAGTTTTCCCCATCACAGCAGCACTCTCTGCAGAACCTCCTGCCAACTATGTTGCATTACTCATCCCTCTCACCCCCACCACCCAGGATATCCTGGCAGCATCTCAGATCTCACAAGCAAAGAGAGACAGGGAAGTTTCTGCAGGAGAAGGACATAGTCAGGTACATGAATGGAAAACCTCTTGGCTCCTGCCGGGACAGTGGATTGGAGTAGGCAGGGGACCAGTTTGAATTCTGTTGGGAAGGGAATGATGGTGGCAGTGGCAAGGGGAGGGGTGGATGCATTCCTGTGACACCTCAGAGCTAGGATGCAAAGGTCTTGGAGTTGTAGTCTGGGGGCTGAATGAGAAGGAGCTGGCAGATGTGACTCCTGTGCTTCTGGCTATTCACTTGCATGGACAGTGGCTACTCATGTGCAGAAGTGTTTGCTGAGAAAATCCCCTAGAATGGAGCCATGTTAGGGCAAGTGATGGTGGTGTTGTGTGGACATGTGCCCTTGTCTCATCCTGAACACCTGTTTCCTAAATGTGGCCCATGCTCCCCAGCGTAGACCTCCACTTGCAACACTCCACTCGCCCTCTCCCTCTTCTCTTGGCCATCCCCATGTCCCAAATCTTTACTCTTCTTTTAGTGTTTGGCTAAGTTGATTTGCCCTCCAAAAATGCATCTTCAGCATCCTTAGCCAGGCAGAGAGTCAGAATTTCACTTATTTAAACAGAACCTGAGAGTTTGAAAGGAACTCAAAGTCACCAGTTGCCATAAGCAGTGGCAGTGTTTCAATCCTGTCAGTGACAAGGAGCCTTAGTGGAGTTTTTTTGTTAGTTTTTTTGTTTTTTGTTTTTTTACAACATTGAGGTAATTATTTAATGACACAGGAAAATAACATGTTATGAAACAAGCTGGTTACAAGTAGTAGGTGATGACTTCATTTTTTATAAAAAAATTAAAAAGCACGAACATGCATATAAAAATTAGATTATGTACAAAATACCAATAGTATTTACTTCTGCTCAGTAATTAAATATTCTTCTCTTTGTTTTTGTCTTTTAAAAAACATAATTTCTGAAAAAAATCAGAAAAACATGATCCTGGAGAGAGTTATTAAACACCAGGAATTAGGGACCCAAGAAGCTAAGCCAGGAGCTCAGCAGTCAAGGTTGGAAGCCCAGGACAGGTCCGACCAGAGTGATGGTGGCCAAACCCAGAAATGGAAGATTGTTCTTTTCTTTTCCTACTGGAATGTTCTTTACCAAACAGTTTTCTCTACAATAGATACTAGAGCACTTATTTAATGGGATCCTATGATTAACTGGCAAAACAGCAAAATGATGCTAGCAACTTTGGCTTTGAACTGCTACAAAATGTACTATCTTGTAGTTATATACTATACAAAACACACTAGAAATCAAGTGCTCCTACAAAAAAAAACTCATCTGACTAAATCACTGACTTTGCTGTTTTTTTTTTCTAACTTTTTCATTTTCAATCTTCACAGCAAATGTATTTTTTGTTTCAGGGCCTGGAAGAGGTATTTTTTCCTCAGAAAGAAGCTAACATTAATGTGTGTTGGGCACTGTCTGATGCCTTGGCTCTAACTCCAAGTAAGCTGCCCTGGTCTTCTAAGTACTCTACAGAGTGCAAAGGCTTACCAAATCCAAACCACCTTGAATTAAACAAATCTTAATGAGGAGCATCATCATTCTTTGTATGTGCGTTTTTAAAGTCTTTCATAGTGTCCCCTTTCCCGTGGGGTACCTCAAGTCTTCTCTGCCAACTGCTCTCACACCTCTCTTCCATAGCTCTGAATGCCAGAAACATCTGTCCATCAGGCTGCCGTAGCTGGCAGCTGGGTGGTCTGCCCTGGATGATTGGGGTAAAATGCAACTTCCAAGTGATGTGTTTCCTTTTAGGATGTAATACATGAGGAGTTGGTTTCTGTGTGGCAGGACCCACCTTTCCCTGTCCAGTGTTGATGACTAGTCTTCACCAGAGTTGTCCATCAGCTCCTGAGCACAAAACATTCCCTTTGTGTCTAGTGTTTGCTTCTGGGCTGTCCTTTGCCCACTGCTCCTAAGACAGGAGGATAACCATGCACTGGTTCCTCTAGAGATGTAAATCCTCTAGGCCCACAGGGGTCACCTGAGACATCTGTCTCATGACTGGTGATGATTGTTGCACTATCTTCACCCTTCAATACCACCTGGAGAACAGGGATCTTGTTGTAGTGAAGCACCTAGCACAGTTGCTGGCACAGAGGAGGCCCTCAATCAATGTGTGCTGAGCCCATGTCTTATGAGGAAGGAGATTCCAGGAGACAGAAGGAAGCAGTCGAGCATCCCCTGGTGCCTTCACTGCTGTTGGACAGTGGACGCTCGGAGGATGCCCTCCTGGATCTCCTGAGTAATTCAAACTTCTGACTTCTCACATTTTAAATAGTGTTTCAGTTTCCAATCCTGATTGGAAAGGAAGGGAGGGTGGGGGAGAGGGAGGCCAGGGGAGGGCAGTGAGCCCAGTGCAGTGATGAAGAACACACCCCCCACAGCAGGGCTGCCGGGGTCTGGTCACGGCTCTGCCACTCACCGGGTTGTTTAACCTCTCTGTGCCTTGGTTTCTACATCTGAAAATGCAAATAATAACCCCCATTTCCTAAGCTGTCAGGAGCATGCCCTGAGTTAATATATGTGAGGACTTAAAATAGTGCCCATTGATGTGTTAGCTGTCATTATGCTATAAGCACTTGTTGAAAAAAATAAAAGATCTTAGAATTTTCAAAAATGCATCAAGGTGAGTCTTCTGAAAAAACATCAGAGCTCTTTGTTGGATGTTTTATACCTTACAGTTTATTAGAGGGATTTAATTTGAATTATAAATCAGGTAGGGACACCATCGTCTTCTCTGTCCTTAGAGCCTCTGAAAACCCTAATGTAATGTTGATGGGGAAGACGGGGAAAGGAAGAGTCCTTGACAGAGAGCATGGCGGGGAGTGGCGACAGGGTGTGGGAAGACACAGGTGGGAAGACTTCTCCTGAGAGAGAAGCAGCTCTTGCTTTCACCCCTCCTTCCCTCCTGCTCCTCACTACATCCCCAGGATTAGCTCAGCATGGCTGAAAGGAGGTATCCAGGGTCCATTCCTTGCAGGCACACCTCACCGACACAATGAGCTTTTACCCAGGAGACCTGGTGCTGATGGTCACCTGCCCACCAGAGCACGGCTCTTGAACTCAGCTACTTCCGTTTATCTTGAGTGCTCCTTGCTACTGGATTCTGTTTGCATCTAATTCCACTTATTACTTTGCTAACAAACCTAGCTATCATCTGGGTATAATTTCAAGAGTAGGAAAACCCTTGGCTGGAGAAGGTCGTGTAGTGCCAGCTCTGTTTCCACCACTTATCTGTGCCATGAATCCATTCTGTCAGGCATGTTGATGCCTCCCATCTTATTTGGGCACTGAGGATGAAGTGACATGCAAGGCAGATCCAGTCTCTGCTCTCCTGTGGGCAAATAAGCCAAGTGCAACCGTCAAGCAAAGAAATCGAACCCTTGAGATTTTTGGTAAGAGTCATGAGCTTGCAATCAGGCCCAGAGATGGAGAGCTATGATATTTGGGTGTGTTTCTTGGCATCACCTAGACTCGGTTTTCTCACCCTAAGATGGGTGTACCTTTGCCTACGTGATAGTGTTGTCATGAAAAGAAACATTTCATACAATATTTGGTGCACGGTCTAGCAGGGAGTAAATGCTCAGTAAGAGTATGATTCTCTCTCCAAGAGAAGGACTTCCTTTTTTTAATTTTATTTTTATTTTTTATTTTTTTACTGTATAAAGCATAAAGAACCCTGCAATTGCGATGCTTAATCATTTATACTCTAGGGCTAAGGAAGGGAAGGATTTGTCCCTCTGTTTTTTTTATTACTATTTTTCCTATGGCCTTTCTGCTTTGCTAAACAGTTAGATTTCAGGGGATTATTTGCATGTCAGAGAGGGACTTTCAAGAGTGAACATTCTATTGCTGTGTAAAAAAAATCACTGTAGGACTTGGTTATTTTAAAGAACCTACATTTAGTATCTGTCAATTACTGTGGGTCAAAAATTTGGGAGTGGCTCAGCTGGTGATTCAGGCTCAGGGCCTCTTGGGAGACTGCAGGCAGGATGTCAGCTGGGGCTGTAGCCCTCTGGAGGCTCGATGCCACCATGAGTCCCTCCCATGGCTGTAGGCTTGGGGCCTCAGCTCCTCAGCATGGTAAACTTCTCCATAGAGCTGCTTGAGTGTCTTTACAATATGGTGGCTGGCAACTTGCCCAAGAGAGAACAGGGAGGGGAGAGGGAGAGATACAAGAGATGGAGTAGCCACAATGCCCCTTATGTTCTAATCTTGGACATCACACGTGTCACTTTTACTGCATTCTATTTGTTAGAAGCAAAGCACTAAGTATATCTCATACTTGAGGTGGGAGGAATTAGCCTCCAACTTTTAAAGTGAGAATTATCCAAGAACTTGTGGACATCATAAAGAGAACAAAAGATCCAGACATGGAGGGCCTTCCTAGTATATTTGTGTCTTGGTCTTCTGTCTTCTCTAGACTCTGAGCTCTCATGTAAATAAAAAAATAAACCTTCTCATCTTTTCAGTTGTGAATTATGAAAATTAATCCTCCCCATCCTCTTCAGTCTGCCTGGTGGAGCTGAACTGTGAACTTTCCCTTTACTGACCATTTACACTGTGAGACCATTCCATCCATCAGTCAGTGTGGATGCACACTCCTCACCTACGTGGAGCTTAGTCGCTGAAATTTAGACAGCTGTGTCCAGGGACTTCAGCTCTGACATTAAGGTGTGTGTTTTAGCCTCGCCAGAGGGGAGCAAGAGGATTTCTCCATCAAACAAAGAGGTCAGCTCTGCAAAGCATCTATGAAACCAAAGTCAAGCTTGCTATTTTGCTGGTCTGTTTAGCCAAGGCCTGTATGTTCTCTCAGTTCCCACCAGAAAACACTGTTTCTGGGAAATTTCACCATGGATTCTGTTGACTGCTGCAGTTTTGCTGCCTTGGTAATGTCCTGAAGGAATACATTCTTCACCAGAGATCCACAAAAAGAGTTTAGATGCTTTCTGAAATTTTATGCAAGGTCGGTGGCCATAACATGCGGTTTTTGGGGAGAGAGTCTGTATTTTTTTCAGACTCTCCCTCAAGGTATTCAATGACAGTCCCTCTGCCTCCCACTGAAGCACAGATATGTCAACAAAAATATTAAAACCCACAAGCTTTACTCCCTAGAGCAAAGGGTGTGGTTTTCTTCTGATGCTTGTGACTCTGGTATACCTGGTGAGTGGAAGGACAGATGCTTTGACTGTGTGATGGTGGCTGCATCTGCCCTCCCCTCCCCCTGCAATTAAACTGTGAACATCAAGATGCAAAGGGCTATGCCACCCTCTTCCATCAGTGATCAGGCCTTTCCTTACAAATGGTTGTTGAATTGAGCTTTTGCATGCTTGCTAGAGCTTGGTTAAGGAGTCGTTTCTGGGTAATAGTTCCTGTTGCTATGTGCAGGTCTTGCCCAGAAGAGAACTGAGTTTCAGCTAAATGGCCGTCAGTTTGTCATGTGCAAAATAAGCAAGGTAAGTCCACAGGCAGGTCCAAACAGAATTGCAGAAATAAATGCAATGCCACTGAGCCTGCCCTTTTTTGACTCCCTAGAGCCCTTGCCTTCTTCCTCTCTCCCTCCCTTAGCAAAGCTTTAACCCAGATTCACCGCCTGGCCATCACTGTGCTGAAGGCCAGGAAATTGAGATGAATGGGATGCACTTGCTACCTTGGAGCTCCATGTCTAGAAAGGCTGGCGTTTAATAATCAAACACACTCAGAACCCACTGACATCACGGATCAGGAACAAGACCCCTCCCAACCCACCCCTACAGTCTGTTCTCAACACAGCAGCCTGAGTGGTACTTTACAACATGGATGAGATTCACCAGCTTCCTCCTCTGCTCCAAAATCCTTTGCCACCTGCCCGTTACACTCCGAGTAGAATCCCATTCTCACGGCGGCTTGCAGGACCCCATGTGATCTCCTAACCCCCTATATCTCCCCTCCACACTCTTCCCTCCTGCCGCTCTCACCCCTGCACAGCCTCACTCCTCTCCAGCCACGCGTGCCTTCATCCAATTCTGGAAGCAAACATCATTGCGGGGCTTCTTCTTACCACAGGGCCTTTGCACTTGCTGTTGTCTCTTCCTGGAATGCTTTTCTCAGAAGGTCCCGTGGGTGGTTTCTCCTAGTTGTTCTGGTCTTGCTTCAATAGTCGCCTCTCATGGAATCTTTCCTTGTTTACTCTTTTCCGAATGGCCCTCTCGCCCTATTACTCTACATCCGTCGACCTTCACCATGTCCTTTTTGCAGGTGTACAAACTTTTTGCCTTTGCACGTGTCTGTCACTAGAAGGCCATGCAGTGGGGAGGGGCCAGCTCAACTCTGGGATCCTCAGTGCCCACCACACCGTGGCACTGAGCTAGCACCAGCTAGTATTTGTTGGATAAACAAAGCCCAGGTATTTTTGATTCCAAACCCTGTGTTCTTCCCACTACCCAGCCCGCCCTGCCAGGATCTTACCACACCTGCTATTCATCCCCATAAGAGAGGAGCCTCACCTTTGTATAGGTCTAATTTCCATATATAATGGCATTGCACTGATAATATCAGCGACCAGAACAGTAGTAGGTGCTCAGTACACATGTGTAATTTGAATAAATGAATGAGTAAAGGAATGAATTAATTAATGAATGAACAAATGGAGTTTTAACCAGAGGTGGTAACTCTGGCTAGGAGGGTCGGGGGCCTTTCCAAAGGAGGCAGATGTGAGCTTTTTCTGAGGACAACTGGAATCAGCCCAGGGAGGCAGGGCAGGGCATAGGTGGGCAAGAGTGTCCCCTCCTCCGTGTTCCCTGGCCCCTTCCATGCCCCGGTCTCCTGCTTCCTCTCCACTCTGCGCTTGAATAGGTTCAGGTGTCCCCTAGCTTGAAAAACACCCAATTCACCTGCCCCAGCTGTGCCTTTTAGCTAGCGTCTCCTTTCTTTTCCTTTCATGCCAACCTTCTCAAATAAGAGTTCCCTATTTCTTTCCCCCTTTCTTCTCCACCTGCTCCCTCCTGAAACTTTTATAGCATTTCTCATGCGGAGCTATTATTCGTCTTTGGAAATGGAACTCTATTGAGTAAAGAGGCGCAAGACAGCTTGGGATCAAGAAGTTCTGTGAAAAAAGGAGAGTGATTTTTGAAGACAGTACACCAGTGGTGGAGGATGAGACGGAGGGGAAGAATGCCACGCCCCTTCAGGAAGGTGGAAATGGGCTCTGTGAGCGCTGGGAGGCAGCCACATCCCCATTCCTGAGAGATCATGCCATTCTTAGTGTGCTGTGATCATGGGCACCTCAGCGTTAGGACCTGTGAGAAAAATAAAATAAATTGTGTATATATTAGTGTATCTATGGATGCATACACACATATATGCATGTATAAACATGCAAACAAAACATAAATGTGTGCATCAAACTAGTGGCTCAGTGTTGTAGATTTTGGCTACTATTGCTTCATTTAGAGCTGTGTGCACAATTAGACCCAGAAATTCTGCTTCTAGTTATTTATCTTAAGGAGATGCTCACATATGTATGCAAAGATGCATATTTCACAATATTCATTACAACGTGGTCTGTAATAGCCTTCTGAATGTCCACAGATAGGAGACAGGGTAAATAAATTCAGGTAGAATGAGGTGACTGCATATAAATAAACAAGCACCATGAATCAAGATAAATCTACACTTGCCGATGTGGGAAGATCACCAAGACTCGTTGCTTTGTGAAAAATGTAAGGGGCTTTGTATTTTGAAAAAGATGCTAGGGGTATGCGTATATGTATATGTGTAAGTGCACGTCCTTTTGTTATTTAAATTCTCACTGTGTTTCATTTTCATGATAATGTAAGAATGTCCGGTTTCATTCAATAATTTAAAATTGCTTCTTTAATGGCAAAGATAGTGGAGATGGCTGTGTCTAAGGCTCAGACTCTCAGGGGTTTAAACTGACGCATCTGATGTTGGTATGTTTTGCAAGCAGGAGGTGCACAGGCTTTGGAAGTGAAGTGAAATGAACTCTTTCCTGTCTGGGGCAGCGGATCTCCTTTGAGACCCCTTCATGACGCATCCCAGCCTTTGAGTCTGACAGTCATTTGGCACCTCCATGCAAGTGATTCTTTCAGACCAGGTGACAACATGCCCCATTGTCTCCCAATGCTTCTATCTGCTGGGTATTTAGTCAATATGTGTTTTTCAGCACTTACCAGTAACGAAGCACTGGGCTAGGAATATCAGGTGAGCAAAATTAGATGTGGCTCTGCCCTCCTGGAGACCACAGTCCAGAGGGAAAGACGGAATTTCATCAAAGGACCTCGCAAATCAAATGTCAATTGACAAGTGTGGGAATTGCTGCAAACAGGAAGGCCCAGGGCACTATGGAGATGTGTCATGGGGCTGCCTGCATGGTTGTGCAGTCCATTCATTGACTAGGGGCTCCCCGTGTTTGTGGGGTGCAGTGAGAGGGACCTGCAATCTAGTCCACACTTCACTGACCAAACTGCACTCGAGTGGAGAACTGTGTCTGCCTGGCAGGGGGCACTCCCTTCCCCTCCCTAGGCTGCAATCCCTCAGCACTGTGCTGGCCCAGGGCAATGCCCTAATTCTCCACACAGACAGGGAGCCACAGATTAATTCTCGAAGGATTGCCTGTAGTTTGGATGTGTCCTTGGCTATGGCCTTACAGGGATATCAGAGAGGGCTTCCTGGAGGAAGCAACACATGAATTCTGAGGGGTGTCAATTAGGCATGGAGAGGAGGGAAGAGTTCTCAAGCCCCAAAACAGCAAAGGCCCAGGGTGGAGAAAGTGTGGTAAGTGTGGGATGGCGGTGATGGAAGAGATGCCAGGATGATGCAGGGAGCATCTTTGCATAGTCCCTTTTGCACACAGGTGTGAACATTCTGTATGATAAATAAGAGTTTGACTTGCTGGGTCGGAGCTTGAACATTGAACATTTTGTCAATCTAACTAACAGAGAGAGGCTCTCTAAAAGACAATGGTATTTATTCGAGAATAGGGTACTGCAACAGAAATATGCTCACCTTAGTAAACTATGTGTGTATTCAGGGAGGTCAAAGAAAACAAAGGCTTTTTAAAGGAAAGATGAAAAGGATTACACAATTGTTTTCAGATACTTATCCTTGGCTGCAAGGATAAAGAACAAGGATGATGCCAGTCGGAGGTTGGACAGGAAGTTGCTGGGCAGGTGTCTTTGCAGAAATATCTTTTTGTGTGTAAAGTTACAAGGGCCTCTGGGCAAGATGGCAGGTTTTGCAGTCTTTTGTGATAGTTCCTGCACAAGAACCCTTTTGTTTATGGCCTTCCATGGCTCTATTTTTCAGATTTTTAAAAACACTAGTGACTCTATTTTGATTCTGAGTACTTTCACACTTTCAATGAGCCACAAACAAGAGGGGCCTCACTGGCCCACAAAGGAAGACTACTCGTCCTCCCCTCTTCTGGCCAGAGCCAAGCTAACCTCACTGCTTGCATGGAAAGGCCACCTTTGTGTCCTTACTGGACTTCCAGCCAACTCCTTTCTTCCTTAAGGACCTTCTGAGTATGGCTTGCGGGTATCACTGAAAAGAAAGAAGTCTCTTCTTTACCCTCAGTTAGTCCTCACCCAAATCTCACCTTGAATTATAATCCCCGTAATCCCCACGTGTTAAGGGAGAGACCAGGTGGAGGTAATTGAAACACGGCGGCAGTTTCCCCAATGCTGTTCTCGTGACAGTAAGTTCTCACGAGATCTGATGGTTTTATAAGGGTATCTTCCCTCCATGCTCTGTCTCTTGATGCCTTGTGAAGAAGGTGTCTTGCTTCCCCTTCGCCTTCCACCGTGAGGCTTCCCCAGCCATGTGAACTGTGAGTCAATTAAACCTCTTTCTTTTCCTTTAGAAATTACTCAGTTTGGGGCAGTTCTTTATAGCAGTGTGAGAATAGACTTATATGGTGAGGTAGCCACAGATGCCAACAACAACTGGCTGCAGATGTCAGCCTGGTCTTGCCTCGGGCTGGATGTATGTGGCCATGTGAGGTGGACTGGAGGTGGGTGTTCTCATTTCACAAGTGGAAGAAAATGCATAGTGACAATGCTACAAGGACTTTAGAGCTATCAAGCCAGCGACTCTCTAAGGGACCTAGAGCCTGCAAAAATGCTTCCAAGGAACATGGGAAGGGGAAGGAAAAGATGGAACCAGGGCTTGCCATTTCTGCTTAATCAGAGTTCTCTCAGTTTATTTTTTCTCTATAATGGGGTCCCCTGGGCTGTCATGTTTTTAAGTCTCACAGTATATACAACTGTGTAATGGGTTGAAAATTGCTGAAGAGATCAAACGCTATGATTTTATATAGGTAAGAAAACTGAGGGACAGAAAACTCTCAGCTATACAGGAAATGGCGGCAGATCCTTAGACTGGGATCTGGAGCTTTTTGTTCCCAACCCTTGCCCTGCCTCCTCTAGGCTGGGAGTTTTTTTATACAGCTGGGTTGTGAGCCCTGGCTACAGATTAGAATCACCTGAGAAAACATTTTAAAATTACCACACCTGAGCCCACCCCATCCATGCTATCAGAATCTTTAGTGGTGAGACCCAGGCAGCTGTATTTTTGAAAGCTTCCCAGGTGATCTGAATGTGCAGAAAGTTCTGAGAAGACTGCTGAGTAGAAACCTTTAATGGGAGTCATCAAAGTTGCCTTGGATGGAAAAATAAAACTGCAATTGTTGTGCTGGACATAAACTTTTCCATGTTGCTCTTCAATATTGCTATATGTGTAGAAAACAAACCAGATTCAGAGGCAACCACACTTTCATGTATGGTGCAACATTGCCCCAAAACTTGAGTCTACAGGGTTTCAAAGGGGCTCATGATCTCAATGTGACCTTATGCCTATATAACGACATGCATATAATCAAACACTTAAGATCTGTGCATTTCACTGTATGTACATTTTACTTTGGAAGAAAGTAATCAGGTACTGTTTTTACCTCCCCAGAGTGATCTGGTGCTAATGTCATTCTCTCCAAGTGGATTCTAGGGCACTTGAACCTGTTTCTGAAGTTTGGTGTTGACCCCGTGGTCATAAATCCAGGGATTGCTGGTTGTGAACTGACTCTCCCCTGACATCTTCCTTTGGGCTGCTGGCCAATTGAAAGCAGCTCCAGGGGGAACTTGTGTGAAGGATATGTGTGCAGAGGGATGCATTCAGATGCCTGTGATGTTGCAGAGGAGTATGTTTCATATCCTAATTACATGAAGCTTGTTAAGCTGAAAGTGTTCAGATGTGCCTGGTTATGTCGGTTAAGTGTCATCGGGGCATCACACAGAGCGGGGATACAGAATGTGGAATCTCAGGATGTGGAGAGTCCCTTGGGGGCATTTCCTCCTGTCTGCAAGGGGCTGGGTGTCTTGGTCTTCCAATGTCCTGTTTATATCTACTGAGTACAACTCCTTAGCAAGATGCCTGAAGCTAAGGAGCCCTTTGTTGTAGCTAAGGCGCTTGTGTACTTGGTGCTTTGCAAGAAGTGCAATCATCGAGAAGAGACAAGGTCTTTCTACCCCCTCTCTCCCGTGGAAGCCTATTTATCTCCGCGATAGACAGTTTGCTCTTCATTCACTTGTCTAATCTATCTCCCAGCAAACTAATCTTCTCACTGAAAAATGTTGAGCTGTTACAATTTCAAAACTCTGAATGTCTCACATATTTGCTGAAATTTTCCAGTATCCCAGGGGCCTGGAGAAGTCTCTAAGCCTTTGTTTTGTATCCTAGGCCTTGATACTATTAATAATAGGAAGAGCTGCATTGTATTCATAGAGCTGATACAATGCACCAGGCTTTATGTTGGGTGTGTTGCCTTCACTATATGCTATTTTTATAAAACTGAAGTAAGATTTACATACAGTGAAATGTATCTTAAATGTGTAATTACATGAGCTTTGACAAATGTATAACAACCAAATTAAGATATGGAACTCATTACCCTAGATAAACAATAGCAAGACCATTCAGATTTTGTTTCTCCTTTTTTCCCAGTTCCTTTCAAATAAGTTTTATATTTTTAATCAACAAATAACAATTGTGTATATTTTGGGGATGATTCAATGCATGTACATATTGTGGAAATATCAAATCAGGCTAATTAGTGTATCCATCACTTCAAATATTTAACATCTTTGTGGTAAGATTTTCTCTTTTCTCACATCAGTTTTGGTAAGTTGTGTTTTCCATTTCATCTAAGTTGTCGAGTTAATTGGCATAGCTGTTTATAATAGTTTCTTAATATCTTTTTAATGTTTGCGGGATCTGTCAGGACATATATTCTTTTTGGTAATTTATCTTTTCTCTCTTTAACTTGTTTAGTATTATAAAGGGTCCAAACATTTTATTACTCTTTCCAAAGACATAACTTTTGGATTTAATTTTTATCCTACTTTTGTCTGTTTCCTATTTCACTAATTACTTCTCTTATAATTTCTGTAAGGTAATAAAATTAATTTCCTTGGTCACTTCCTGTTCCTCCCACCTCCCAGTACCTGGCAACCACTGATCTACTTTATATTTCTATGAATTTGATTATTCTGGACATTTTATTTTATAGTCACAGAATATGTGCCTTTTCTTTCCCTCAACATGTTTTCAGAGTTCATTGACATTGTAGCATATACTAGTACTTCCTTTCTTTTTATTGCCAAATTATATTCCATTTTATGAATAGACCACACTTTATCTTTCCAGTCATCGATTGATGGACATTTGGGTGGTTTGTACTAGGAATACTACGTATAGGTTTTAACAGTAGAATTGCTGAGTCGTAAGAACCTATCTTGAGAAAATGTCAATAGGTTTTCCAAAGCAGCTGCCTCATTTTATAATCACAGCAGCCAAGTAAATAGTTTCAACTTCTCCACATCCGTGCCAACACTTGTTACATTCTTTTTTATTTTAGCCATCTTAGTGTGAAGTGGTATCTCACTCAAAATAATGTATTTCCTTTGTGATTTCTGCCCCAACCTATGGCTTACATAGAAGTGCATTCTTTAATTTCCAAATCTTCAGGGTTTTTCTAGGGTTATTTTGATATTAGTTAACATTACTTTCTAATTTAGTTCCATTGTGATCAGAGAACATTGTAAGATCTAATTCTTTTGAAACTTACATATTTTGAAAAATTTTATATCAGTGGAATAATTTAGTATGTAGTGTTTTGAAACTGGCTTCTTTCACTTAGCATAATGCATTTTAAATTCTTCCATGTTTTGTATATATCAGTAGTTCCTTTGTATTGCTGAATAGTTTTCCATCATGTAAATATACTGGAATTCGTTTCTCCATTTGGGTTACTTTTAGTTTTTGACGATTAATCATTTGTGTACAAAACTTTGTGGAGTGAAATAGCTGTGTCATTCATTGAGTATATGTTTGACTTTATAGAATTTCCAAGGAATTTTCCAAACATTTCCAAGGAACTTTTAAAAGTGGCTGAAACATTTTCTATCTCACTGACAATGTATAAGAGTTTTATTTGTTCCAATCCCATCCAAAACTTGATATTCTCAATGTTTGTTTTATTTTAAGCTATGTGTCAGTTGCACAAAGGTGTCAATTGTTTTAATTTGTATTTCCCTGATGACTAATTATATTTAACACTCTTTAATGTGCTCCTTGGGTAACATGTATCTTTGGTGAAGTGCCTGATTGTGTCTTTTCTTTTTTAATATCTTCTTAGTATTGAGTTTTAAGGATTGTTTATATATTCTGGATACAAGCCTTGTGTTAGATGTATGTTTTGGAAATATTTATCTCAATCTGTGGCTTGCCTTTTTATTTTCCTAATAATAATGTCTTAAAAACAAATGTTCTTAACTTTGAAGTCCAATATATCTATATTTTTTCTTTTTAAATTTAAACTTTATATTTTCAGATAAACGTAGGTCCATATGCAGTTGTAGGGAATAACACAGAAGGACTTCATGTACCCATTACTGTTTCCTTCATTGGTAACATTTTGCAAAATTTCAGTATTACCACCAGTATATGATATTGATAAAACCAAATACAGAATGTTTCCATCACCACAGGAGTCCTCATGTTGTCCTTTATAGCCACACCTACTTTCCTCCTGCTCCTATCACCCCCTTAAACCTTGGAAGCCACAAATTGTTTTATTTCTATAATTTTATTTCAAGAATATTATATAAATTGAATCATACAGTATGTCACCTTCAAAGACTGGCTTTTTTCACTCAGCATAAATCCCGTGAGGTTAATCCAAATTATTGCAAGTATCATTCGTTCATTCCTTTTTTTATTTCGAGTAGTATCCCCACAGCAGGAATGTGCACAGTTAGCTCCACCATTCACCCACTCAAGGACATTTTGGTAGTTTTCAGCTTTTGGCTGTCAGGCTGTGAGATTCATGTACAAGTTTCTGCATAAACATAAGTTTCATTCTCTAGTATAATCGCCCAAGAGTATGATTGCTGGGTCTTTGGTAATTCCGTTATTAGTTTTAAAAGAAACTTTCAAACTATTCAGAATAACTATAGCATTTTACATTTCATGAGCAATCTGGGAGCAATTTAGTTTCTCTGCAGCTTCACAGAATTTGGCGTAATCATTATTTTTAAAGATTTCTGCCCTGTTGAGAGGTGTGCAGTGAATTCTGGGTGTGGTTTTAATTTCCATATCCTAATGGCTAATGATGTTGAACATCTTTCCAGATGCTTATTTGACATCCATGTCTCCTCTTCAGTGAAATGTCTGTTCATGCCTTTTGCCCAATTTTTAATTGGATTTTTTTAATGTTGAGTTTTACAGATCCTTTATACATTTAAAAAATGAGGCTTTTTTTGAAAATATAATTTGCAAAAATGTTTCCTGTTCTCTAATTTGTCTTTTTATTTTCTTGACAGGCTCTTTTGCATAGCAAAATGATTCATTTCAATGACATTCAGCAAGTGCTTTTAGTGTAAAGTGGAAAAACTCTTTGCCTAAGCCTAGATCCCCAAGATTTTCACCTATGTATATATATTTTTTAATTTATAGTTTTTTGTTTCACATTTATGTCCATTCATTTCGGGTTTTTAAAAAATTGTTTAGGTTGAGGTTCAGATTTTTTATTATGGGTGTCCAATTTTTCCACCACCATTTTTTTGAAAATACTACAATGCCTTCATTGAACAGCTTTCACACCTTTGCCAAAAATAAATTGGGCATAATTGTGTTGGTCTGTTTCTGGATTCCCAGTTCTAGTGATGTGTTTGTCTTGCTCCTACACCAGTGTTACACTGTATTTATCACTGTAGCTATACAGGAAGACTTACCGTAGGGTAGGGTGGTACCTCCCCCTTGACTCTTCTTTTTCAATTTTGTTTTAGCTGTTCTAGAGCCTTTATCTTTCTATGTGAAGTTTCTAATAAGCTTGTCTATTATGACCACCACCTTGCTGGAATTCTGACAGGAATTATATATTAAGCCTGCATACCAATGTGGAAAGAATTCATACCTTTACGACACTGACTTTTCCAACCCATGAACACAGATGTCTAATTATTTAGTTCTTTGATGTCTTCTATTATATTTTGTAATTTTCATCATCTAGATCATGGGTGTGTTTTGCTAGAATTATACCTAAGTATTTTACTTGAAGCATTTGTAAATGGTATTGTGTTTTTTATTTAGGAAACTTGGTTGTCCTTAGTATGCATATAGAAATGAAATTGATTTTTGTTGTTTTTGTATCCTGATATCCTGCTGAACTTAGGCACTAGTTCTAGGGGATTTTTGTAGATTCCTTGGAATTTTCTACATGATATAACAATAGTAAGAGCACACATACTTGCCTTTTTCCTAATCTTAAGAGGGACATATTCATTTTTTCACCATTAGATACGATGTTAGCTATAAGATTTCAAGTATCCCTTGTATCAATTAGAAAATCGTTTCGCCAGGCACGGTGGCTTATGCCTGTAATCTCAGTACTTTGGGAGGCCAAGGTGGGCAGATCATGAGGTCAGGAGTTCGAGACCAGCCTGGCCAACATGGCGAAGCCCCGTCTCTACTAAAAATAAACAAAATTACCTGGGCGTGGTGGCACGCGCCTGTAATCCCAGCTACTAGGGAGGCTGAGGCAGGAGAATTGCTTGAACCCGACAGGCGGAGGTTGCAGTGAGCCGAGATCACGCCATTGCACTCTAGCCTGGGCAACGAGAGTGAAACTCCATCTCAAAAAAAAAAAAAAAAAAAATTGGTTCTATTACGAATTTGCTTAGACTGTTTATCTGGAATGGATGTTAGATTTTGTCAAATGTTACTTCACCTATTGAAGATCATATGGATTTCATTTTTAGACTGTTAATGTGACATTTATTCTTAAATATTAAATCTTTCTTGCTTTCTTGGGATAAAACTGACTTAGTCGTGATGGATTATATTTTGTATGTAATGCTGCATTTGATTTCCTAAAATAATGATTTCTGCTGGTATATTTATGAGAGATAATGGTTTGTAGTTTTATTATGTATTTGGGTTTGTTATGAGAGTAATGTTGCTTTCAGAGAATGGTTTGGAAAGTATTTCCCTCTTCTAGGATTTTCTGGATTATTTTGTGTAGATTTGATTAAGTGTTTTGTGCTGTTCACTAGTGAACCCCTTGGGACCTAGAATTTTTTTGTTGGAAGGTTTTAAAATACACATTCAATTTCTTGAAAAGATATGTGGCTATGTAGGTTATTCGTTTCCTCTTGATTGAGCTTTTATAGTTTGTTTCTTTTTTAAATTGCTTATTTCGCCTAATTTGTTCAAATTTACTGACAAAGTTATCCATAGTATTTTCTTACTATATGTAGTATCTGTGATGAAAACACTGCTTTCAATTTGGATATTGGTAATGTGTGTCTTTACTCTTTTCTTCTTGTTCAGTTTGACTATGGTTTTATCATTTTATTGATTGATCTTCTCAAATAATCAGGTTTTGGTTTCATTGTTTTCTGTTCTTCTAATTCTTAAAATTCATTCCATTCTGTTTACTTTGGATTTAAATAATTCTTTTTACAATTTCTTAAAGTGAGTGTTGCTACAGTCATTGATTTGGAACATTTATCTTCTCTAATGGAGGCATTCAGTACTATAAATTTGCCCCTAAATACTGCTTCAGCAGCATCCTACCAATTTTGTAATGTTATTTTAATTTTCATTCAGTTCAAAGTGCTTTATGATTACCCTTTTGTGTTTTTGAAGTCGTTTCTAGAAGTATTTCATTTCCAAATATGTGAAGACATTCTACATATCTTTCTGTAATTGATTTGTAGTTTAATTTTATTGTGGTCAAAGAACATATCTTGTATTATTTGAATCCTTTTAAATATATACAGACATGTTTTATTCCTCAATTATAGTCTAACTTGGTAAATCTTTGTGCGTTTAAGAAGAACATGTATTCTGTTGTAGTTGGGTGAAATGTTCTATAAATGCCAATTGGGTATTTGTTGATAGTATTGTTCCTTTTTCTATAACCTTACTGATATTCTGTGAACTTTATCAATTATTGAGGGAGAGGTACTGAAATCTCTGAATATAATTGTGGAGTTTTCTATTTTTTCCTAGATACTACTTTTAGTTTTTGCTTTAGTTATTCTGAGAGTTTGTTATTTAAATGTACAAACCTGTAGAATTTTTTTTTTAGTGAATTGAACCCTTTGTCATTATTAAATGAACTTCTTTGTCCTTAGTAATATTCTTTGCTTGAAAATCTATTTGGTTTGACATGAATATAGATACTCCAACTTTCTTTTGATTATGTTAGCATGATATATCTTTTCCATTATTTACATTAAACTTAGTTCTGTCTGTAGATTAAAGTACATCATTTCTTCTAGGCAACATATATTGGATATTACTTTTTAAATCAAATGTGACTTCTCTGCCTTTTATTTTATATATAGAACATTTATATCAATTGTGATTATTGATAAGGTGAAGCTTAAATTTACCTCCCTCTATTCTGTATTTGCTTCATCTTTTGTCTCATTCTTTTTCTTCCTGCTCCTCCTTCTTTTGCATTGAATGTGTTTTCATGATACAATTCACTTCCTTTAAAGGCTTATTACCTATAACTCTTTTGTTACATTAACGGTTGCCTTTTGCATTTATAGTATATAAAATTGATTTATCACAATCTACCTTTAAGCAATATGATGCGTCTTCACAGAGAGCACATTATAGTAGGATATTTTCATTTCTCTTCTATTGGCCTTTGTGCTAATGTTGTCCTACGTTTTCTTTAACATATATTGTAAACACCATTCCACATTGCTGTTACATTCTACATTGTTGCTAATTATCTTTTGAAAATATTTAAATAATAAGGAAACATTGTATATTTGCTCATGTATTTACCACTTCAGGTGCTCTTCATTCCTTTGTGAAAATCCATATTTCCATCCATTGTCATTTTTCTTCTGCCTAAGTACCTTCTTTAACATTTCTTGTACTAAGTCTTCTCACAATGAATTTTTTCAGCTTCTTTATGTATAAAAGAGTCTTTATTTTACCTTCATTGTTGAACTATATTTTGGATCTGAATAGAATTCTGGGTTGACACGTTGGTGGTTGGTTGTTTTCCCTCTGTGGAGTTTTTTTTTCCACTGTCTTCTCACCTGTCGTCTTTTGATGAGAAAACTGCTATCATCTTACCTTTATTTCCCTATATGTAATATTTCTTTGGAACTAAATATTTTAAGTCACTTTCACATTTGAGTACTGGTAGGTGGAAAAATAAGATCTTTGGACTGTGAAATCTGCCTCTTCATCTCTAGACTCGGTCTAAATCCTGTGTATGAGGCACGATGCTGGGCACAAGAGATATGCAGATACATAACATGTAGGTCCTAGGGCCTATTTTCAGGAAACTCATAGTCTAATGAAGGAAACCCAGGTCACTTCCCACTGCTGGAAGGTGGCCTCCTTTCTGTCTTCCTCTCTATCCTTCCAAATACACCTTTGACTTTGAAAGCTGATACACCTTCTTAATAAGCCAGTCAATTGATTCCTCTAAGAATAGAAAAGGGCTTCAAGAATAGAAAAGGGCTTCAATAACAAAGCTGGTAAAAGTATCACTGTTTCTAAATGGAAGTGCCTTCCTCCCCACCACAGTAACTTTGATCGTCTGGGTTGTTAAGGTGTTAGACTTGTTCTTTTCATACCTGATATGGTTAGGCTTTGTGTCCCCACCCAAATCTCATCTTGAAATTGCAGTTCCCATAATCCCCACAGGTCGTGGGAGGCAATTTAATCCTTGGGGAAGTTACCCTCGTGTGAAAAAGATAGATTTGAATATCATGTAATAGTGAGTTCTCACAAGATCTGATGGCTTTTTAAGAGGCTTTTCCCCCTTTTGCTCAGTGCTTCTCCTTGCTGCAGCCATGTGAAGAAGGATGTGTTTTGTTTTGTTTTTGTTTTTGTTTTTGTTTTTTTTTTGGCCCGGGTTCAAGCCATTCTCCTGCCTCAGCCTCCCGAGTAGCTGGGACTATAGGTGCCCACCACCATGCCTGGCTAATTTTTTTTGTATTTATAGTAGAGATGGGGTTTCACCGTGTTAGCCAGGATGGTCTCAATCTCCTGACCTCATGATCCACCCCCTTCGGCCTCCCAAAGTGCTGGGATTACAGGCATGAGCCGCCATGCCCGGCCAGAAGGACGTGTTTGTTTCCCGTTCTATTGTGACTATAAGCTTTCTGAGGCTTCCCCAGCCCTGCAGAACTGAGTCAATTAAACCTCTTTCAGTTATAAATTACCCAGTCCCAGGTATGTTTTCATAGCAGCATGAGGATGGACTAATATAACATCCAAGGTACTGATTTGCAGAAAGGTAGGAGTTAGGCAGTAATATGAATCCACATAGAACTAAAAGTATGTTTTTGTTGCACTTAGTAATGAGGGGTCACCATCACTAAGCCATTTTTCTTCTTGTGTTGATCATCAAGGATCAGAGAGTTCATAGTCCTAGCTGGGATCATGGGCTCATCGCTTGAGTCGGGTTTACTCTGCACACGGATGGATAATCCTATCAATAATGCCACAACAGTGCATGTGGTTCCCAGTGGGAGATAGGAGTGCTGTTATACAGAGGAGAAGGAACAGATGTCCACCAGGTGAAAACAAAGAAGCCCATTGCATTTACAAATATTATGACCAGTAAGATGGTGCAATGTGAAGACTCTTCCCTGTCCCTACTAAGCACCAAAGTATTGATAACACACATATCTCAGCTCAACTTGTCAAAGTTGCTGGTTTTCCCACAGCTTCTCATCTCAGTAATTGTTTGCAAAGAGTTGTTTAGAAGTATAAAGCAATGCTGATATTCATAATATTTCTACTTTTTAGGGCTTTATCTAGTTAATTTCTTCTTAAAAATAGAATCAACCTTGAAACGTTGATTAATTTTTTTTTTCAGAAAATGTTACATGCGGCCGGGCGCGGTGGCTCACGCCTGTAATCCCAGCACTTTGGGAGGCCGAGGCGGGCGGATCACGAGGTCAGGAGATCGAGACCATCCCGGCTAAAACGGTGAAACCCCGTCTCTACTA
Source organism: Homo sapiens (assembly GCF_000001405.40). NCBI lineage: Eukaryota > Metazoa > Chordata > Mammalia > Primates > Hominidae > Homo > Homo sapiens. The sequence continues at coordinate 60,445,330 of NC_000020.11, forward strand.
AAAATACAAAAAATTAGCCGGGCGTAGTGGCGGGCGCCTGTAGTCCCAGCTACTTGGGAGGCTGAGGCAGGAGAATGGCGTGAACCCGGGAGGCGGAGCTTGCAGTGAGCCGAGATCCCGCCACTGCACTCCAGCCTGGGCGACAGAGCGAGACTCCGTCTCAAAAAAAAAAAAAAAAAAAAAAGAAAAAAAAAAGAAAATGTTACATGCAAGGCACACAATATTACCAATGCTTGGAAAAATTAGATTTGAATTTCAAAAGCGTACGTAGTGAAGTGGCTCTATGCCTTGGGAAGTGTATGCTGATGTATTTACTATGAAATGTGAAGCCCCTATTCTATAGTCTGCTGCAAAGCACTCCAGTTCTTCTGAATGTTCTGTACGGTACATAATTTGAACTGTAATAAGACAATTATTTGTATGGGATTTGCAAATATTTTCATTTATAGTTGTCTTTGTGACATTCTAACATCACCACATGTGAAGGTCACTAAAACAATGTACCTAAAAATGCGTATTAATATTAATAAAGATTCCTAAGTAATATATCATATACCATGTTCACCTCTGGGCTCATAGAACATTTGGTCTTTGTTTTATTTAGTTTTAGATTTCAATGACTCTGACATGACTGGACGTAAACCATACATAATAGTAAAATTCTATTCTGGAGCCTAGGATTTGCAGCCTAAGGCATTCTGACCGGGAGTCTGCCCCCATCTTCTTTGTCTGCTCCACCCTTTCCTCCACTGCAGACAAGGTAATAAGTATAACTCTTTGTTTTTGACTCTTTGAAAATCAGAGAAAACGTAGAGGAGTTCTTTTTTTCTTCCCCCAATGCATTTCTTTTATATAAAGGACATTTTTTCAATTTAAGCTCTGTGAGGGCAAGAATTCTCTTCCACGCTCTGTCCTAGCATCTAAAACAGTACCTCACATAGATGCTCTTGGGTGTTGTTTAAAAATGCATGCTTATAGCAACCAATGCACAACGTCTTACCCAAAACCAATTATCTTAAAATCCTAGAATGGGAGCCTTGTCATGGTCCTGAGCGAGGTCTGTCAGCCTTATTATAATAATGACTAATGAGCAATCTGCACAAGGACTTGGGTTTGCTCGTTATGTCTGAGGTTGCACAATGTGTTAATGATGGAGTGAGGAATTCAGTCTAGCTTGGATGATTCCAAGTCGATGAAAAGGATATATTTTTGTCATTCAGGAGAACCACCCTGGCAAACACACAACAATTCAAATTATCTCAAGACAACTAGAAATGATTATTTTCTTTGCAAAACAACAGAGGGACCTCCCTTTATCTGGTCCCAGCATTAACCACCAGATATGTAAAGGAGGAAGTCTTTGAGGTTACTGCAGCCGCAGACACTGTGCAAACTCATGAGGAGCCCCGAATGAGAACTGCCTGGCTGACCAGGCTGACATTAGAAGCAAGAGAGCTCATCATACCACGCAATTGTTGTTGTTTTACTTCACTGCATTTGTGGTTGTTGGTCATGCAACAAGAAGTAACTAGAACAGAACTGGTAATGGGCAGCGTGGGGTGCTGACATAGGGATGCCAAGTATGTGCAGCACTGGCTTCAGAGCCAGGGGCCACATGGGACCAGGGAGGGTAGTAAGCTCCCAGCAGAGGCTGGAGGACTTGAGGGTGCTGTGAGTGAGCGTTAAAGGGAAAATGCCTGAAGCTGGAGAAAGGAGACCCTTGATATGAGGTGGCAGGAGGTTTGGCCTCACTGCTGCTCATAGAAAAATAAGTAATGGTGAATAAGATGATTAACTGAGAAAATGTCCAGGCAGTGTGTCAAAGGTGCCACTTGGCCCTTTTTCTAGTTGCCTATAACAAAATGAGAGAGGAAATAGATGAGATAAAGAAGAACCTATTAAATACATAGGAGTCACTACCTGATAAGTCTAGAAAATAAACTATTTCTTATTCCCAGCTTGTTCAGAGAGCAATGATTCTCAAATCATGGAACTGCCTCCAGGCAAAGCCCTGATCCAGGACTCTGTGGGTAAAGCATGGTTGAAGAAGAAAGCATGGATTTGACTTTACCCTTCTGTAAAATCTCAGAAAGGTTTAGGGTGGCACCTGAAGACCCTTTCAAAGAAACAGGTTGTCTAAGCCCTGTCAGGGCAGGACTGCAGGACCCTCTCTGTGAATGAGTGGCGTCTCCAGCCATCTCTGGGATGTTGTTCCTCAGCAGCATCCTGGTAAGCGTGGCCTAGAGGAGACGTGTGGGTGTGGCTTTCATCAAATGGCATGAAGTCCACTAAGTTTTAGAAAATATTTGCAGAGTTGTGAAGGAATCCTATTGACAGGAACACTGTCCACTGGGACTAAAAGCGATGGAGACAGCAAACAATGAAAGGAGGGTTTGGATTCTCAAATGTCTACACTTAAGAAGCAAGCAGAGAAAACAGCTCTGGTGCAGACAAGTGCCACATATTCGTGGTGAAGGAAGGACCATTCAGAGAGTGGATTCCAGAGCCCAGGGTGGAGCCAAGAGCCATGGAAAGTTTTCTGAGCAGTTGGACTTAGCCCTGCACAAAGAACTGCCACACATGCGTGGCTGGACTTCAGGATCTCTGTGAACCAGTGACTCACAGGCTGCCTTTCCCTCTTTTGGAAAAGGAATGTCTCCAGTGGTGGTTTTATGCCTGTCCTGCCCCTGTGTTGAGTGTGTGGGTGGCAGGTGATGTGTTTATTTCCATTCGTGGGTCTTCAGATGGAGGGTAACAATGCTTTAAGAGCTGGACTGAAGAGTGACCCAGGAGCAGCCTCATCAGAACCTAAACTTGATTGAGAAGTTGACATCTCTTTTTCTCCAGCTTGAGCCTGGTGTGTAATACCTGTAATACGCAGCCCTTTGGAGGTCTTGGAATGGGATGAATGGTTTGTGCATGTGGGAGAAATATGAATGCTTTGTGGCCAGAGGTAACATTGAGGAAGACTGAGAACATGCTCCCAAATTCTTTATGCTTCTTCCACCAAGCGGTGGAGTCTGATTCGGATCCCTTTCCCTTTCATAGGGACTAGCCTAGTGCCTTTCCTCTTGTGAATAAAATGTAGCCAAAGTGAACTTTGAGGCTAGGTTGGAAAAGGTAACATAGCTTTTCTGGCTCTCTAAAGATAGTTGCCCTTGAAGCGAGTTGTTATCCTACAACCCCAGGCTGGTGCAGATCCCAGGTACAGCGGCTCCAGCAAGGAGCCTTGGCTGGGGTTCCTGTTGAGGACAAATGTCCATCATCACCTGTAAGCCAGGAAACTTCAGATTCCTCCATCCCCAGCCACTGCGTAACTGCAACCATGTGAGAAACCCCAAGTGAGGAACACCTGGAGAGCTCCAGCCAACCCCCAGGACTCGTGAGAAATAATAATTAATAATAATAGGCTGGGTGCAGTGGCTCATGCCTGTAATCCCAGCACTTTGGGAGGCCGAGGCGGGTGGATCATCTGAGGTCAGGAGTTTGAGACCAGCCTGGCCAACATGGCAAAACACTGTCTCTACTAAAAATACAAAAATTAGCCAGGAGTGGTGAGGCATGCCTGTAATCCCAGCTACTCGGGAGCCTGCCACAGGAGAATTGCTTGAACCCAGGAACCCAAGAGGGGGAGGTTGCAGTGAGCCAAGCTCACACCACTGCACTCCAGCCTCGGTGACAGAGCAAGACTCTGTCTCAATAATAATAATAAATGACTGGTATTATTTCATACCACTAAGCTAGGGTTGGCTTATTATGCAAACAACCAGCAACTCTGTACAATGAGCCAGGCATAGGAGACACGAGAGGATAGTGGGGACCGTGGGAGACCACAGAAGGTGCTTTTCTGCTCGTCACTGCCCCAAAGAAACTGGAAGTAATTTCCTTATTTTGAAAACCCTGGGATGAGCCAAACACAATTTCTGTGAGCAGGACTCTACACATGCACTGCCTGCACGCCACTCCTGGGGCAAGAGCTAGTTAGTGTGATTGACACTGGGATGCAGAGAACCCAAGCAACAAAAGGCATGCCCTCTTGCCAACCTGCTCTTCTCTCTGCTCTCATTGCTTCCCATTCTGTTGGTGACTTCAAAAAAGGACATTTCCATTCCACAGCTGTATGCAAAGCTATGAAGCCCAGCCAGGCTGACCTTCTGGTGGCACGGTTAGGAAACAGTGTGTCTTATTTTCGGAAATTAGGAATTGCTGACCAGAAAGCCCAAACGAAGACCATAAATGCTAGAGACTGACAATGCTCAGAGGTTTTCGGGGTCTGACTCTGAGCTGCAAAGGCAATGCTTATTTATTCTTTCCATTTAATACAGTTCAGTAACCTTTAGAAATATTTTGAAAGTTGAAATATGCAGTACAACTGGCAGCATCTAGACAAATTTATTTAGCCGGAGCTTGTAGCATTAATCAGTATCTGGAAATGAAGGGCTTCTATCTCCACTCAGTTTTTTGGGGGATTGTTGGAAAAATTAAACATTTTGGTTAAACAATTTTTTGAAGAAGCATTTTTGACTCACGCCATGCAATCCGAGCAAGTGTTTTTGTAGAAGAGTTTTATTGTCAGGAACAGGGCTTTGGAAACCCTGACCAAGAAGGCCTTAACCTTCCCCTCAGCTTGACTAGACATTAGAGGGACCTCTTCATACCACTAGGCCCTGACCTCCCTGTTTTTCTAGAGCGTCTACTATGGGGAACTCATAATTGCAAATTCTTTCTCTGCCCCATTGAGATGTAAATATTTTTAAAATCCTCTTGCCAATTTGGCAGCTCAGGAATGCCTTTTCCAAGAAGCTAGGAGCCATCCCTTGGAAAGGGAACCACTAAAGGAGATGGCATCCCTATCTCCCAGTTTCTGTGGGAGAGTAGGAACTAACATCAGTGGGCTCCAATTAGCAAATACAGATGGCCCAATCATAGAGAAAAACATGTGTACACTCAGGAATAAGTCAACGTGCTGGGCACATCTCATGGATCAACTCTTCCCCACACCACCTTTCCCCACCTTCTTTCCACCAGTGCAGCCCAGCGCCAAAAACCCTCCTGCCTTTTGTTTCAGCTGGGTTAAGCTCAGACTGAGTTCTAGCCTCTCCCGAATTGCGATAGCTTTGAATAAAGTCTTCCTTGCCTGTCAAACTCTATCTGGTACATTTTTTTTGCTTTGAATCACACCATTGTTTTTTAGTTATTTATATTTTCATTTATATAAGATTTTGTATACTTATATTCTGAACTTTATAGGAGAGCCTGTTCACTTCTTGCAGGAATTACGATGTTTGTGGGTTGTCGTTGGTGTGAATTCCAAACCAAATGTTGCATTATGATTGAGCGAAAGGCAGGCCACTGATCTTCCAGAACAGCCTCAAGTCCCACTGCTCAGTGTGCCCAGTGGGGATGTTGGAAACAGAAAAGATACAAAGAAGTCCGTGGTTCAGAACCCAAGGGCTCCTCGAAAGGCTTGGCGTCATCTCTAATAAAGACTCGGCTTTTGCTCAAGATCCCTTATGCTTGAAACCTAACAGTCTCCGACAGTGTGTTCTTGATTATTCCAGCCACAGAAGAGGCACAAAGGGTGGCCTAGACCCAGGTGACTTCCTGTGGCACTGGGCTGGGCCTTCTCTGGCCAAATCTAGACTTGTTAGCTTTTGCCAGAATTTGTGATCTGAGCCACAAGAGCCTTTTTCCTCACGTAGTCTATTTGTCACTTCTGCTTCTCCAAAGAGAGTGAAATTCTGCAGGCAACAGCCACAGCTTCTGGTCCCCTTTAACCTCACCCTGTAGTGCTGGGCACTGAGCAGATATTCAATGTACGTCTTTGTTGGCTTGGCTAGAAAGATATTTGTATCTGTTACTTACTAACTGCATTTCCCATAGGCTAGCTAGCAGTGCTGGCCTTTGAGAATCTGTGGGCTTAGGAGAAGTTTCCTTTGAAGCTTATCAGGTATAAGATCCCTTCCTTTGTTAACCCAGTTCTCCTATTTCCTCTCTACACACACATTGGCCACCACTTATGCACCAATCACTGTGCCAGACACTGGGACAAAAACGTTAATTCAAGTCGCTAATCTGCACACTGAATTGAGAGTAGATTTCCTTCGTTAATAGATTTTGTCCACCTAAGAATTCATTTACTGAGTGAATACGAAATGTGATTTGATTCCTTCAAAGTCGGTTTACATGAGCAACTCAGGCACACATCTACTATGTACAGCTGAATGCCCAGTTTACATCTGTAGAAGCAGAAATTAATTTATCATGAATGGGAGGGGAAGTAGAGATATTATCTTATGTATCCTGATTATGTGTCCGGCAATTTGGCAATCTTTATGTATATGTTTTCTTATTTAATTTTCACAACAGATCTTGGAGTTAGGCAGAATCGTTACGCTTACTGGATTGACAGGGATACGGAGGCTTATAACAATTAAATATCTCCAGTAAGTCCACACCATAGGGTACCTGATATCTGAACCCAGTTCTGTCTGACGTGGAACATGGGGTCCCACAAGGGGGGCAAGACTTCCACAGATTCTTGGGTCAGTATTATTTTCATGAGGGTACATTGCCTCTTCCTCACTGTTAAGAAAGCAGATTGCAGCCAGGCGCAGTGGCTCACACCTGTAATCCCAGCACTCTGGGAGGCCGAGGCGGGTGGATCACGAGGTCAGGAGATCGAGATCATCCTGGCTAACACGGTGAAACCCCGTCTCTACTAAAAATATAAAAAATTAGCCGGGGGTGGTGGCGGGTGCCTGTAGTCCCAGCTCCTCGGGAGGCTGAGGCAGGAGAATGGCGTGAACCTGGGAGGCATAGTGTGCAGTGAGCCGAGATCGCGCCACTAGACTCCAGTCAGGGTGACAGAGCAAGACTCTGTCTCAAAAAAAAAAAAAAAAGCAGATTGCAGGGAATATTACTCAGCCATAAAAGGAATGAGGTACAGATGCATACTGTGGTGCAGATGAACCCTGGAAACATTATGCTAAGTAAAAGAAGCCAGCATGAAAGGTCACATGTTGTGTCATTCTGTTGGAACAAAATATCAACAACAGGCAAATCCATAGGAGCAGAAAGAAGATGAGTGGTGGCCCAGGACAGGATGAAAGTGAAAGTGGGGACAGCTAATGGATCTGAGGTTTCTTTTTAGGGTGATGAGAATGTTTTGGAACTACGCAGAGGTGAAGGACACACAACATCCTAATGTACTAAATGCTACTGAATTGTGCTCTTTAAATGGTGGCTTTATGTTATGTGAAATTTGCCTCAATTAAAAAGAAAAAAAAAAACAATAGAACTCCCCACTAATCTGGTGAGTCGGAAGAAAGGGCGGCTGCTTTCTGCACTGGCAAGGCCTAGGCCATGTTCTAACCTGTGATGCCATGCTGTGGGATTGCAATAGGACCAGGTGGGCATCCCTGCAAATTTTGACTTGGGGTCTGAATTAGCACTTGTTGGTGGAAGTGGGTCGTCAGGGATGAGTACGAGGGATCCATGCCAAGGTTATCGCCTCCAAGGGTAGCACAGCTGCAGAGAGCTCAGGCTCTGGCTGGGATCTAGCCCAGACCCCTCCCAGATGGGCAATTCTTCCTAGGCTCTTCCAAGCCTCAGTTTCCTCACCTGTGAGGCAATATCTTCCTCTTACTGATTTTGTGTGGGTTAAGAACCAAGGTATGTAAAGACCCAGTACTGTGCCTGACACATTCCCAGTGAGCCCCCAGCCAGTGGGACCTCACAGGTCAGTGCTCTGCCATGGCACAGAGACCCTGTTGGTAAAGGTCAGGTTGTGCTGTGCCCCACATAGCTCCAGAGCATGCAGGTTACTCAGTAGGGCAGTAAGGTGTAAGCACATGGTCTTGAGGGACCTTCCCAAACTCCCCCATACATAATTTCCTTAGCAAATGCCCTCTGCTTTCCCGGGCCCTATGGCAGGTCTGATTTTGTTCTACTGATTCCCCACGGGCCACGTGCATCAGCTTCAGAAACACAGGAGCTGGTGTTCACACACACAGAGTCCTTGGGGAGGCTCTCCCAGCCCACAGGCAGTGAGATTCACAGGTGCCTTGGAATTTATCAATCACACAGTGGCTCGTAGGAACCATGGCCATGACAGTCCCTTCTCTGAAGGACGAAAGTGCCTAGTGCAAGTTGCCTTGACCCAGAGAACAAAGCGCCCTTCTCAGGGTGCAGTGTGTTTACTTGCAATCTGGTGTTCATTTTCAGAATGTCTGAAGCATCCTTTGGACCAAAGGCTGCTGCATAATAGAGGCCCACAGCTCTTCCAGGGCTCCTTGACATTTGGGAGGCAATAGCTCTATTGTTCTCTGCCTCAAAGATATTAAGCACAAACCCTTGAGGATGCTTTCTGTGTCTTTTTGCTTGAGGCAGGAGAAAAGCAAAACTTTGTCTTTTCCTCTTGAATGTGAACACTCAGGGGCTAAATCAAGAAACAACCAACACAAAATCATATGCAGGAGGGTTGGTAGAATTTGCTCTTCGGCTTAGGGACAGCTGCAGTAAGCTTTGTCATGAGCAATTTGAAGCCTCAAGAAAAAGTCGCACTCAAGCCCCCTGGCTTTATCCAGCTGAGCATGACTGAAGTCCCAGCTGTCCTCCTCTCCACTTGAAGCTCAGCCTTGCGTACCTGCTTTTGTAGCCAGAGCATTGTGATGAGAGGGAGGATGCTGCTCCGGGCTGGATTCAGGGTGGGATCACGCTCACCTTAGATCCCAGCTTGTCCAGCATCGCCGCCTCCTGGCCGACAGGCTGTGCTGCTGTGGTTCTGGGGGCCATGCACTACAGGGAGGTCTGCAAGTGTCCACTCTGATCCATTCCTGACCTTGAGAGTGGCTGTCCTTGTGACTGGAATATAGCCTGAGGGGAACTTTTAGGGGTGCCAGTCATGTTGTGTTGCTTGGTCTGGGTGCTGGTTATATGAATTTGTGCAGTTTGAGAAAATTCATCACACATTCGTTATCTCAATAAATACACCTTTCAAAAGGTATCCCTGAACTGATCTGCAGTAGCTGCACTGATTCCCCATCCCTGTTCCTTTACACTGAATGATGAGTTGGACATGCCCATGGTAAGTCTCTGAGCTCGTAAGGCCTTAATGAAAGGTTGCACATGGGCACTGAAGACCTTTGAGGTAATGAAGGTGAGGAAGAGTACTCCAGATGGAGGGAACAGGCATGCTGGAGCTCAGACCCCAGAGACGCATTAGAAATGCTGGAAGCCCCATGGAAGGGCAGTGTCTGCATGCTATTGACGTGAGCTGAGGAGTCCAAGGGGTTCTTGTAAAATACACTGCCCCGTATCTGGATCTGACCATCTGACTTCGAGTCCCCTGTCCTTTCAATGTCTCCACCCGGCCCGCCTCAGACCTCCCACCTACTTCCACTCCTGGAGGGACAGGCTCTCCACCCTATGTTGTGTCCTGTCTGTGACTGAGCCCTAAGTCTCAGGCCACACCTTTGTTCTCGTCTTCATTTCCTGATCCTGTCCTTGCCCACGTCCTGCACCCAGATCAGACCCCAAACCTCCTCTGGTATTTTTGTCTTCACCAATGTCCTGGTGTGGGACAGCTGGTCTACCTGGTAACAGCAAAGCCTGCCAGGCAACTATCCTGTCTCTATCAGCACTGCCTTTACCACAGCGGCCTTGTCCTGCTGCCCACCTAGCAGCGGAATGCGATATTTTAGAGAACTTTTCCTCCTAAGAAGAAAGGCAGCCTGTAAAAACTATGCTCTTTTTTTTTCCTGCTCCATTTTCAGTGAAACCAGAGGACAGATGGTCATCGTCCCCCATGTTAAAGAAGAAAAAAATCTCACAATTAAAACTGAAATGACCAGCATGTAAAAATATCATCTCACCAGACTTCTAAAATACAAAATAAATAGCAACATTTCCTGATTGCAGTAAAGCTCAATGGTGGAGTTCTCTTTTTCAGAGTAGGCCAAATAATCATATAAGCTCACAAAACTTTAAAAGAACATAAATGATTTCTTTCATTTCTTAACCAAGGATTGTGAGGCACTAATTTACATGACCTCTGTCTGTCTTCGCGGCAGGGGACTTTAGTGCAGTTGTGTTCAGAAGGGAGTCTCATGAGGACCGGGGCCACTTGGAGCCTCAGTGCTATTTTCGTGTCAGCAGACAAAAGTGGGAACAAAGCTTGCCTTCGTTTCAGATATGCAGGGGAGCTTGCTGCTGCACGAAGCTCTCAGAAATACTCGGAAGATGAACAATGGCTCCCAGAGAACATGAGCAAGACACATTTCAATTTCAGAAACAAATGCACATGAAAGATCATCTTTTATTGGAGAACATACGTTAAGTTATCCTCTTTTCAAAAACAACCAGGAAACAGTGACCTTTCCAATGCCTTCATCAGCTGCAGTTTTAGGAGAACATAATAAATGCTACTAGACACCGTGGAGCAGAAAACACAAGGATTCAACAAATTAAACTTTGGAACACACACCAAAGACACCCAGAGTGGACCTGTGTATACAGTCACTGCTATTGTATTATTTTTTCCATCAAAAAGTTGACATTCAGAATATTCAAGATATATGACTGCCCTTTCAGACTTCATATTTGGATTTATTTCCTGTTGATGCTGTGTTTATTTAGACTTGTATTAATGTCATGCATCAGAAATGGGTTACCATGAAAACAAAATTTCTTACTTGACTTTTTGCTCTCCAAATTCAGCATGGATGCCAGTAAAAGAATGAGATGTTAGGTTAGGTTTGATGCGCTTATAGCTCTTTATATGTAAAAGTGTAGTCACTGAAATCTTTTCTGGTGTGATTTTCCTTCCATCATTTTGTTTATGAGAATGTATGAGTTAATAAGCTACAAAGAGCTAGAAATTAAATTAGGTTTAAAATTCAGGGAAATAGAATAAAGAGAATAGGCTTACATATATATTGGGAAAGTGATCACATCTGGATGGTTTGGAGGGCCTCAGGAGAAAAGCCAGTTCCCTGTGCTAGAATTTGTCCTCTTTCCTGCTTTTACGGCTTGCACATAGGTTTGTATTGTCTTCCTGAGGTTTACTTACCAGCAAGGTTTCATCACCACCACCAGCTTATTTTCAAACCAAGTATGATTGTTGTGACTTACAAATTTTCTTGTCTTCTTCTTGTTCCTACACTCACTTTCTTAGGCTCTGGGACTATGGAAAGGACAAATGACAACTGCCACGTGAGCTCACCTCAGTGTAAGATGACTTATGGGGCCTCCTGTATACTGGGGGCAAAGCTAACCCTGTTTCCAACTGACAGGGCTATGCATGTCTCCTCGGACTTGATACTCAGAGGTTTTTTTTTTTTTTTTTTTTTTTTTTAGCTCAAAATATCAAGTAAAGTAAATCATTTAATCTTTCTTGGGAATGAACTGTTGTGTTGGCCAATAATGAACATGAACATGATGCATCTGAAAGTAGAAGATGCTAATCTTGCAAATCTATTTTCTTTTCCTTAATGAGTACAAAGAGATTTTTTTTTTAAGTCTGTGGTCCTGCAGAAACCAAAAGATTATGGCATACAATTATCTCACTGTCAAAAATTACACTTTGGTTGAAAATGAAGTCTACTTTCTTGAATATTTAGCCTTTAATTTTTTTGTTTTGTTTTGTTTTGTTTTTTGAGACGGAGTTTTGCGCTTGTTGCCCAGGCTGGACTGCAATGGCGTGATCTCAGCTCACTGCAACCTCTACCTACCAGGTTCAAGCAGTTCTCCTGCCTCAGCCTCCCAATTACAGCTGGGATTACAGGCATGCACCACCATGCCCAGCTAATTTTGTATTTTTTTTTTAAGTAGATATGAGGTTTCACCGTGTTAGCCAGGCTGGTCTGGAATTCCTGACCTCAGGTGAACCTCCCACCGCAGCCTCCCAAAGTGCTGGGATTACAGGCGTGAGCCACCACACCTGGCCTAATTAATCTCTCTTTTTCATTTAAGCTCATTCTCCATTACAAGTTAAGATATGACAGCCAAGCATTTACTGAGGGCTAATAATGCAGATGACTGACCCCAATGGCAGCCACACCTGGAGAGGTGCCGAGCACTTGCAACTCTGGTCAGAGGCTTGCTCCAGGGGTGAGGGGTAGGAGCAAAGTCATCCAGATGAGTGTTCATCTCTCTGGGAAGAAGAGATCAGAGAGGGGTCTCGGGATAAAGTAGAACCAAAGACCTTGAAGGTCAGGCAAGCTTCAGAGAGACTTAACACAGGTAGTTGCCCAAGGCAGAAACTCTCCTCTATTTCACCCCATCCCAATTTATCTGTTAACTTTCACCTCTCAAATATCTCTTGACCACATCCACTTGTAAACTGCCCTCTTCCCACATTGTAGCTCAGCTACCACCACTCCTTCCTTCCTGGACGGTTGAAGCAGCCTTCTCTCAACGTTCTGTTCCTACACACTCACTGTTCTCTAACCCATTCTCCATGTGGCAGTCAGAAATGCAAAACTCATCCTTCCCTTCTCCATTGCAAACATTCAAGGACTTCCCATTGTCTCTAGGATTGAGCCTAAACATTTTAATCCTTATGTCCCAGGCCCTTCACAGCCTGACTCCTACTTGCTACTAACCTCATCTCATGATGCCCTGACTTGGTTCCCCCAGCACTCAAGTCTTAGTCGATTTGTTTAGCTCCTCAAAAACACCGTGCTCTTCTCTGTCTCTTTCTGTCTCTGTCTCCCTCTGTTTCTCTGTCTCTTGTTTCCTCCTCCATCTCCTGGCCTTCTACATACTATCCCCTTTGCTTAGGATCCTGTTCTTCTCTTTCTTGCCTGGCTATCTCCTGTTTATCTACTAAGAATCAGATTAAATATCACTTCGCCTGGGAAGCCTTCCTTGACCCTCATGGAGCCCATCAGAGTATTTTTCATACTTTATTATCCCTATTTGATTTTTTTATTAGGCTACATATAGAAGTCCATAAATTATGGACTTCAGCCAAATCTATTTTTGTAAAGTCATATTCGCCATGCCCATTTATGTTTATATTGTCTACGGCTGCCTTTACACTGCAGTAGCAGAATAGTTGTGACAAGGAGGCATATGACCCACAAATCTCAATTATTATTATCTGGCCACTGACAGAATGAGTTTGCTAATCTCTGCTAGAAACAATTAGCTCATATATCCCGGCATTATTCCATCATTATGACCGGGGACAGTGCCCAGCAGTAGTCATTTATTAGATATTTGTTGAATGGGTGAATAAATGAATGATTGTTGCACACACAGGCAGAGGAACACAGCACTAAAGCCAGACAGTGGACACAACTGGATTACCTTTGCAGAAGGTTTGCTATGTAGAAAAATACTAAGCACTGAGGTTCTTACTGCTGCTATTGCTGATATTATTTCTACCAGTTATGTATTGACTGTTTACCACATGCCACATACAGAGCGAACTGACTTACCTGGCTTTTCTCATTTAATCCTCTCCACAATCTAATATGGCTGGTTCTATTGTGATACCTATTTTACACAGAAATCAACTGAGTCTGAGAAAATTCAAGGGACTGGCCATCATTCTACAGCTAGGAAGTGGGCCATGGGGAGCCCACCATTTTAATCTCTATGCTTCCAAATGTATTATCTCTCCTGTCTATTTGAGGATCGTGTCTTTAGTTTCATTTTGCTTTGATGGAAAACATCTTTTTTTTGAATAATTGGCTGGGTAGCGAGGTGAATGGTTTTTTGTTTTGTTTTGTTTTGGGTTTTTTTGGTAGAAAATTGGCCTTCTGTATTGGAATTGGATTTCTCACAAATTTTATTGCAGCCAAAGGTATAAAATACATTTTCAAAATAGTTATATTTTAGCTGAAAACATGCCCTAGTATTCGGCTACTAAGAAAATTATAAAATTATAAAATCAGAAACTGCATGAGAGGGACTGGTAAGAACCACCATAACCAAACAATTTCAATTACAAACAGCAGCAGCATTGCTGAGAGGTGTTTTAGTAGTTAAGGAATATGAGTTTTCTCCTGTGTGTAAAGATCTGATGAGTGGTGGTGATTGGTTCAAGATGCCAAGGACATATCAGCTTTGCGCTGGATTATAAATAGCACAGGTATTTCAGCACGGTGTCTGTGGTACTCAGCAGAATAAACAGTTATATCCTATACTGACAGAGTGGAGTAATGTTTAGAGTTTGACTTTGGCCTTCTTTTCGCTCCTAACTTGTCAAAGTTGGAATCACATTTTTATTCATTTATCTTCAATCCATGACATTATATGTGATTCATATTTTGTTTGTCTTTTTTCTTGCTTAGTGAGTTATTTACTCTAAAATAGGTCCATAGAATGAAGAAGAATTGAGTGCAAAATAAAAAGCCAAAGAAAACTTATATTTCCAAAATTTGATGAACTAGCTGGAAAAGGCAATATTCATGATTGATAAGGAAGCTTGCTTGGTTGAAGGACGAGGTTGTCCATCCAAAGGGAAAAATAATTTGAGCTTAGTGTCATGGCCGAAGTTAGAAGTGATGGAATTGAACATTTGAAGTAAAATCTTCAGTTTCTCTTATGATACAGTCCTTTTAAAAGTTTAACTATTTGAATTATTAAACAAAAACCTCCAAAGAAAAGCCCAGGACCAGATGGTCCTACTAGTGAATTCTACAAAACATTCAAAGAACAATCAATACCAATTCTTCTAAAACTCTTCCAAAAAATAGATATGAGAGCATTCTTAGCTTATTCTATGAGGCCAGAACTACCTTGATACAAAAGTCAGGGGAAGACATCACAAGAAAAAAACAGACCAGTTTGCTCCATGAATATAGACACAAAATACCAACAAACCCAAGTTAGCAGCATATTGAAAGGGCTATGCACAGAACCAAGTGGGAATCATTTCAGAAACACAAGGGGTGGTTCAACATATCCAACTCAATCAATGTGTAAGATACCACATTAGTAGGAGAAGGAGGGAGAAAAAAAAGATCATCTCAATAGATGCAAAAACAAGAAAAATATTTGATGAAATTCAACACCCTGTCAAGGAAAAATAAAAACAAACACAAACTTGAACTAGAAAGGAACTCTCTCAACTTGATAAAGGCCATTCATGAAAAATCAAAGCTCATTCATACTCAATGGTGAAAGACTGACAGCTTTCCCCTAAGATTATGGACAAAACAAGGGTGCCCACTTTCACCATCTTTCCAGCATTGTTCTGGAATTCTGTCCAGAGAAGATAGGCAAGAAAAAGAAATTAAAAGACACCCAAATTGGAGAGGAAAAATAAAACTATCTCAAATTACAGATGATATAATTTTATGTAAAAACCCTAAGGAACCCAGACACACAAGCTATTAGAACTACTTAATGACTTTATTAAGATCAACACAAAAATAAATGAATAGCAATGAATCATCTGAAAGGAAATTAAGAAAAATAATTCCACTTATAATAGTGGAATTTCAATAGAATGAAATGCTTTAGAATCAATTTAACCAAGGAGGTGTAAGATATTACATTGAAAACTGTAAGATATTGTGGAAAGAAATTAAAGAAAATCTAAATAAATAGACATTCCATGTTCATGGTGGGAATATTAAGACAGTGACATGGTTTGGATGTTTGTCCCCTCCAAATCTCATGTTTAAATGTAATTCCCAAAGTTGGAGTTGGGACCTGGTAGGAGGTGTTTGTGTCACAGGGGTGAATTCCTCATGAAGTGCCCTTCCCAAGGTAATGAGCTCTCATTCTGTTAGTTCACGAGAGTTGGTCCTCTAAAAGAGCCTGGCATCTCTCCTGCTCCCTCTCACCGTGTGATACAACAGCTCTCCCTTTGCCTTCCACCATGATTGGAAGCTTCCTGAGGCTCTCGCCAACAGCAGATGACAGCAGATGACAGCACCATGCTTCCTGTAGAGTCTGCAGAACCATGACCCAAAATAAACCTCTTTTTCTGTATAAATTAGCTGGCCTCAGGTATTTCTTTATAGCAAGCCCAAAATGGACTAATACAAATGACAATACTCTCCAAATCAATCTATAGATTAATTGTAATCCCTATCAAAATCCTGATGGCTTTCTATAAAGATAGAAAAACTGAACCTACAATTCTTATTAAAAAAAAAAAAATTCAAGGGACTCAGAATAGCCAAATCTGTCTTGAAATGGAAGAACAAAGTTGGAGGACTCACACTTCCTGACTTGAAACTGACTACAATCCTACCCTAATCAGGATGTATAACACTGGCATACATATAGCCAGAGATCAAGGGAATAGAATTGAGAATAGAGGGGAAAAAAGCATAATATATGGTCAATTGATTTGCAACAAGGGTTTCAACATAATTCAATGGGATGGAATAATCTTTTCAACAAATGGTGCAGAGACAGCTGGATATCGCATGCAAAAGAATGAAATTTGACCTGTCTCATGTCACATACAAAAACTAAGTTAAATTGTATCAGAAACAGAAATTAAGTGCTAAAACACTGCTGAATGAAAGCAAAGATCTAAATAAATCAAAAGATATCCTGTGTCCATGGGTTGAAAAACTTAATGTTGTTAAGACAAATTGTTAAGCTCTTAGAAAAAAAAAATGGGGTCATTTTTTATGACCTTAGATTTGGCAATGGTTTCTCAGATGTGACATCAAAAGTATAAACAACAAAAACATAAAATAGATAATTTAGACTTCATCAGTTTTAAAATCTTTTCTGTATCAAAGGATACTATCAAGAGTAAAAAGATAATCCACAGAATGAGAAAACATTCTCAAATCACATATCTGATAAGTGTCTAACACCCAGAATACAAAGAATTATTATAACTCAACAACAAAGACTAACCTGATTAAAAATGGGCAAAAGCGCTGAATAGACATTACTACAAAGACGTACAAATGGTCAACAGGCATATGAACAAATGTTCACCATCAATATCATTTGGGAAATTCAAATCAAAATTACAATAAGATAATACCACTCTGTACCCACTAAGATGGCAACAATAATAATAGTAAGCAAAGCATAGCAAGTGTTGGTGAGAATGAGAAGCAACTGGAACTCTTCCACCTTACTGGTGGAAAAGTAAAGCAATGCAGCCACTGTGTAACACAATCTAGCAGTTTCTCAGTAAGTTAAACACAGAATTACCATATGAACCAGCAAAATCACTCCCAGGTATAAATCTAAAAGAATTGAAAACAGGTGTTTGAACAAAAATTTGTACATAAATATATATAGTTGTGCAATTCACCATAGCTAAAGGTAGAAACCCCAAATGCCCAATTGATGAATAAGTAAAATGTGGTATATCCCCAAAATGGAATGGTATTCAGCCATAAAAAGGAATGAATTACTTATACATGCTAAAACATTGATGAACCTTCAATCCTTTACACTATATGAAAGATGCCAAACATGGAGATCACATATTGCATGGTTTCATTTGCATGAAATGTCCAGAATAGGCAAATCAATAGACACAAAGTAGATGAGTGGTTACTAGAAACTAGGGATAGAGAGTGATGGTAAGTGATAACTTCATAGGTACAGATTTCCTCTTAGGACAATAAAACATTCTAGAACTAGAGAGTGATAATGGTAATGGTTGCACATGTGAATATACTTAATATCACTGAACTGTATGTTTCTCTGTTTACAAAAGCACTATGTGTTCCCTACTAAAGGTTTCAGACACACAAAAGCAGTAAGAGAAAAATGAAATGTACCTGTATTCCTTAAAATTAACTACAGTTATTTTTTAAAATTTTGATCCTTCCAGTCTGTCATGTGCATATGGGTGTGTGCACACAGTATTTATTTTCATTTCTAACAAAACTGTTATTTTACAGTACATAATGCTTTATAATCTGTTTTCCCCCTTCCTATATCATGAACATTTTCCCATTGTCATTTTGTATTCTCCCACATCACATTAAATGCCTAGATAATATTCCATCTTATGGATGTAACATAATTTATTTAGCCAATTTCTATTGTTGGATTCTAACATTTTAGAGTTGGAATACACTACAGACATTATCGCATCCAACTTATTTCTTTCCCGAGGTTTATAGCTGTAAGCCTTAAACACATGGCACACAAAGACCATTCACATGTTGAAAACAGAGTTAATTTTCCACTTTCCAGCTGGATTTGGGTGTTGTATGGGCTTTGGATTCACCATTCAGGAACCTGAAAGATGGAAATGGTGGTGGGGGGTGTGGTTAGGAGGGGGAATGAGCCAGGTGTAAAATAGTGCCCAAACATCAAAATTCTATCCTGAATGGTTTTGTTTTCCTGAAAAATAGATATGGAAGACCACAAAATAGGTTGCATTGAATCTGTTGATGACAGTTCCATCATACAAAATAGATAATGCCTCAGAGAGAAGCAAATAAGTAGCAGAGCCCATGGCAATGAATGCCTCCTGTATTGAAGCAGTACTTTGCCTTACCCACAGTTCACAGAATGAGAACATCCCATCACTTGGTCACACTGTGCTGAGCTTCCCTTTGTGTTTCCAGAGGCGTATGAGCCAGGCATGAGAAGCAGTTCTTTACTTTTTCATTTTCATTGACAGTCAGAATCAGAGAAATCAGGATATTATTCAACAATGTCTTTAGATCCAGGTGACTCATATCAGGGTGAAAGTAAATATGTTCATTCCTTGAGGTATATAAGAAACACAACACATATTTTGGATGCCTTGAAGATCAGTGAAGCTGATATGTATGTTTCCTAAGACGTTTCTCATGATAGGTAAGTTTTTCTAGCTAAAGCCATTAGACCTTACTTGTCACCAGGTCATTTCTCTTGTGGGTGACTTCTTACTGACTCCTTCTGTTGGTTTAGTTGGGTGTAGGAGGGTGCAGATGAGGCCTCATTAAATTGGCTAGATTTAAGCTTAGGCATTAATCCAAGTTGGATTTGTTTTAAGAAGGATCATTTCTTGACCTTTCTTCCTATTACATTGAGTGGATTTTTCTTACTGAGTTATAAGAGGAGGGCATATAACTCAGGCACCAATTATTTTCCTGTGTGTGTATATATATATATGTAAACAGGAAAATAGATATTTATTTGTGTTTAATGACTTGTGCCAGTTACAGAAGGATTTCTGTATGGCCCCAGTATGTCTTGACTAACTTGATGAGTTTACAGAATAAATATCTATTTATGTTTACTTGCAAGCAAAAGACATAGAAATAATATGTAATATATATATAACATATATATTATATGTTTATATATATATATTATTATTTCTATGTCTTTTGCTTCCCATTAGACTGTATTCATGGTACACAGAAATTTTGAAAGGTTGTTCAACTGAATGAAAGATGAAATATTTACTTCCATTATGGTTTCTAGGCTTTATGTTTTGATTAGTAAGGCCTTCCATCTTCAACATTACTGTTTGTTTTTAATATTTCTTTGTATTTTATTTCTACATGTATATAGAGAGTGCCCCCTCTCCTACTTAGCTCTCTTAGCCACCCTGGATTTAGTTATTTTTTTTAATATGGTGTGAGGCAGGGAGATGAGGAATACTATTTCAAGGACACCAGCTATAAAACCTTGTTTTCCAATAACAGATGACTACTCAGAATGCATTTTCTCTCCTTGGAAATAAAACATAAAAGAAGTCCTGCTTGTTGACAGTGGTAGAAACTTCATTTTATATGAACTCCTAGTCACTGAACTCCCAACAGTCTTATTCCTAATAAAAGCTAACACAAAGCTTAGACATGTGTTTCTATAGCCCCTTGGTCACCCTTCTAAGGGAAGACATTCTAAAGTCATTCACAGGTTTATAAAATGCTTTCTCATAACTTGTGCCAGTTACAGACTAATTTCCATACGGCCCCAGTATGTCTTGACTAACTTGATGAACTTTATGGAATAAAAAGTATAGGAGATAAGGTCAAAACCCCTAAGTCCAGAAAATTCTCTAAAGAAAGACTTCTCCTTCGTGCCTGGTCCATGGAATTTGATTTATATGCAATTGGCCATGGGGAAAAATAAAAGACCCACTGATGGGACGAAGCTTCCCAAGGGGTAGGACTTACAAGCAAGTCATGGTGCTCAAGGTTTGTAGGGAGGTTTGTGACCTAGAATCTCAGTGATCCTGGCTTCAGCCTTCTACTCTTTTGATAATTTCTGTATGGTTTGGCTGCGTCCCCACCCAAATCTCATCCTGAATTTTAGCTCTCATAATTCCCATGTATCGTGGGAGGTAACTGAATCACGGGGTCGGGTTTTTCCCATGCTGTTCTCATGATAGTGAATAAGTCTCACAAGATCTGATGGTTCTAAAGAGCAGTTCCCCCGCACGTGCTCTCTTGTCTGCCGCCATGTAACACGTGACTTTACTCCTCCTTCAGCTTCTGCCATGATTGTGAGGCCTCCCCAGCCATGTGGAATTGAGTCCATTAAGCCTCTTTCCTTTATAAATTACCTAGTCTCAGGTATTTCTTCATAGCAGTATGAAAATGAACTAATACAATTTCCTTGATGAAAGAGGATTTCTCCTTTGCTAGCAAAGGGAACACAGTTCAAACCAGCATCTGTCAGCTGAGATACCTTGGTCCTTCTTTGTTTACCAGACTATAGACAAGTGCAAAGAGCCTCTTCTAAATGCAGTGGAGCTAGGTAAGTTAACCAGAAGGAAGGAGAAGCACACTGAGTGATCCGGGGCACAACGACCACTGAGTTATTCCAAAAGAACAAAATGTCCTCATCGATTGAATCACTTAGTCACATGAATTTCTCCCACTAGTGCATGTTGACCTTCTGGTGGAAGCATTGCCTCCCACAGAAACTTTCTGCCCTTGTTCCCAGAGCATTTCTTCCTAGCGTAGTAGCTCGGGTAGTGTTAGCAAAAGACTAGAGGTGACTCAGTAAGGAGGGGTGGACTATCCCGCCCCACATCACATGCTGAACTGAGAAAACAGCAAAGGCCAGAGGACATTGCTGAGTGGAGGCTGCGATGCTGTATTCACATTGATCTCTGATGCAATTAACAAATTCATAATGAACATATTCCACAAACCTCCCTCTGGAAACTTTTGGGAGCTATGCATGTTTTCTAGGAACCAGGTGAATTCAGGGAGGACTGAAGGTTTCCAGAGCCCAGTCCCCTCCAGGAGCTCACCTTGGCTTTTTCTTCTTACCCTCTTAAAATGTGTTCCTATTTAGTTCTTTAAAAACATGAGTCATGAGCCTGCCACGCTAGTACCTGCTGGGAGATGAGAGGGGAGACTTGTTTCAGTTAGAGTCTCTCCCTTATTCTTTTGTCAGTGTCTGGCCAGATGGAAATTGTCAAATTCTGTCATAGCAGGAAGCTCTGTGACTATCCAGGGTCATGAATTATGTTTTTTTTTTCCAAGCTAGAGATTGAACCATTCTCAGGTCTAGAGGTTCCTTATAGGGATGGAATTCCAGGATTTCAGAGGGCTCTTCTTATGAAAAGAAAATATTGCTCAGGCACCAGTTCACTCATGTGTTTGTGTGTGCTGGCAAAGTAAAGATGGTTTCTTGGAATTAGGTTCAGTATCTTACACTTACTGGCACCTGAATCCCCATTTAATTGCTGTTAAAACCAGCCATAGATCTTTCTCTTTTCCAAGTTTTTGATCTCCCAGAAGTCCAAACGTACCATTAGGTGCCAAGGAACACCACACCTACTTACAGCTCTGTGGTCATCACAGAGAAAGTTAGTGGGAAAAGGGCCTGGAGCTGGCTGAAGGTGCATGCTGGCTTGAGGCTGGCACCTCTACCCTTGGGATGTTGGCATCTGACCTTGTACTTGGGAACCTCACCACAGAGAAGCAGATGGACCTGGGGCTGAAGCAGCCAAGAGACTCTGCTTCTGCATCCAGAGTGTTTGTGGCCAAGTGAGTCTCTAATTCACAATGTCAAATGAGCTTGCCTTCCACAGCCTCACCTCCCTTGGTGAAGGACAGGGGCTCTGCGCCAGATATACTTCAGAATGTACAAAGTGGAGCCTCTGTCTGAGCCCCTTCCTGAGAGCTGAGTGGATGCTCTACAAGGTGTGTCAATAGCTGGCTGCACAGGTGACCTCTGCTGGGACCCTGGAGAAGTCCCTTTGGCTGACGTGGCAGGAGGTGGCTCTGGGACACAGTGACATGTCCCCTGACAGGCCTAAGTGACAGAGGGTTGCTCGTTGCCTGGGCTTCAAACCAAGCTATGCTGTTTAGCAGACTGGAACAAAAACTAATATCAAGGGGGAGAAAAATCCGTGGAAGGGGTATTGGGTGCCAGCATGCCTTTAGCACTTCCTATCTACCAGCCTGTGAGCTAGGGTGGCCATCACAGGCTTATTGTTATGGTGTCCTTTTGATAGCTGAGACTGAAGGTTAGAGAGGTCATGACACTTGCCCCAGGTTACAATGTGAAGCCAAGGAGACAAGACCCCAGCCAAGACTATCTGAAATGAGACAAGACCCCCACTAAGGCTGTCCGACTCAGCCGTATCAGGTAAATCCTTCAGGCCTATGCTGTGAGTAGAGATGGTATTTAACACAATCTCCCAAAATCAACTAAAGATAGTGAGGAAAAAACACAAAGTCTCCCCTCCCACCTTGACTCTTGCAGCTTGAACTCCCCTCCTCCTCGCGCCAGCAGCCTTGACCATGTGACAGCAAAACCAAGTTTGCTTTAGCAGATTCTGTCTGCTGACCTGCTGCAAAGATCTGGGGAGGAAGCTACTTTCTTTTATGCCCTGTAACTGTTTTTGGTATAAAGCCTTAGAAGATGAAGCCTATCCTGATTCATCTATTCCCCAAATATCTGTTTTTCTTCTCTCCTGGGGTCTGACCTTCTCCTCTTCTTTCTGCACAGTGTCGGCTGTCACAGATCGCAAATCTAAATGAGTCCTATAATTTCCCCAACAATGTCCAATTGGTGAACGTGGCAGCTGAATAGGCACTGTGTACGTACTGAAAACCCATAGGCAAGCAAAAATGACAGCCGCTTTTTTACAAATGTGACTGAAACTTACCAACTCGTCCACCCCCCCACCCTCACTGGGGGTCTTATTATTTTCACAATTACTAGTTAGATAGAAAGCAGGTGTGTATGTGTGTGTGCACGTATGTGTGTGAAGCTTCCTGGTTGCTCAGATACAAAGGGAGAACACGTTCTGTTGGTTGTTTTAAAATCTTAAAAAAATATTAGCTTTCTTGCCTTTACTCTCCAGCTTACAGCCTACAGGTGCAGGAAAACCCCAACGGTGGTCCCTACTCAGCCCTTTGTGCAAAGGGTGCAGACATTTCCTTCAAAAAGGTTAGGTGCTGATTTGCATGGGGCTTACATGTACTTAGCATATTGATTGCTCATTTCCAGCCCAAGGCTGAGCACCCAACCTCCGGCGCTGCCCCTCCCCTTCTGCCACCCACCTCACGCCTATCTGCTGCAGGTGGGTTTTTAACTACAAATCCAACATGTATTTGGGGAGCTCCACCTTGAGGTGAGAAGCTCCTTCAGAGTGATGGTGAGTACCTAGACCAGAAGGAATCATGTTTTAGAAAATACAGTAATAAAGTTTCAGGAAGACTCATGTTGCTATAATTTTAAAATAATTTAAAGGCCAAGATGATATTTCTCAACATACAGAACTCAGTTTCTTTTTTTCTTTCTATCACTCTGGTGGGAAGAATAAGTTGTATACTGACCAAGTGCAAGTCACAGGGGGTAAAGCTGAGACCTCCCCTAGAATTCCTTCTTAAGATCTCACATTTCCTTCCTATTCTGAAGGATATCAGTCAGTGCACATCTGTTAAGATGACCACCAATGTCTTGTACCACTGTTCTAGGGAGGTCTGCCTTCCTCGTCTTCCTGGCTGACATTCTGTATTAGGGCCCCACATTTGCTCACACTTTTCTCCATATACACAGAGGCCACGTGGTTGCTTCATTTGTGTGTTAATTTTTTGTATATAACTGCTCCGATCTTCCTCCTGAGCTGTCCCATTTGCTTTATAAGAAAGGGGAGAAAAATTCTAGTTCATGCCAATCATCTTGGAGTTAGTCTCCTGAAATAATGTGTTTAGGATGGTAAACCTCAGTCGCAACTTTCAGATTTCTATCACCTTCCGTTCCTTTCCAAACCAAAAGATTAGGTGTAGAGGTACAGCGTGTCATGTGTTTGTGGCAGAGGAAAGCAGGAAGCTGTAGATTTACAGGGCACCTAGGGAACCTTCATGCGTCCCCTCCTCGGGTATCTGCAGGGACGTTCATTGTCACCCTGGTTGCTGCAAGTCACATGGTCCTACTGAGATCATATTTTCATTTCTATTGCTGAGTAACAAATTGTCCCCAAACTGAGAGGCTTAAGATTATTTTTCTCACAATGTTGTGGGTCAGAAATTTGGGAAGGGCTCAACCAGTCAGTCTCTCATATTGTTCACCCAAAATGTCAGCCAGGACTGCCATCATTTGAAAGCTCAACTGGTCAAATGTTCAGAATGACTGGCGGTCGACACTGGTCATCAGCTTGGAGTTGAACTGGGCTGGCAGCCAAAGGACTGACATGAGGTCGAATCATGGTGGATTCAGGATAGTCGAGCTCCGTGCACAGCACCTAAGACGTCAGAGAACAAATGTCTCACCAGCAAGGAAGAAACATGTTGCCTTGTAGCACCAGGTTTCAAGAGTAACACTGCACCACTCCAGCATAACCTGTGGTTAAAAATGACCTCGAACCTGCCTGTACTCAAGAGTTAGAAAGTAACAGGGTTCTCAAAGAACATGTGTTGTGGCAGATATCATTGTGGACACATTTGGAAAATGCAGTCTGTCATGGCTGACTGGGTGTTATTCTAGATCTTTCTGTGCTAACCTCTCTTTGATGAATTATTATAACCTCCATTTAACCACTAGCTTGGAATGTGGGGTCACCTTGTTCCTTGCCCCAGTTCACCCCTAATGTAGAATGTTTGCTGGATTTCAACTTAACTACTTCCTCTATTCTCCTTTAGAGACCACCATGGCAGACACCCAGTGGTCTCTATTCCTTCCCCTTGAGTTTTGTAGGAGCTAGGAATTTAGGAAAGGAACCCTTTGTGACTTCTGAGATGAGTCATAAAAGGTGGTAGAGCTTGGGGTGCTCCCTCTTAGAGCACAGGCTCCATCCTATGATGAGGCTGCAGTGGCCACATGAGAAGGCCCTGAGGGTGTTCTTGCTGATAGCTCCACTGCTGTCCCACCTGACAGGCAGCACCAATGGCCAGACATGCAGGAGTGAGGATGGCCGCTGATGTTTCCTGCTCCTGCTCTTGAGTTACCCTCAGGATTAAAGTCCTCAGTTGAAGCTGTAGACCTTACCAAGCAGAGATGAGCTGTTGCCCATCCTGAGTCCTGAGCCAAAGACAGTGAGAGATCAGAAAATGGTTGCTGTTGTTTAAGCCACTAAATTTAGAGATGGTTTATTATGCAGTAATAGTAACTGGAACATCTGCTAACCCATTAGGATAAATACAAAGAAGGCAACATATGGACACATCATAATTAAACTGCCAAAAACCAAAGTCAAAGAGAAAAACATAGAAGGAGCCAGAGAAATTAACATGCTACATACAAGGAATTACAATTCAGAAAACTGATGATTTTATCTCAGAAAAAATG
This sequence comes from Homo sapiens, assembly GCF_000001405.40. NCBI lineage: Eukaryota > Metazoa > Chordata > Mammalia > Primates > Hominidae > Homo > Homo sapiens. The sequence continues at coordinate 60,470,974 of NC_000020.11, forward strand.
AAGACCAGAAGACAGGGGAAAAATATTTTTAGACTGTTGAAAACAAAACAAAAACTTTCAGCTCAGAAGTCTGAATCCATTGTGGTATCAAATGATGACTTTGGAGAGAGAAAGATCTGATTAGAATCCTAGTTCTATGGCCCTATTTCCAATCCTACAATGTGGCATTAATGCAAAAAATATTATATTAATATACAAAATATGACCCATGCAAGAATTTACACCTCTGAGCTCCGGTTTCCATATATTTTGTTTACAAAGAAAAAGTCCTATTGCAGCCATTTGACAGTGCCATTATGACATTCTGTAAACAGTAAACATGAAAATGCTTTGTAAACGGAACTAACACAAAGACTTAGTAGAATCTGAAACAGACGTACTCTTGCTTTCCTTTGAGCACACATGAAAGGTATGTATACAGTAGGGAAGACTAGAGTTCTAGAGTCAGATGTGTAAGGATTAGATGGCTCTTTTTACTACTTGCTGACTGAGATGACTTATACTGACTGATCATTCATCCTCTTTAAACTTCACTTTTTTATATCAAATGGTAAAGTAGTAGAATTACCTGAGAAAGCTGTTGCAAGGATTAAATGAGATACACAAAGATACTTCACTATGCTTGGTATACAGAGTGGCTCAACAAAGAGTAGGTTTTCTACTTTAGTGAAGTATATATTAAATGTATGTATTCATCATCGATCTGGGAAATGTATAAAAATGAGGCAATAGGAGAATTCCCACTGTCCAACACTGAGCAGGTTGTTTATCTCCCTGAACCTTAGTTCCCCAGTTGTGGAAATGAATGTGAAGAGTCAGCACAGGGTGAATGTGAGGCTTGTGGAATGTATACGGCACTTGTGTGCTCAAACAAACAAAAGCAAAAGTAAGTCTGTTTCAGATTCTACTAATTATTTGCATTGGTTCAGTTTACAAAGCATCTTCATATTTATTGTCTATAGAATGTCATAATGGTGCTGTCAAATGGCTGCAATGGGACTTTTCTCTTCGTGAAGAAAATATATGGAAACTGGAGCTCAGAGGTGTCAATCCTTGCCTGGGTCATATTTTACCGGAACAGCTAGATGGTTACTGCCACTCTGAAGTTCTCTCTGTGTAGACCCTCCCTCTCCACTTCCCTCATGTGATTTTCTATTGTTGGGAGTGGGTTCTATTTATACCACATCCCAGTAGGTTTTAAGGTGGTATATATGGTATTCAAATTTGCAAATTTGGCCAATTGTGACATCAGAAAATGTTACGGTGTAGCACAGCCACGAGGCTTGGGTTCAAGCCCCAGGTCTACCACTTGGGTGAGTTGGGGCAAGAGGCTTAACTTCTCTACTCTCAGTTGGTTCCTCATTTGCCAAACGAGGATAATAGCAAAGTCTAGCTCACAGTGTTATGTGAAGGATTCATGAATTAATGTGTAAAACGTGTTCAGCACAGTGGCTGGCGTGTTCTCAGTGCCACGTGGTGGCTGTTACTTATCTCCATGAGATTGCAAACTCCATAAAGGCAGGGATTCTTGTTCATTCTGTTCATTGCTTGGTACGTTGCGGTGTTTAATAAATATCTGCTAAAAGTTGCTGAGTAAATTTTGTCCTTAAGTGCCTTCCATATTGCTAATAATAATAAAAAGAACAACACTAACTTCTAAAATAATTTTCAAAGTAACGTGATCAATAATACGTGATGCTGTTCTCCTGTCTCTGCCCTGAGCTCAGTTGCCCCTTTGGTGCTGGCACTACAGACCCCCACACTGCAGGATGCCCAGAACACTCATTCTGTTTTCTGTTTCTGCCTCCCCCTGCCCAGCCTGGCCTGACTGGGGAGATATCTATCTCAAGGTGTTTCCACCTGCTTCCCCTTGAAGACGTTGATTTCCTTCTCAAAGTCTCCCACTAGGATAAGCCCCCAAATCATGCTAGTTATGAATCTTACCAGAGTGGGACGGAATGATGCTTTAGGCACAGGCAACCTTCCCCAAACCCTGCAAATCACTCAGTTCCCCTTGAGAAAGAAATGGCTTGATTGGTGGCATTTGTGGAAAGGGGCGGGCGGTGGGGGGCGGGGGGCGGGGGGCACAGTTATTGAGTCACAATGTAGAAGTGAAAACACACAATTCAAAGTCTAAAATATTTTAAAGCTTCCCTGGACTCACAGGCCTCCCTTCCACTCACAGCTTTTTGAAGTAGCTCTGTGGACTTACACCAGAGAGATGAAAAGCTGAAATCCAGCTGCCGTTCATTCCTGCTTTGAGATTAGGAAAGGTAGAGCTGAATTTGGGCTATGTTACTCAGAAGCTTTTCCCCAGCTGATGGAGGCCTGCCCTGGAGGTGCTCAGCTCCATCTCTGCTGTCCAGGCTGTGAGCAAGAACACCTAAGGAAAGCCAGCAGCCTCCTTCACTCTCCCTCCCCATCCATTCAGGTACAGGCCACAAGTCTGCAGCATCTCACTACAAAATCAGCACAGAGGCAGTGATCACACCACGATGAAAAAAAAAAAAATAGATTAAAAAGAGAGGAAAAAATCAGCTGCTAGAACAAAAGCCAAACAGAAATGTGTTCCTTAAATTATTAGTAGTGTATTAGAGGTGATTTAGCACTCACATGGCCATTCCTACAACTGCAGAGACCCTGCAACATATCTTATTCCCTTTGTAATGCGGATGGCACTGAGATTGCTCTCATCTTCTGGGCTTATAAGCAAATATATTTAATTTGGATGTAATACAGCCAGGAGGGTGATTTCTCCAGATGGCGATTTAAGCAACAGATCAAGAGATGAATTAAGCACCTCATTCCTTCAGATTTTAGGAGATCTGCAGGTGCCAGGGATCCTGCCTCCAGCTTGGGTCCAGGGTAAATTTCGGCCAAGATGAAGCCTCTTATTGGCTGCATGAATTCTAGCCTCCTTCATTAACATGGTAATTATCCAATTAGTTAATGCTCCCTTCTTGAGTTGAGTAAGCTCCTGGGGGGTAAAGATTGCAGGTGGAATCTTGAGGCTATAATAGTGGTATTCTACTCCTTGAGGAGATGCATTTGATGGGTGTTTTTTCTACAGAACTTGATTCAGTTTAGAATACGAATCAAGGTGAAAACAAAACAAATCTAGTAGCAATCAATAGAATTTCTCTATGGTAGATCTGAGTAATTTGAGATTAATTAGCACAAAGGAAGCTAAATCAAACCAACCAATGCTTAGTGTCTTTATGAGCAAGATCTCAAAAGGGGGCCTTTAAGGTAGTTATTAGCTGGTGGCTCAGAGACTAGCTTTAGGGGGTTTGTGTAGTTCTGCAGACAGGATTGCAAGGCCAGCTGGTATGTGCACTTTTTGGGGGAAAAGAGTCCTTATTTCTTCATCAAATTCTTTACAGAAGAGTGCCGTGCTCCCCGCTGTCTTAGGAGTTACAGAACATTTAAAAGATGATTTGCGGACAGATTAAGGACTTCAGAAGGAGAGATGACACCAGACCTAGGTCTTGCAGATGCAAACTCCTGTCAAGTGTGAGAGGAGGGGGAGTATTATCCACCAGTGGCAGATAGGCTGGGCATCTGGGCAGAATGATAAGAGCTGTGGCCCTGCAGCCAGTCCCTGCATTTGCACCCTGAGTTTGCCATGAGCTGTGTGACCTTAGTCAAGTTTCTCAACCTCTCTGTGCCTCAGCTTCCTTCTCTGAAAAATGGGGATCGTGTTTTGCACACAGCCCGACACACAGCAAATATTCAGTGACTGCTGCCGCTTTCTGCCATGGCTAAAGGTGGTGTTGTGGTTTTCCTTCCAGGTTTTTATGCTTTAATTTCCTAACTGTTCCTGCATTACTTCACAGTTGATGACGTGTGGGGCCAAGCTCTTGGCACACGTGAGCACAGTGGATATTCAAGGAGCGTTAACTCGGGTCCATTTTTCTTTCCATCAAACACAGCCTCCTGGTAAAAGAGCCATTCAGGATGCCTGGAGGAGCCCAGATTTCAAATCTGATGAAGTCTGCAGTTCTATAAATTCCCTCCCTCTTTTGTGCTGATGGCAACGACTTTTATATGTATTTTCATGTCTTTCTCTCCAGAGATAAATTTTGTGGCCTGCCACTGAATCTGCTTCCTAAAATGTAGCTTGGAGATTTTATTTGAGATAAACTATCATGTGAATAAATATAGATACTATATTTTAATCTGGGAGCGTTCCATTTGGAACCTTTTTTTTTTTTTAAAGTCAACATTAGTGGTGCCGTCATTCAAAGGATATGGACGTTTGGGGGAAATTTACATCCAACTGTGACTGAGAACCTTTTGCCAGGATAATATCTGTTTCTCTGAAAATGACAATGGCTATGGACGTAAAGCATGATCTCAGATGGCAGTCCCGAAATCAGGAAGGTCCATTTCAACACATCTCCTGGCCCCTGTGGCAAGCTACAATGCTGGTATGCTCGCATGGTAGGGTCTCTGCCTTGCAGGTAACACGTGTCCATCTGAGAATAGTAAAGGAGGTTCATTTGTTTATGTGCTGGTGGTGCTGAGGAGTTTCACAGAGGCTGGAAAACAGGGGCTGGCAATTGATTCCCCCCAGAGCCCTCCGTTTCACATTGCCCCACCCCAGAGACCATGGGAGATGATCATGGGAGAGGAAGGTAAACATGCATCAGTGGAGCGGGAGAGTGAAGGGGTGAAGAAACAGGAAACTGCGATCACTGTGGGACGTTGCCCTTTTTTCATGACCACGAAGATGCAAAATGCTGAGCCTTGTTATTTCTGGCCCAGGTAGGAATTGGTGCTTCCATTTAATTAGCGTATCATAGAATCAGATTATTGACCATGGGTTGGGTCCACACCAAAACCCCTGAGCGCCTGAGCCCGGGGGAGCCCTAAGCTCTCCTTGTCCGAGAGTCGTGAGGGAGGCACCCTAGGAGCCCCTGCAGGATTCTAGGGGCCAATTGATCTCATAGCTTTTAGGGAGAAAATGCCCCTAACAATACTTTCTTTCTCATCTGTGCAATATGCAATAAATTCATCTACCCACAAACTGAAACGTGAACAACTGCTTAAGTATCACAAAGCAGTCCATGATACACCAAAAAAGATGCTGTTCCAGGAAAGTAACAAAATTGCCTGTTCTCCACGCCTCACCCCGTTTATGGACTTTCAGTTCTCCACGGTAATAGAGTGGGAGGTGATGAACAAAGCGAGACCTCACCAGAGGCTGTGTGATTTGTGGAAACTTTGAATAACTCTTTTTATCCCAGGCCCCTTCTAGTGAAAGTCCATTTTATGATTTGTACAAACCAACATTGTTTTTGCGGGAGGGCATGTCAACACCCCGAATGGCTGAAACTGACCCAGAAGTCAAATTAGCTGGAATTGAATCTATAAAATGGATTCATTTGCACCTCATTAGAACATAAAAGCAAATCCAAGTTCACATGGGGAGGTGGGGGAGGGCAAAGCGGTACTAATAGAAGAAAAGATGTTGGCTGAAAACATGTTTTGAAAACAAGGTGTTAAATGATAAAATATGGCAAAAAAAGCAAATGGAGAATCCACAAACACATATGGGTTAACTCTACTCCAGCACACTGGGCCTGTGAGAAACAGATTGAGCTTGCACCTTCAAGGCCGTTGTGATCAATGGGAGAGCAGACATGCAAACAATGGAAGGTAAGGGGGCTGGTGTCACCTGAGGATGAGGAGAAGGCTAAGCAGAGGCAGGAGAGAGCCTCTCTGATTAGAGAGGCAGAGATGGAATCCGAGAGTCTGGCATCAAGGGGAGCCTAGAGCATGAACATGATGCTGTTCAGCTGTGTCTGTGTTCACAGAGGCACTGAGACGGGTACCAGGGTGTAGATGCCAAGGACGGAGAACATTTGAAGAAGGCATGGACAGTTGGCAGAGGCAACTGAGGTGCTAAGTGGGAGCAGATGGGAGGGGCACTGGGGATGGAGGAGCACCTTGGGGCTCTGAGAGACTGGCTTTGAGGGCACTAGCCCTGAAGCCTGTTCTGTGGGTTATAATCCAAGCCAAGTGGTATCTCCTTTAAAAAAGGTGGCCAGATTTCTGATGGCATCTCTTCAAGGTATACATCCATGGCAGGGATGAGTCAGCACCCAGCCTTGCTGGACATGGAATCAGGCCACAGAGCCTGGTCACGTAGTGCCATGTAAGTTTCAGTGGGAAGCCTCTCTTACAGTATACCTGGGCATTTCCTGTGTCTCCTCCCTGAAATGTTTTCTGAACAACTTCTGAAATGTCAGTGTTTCTCTAAAAGAAAGTGAGGAACCTCTGTAAAACACCTTCTTTTTCTTTTGAAATGGGATCTCACTCTGTCTCCCAGGCTAGAGAGCAGTGACTCCATAACAGCTCACTATAGATAGCCTCAACCTCCAGGGCTCAAGCAATCCTCCCACCTCACCCTCTGGACTAGCTGGGACTACAGGCATGTGCTACCAGGCCTGGCTAAATTTTTTTCTTTTTTTTATAGAGACAGGGGTCTCCCTATGTTGCCCAGGCTGGCCTTCAACTCCTGAGCTCAAGCAATCCTCCCACCTTGGCCTCCCAAACTACTGGGCTTACAGGCATAAGCCACTGTGATTCTTAAACCCTGCCCATCTCTGCCTACTCCTCTCCCCAGACCACAGCTCTCTAGGACTAACTCCTATTTAGGAAGCATAGAGAAAAGTCTGACAATTAAAAGTGTTTTGTTTGTTGGGTGATGAATTTCCAGGGCCTCCATCTACTGTGTAGCACTTAATCGTTACTTTTCGTAATATTGTGACTAACCTTCCTGGCCATGAGAACCAGGCTGTCTCTCTTTGATGTACGGTGAGGATGCTGGAGTTGTTTTGCTAGGGCTGAAAATCCTGTGTGCCTCTAGATGTTAGATTTCCCTTGGAAAAAGGCTGTATGGGGCCAGTACAAAGAGAATTGTTTATGCTTCTGTGAGGAGATGCCAAAAAATATATAAGAACAACAACAACAAAAAATCCGCCATCAAATTTACTCCTTAAGTTTACTGACAGCCTGTCACAATGAAATAAAACATTTATATTCACTTTATGGACTTAATTTAAAATGACTTAGTTGAAGAAAGCAGCCCCTTGCTTTGAACTACCTGCAATCCGAACACGAAACTCGTCATGAGAATGTGGAAGGAGGTTGCCGGACGCTGCTGGCTGCCTTCCAGCGTCCACTTCCCTTTCTCTCTCTCCTGACACAGCTCCGTCGTGTGTTTGGTCCCCAGGCCTGAGGTCTCTGTGCTGCCGGGGAAGCTGACCATGCTAGTTCCAATGGTGGCCTTGGTTTAGAAAATGCAAAAAAGATCTCTGCAGGTCAAACAGCGATAAGGAAAGGTTAGCAGTGAGAATTCATCAGACAAGAAGGTGCCTGAGTTTTGGCACAAGGTCACGTTCACTCTCTGCTTTTGACTGTGCTGCTTGTTTAGGCACAGAGATGCTGTGGCTGAGTGTCTTGCTGGTGGAGGCTGCACATGCAGCCCTGTGGGAGGTGGAGCCGGTACGGGCAGATGATGTCAGATGTGAAGCGTGCCCACCTGCTGGACTTCCAGGAGGACTAGGCAGATAACTGCCCTGGTGTTTCAGGCACTTTGAGCTGGGGGTTCCGTTGTTTGTCGATGAGAGAGTCCCTGGATGCCAAGAGCTTTAGAGCATCTTATCACTCACGTTGGAGTTGGGACCAAAGCGATTCAAAGGAGGCCACAGTCAGCTGTTCTCAGCATCTGAAGCCCATGACTTGCATCTTTTCCAGAGGCAGCATCCCAGGCTGTGACGGCCAGCCAGGCATCCCCGGCATTCTCCCCGTCCTGCCCAGGAGAAAGGGCCCTGTGACTGCATGACACTCCCTCTTCCATCATCCATGTTGCAGCCCCTCCAAGCTGGTTAATGGAGAAAAGGAATTTCAGAGGCTTAGGGGCTTGCTGCTTTGCCAGCATTTCTGAAAGGCTTCAGAGCAACTTTAAGGATTTTTACAACAATGGCAGTGCTTATTTGAATGATCTTGTACTTTTACCAACACAGTGCAAAGCCCTCCACATGCATCCCAGCACCCTAGTTAAGACAGCCCTGTGATGTGGGCCCCTGAGCTCTCCCTGCTGCACGAATGAGGAAACGTGCCCGAGAGGGTCCTGGCCTAAGGGGCAGCCTCTGGACTCGCACCCAGGTACTCCTCCTGTGCTCCTCAGGTGCTGTCATGGCAGCTGCTCTGAGGTCTCAGCACTGCCTGCCCCAGCATGGCCGAGTTGGGCAGAAGTGCTGGAGCGGAGGTTTGCCTTCTGTATGGCTGCCTCAGCCAGACCCACGCATGACTCTGGAAGATTGTGTGGCGCTCCTGTGCTGTGCACCGTGGTGTCTTCAATGTCACCAGCAATCTGAAATGATATTCATATTTTCTAAGGTCAGCAGGGCACAGCACACCCAGGAAGCATCTGATACTTTGGAAGAAATCTGGTTTGATGATTATTAGAATTGCAAGAGTAGCTGTCTTTTAGTAAGTTTCCCCCTACTCCCATCAGCAAAGTGATAAGCACTTTCCTTCATCATCTTACTTCTTCCTCTCATCAATGCTATACAGCAGGAATCAGTGTCTCCATATCCCAGGGGAAAAAACGAAAGGTCAGAGAGGTTATGTTCAAGATTACACAACTTGAATATTGTAAGCTCAAGATTCAAACCCAGATCTCTCTGAACGTCAGAAAAGCCTGGACTCTTTACCATTACTGTATTTATTTAGACAAATACAGTTGTATGTATTGATAGTGGACAAAGTATTTCCATCTATGCATAACATTGTGGGATGAGCAAACCAAGGTGATTGACATGGGCATTACTTTACATATATATCTTTGTGTGTGGGTGTCTAGTGAGAACACTTACCTACTCTCTTAGCAATTTTCAAGTATCCAATACATTGTTATTCACCATAATGACTATGTTGTGGGATAACTCCCTGAGCTTCTCTGCGCCCACCCCCCTATCTAAATGACATTTTGGGTCCTTTCAAATCACCCTTATTTCTCTCCCCCAGCTCTAGACCTACAATCTGCTCACATTGGTGAAGTGAAAGCACCTGCAGGATTGAATTTACCCAGTAGGTTAGGACCCTGCATGCTCACGGAACCGCCCTACCCATCCTGCCTCCCCACCTGGCTCTGCCTCCTAAATGGATAGATACATGCTGTTCTAAAGTTGGCCAAGCTCTATAGTCTCCTTGGGAAAATAACAACCTTAGAACATGGGACAGCCCTGTACTCACAAATTGATGTCATAGCCTAAGACAACCAAGGCAACAGAGGATTCTCAAGAAGGTAGTGGAGGGGACAAATAACTTCTACCTCAGGAGATCAAAACGTGAAGCCACTGGTCACTATTCTGCTGGCTTACACTGATGTTTACTCACCATGACATATTAATGAAAGGCTTTTAATGTCAGTCATTTCAATCACAAATCCTTACAAAATAAGCAAAGTGTTACTCTTGCTCCATGAACAGGATACAGAGATTCCTGCTAAAATCACCCCAAGCTCAACCCTGACCTCACCTGCTTTAATTATGCGTGAAGTAAGTCAAATTCCTTTGCAACAAGCAGGCATTCATTATCTATAATTCCTATTTTATAACTTTTTTGTTTGATCTATCCCAGAATTCATTCTGAAGAAATTCAACAGAATAAATGATCATTTTCCCTGACCACTTGACTGCTGCTTTGAATATGTAATGTGGCTACACATGTATATTATTTATGAAAAATTGATTGCTGTAACATCTCAATATTCCTTTCATGCCCTGTGAATGTGGACTTAATACATTTCCTCTGAAACCCACGACTGGCCTGCAGTACGTGACAATGCCTTGGAGAGGCGAATGGATTTATTGGTTTGGGCAGCCTGTCGTCTGTGCGGAAATTAGGGAATTCCTGCGCACAGTCGGCTCTCGCCTGCACGTCAGGAGCTTCAGCTGGCATGGGGCGTGATGACTGTGCTGGCCCATAGGGCAGTCCCCAGTAAATTTGGAGGACAATATAGACCAGCATCCCAGCGTTTCTCTAAGGACCATGGTCTAAAAACCACGCCCCGTGAGGGAGACCCGGGATGCAGGGATGCACACTTTCTCCAGCTCCCAGTCTGACTTGAGCCCTGCGGGGTAAGTATCGGATTCCTCCAGACGCAGATCTTGAAACGACTGGGACGGACCCAAGTTGTTTCTTTAGGAGGCAATTCCAGGCAGAAGTGGGAGAGGCGTGTGGAAATGAGACAAGGAGGCCGCAGGGGCCATGGGGAGATACCACTGGGTGCTCTGGGACCAGATCCTCCCTGCAGAGGAAGGATCCCATGTGTGAGGCCCCGTGTACATCTTCCGCCTCCCAAGTGTCATTGCACGGGCACGCACAGAGCCCAGGGTCCCTCTGCATTCCCTGCCGTGATGGTGGGGTGGGAGGAAGCCCTAGGGGCTGGGAGTCCCGGAGACCCATAGAGGACAGAAAAGGACATGAACTGGACCAGTGAATACTGCGGGGACAGCGTCTGCAGCTGGGAGGCGTTCCTGAGAGTTTACAAGTCCATCACCGCCCCGTCCCTCACGGCACACCCAGAGCCTGGGAGTCAAGCCAGAGTGGCTGTGCAAAGCCATGCCTGCAATCACTGTCGCTGTTTCTCTGGAATCCAGATGAAAATGATCTACAGGCAGGGATGAGACTTGGGGCAGGAGAATGGTTTGAGGACACAAAGCTCTGGTGTCCTGGTGAACAACAAGATCTGGTCAACTGCTTTGCCTACAAGAACCTTCTGAAGAGCAATTCTGGTGTTGGATGTATGAGAGATTGATGAATTGTGAATAAGATGCACAGCAGGTAAAACAAAACGAAAACAGCCACAAGGGAGCTGTCCCCGCACCTCCACCACAATGGCAGGGGCAGCAGCGAACCCAGCAAGGATCCCCTGCCTGCAGTGGCTGCTCAGAGACTTGCGGCTGCCTCTGTCTGAAGGTCTGGCTACTGGAGGAGTTCTAGGATGGGGAGGGGGGCCCAGGATCAGGTCGAGCATTCCTCACTGCTGGACCAGGCATGAGGTAGCTCACACTTCTGCAGCCTGGAAAAAGAGTGGATTTGGGCTGCGCACATCCCTGGTGCCCAAAGCGTGGCCAGAAAGACAGCCCCTGTATCACCTGGGAGCCTGTTAGAAATCAGTCTCTGGTTGAGCCCCGGATCGGATGACTGGAAATGTATATGTTAATAAGGTCCCCAGGTGCTTCATGCTCACATGACAGTTTGAGAGACAGGGCACTGGCTACAGCTTCTGGCCCAGCTCTGCGTCTTTGGGGACTGAGTCAAGAGGAGCCCGCATGGGCTTGGAGTTTCCCATGGGCCTGACACGGCCTTGTTTCATTTCATTCACTAAATGACGGTGCTTGGCAGGAGCACCACCGTCCACCTCTTACAGATGAGCTCAGAGCTGCCTCATGATGTGCTCAGATGCGTTCTGCAGCAGTCGGTGTGGACATGGGGCAGCTGCCTCTGCAGTGCACCCAACTCACACCAGACTCTCCTGCCCTCGATCCCATGGGAGGTCCAAATGGCCCCGTCCAAAGAGTGACCCCAGGCCACAGAGCAGCCCAATCTTGTCCAATTTGGATGATTCTAGGAAGATTTCCAAACAAGAAAAAAAAATGTTTCGAACCCAAACTGAAGGAGATGGCAAAAGACACAAAGTAATGAAGTGGGAGCCAAAATGGTTTTCTTTTCCTCCACTGAATATTTTTCATGTGGTATCGGATGTTCTTTAAAGGTCAAATGTTACTATTGCTCATTTCCTCCTCAGCTAATCAAGTATTACGCAGTGGCTTAAGGTCACAAGCGTGAGTTACTGATGAAAATAAAAGCCTGTTCTTGATTTTGTAAGGGAAACACATGATTTGAGTACACGCCTGTAGAAACTACTTTATGTTCAGGGCAAGCATGTTCCGCACGTATTTGAATTTGGGCAGATGATGTTATCTCAGGTCAAGGATTTTGAGTGCAATCTCTGAACACTATGTACAAGGGCCACCCTCACCAGTGCCAATCTAGGGGGGATGGTATTGATAGGAAAGGCAGTCGTTTGCATCCTGACCAAGGCAGACACTGAGTTATGCAAAAGGACCAATAAGTTGCCTCAGTTTTCCCTCCTGTACAATGGGGATTATGAGCTGCCTGCCAGCACCGGAGTGAGGGGTAAGTGGGATAGGATGGGGCAAAGTGCCTGCCACATGTTTTCCCAGACTGAGTTCAATAAAATAGTAGATTAGAAAAAAAAAGACTGGAATAAGTACCCATAATTGTGAGCCTCCTTCATGCTAGGGGCATGGTAAAACTTCTCTAATGAAACCCTCACAGTCACCAACATGGAGGAGGCTGTATTCCCAATTTAACAGGAGAGAAAACTGCTGATCAGAGAGGTTGAGGGACTTACATAGGATTGCAGAGCTGCTGAGTCCCAGCCTTTCCTGGCCTGACATCATCCTGTAGTGGGAGTCTCCCCAAGGTCCTAAAGCATTGACAGCCTCACCCCTGGCTCACCCCATGGTGGTGGCTGTATGAGGAGAAATAGCCTCTGCGTCTTAGTACCTGTCCCAAAGGGAGGTTTCCTGTGCTGAGCTAATGGAGCAAGGCCACCATAGCTTGGAGGACTGAATTAAAACCCCAAGTGGGGTCTGCTGGGTGCTGGTCAAATGATGGGGAAGGGGAGCTCTAGGTACAGGATTCCCCTTTTGCCCAAAACTCACCACCTTCCATTTCCATTCACCATCATAGGATTTCTTTGGACATAAGAGAGAACCCACTCCAAGTAGTTTAACCAAAAAGGGGAGGGGAAGCATTCAGAAAACTCTCAGGGGACCCAGTTTCAGAGAGCAGAGCCACATCCCTTGGGAGCTGGGAGCAGGAGAGGAAGCAGGTGTGGGGGTGGGCAGGGGCAAGCAGGGAGGGCCAAGGTGGCTCTTCTGTCAATGTTGCTTCACCCAGTACGGGCTCCTCGCTCCCTCTCCCCCTCCCCTCCCCCTCCCCACTCTCCTGTCTCCCTTTCTACTGCAGGTGGTGAAGGTGGCACAGCGTTCATCCATACAGTTAGCAAAGGTGGGGAACTGGGGGCTGGGAAGGAACATTCCACCTGAGGGAGGGGCGAAGAAAGGAGGACAGGGGAAGGATTTGCAAGATATGGTGGTCTATGGATTAGATTCTAGCAAGAGGGATTTCAGGAATAAATGATGTAAGAACTCAATGAGAAAATACGCTTGGGTAAGGCAGAGCCTTGGAGGGAGTTGGGAACTGGGGAGCCAGGAATGAATGCCAGTTATGGGGATGGGGCTTCTCCCAGGGGTGCCTCATCCACCCTCCTTCCTTTCATGGCCACCCTCCTCTGCTCATCTAAGGATGGGCAGATTGCACTTTTCCATGTTAGGCAACACGCTGTGCAAATACAGCTTTAAGCTGCTTTCCAACGAGGCTCTGCAGAAAGGCGTCCCCTGAGAAAGGCGAAGCCATCAGGAGAGCTGAGGGCTGGAGGCTGCTCAGCACTGCTGTTTTCGCCCCTGGCCAGGGCTCCCCCTCCAAGCCCTGCATCATCTCTCTGCTCTGTCCAGAGACACACCTCCAGGGGTTGCTCTTGTTTCCTCCCCTTTTCTTTGGAATTCTCTTAAATCAGGCCTGTGTCCCCCTCAGCCCTCGGTCCCAGGCACGAGTAGCTCCTGGGATTTCCACATTCCCAGATCCAGGAATCAATGCATCCTCATCTTCTCATGTCCTTGCAGCACTGGATGGGGGTCAGCTCCCACCTTCTCCCTGAAGTGTTTTCTCACTGGGTTTCTGGAACATTCTGCCATTGCTTTTCTCCCATCTCCCAGGAGCTTGCAGAGGTGTGGTCCTTGGGCCTCTTTCCTCCCCCAGGTACCCCTGCTAGATGACCTCATCTGCGTCAGGGATTCCTATTTCATTACAGGGACCTCCTCCCTGGTCTCCCAAGGGGCATTTCTGGCCACCTCTTTGGCAACTGCGTTGGAGAGGATAACAGGCTTCTCCCTAAAGGGCACTTCTAGCCTTGCCCCAGCCAGCACTTCCAGCATTGCCTTTCTTCCGGGTGCTCAGATCAAAACTTTCAAGCGTCTTTTCTTCCAAGCTTGGCTTCTCTGTTAGGAAGTCTCGCCAGCTCTGTCTTCCAACCAGGGGCACTTCCAGCACCTCCACCACCGTCGCCAGGGGCCGAGCCACCATGCTGTTATCTGAAGGACTACGTGGCCCACCCAACTGGGCCCCCTGCTTCTGGGCTTCTTCTCCTGCAGGAGCACAGTGAACCTGTAGCCTTGATTCCACTTAATCAAAGCTCAACGGCCTCCCGTCCGTTTGACTGGAAGTGTCTGCTCAGTGGCTGACAAGGCTCCGACCTTACCTCCTCCCCTCAGCCACAGGAAGAGCCACATCGCCTGCCCTTCCTGCTGTCTCCTGAATGTGTCAGGCCAGCTCTGACCCAGAACATCTGCAGCTCCCTCTGCCCTCTTCGGGAGTGCTCTTCAGAAAAGTCTGCACGGCTTACTGCCCGCCTCCTTCCTGCCTTCCCCCAAGGGGGTCTTCCTCTCCAGGAGACTCTGAGCAATGCATGTAAAATTGTGGCACCCGTCTTGTCTACTCATCATCCACGACGTATTCTCCCTGCGACACGTGTGCTCATCTAAGGATGTGCTAATGATTTATTCATGTATTTGTTTACTTGTGCATTCATTTATTATCTGTCTTCCATCACCAGAATACAGGTGTTATGAGGGCAGGACTTTTGTACTTGTTGTCCTCTTTTGTACTTGTTGTTTATTTGTTGCATGACTAAATAAAAGCAGCCCTGGCAGAGAGAATGTGGATGATGCCAATGTGACAAGCCTAATGTTCTTTGTTTCAGGAGTTCTTTTGATGTGGAGAAATAGAGATATGTTCTCATAATTTGAGGTTTTTTGGTCATATGATTGTCTTTTCTGTAAAAATGGGAGTTGTCAGAATAAACAGAGAGGCAGACTGATTTTCCCAGGGGGAGTAGGAACTCCTGCCGGTCATGGGAGATCCAGCAGAGGCAGCTGGGGGTGGGGCTGTGGCTGAGAGTCCAGAGGAGGCAGTGGGGCCCATCTCGTGCCAGGTCTCTCACCTTCCAGGTGAAAGTCAATCATGGCTGGAAGCTTGCCCAGTGCCCTTTGTGTCTAGTTTTTCTCCATAAGTTACTGGGGTACAGGTGGCGTTTGGTTACATGAGTCAGTTCTTTAGCGGTGATTTGTGAGATGTTGGTGCACCCATCACCCGAGCAAACATTGCACCATATTTAAGCCTCCTGGCCTTGGTGTCTATTTTTATTGAAACGGTTGGACTCCCGCTTTTGGCTCCTGGATGCACTGGTTACCATAAGAAGCTCTCTCCCGGACGTGCCTCTGACTTGTTAAATCAGTGGACTGCCGGATGTAGCGGGAGCTCTTTCAAGCTATCTGCATGTGAGGGCTGGCTTGGGTTGAGATAATGACCACTCATAATGACCCCAGTCTGGGCCGATTACGGATTCGATCTTCCCCTTGATAAGCAGGGTTGTCAGTGCGTCACTGAGGCCAGCACATGCTCATCAGGGAAGCCTGGCCTTGGCTGAGAACTAGTGCTGGGGAAGGGAAGTGTTTAGGGCTTATGGCTTGAAAGGAGAGACAGCTAATATGTCAGTACAGGGCCTGTTGTCTGTCACTGTGGCTCCATAGGCCGGGGAACCTGCAGAGGAGGCCGGGTCTCTCCCACCTCCTCCCATCACTCTCACTCACTCAGTTCTGGTCCCATCACACTGACCTATTGCCAGTTTCTGGTGTTGAGCCGCCCTGGTCTCTATCCTGGAGGGCCTCAAGGTGTGACATCCCCAGCTAACGGGCTCTTCCCTGACCCTTGCCGGACCCCACCTGGCCTCACTGACCTGTCTCAGGTCTTGGCTTTAATTCCATGGCCCAAGCTCTCTGAAGCAGCCTTCCCTTGCAATTCTCTGTCACCACACCTTGCTTATTTCTCTTGAAGCGCTAATTATGAGGCTTATGAAGATGTCGCATGTCTGCCTGATTGCCCTGGGCGGTCTGCATCCAGATGGCCAAGGCAGGGTTGGCCGGTTCTTCATTAGCTATGCGGTGACCACACAGGGCAGGGCCTGGGAGGCTCTCAACCAGTGCTGCTGGATGGAGGGTAAGCACAGGCTCAGAGGAGGCCAGTGCATGGTTTTGCCCAAGAATCTGAGAAGGGAAACACGTGGCGGAGAAGGGGAAGAGTCTAGATCCCCGCTGATGTCTGTCTGGCTCTGGGAAGAGTCTAGATTCCCACCATCTGTCTGGCTCTGGAAGCTGCACTCTCGGAGCGAAGCCCCAAAGCCTCCCGACCACTCAAGGGAGTGAGGGCTGGAGGGACTTTGGGGGCTGAACGGTCCAGGTTCTGACTGGCGGCTGCTCCGTGAGCGTACTGTTCTTGGGAAAGCTCATCCCACTGGACGAGGATGACACCTGTTCTCTTCTGCATGGCTGTTCTGCATCAAAAGAGAGTGAAAACCCACTGCTGGCACCTCTAAGTGTCAAATGCTGTGCTAGACACTAGGGTGAGGGTGAAGACACAGAACCCGAGAGCTGCCCCACACCAAGACATAGACATAGGGTCTGCAGGGCTTATAATACACTAAGGGCCGGTGGTTTCAACCCAGGGCAGCAGGTGCAGTGAGGGTAGGTGTATTAGGGTGCTTTAGAGGGACAAAACTAACAGAATAAATGTATATATCAAGGGGAGTTTATTAGGGAGACTTGATTCATATGATCACAAGGTGAAATCTCACAACAGGCCGTCTGCAAGTTCAGGGGAAGGAAGCCATTTCAAGTCCCAAAACCTCAAAACTAAGAAAGTCAACAGTGCAGCCTTCAGTCTGAGGCCAAAGGCCTGAGAGTCCCTAGCAAACTACTGGTGTAAGTCCAAGAGTTCAAAAGCTGAAGAACTTGGAGTCCGATGTTCAAGGGTAGGAAGCATCCAGCATGGGAGAAAGATGGAGGCCAGAAGACTCAGCCAGTCTAGTCCTTCCACGTTCTTCTACCTGCTTTATCCTAGCTGTGCTGGCAGCTGATTAGATGGTGCCCACCACATTGACAGTGGGTCTGCCTTTCCCAGTCCACTGACTCCAATGTTAATCTCCTTTGGCAACACCCCCACAGACACACCCAGGAGCAGTACTTTTGTATCCTTCAATCCCATCAAGTTGACACTCAGTATTAACCATCATCCCGGAATACGTGGAGGAGCCTGAGGTCAGAGGAGAGAGGGAAGCGCTCCTGGAACTGGCAACTTCAGCAACCTAAGTCTTAAAGGCAGTGAGGCTGGAAGGGAAGGAAGTGGCCTGTGGGGGTTAGCTCCTGCAGATTCAGGTAGTTTGTGTCCAGTCACCTAACTTCATGTCACATGAAGAGAAAACAAAAGACTCTACCTGGCACATGAGGTCAGTTGGTGGCTTTATTAGTCAGGGTTCTCTAGAGGGACAGATCTAATAGGATAGACGTATATAGGAAAGGGAGTTTATTAAGGAGAACTCACAACATCACAAAGTTAAGTTCCACGATAGGCTGTCTGTAGGTTGAGGAGCAAAGAAGCCAATTGTGGCTCGTTCCAAGTCCCAAAACCTCAAAAGTAGGGAGCCAACAGTGCAGCCTTCAGTCTGTGGCTGAAAGCCTGAAAGCCCCTGGGAAACCACTGGTGTAAGCCCAAGAGTCCAAATGCAGAAGAACTTGGAGTCTGATGTTTGGGCGCAGGAAGCATCCAGCTCGGGAGAAAGATGAAGGCTGGATGACTCAGCAAGTCAGTTTCTTCCACCTCCTTCTGCCTGCTTTATTCTAGCCACCCTGGCAGCTGATTGGGTGGTGCCCACCCACATTGAGGGTAGGTCTGCCTCTCCCTGTCCACTGACTCAAATGTTAATCTCCTTTGGCAACACCCTCACAGATACACCCGGGAACAATACTCTGTATCCTTCAATCAAGTTGACACTTAAGCATCACAGTGGCCAAGAGTAGCATAGGGGACCCGACCCTCATGGTGCTTGCAGAGGGACATGTTGGATTCAACAAAGGAGATGTTGCATCCTCTCCTCTCCAGGAGTTGGCCCTTTGGTTCTGAGAAGTGAGTGGACACAGATGTGACATGGAAAGGTGCTATGGTGGCACTGTTTGGTGGTTGCAAGGGATGCTTCTGAGACAGCTGCCTGCCTCTGACTCTCCCTTATCCCCCCTGAGTCTCAGCTATCTCATCCGTGAAATGGGCATTTGCAGGTGCTGTTGTGAGCACTGAATGTGGTAGCAGATGGAACTTAGTAAGAGCTTGATGAACTCAGGCCACTGCTACCAGAGTAGCAAATGGACAGAACCAGGGCAGCTGCCCTGAGGCCCAGCTGGGTGCCAAGGCAACAGGATGGACAGGGAGACAGCAAAGCTCTAAGCTGTACTCAGGGAGAGCAATGCCTGCAGGGTCCATCAGAGGGGGCTTCCTGGGGAGGGTCCTGCAGTCAGCAGCGTTCCTGGAGGGAGCACGGGGCAGGGGCGGGGATCATACGATGGGAGGGTGAACACACCTAAAGGGCTGGGTTAGAGAGTCCGCAGCAATGGGTAAAGGAGCAGAAGGTGGAGATACCAGGGTCAGGCCAGATCAGCGAGGGCCCTGGAGTTCAGAGACAGAGTTGGAAGGAGGGGAGCAGAGGACTGTCTGGATGGAAACAGGTTTGGAAATATTCTGGAAGCCTGGGGTGGAGAGAAGAAATTTTAACCAGCTGAGCCCGGAAGCATCTCTGCAGTTGCTGACAATCAGCTCCTAGTCTCTCATCACAGCCCCATCTCAAGATCAGTGTGCCCTTTGAAAAGATGGCTGCACATCACCAAGTCAGCAAAGCCGAGGGCCACCTCCCACATGTGCTCTTCACCCTCTTGGTGACGCTTCTGACTACTACACTTTTCATTCACTTTGATGCATTCCTCATTCAAGGGGATGCAGGAGCCATGATGGTGCCCATCCCCTTGGTTTCAGATTTATTTTGTTATTGTTGTTGATTTTGGCCTTTGTTATGCTCATGGAATTCTGGTATTGTAATCATTTTAGGTAAGACCGATATTTTGAGTTTTTCCATTTGTTTGTTGCAGTGGCTTTGCATTTTAAAATGTGGGCATGTTCCCCAGGCTGCCCAACATCAAATGTGAAACATCAAATGTGTTTTTTGGCCCCAGTGGGAGGCCCTGACCTTTCATTTGCATGCATCATAAATGTATGTATGCATCATAAATGTATGCATGCGCACGTTATTTTGTGCACATATGATATCAAAACCCCCATCTTAGAGCCCCGGGCATTTATGTAGACTCTAACAATAGCCATATGCTTCCCCCTCCCCTATCTGCTGTAAACCAGTCAAAGCCACAGAGAAAATGAATGCACAGACCTCTCTGCTCACGGTGCATGGACACACATCACCCTTCCTGTTGGTATCTAGGGTCACAGAGAAGTCGCAATTCATTAGTTATCAATATTGTGTTCAATTGACTTCTTGGGAAATATGACAGGCACCCTTCTTCCCCTCCAGCTGCAGCCAGGGCTGGTGCTGATCGTGGGTCTGGAGCTGTCTGCTCCCCTTGGAAATCACAGTCTGTAATGACTGGTTAACATATTGACTGCCCCAAGAAGCCCTGGAGTCATCTCTTGCAAAAGGCCAGCCTGAAGCCAGTGTATAATGACTGCTTCTCCAAGATAATTAGGTACTTTCCTTCAATTAAAATTGGAAAATGCACAGAGCAGAACATTAGTCACAGTTACCATCCGGTGAGATGCATCTTCAGAGCAATAATTGCTCCCCAAAGGTGGGAGGGCTGATGTGGGGCCTATTGACAATGCTGGTCTGATGTGGTTGTTTCTCTGAAAACTGAGAAGGAGCGCTCTTTCTCACCCTGGGTGAACTAATTTTGGCACCAAGAGGTCACAGGACCTTGCAGGGCCTTGGGGAGATGAGTGCAGCCTCCCTAGACACTAATCAACACCCCACACTGTCTGCACCACCAGAGCCGGGGTCTTCGACATCCGTATCTGATCAGCAGCTGACTCTTGCCTTCTGAACATGCCCGACAAACATCTCATTATTCAAACAGATGTTTCTGTGTGTTTTGGATTGCTATTCCAGTGGGAATCTGGCTCTCTCATTTACAAAAGGAAAACTGTCCTTTAGTTTTTGCAAGATGTTAGGTTTCCCAAATACCCAGATTACTGTTGGAGAGGCTGATGGCTCAGAGAAGCAATTAGGAAGAAAAACGATCATTCTGCACTCACTAAGCATTCCCAGGATGGACCTCTGGTCCTATGTCTCTGATTCTTGAATACTCAGAATCTGGACAGCCCTATGCTGGAAGATTCTCTCCACACAGGAAGCTGGTTAGGGACCCTGCTGTTCCCAGCCTGCAGGGTGCAAGACCTAATGTCTATCCTATTGTTGCCAAACATACTTTATTCATTCCCACAACACTCAATATTTTTCCCTCTGATTGTGTAACTAGTTGATGCTCATTAGTTTAAAAATTGCACAACATATAAAAACAAAGCAAAAACCTCCTGAGTCCCCAATACCCTAATATAACCCCTGCCAAACTTTTTGGTGACTGTATTTTTTTCATGCAAATCTTTCAACATATCACACTCACACATTATTTCTATGTATTAATTAATACTTTCCTCCATCTTTGTTTGAGTGTGAAACAGCATATTTCATTTAGGAATCCCTCCAAGTCAATCAAGTATAGATAAAATGTTCAAAATATTGTTGCATACTAATTTTTCTGTGAATATAGTTTAGCGACTTTTGGCCCTTTGATGGACATTTGCTTCATGTCCAGTTTTTTTTTTTTTTTTTTTTTTTTGGCCAGGCAATGATGCCATAATATATTTTTGTGTATATGTATCCTTATGTACCCGTTCATTCTTCACATACCCAAAGACTACAGGCTCCTATGCACTGATAAGAAAGGCTGACGTTTCTTTGCAGCTTATTTCATGATGGATACACCACCAGAGAAAGGAGGCTATTTGCAATTCCATTGTCATCTTGTCCTGCAAGGAATTTTGCCCCAATTGCACCAGGGAGCTTCTCTGGTTCTCAGAGCTCAGTGAGTTCTTGCAGACACTCGAGATCCTGGATCATTCTAGTGGATGTTTGAGGCTTTCAGCTGCCATCTCGTTTACTCTGTGTGTGCCTCTCAATATCAACCCTCCCACTAGCTGTTTGCGGGGGAACCCCAGGAATGAGTAGCTGATGGATCCATTGGAGAATAGGCCATAGAAGCCCTCCAGATCCCTCCTGGATGCCGGGCCTCAATTTACTTCTGATAGTAATTATCTCCTGGACCATGACTCTCAGATGGCTAGACCTCTATGGGAAACACATTCCAGGCTAAGGAGAGGAGTATTCCTGTTTTCAGGCATTCACATGGTCAGTGGGCGGAATGGGGGTAGAAATTGTGGGCCCTTGTTTCAGATGGTAGAACTAAGAGTTCCAGAGGAAATTGTGGAAAGTAGTTTTCAATTGGTTAGAATGGAAACTTGCCTGTCTCCACTGTCGCAGAAAGAATTCTAAGTAGAGGATTCTGATTTTAGAGCAGAGGCAGGAGGGCTAAATTCTCTGGGGTTTGTGGGGAGGTGAAATTTAGGTGTGATTGTAACAGCCAGAACAGGTCTTAGGTCCAGCAGAATTAAATCCTTAGATATGATCTATGTAGCAGCAGTCAGGACTGCAAGAACTAGATTTTAAATGGGGATCTGGTTAGACTCTAGACAGCTTGATAGGCAAGAAGTCAGGTTCTGAGCCAGAGTCCTGGGAAATTCTAAGAGCATCTTACGTCTCAGCAAGTCCAGGCATCCCCATGACTTCCACATATCTCGGATTCCAGGACTCTCATCTTTGCATCCTTATGGTAGATTGTTTCTCCCCTGTGGTCCCAATAAACCTCAAATCTGGGAGGATTGCTTTAAAGGGGTCACGGGAGAGGACAGCCCAGGCTTTGACAAGCACATTCGTTCACATAAGGGCAATGGACAACTTCAAGTTTGGGTAGAAAATGCTGAAAATGACAAAGTTTTGTCAGGAATGCTGTTTTTGACTTTAAGATGCCTGAAAGGCATTTAAACACTAAACTCCCATGTAGCTTTCCCGTGGATGATATATAACTCCATTTACAGCTATAATCTGGGTAACAAAATGAATACTCCATCATTGTACTATGAATAGTAAATTAACCCAGATAAAAGTGTTCTACATCCAATCAAAACCATTAAGGAACTAGGAGACTAAGATTGGTGAGGACATTTTGGAGGCAATTATAACTAATGAATACATTAACTTCAAGAAGGAGGATGGTTTCAGTGGCTTTCTGGTCTCTCCAAATAAAATTAGGGTAGGTGGGAACAAAGCTGAAATAATTTTGAGAAAAGGACAGATTTATTGATCTACACAGAGCCATTAGAAGGGGAAATGGTTTCTTAGGAGAGAGACTTGGGCATATTAGTCTTCAGAATAATCATTAAAAAGAATGAAAGACATTTTCCCTTCTTACCACATTTACAACCCGTCTAGCTTAGACCAAAAGAGCTCACACTTTGTCCCCTATTCAGGGATTTTGGTGTGGAAATTTTTCACTTTCTTTTAAGATATACTATTTATTGTGTTTTAAAAGTGAAATTAATGCATACTAATTGTGGGCTGTATGGAAAACACAAAAAATGCAAAAATAAAAACAATCTATAGTCTTATCACCCAGAGATGACCATTATTAACATTTTGGGGTAACCAGTCTTTTATTTTTCTATATTCGTATATGTTTGGGGATATTTATAGATGATTCTCTATACTCAAGAATAATGGCTTTAATATTTTTATAAAAATGATAACTCATCCTATAAAATTCAAGTCATATAGAAAAATTCAAAGGAAGATACTAAAAATCATCATCTGAACTCTCACCCACAGTAGTTAATCATGCCCACTTTCAGCATCTCTCTCTAGCATATGTGCAGATAAGGGAGAAAGAGATCAATTACCTTCTACAGAAAAACGATGATTCTGTGCATGCTTTTTTTTTTTTTTTTTTTTTTGAGACGGAGTCTTGCTCTGTCGCCCAGGCTGGAGTGCAATGGCATGATCTCGGCTCACTGCAACCTCCGCCTCCCGGGTTCAAACGATTCTCCTGCCTCAGCCTCCCAGTAATCTAGGATTACAGGAATGTGCCACCATGCCCGGCTAATTTTGTATTTTTAGTGGAGAGGGGGTTTCACTGTGTTGGCCAGGCCGGTCTTGAACTGCTGACCTCAGATGATCCGCCTGCCTCGGCCTCCCAAAGTGCTGGGATTACAGGCGTGAGTCACCGCGCCCAGCCATGCTATTTTAGTGAAAAAAATATTTTGCTATTTAAAACAGGCAAATCAGCAAAAATAAAATAGGGGCTGCTGTATAACCCGCAACTGTCTCCGGAGGCCATGTTGGTCTTGGAGGTCTTGGCTGTTCTTACACTTTGTTTTCACTTCTTTGCCTTGAGACATCCCTGAGTTTTTGTCATTCAAGACAGCAATGCACCTCTTAGTAAGGCTCTTAAGTCACAGCTGGCTGCTGTCATAGCACTGACTTCCTTTTCCACACTAGGAGCCAATTTCTTTAGCCTGGAGGCTCAA
Source organism: Homo sapiens (assembly GCF_000001405.40). Taxonomy (NCBI): domain Eukaryota; kingdom Metazoa; phylum Chordata; class Mammalia; order Primates; family Hominidae; genus Homo; species Homo sapiens. The sequence continues at coordinate 60,494,728 of NC_000020.11, forward strand.
GCCCCAGCACCACAGAGGCCAAAAAGGGGGCCTCGGTGATCTTCTACCATCTTCTACTGTGGCACCAAGTTGCTAGAGGGGCATTCCTAGCTTCCTGCTACTGACTCACACCTGCAGATTCAAAGGAGAGATGTCCAGACACAAACAGAACAAACAACACTTCCAAGAGCTAAGTAGTAATGCAAATGAATTAAATGGGGCATGTATACTGAAAGCAAACAAGCAAATAAACATGAGCATGAAAATTACATTCAAAATGATGGTCAAAACTCCCCAGGCTGCTGGTGTCATGCAGGAGTTGTGGTCCAGTGTGGGCATATCCTCAAATTTTTCAAAAGGAGCCAGAGATCTAAAGGATTTAAAGATTTTGTTTTTGTTGTTTTTTTGAGATAGAGTCTCACTCTGTCACCCAAGCTAGAGTGCAGTGGCGTGATCTCAGCTCACTGCAACCTCGGCCTCCCAGGTTCAAGTGATTCAGTGATTCTCCTGCGTCAGCCTCCTGAGTAGGTGGGGTTACAGGCACAGCCCACCATGCCCAGCTCATTTTAGCATTTTTAGTAGAGATGGGGTTTCACTACATTGGCCAGGCTGGTCTTGAATTCCTGACCTCAAGTGATCCGCCCACCCCAGCCTCCCAAAGTTCTGGGATTACAGGCGAGAGCCACGGTGCCCAGCCTAAATTTTTAAGTGAAATCTCCTTATTTATGTCGGTTGACAGTCAACTAAATAACTAAAAACACTATAAAACAAAGCCCATTGTTAATCAGTCCAATTTCTTCCTTTGCTATAAACACAATTTAATAAAGTACAGAGACCAGTTAAATGTAAATATCAAATGATCAATGAATACTTTTTGTGTAAGTATATCTCATGCAATAGTTGGTACATTCTTATACGAAAAATACTTATTGTTTATCTGGAATTTAAATGTCACCAGGCATCTTGAATCTTTCCTGGCTGGCCTGGGTGAGGAGGCTCTCCAATCTGTCCTCGCTGCTCTCAGGAAATCTAGGGGCTTGGGGGAGGTATGTTACCATCCACTGTCTGCCTGTTCCTGTCCAGTTTTCAAACTACTCAGCGGGTGTCTTGTTGGTGTTTTGTCCATTTCCTTTTTCATTGATGATGTAGCTTCTTTTCCCCCTTGCTATTGTTTCTTATTTTATTTTTGTTCTCTGTAGGTTTCAAGAAAATAGTGGGATAAAAATGCATTTTTTTAACCATCTTGAGGGATAGTCTGATAATCTGCTTTTTAATTTAACTTTGTATAATTTTTTCAACCTTAAATATTTTTAAAACATATTTTTCTTGGCTGCCTATAGGCCCTTTTGTGAATTTACCAAAATTATCTTAGCTGAATCTTAATTATATTTCATGCGCAGAAATCCTGTGTACAAATATTTGAGCTAAAAAAAGAATTTAATTGAAGTAATAATTCATTATTCTCTTTGGTCAGTGCCTGGGCCAGGAGAAAAGGGAAAGAACGATCCACAGAAGGGTTATCTCTGACTATTCTTAGGAAACTCTAAAGAATTTCCCAGGGCTTTGAGGCAGCTTACCCCAAAACCCTGGTCCTTGGCTTTCAGGCAGCTCACCCTGAAACCCTGGTCCTTGGCTTTTCAGGATGCCAGTGGGCTCCATTATGTTTACCTTATACACACTGGTAACAGATTTATCTTTCTCTTCCACATCATCTGGGAATCCCTTCCTATTAGTTGGCTTCTAATGAGCTTTGTAATCATTCATTTTATCTCAAGGCAAACACTATTAACCAGGTTTGGTGTGATTAAGAAAAGTGCTTCTTCAAGCGCTCATTTTTTCTGGTGGGGATGATTCTCAGGTAATTAAACCACATCGTGAAGAAACAACTTGATACATCGGCTTATTTTGCTTTTGACAACATGATTAAAAGTACTAGGCTTTCCATCACAATTTGCTGCAAAGAATGTTGACATTCCACTTGATACCCTTTAGAATCTAAAGTTATGTCAGACAGACAAAAGCAACTCTACGACAAGTGAAGGCAGGTACTCCCGTGTCCTGTCTGAATAGTCCATTTAGGGAGTAGCTTGCAGTGACCCGGGCTTGTTTAGATTATAAGGTCACCATTGAGACCACATCCCACTTCCCAAGATAACCAAATTCCATAAAGAAGTCAAGCAACATTGGTGCATTTTAATGGAATAAAACACTCCGGTGACTTCATTCCAGGCTCTGTGTCATGTAACACAGATTTGGTGAAACAAGTGTAGCATGCTTTGTCACGTTTGTTTGCATTTTCATTGCTGCTCTTTTAAATTTTGTGGGTGGCTTCAGTTGCCACTTTTCTGAATTTATGAGCTCAGTTATGTAGGAAACATGAGGCAATTTGTTCAGCATTTTGGGCATACTTAAGCAAGTTTTTGTCTTTAGAGAGGGTCAAATTGGCCTTTTAGCCTTTATCTAGCATGAGAGGCATCCACTGGGCAGAGCTCTTGCACCTGGCCGCTCGGGGCTTGCTGACCAGATTATAGGGATCATCTATGTTTCAGCAGTCAGTCCCTAGTCCAGTGAGTTCTGGCTAGGATATTTAAAAAGAAACAGGAAGGAAAGGAGAGGAGAGGAGAGGGGAGGGGAGGGAAGAAGGAAGAAAGGAAGGACAGAGGGAGGGATGGAGGAAAGAAGAGAAGGAAGAAAGGAGAGACAAAGGGAGGGAAAGAATAGGAAAAAAAATCACTGGTTTATGATATTTACCATGCATAGAAAGATGACTGAGATGTTACTCAGGAGGTGGTTAAGGGTGTGGCAGATACTCAGAACATCATTTAAACTTTAAAGTTTCATTCCCAAGAGAAATATGTAGAAATATGTATGTAGTAGTTCTCCCAAGAGAAATATGTAGTAGTTCTAAAACGCTAATCTATCCAATTACGATTTGTACCTAAGATACCTCTCAATATCTGAAGACATCAAGACAAAAAGACAGCTACATTTCTAGCGCCTCATGGGGGGAAATTCAATATAAAGAAGAAGAAAAAAGTAAAGAATAGTCTCTTCTCTCCTGTGCATTACAAGCCCATATGGCCCCCCAAAAATGTCACCCTAGAGTCTTTCTTGCTAGCTGGAGCACAGCTTGATTTTCAGAGATGATTGAGTTGGCATGGCTGTTGCCAAAAGCTTGTTTTGACTTGTAAACGTACAAGTTTGGGATAAAACTCAGTGATAGAGGAGAAAAAGAGAATGCTAAGTTATCATTTTTACAATTGCACTTTAGAACCTGTAGCTGTGATTGGTGGCAGTGTTTTCCCCCTTAATTCTTTTGCCAGTGTGTTTTCTATTATTTTTGCCAACCTCTTGTTTCCAAACCACTTGCCCAGTATGCTGTCTCTATTCAAGTAATTGCAGGATTCACTGTTGGAAAATGGAAGATTGTTTCAGCTCCCACAGATATGTATCTCATGAGATTTAAGATTGTCTTTCCTTTGCTTATTCTTTCCTTTCTTGAGTCAAATGATGCAACATTCTCAGCAATAGCAGACAACAGTACAAAATGAAAAAAATACATATGAAATATGTTTATTTTATATAAATTAATATTTATATCTCATTCCACTTACAAAATAATTTTCTTTAGTCTCACAACATTTTCTCTCTTTCGTCAAAGTACTTTCTTCTACTTTAGCTGCTAAGTCACTTAGGTCTAAATCGACACAGATTACACCTGCTTGAAATCTCTGGTGGGGTTGAAATTGCCAGATAATTAGAAGACCAGATTAGGAACCGAGTGCAACCTGGTCAACGTTGAGAAAACTTACCAAATCTTTATTAAGTTGAGAAGGGGGAACACAGCCATTTGTTTTTCCGGATGACATCACTTTTTATTACCAAGGGTATGTTACTTGGATTGTTTTCTACAAGTGTTACCATCGACCACTTTGCAGTGCCATTTATGCTGGCAACTCTCAAATTTGTCTTTAGCATTTCTAAGATTGATTCCCCCATCTTCTATTAAAAACAAACATCTATTGAAAAAATGTCCTATAGAAATGTAGGAAATTGATTCCAGCTCTTGAACTGGGCTGACTGTACTTCGATCCGTGTGATAGAAATGTTCCAGGGACATTCATAAACTGTTGAATTTCACACACAGAAAAATTGCATAGAGCGTGTTCTTCCTAGTTGTAGCAGTAACAGCCTTTCGAGTCCCCCATTCTATATCTCTTTTCTTGACCCATCTTTGTTTTATCTCCCTGCCTCCTGTATCAAATTACCTTGGAGGCTTTGAAGTCACAGAAAATCAAAAGTTAGGAAGAGATGCATACACACCTTAGGCTATTGCTCAGTGACTTAGGCATAAGCCCCCTAATGCCCATTTTATGAGTGGCTTAAACCACGTTCAAATATAGGTCAGAAAATTATTGAGGCTTTATTTACTCTCTCTTTTCAGGGCTGCTGGCTGACATACACCCCCTTCTGCTGAAAGGTGTTAAAGAAATATGCCCAGAGCATAGTAGGCCCTCATTGCATTCTCATTGACTTGATGTCAGAGAAAAAAAAAATTAGCATTTTCAAAATTTGCTGTTGAAAATTTGAGACCCAAAAAAGTGTATATAGATCAAGTTGTTGTTTTACAGAGCAATGGTGAGGGGAGGGCAGAATGCTGTAAGCATCAAACCACATGCGGTCAATTCATCTATAATGATGGTTACCAATTTTTACGGACTTCCTTCTGCCTCCACAGGCACTGCTTCATGTGATATGCACAAAACTCTGTGAGTTGTTCACTTTCCCTTCCCCTCGTTCATTCATCCATCCAACAAATATTTACTGAGCATCTGCTATGTGCCCATGCGTGGGAACAGCACATTGATGGAGACAAACTGACCCACGGCCACACGGAGCATTATCTTGGCTCAAAGAGCTGCAGGCTGTGATCTTAGGCCTCTTCCAGCTCCCTGTTGGTGGTTATATGATCCGCAAGCTAAGAATGGTTTTTACATTTTTTGATGGTTGAAGAAAGATCAAAGAAGAACCCTGTTTGGTGATAGGTGAAAAATACATGAAATTCAAATTTCAGTGTCCATAAGTAAAGGATTTATTGGTGTCCTAGCCCCATCCATTTGTTGACGTATTGTGTGTGGCTGTTTTGTAATACAAGGACAGTCTAAGTGGGTGACAGAGATTCTATGGCCCTGACCCTGTACAGAAAAAAAGTTCCCGACACCAGTCTTAGGGATGAAAAAACCAAGGTGAACTAGCTTTCCTTAGATGCTCTCTGACTCCAAAACCATTGTCTATATAACACACTACACCATCACCATTGCTCTCACCGTGAAACCTGACTGTTCACAGGGCTTTTTATTTAACCAGGTTAAACAGAAAATTAAACTGGTTCTTATGGACATTGCCAGTCTACATGGGGAAGCACCTTTTCAGATTACATGGCCCTTTGACATTAAAACTATGATAATTCTTTGAAAATTTTCAACGACCAGTGGCATAGAATGGATGGTAATGCACCGAGGTTATGGGGATGGGGATGGGACGAGGTTATGGGGATGGGGATGGGATGAGGTTATGGGAATGGGGATGGGATGAGGTTATGGGAATGGGGATGGGATGAGTTATGGGGATGAGGATGGGATGAGGTTATGGGGATGGGGATTCACTGAGGTTATGGGGATGGGATGAGGTGATGGGGATGGGATGAGGTTATGGAAATGGAAATAGAATGAGGTTATGGGGTGGGCATGTGCAGAGGTTATGCGGATGAGTTGAGGTTATGGGGATGGGGATGAGATAAGGTTATGGGGATGAGATAAGGTTATGGTGATGGGGAAGTGCTGAGGCTATGGGAATGGAGATGTGCTGAGGTTATGCAGGTGGGGACAGGTTGAGGTTATAGGGATTAGTATGTGCTGAGGTTATGAGGATGGTGATCAACTGAGGTTTTAGGATTGGGGATGGGATGAGGTTATGGGGACAGGGATGCATTGAGGTTATAGGGATGGAGATGTGCTGAGGTTATGGGAATGGGGATGGGATGAGGTGATGGGGATGGGATGAGGTTATGGAAATGGAAATAGAATGAGGTTATGGGGATGGGCATGTGCAGAGGTTATGGGGATGAGTTGAGGTTATGGGGATGGGGATGGGGATGAGATAAGGTTATGGTGATGGGGAAGTGCTGAGGCTATGGGAATGGAGATGTGCTGAGGTTATGCAGATGGGGAAAGGTTGAGGTTATAGAGATTAGTATGTCCTGAGGTTATGAGGATGGTGATCAACTGAGGTTTTAGGAATGGGGATGGGATGAGGTTATGAGGATGGGGATGCCCTGAGGTTATGGGGACAGGGATGCATTGAGGTTATAGGGATGGAGATGTGCTGAGGTTATAGGAATGAGGATGGGATGAGGTTACGGGGATGTGTTATGGGAATGTGGAAGTGCTGAGGTTATGGGGATGGGGATGGGATGAGGATATAGGGATGGTGATGCCCTGAGGTTACGGGGATGAGGATGGGATGAGGTTATGGGTACAGGGATGGGATGAGGGTATAGAGATGAAGATAGGATGAGGTTATGGGGATGGGGATGTGCTGAGGTTATGGGGACAGGGATGGGATGAGGGTATGGGGATGGTCATGTGCTGAGGTTATGGGAATGAGGATGGGATAATGTTATGGGGACAGGGATAGGATGAAGTTATGGGGATGGGGATGTGCTGAGGTTATGGGGATGGGGATAGGATGAGGTTATGGGGACAGGGATAGGGTGAGGTTGTGGGGATGGGGGACATGCTGAGGTTATGGGGATGGGGATGTGCTGAGATTATGGGGATGGGGATGTGCTGAGATTATGGGGATGGGGATGGGATGATATGGGGACAGGGATAGGATGAGGTTATGGGGATGGGGATGTGCTGAGGTTATGGGGATGCTGATGAGGAACAAGATCTCAACTGTTTCATAACTACAGGAGATGAATCCTCAGAAACTGAATTGCCCTACACTACATGCCACCACTCCTAATTGTTTTCCTTCTAAGCAATATATTTTACCTTATAATAAAGATCACCATGATTGTCATATTTCTTTTTTTCTATTTATTTTCTGCCTGTTTCCTTAGATTTCAAACAAAAGATATTTTGTTCTTAAGTTGTTAAAATACAGCATTGTTTAAATCTCCAAATCCCAATATTCCAAATATTTATTGTTAACCATAATTGAGCAATTTCAGATAATATTTTCACTGGTATAAAGTAATCTTTCTGCAACTCACATCATAAAGATTCTTAACAGATATTCTATCCTTGGACAAACACTGTGATATTATTCTCAGGATGAACTTGGTATTCACACTCCTTTTCTTGTCCTTGCTAACACTGAGCTGATCTAGGAGACCCATTGGTTGGGCGTGATGAGGATTTCAATTCTTCCTTGGATAATGCTGAATAACAGATACTTATAGAGACTTCACCTAAAATATGGAAACAGTTTCTTATTTTGCTCTTCCTAACAAAACCCCTTTTATTTAGGCTCAAATTAAATTTTGTCTTGCTAAGACCTAATACAATCCCATTAATGTCCTTTCTAATTATTTTCTGTTTATCAGAATTACTGAATCATGACATTGAGTCTTAATCGTTTTGATTTCTGCTGCAGATTAATCCCACCTCAAACTTATCTGCATGTCCTCACATTTGTCTACATCTCTGTCTGGGGAGTTGTGTGCTTAAGTCATTAACTCCAATTAGAGTGGAGAATCCGTGGCCACCTGAGCCCAGGACTGTGGGCCATGGAGGCATCTTCAGAAGCTGTTGATTTCATTTTCTTTGGGGACCTGCACAAGGAGGGTACTGTTCCTGATGTCAGATCATAATTGTTACCCTGAGGTCCTGGCACCAGAAGGCCCGAGTTAAAATCCATGCTTTCCCTTTGACTCTACTGGTAACTTCGAGCAAGTGCTTCACCTTTTTAAAGCTTCAGTTGCCTCATCTGTTAACCAAGATGCCCACAGTCGCCACCTCCTAGGTTGGTCCTACCCTTCAATGCACGTGAACATAAGAGTAATGGTACCGGCCAAGGGAAGCCCTTGGATGTTGTTATCGTGGTCAATATTATTTTTATTGTCATTCTCATGAATGTAAAGTGACAAGGTCATCCTTACATTTCAGGTCTCTACGTTTTGTCATTCCTCCAACTTAGCCCTATCTTTCAATGTCTTTAACCAATTATGTTTTGTCCTTGGAACCCTCTGGAGGCTGTTCTTTATTCTTAGGCTGTTCTTCTCTGTCCTCTCTGCCTCAATAACTCTCTCTGTTCCAAAACCATGTGGAATGCAGGCGCTCATCAAAACTTCCCAGGGAGGCTTTTCTTTCTTTCCCTTTTATCCAGGCTGAGGCAGACAATGAAGGGTATCACCTCTTAAGACTCAGGCTTCTGCAGCTGCTGCTGGGAATCCCGTTGCCAGTCTAATGGTCCTGCCTTCATAGAAAAATGTCTTTTTAATTCTTAGGTCATTTTAAACATGTTTAGGGATTGACTTTCTTTTTAAAAGGTATCCGGTCGGATGCCCATGCCGTCTATGCTAATTATGGGTTCCCACCCTTTATCTCCGGTCCATCTTTCTGGAATTCCTATTCAATGTACGTTGGGCCTATTCTATTTTCCATGGCATTTTAATCTCAACCCATTTTCCATCACCCTTTGTCTCCAGGCTGCTTTCAGGGTAATTTCTGTATTATTAATTCTCCTTTCAGCGATTTACCTGCTATTTCATCCTTTGATCGACTGTGTCCTTAATTCCTGTGACTGCAGTTTCATTCTGTAAATTCTGTTTGGTCCCCTTTTAAATCTGCCCATGTGACTGTCATCACACTGCATTCATTTCTCGTATCTTTGCTTCTTTTATGTTCTTGATCATTTTTAATTGTTTAGATTCTTTTTTTTTTTTTTTTGAGATGGAGTCTCGCTCTATCGCCCAGGCTGGAGTGCAGTGGCGTGATCTCGGCTTACTGCAAGCTCCGCCTCCCGGGTTCACTCCATTCTCCTGCCTCAGCCTCCCTAGTAGCTGGGGCTACAGGCATCTGTCACCACGCCTGGCTAATTTTTTTTTTCTGTATTTTTAGTAGAGATGGGGTTTCACCGTGTTAGCCAGGATGGTCTTGATCTCCAGACCTTGTGATCCTCCCGCCTCGGCCTCCCAAAGTGCTGGGATTACAGGTGTGAGCCATTGTGCCCGGCCAATTCATTTTTAATGTACTAAATTTGTGATAGAATTTTCCCATTATCTGCAGTGCTTGGGTTTTCACCCTGCCGTTTGTCTGGCCTGTGGACACTCACTTATGGTGGAGGATTCCTTACACATTTTATGATTTGAATTGTGAATCTATGCTCAGTGGACTCTCGTGTGCCTGGATGGTAGGTGTCTTCCCCACAGCAATTTTGTACTTGTTTCTGTCAGATGTCCTAGGGTTGTGGCCAGCTGTAGGCTACTTTTTATGTTAAAACTTTGACTTGAAAGTTTGGGGATATGAGAGTTGAATTTTGAACCCCAAATCCACGTGAGATTCATGTCCTGATGATGAATTCTCAGGAGAGATCTTTTATGTTTCTTTCCCAAGTGAGGCCAGGCAGCAACAAATAAGAAGCTGTGGTGTTGCGGGTTGATGTGCTTTTCTGTGTTACTCTGAACTAAGGGTGTGACTTTGGAGGGTCCTAGTTTTATGGGGGTGTCAGTCCTACCTGCTCTCCTTGCTCTGCTCTGAGGGGTACAAAAATGTCTAAGTCAGTGTTTTTAAATGCTGCTGGGATCCCCAAACCAGCTACATAGGCATCACTTGTAAGCTGTTAGAAATGCAAAATCTCATACCCAAACCAAGACCGACCGAAGGAATCAGAAACTGGGCAGGTGGGCTGAGTCTAGAAAAATGTGTTTTTAAGACCCCGTCAGATTCACATGCACCTGGACGGCCACCACTCCGGCTGGTGAGACCAAGTCTCTGCACACACACCTGTTCTTTACAGGGCAGCTACAGTCCACCTGGTTAGCCCCCTGAGGTTTTAAGCTTTTTCTCCTTTTCTGCACCTGGGAATTCCTCATTCTTTCCAGCTTGCCTAGTCATGCTTATAAAGTAATGTTTATTATGTTTTATCTCTTTTAAAATAATATGCACACTGACTAAGAACCAGCTGAAAATTTTTTAAAAAGAAAAAAAATAACAATAGTAGGAGTAATTTTGGTTATCTTCTCTGCCCTCCTGCTAAAATCAGAAGTTGGTAATTATATAATTTTATTGTAAGTTTACTGCCATTCCTAACCCACAGACTGTCAGCTCTGTGAAGGCAGGCATTCATCCCCATTTCTGCTCTTGACTAAATATTCAGCTCCTACTCAGTGAGGGAAATACAGCAGCTACTCCACAAATGTTTATTTGTAGGATGAGTACCTAAATGAAAAAGGGAGACATTAAACTATTTCTGTAAGAACATTCTATTTCCGTTAGATTGTTCAAAATCATACAACTGCCTGTATTCATACTTTTAGGGGACAACCCCTCCCCAGTGTGGAAATTTTGCTGTGCTCTTTCTGCTCGTTCATGAAACTTAAAAGCCGTGAAGCCTCCACAAGCTTCTCTCACCAGAGTTGTCTTTTCTTTCTGAGTCTACCCACACTGCCTTGAGGAATCCCTTCTGCCTTTGTACAGTGCTGTTTTTTTTTACTTATCATTCTGTAGCCTGGTGGTAAATAGCCTGTAGAGTCAAAGTGCCTGGTTTTATTTCTTAGCTGTACCTCTTGACTACACGCATGACCTTGCCTTTCCTCCTGCATTTCCTCATCTGCACAGCAGGGATAGTAATAGCCCCACTTCATGGTGTAGCAGGAGGATTCAGTGGATGCTGTGAAGCTCTTCGCATGGTACATGGCCCCTGACAAGCACTTGGAAGGGCCCGCTATTATTTTTATTTCCTGTGTATTTCTTTTCTTTCCAAGCAGCCTAGAAATTTAGTGTTTCCCAAGTACACATCATATTGCTTGGCACACACACACAAATTGTAGAATGAATAAATGAATGACCATCATTTGAGATAACAGTAGGCTGTAGTAGATACTGTGTATATAGAGCTATACAGAGCTGTGGGTCCAGCTCTGGGCCCACTATATTCCCAAACATGATGCCCAATATATGCACTTAATACCATCATATTTGAATACTGCTATGTAATTTGCAAAGTGACCTCATATCTATCATTTCACCAAACTAAGATGAATTACAAGATTACATGAGTATATAATCTTTGTTAAAAATATCACATATCACAACCAAGAAAAAAGCTCCTCTTGACCACCAAAGCCAGACCTGGTTCTCCTTCCATCCTCAGTAGTGATTGAGTGAGAGTTCCTTCCAGACCTTTCTCTATGCATCCATAAAACAGACACACAACCGTGGAAGCATGGAGTCCTTTGCCTGCGTGTGGAGCATAGATGTGGTCATGCTGTAGGACTAGAGCTGCCACTCAGTGATGACATCTTGGAAATCTCCCCATGGCAGTACACAGAATTGGCTTATTCCTGGCAACAACTTTGCATTCCATAGTGTGGAAATCCAATTGAAAGCACAATTGTTTTCTTGTTCAACCCTTTGTCGGGTTGTTGCAATATATATTTATTATAAACAATGCTGCAAAGAATATCCTTAAAATGAAGAAGTGAAATTTCTCTGATTTTATATATATATGTACATATTTATAAACACACAAATATATGTAACATAAACTAACATGATGTATATATAAATTATGTATAATACATACATTATGTAAATTATATATACACATATAAATTATATACCATAAAGAAATCACACACACAGATGTATCCTTTCTTTGTACCTGTGACTACCATGACTAGATTTCATTTTTAATCCTTTCGTAAATGCATCTGATCTTTGAAGTAGACCCTGAAATGGGTTAACATTGTCTCCTGGGCGTCTCACAGATTCTGATGAAGAAAGCTTTACTGAGCACTTACTACACACCATGTTAAGTGCTAGCGGCTTTTGCATCTGCTGCTCTGTTTAAAGTATGTCTTAGGGTGCACCAGCTCCTGGGCTTTGATACCCACCTACCCTGGGGTGCCAACAGCATGTTCATTTCCATCCAGGGATGCCTGGGCCCTCTTATTCAGGGACTCACTGTTCCTGTCTCACTCACTGACTCTCTTCCAAGGCATGCACTGACACCCTTGCTCTCAGTTCACCTTACGCTTCAATTTATTCCCTATTTACCTCCTGCTTAATTTCATTTTGAGAAAATAGATTTAAAACATCATAATCTACATGCATATTGTGTTTGCTTCAAGTGTTTCCACCTAATTTCCAAATTGGCTTAAAGCAAAACTCCTTCTCGCGGAGACGACTCCTCCTCACTCAAGGAATTGAATTTATTTCCTACTGCGCTGGAGAGTGGATCTGTTTAAAAAGGACTCCCGAGATTGAACACACACACACACACACACACACACATACACACACACACACATACATACACACACACACACACATACACACACATATACACACATACACACACACACACATACACACACACACACACAGGCATGCACACCCCTTCCCCTGTGAATACAATAACATGAGCAGGGCTGTATTGATCCCTGCAGTGCTTTAAAGAACTGCCTGGATAGCTAATCTATAAGCGACTAGTTACTTCTTCACTCCGTTCACTGCAGCCTTGTCTCCCACCTCCCTCCTCCCCATGTAGTGGGTGGGGGCTGATTCTTCTGTCATCCTCTTCTGCCCTGTGCTGACGCTTGGTGCTATGTAGCAGCCTCTGTACTATGCAACTGCTCTGAGTAAACAACAGAACATCACCCACGTTTAATACTCATGGATTAATTAGAAATGCCTCAGATTCATCAGTGCAAAAGGAAAAGAAAAGAACAATGTAGTCACAAATTATTAACAGTCACTTTTGCTACTATCGTGCTTTCTTTGCATTAGATCATCTTTTTTTAATGTGGTGTGGGCTGAGGCTGAAAAAATGCATCCCCATGATTTCTTTTTTTCAAATCAAAGAGAACAACGGATATAAAGATGCACACCTCCCTGTTAGCTCATCTGAATGCCTTGTCTCTCAATCCAGAATCAACCATTATTACAAGCTTAGTGTAATTCTTCAGATATATGTAGATTTCTCTCTCCGCTGTATTTAGCAATAATGGGAGAATACGATGCTTACTGTTTTGCAACTTGGTTTTTGCAGTTAATCCATATTCAGACATTATTTTTCACTGGTTCACATACACCTATCTCATTTTTTTTCACATCCATATAATACTGCATGGAATGGGTGCAACTTAATGTATTTAAACAGAGTCAAATTAAGTTGTTTCAATTGTCAGTGAAAATAATGCTGTAAAACAAAGCAAAACAAAAACTCCACCTTCTACATGTGTCATTATTTCATGTGAGCATATCTATAGAATAAGTTCTAAGAGAAGAAATTCGGGGCCATGAGATAGGTGCATTTTTAAAGTAAGATTTTTACTGAAGTATAACAATCATATACTTTTCAAATCAAAGAGAACAACGGATATAAAGATGCACACCTCCCTGTTAGCTCAGATCTGAATGCTTTGTCTCTCAGTCCAGAATCAACCATTATTACAAGCTTAGTGTAATTGCAGTTAATCCATATTCAGATATTATTTTTCACTGGTTCACATACACCTACCTCAGATCCAGAAAACAAAGACAGCTAAAACTCCAGAAGGCTGCTGGTGCCCCACTGAGGTACCATCCTGTCTTCGATCACCATAGCTGACTTTTCCTTGTTTGTGGATTTCATGCCAGGGAAGCACAGAGCAGACACTCTTTGTAACATTCACCCAAGCTATTGCGTGTGCTGTAAGTGTGTACCTATTCATTATTGTGTAGGACTCCCTAATATCAACAGTATCCATTTATTTATTCTACTTTTGATATACATTTGGGCTGCATCCATATTTTGTCTATTGCCAATAAAACTGCGACAAACATTTTTGACATATTTTTAGTGCACAGAAGTATGCATTTCTGCTAAGTATATCCCTGAAAGTTGAATTGTTTGGTCATAGATATTCAAGTATTCTGCTTCGAAATCCCCAAAGAGATTTTCAAAGTATTGTAACATCTATTCACCCACCAGCAGTTCATGACTGTTCAAGTTGTTCCACACCCTCACCAATATTTTGTATTTTCTGTCTTTTTATCTTTAGCCATTTTGTTGAGTCTGCAGTGGCATCACATTTTGGATTGAATTTGCATTTCTGTGACAGGGAATGCTAGCAATTACCTTTCCACACCTGTGATGGCCATTTGGCCTCCTCGTTGGTGAAGTGGCTGTTCAGGTCTTCTGTTTCCTGCTGGGACATCTGTTTTGTTTTGTTTTGTTTTGTTTTTGTTTTTTCCTTATCAATGTAGGCATTCTCTATTATATACTAGATCAAAGGCTTTTTTTGGATACAGGTATTCAAAATATCTTCTCCCACACTGTAGCTTGCCTTTGCATTGTAAGATGTCTTGTCAATTTAAGGGCAACTAATTAATCACTCTTTCTTTTGTGCTCAGCGCCACTTGTCTCCTGTTTCAGAATATTTGCCTACCCCAAGGTAATGAAGATACTCTCTGCTTTCTTCTAAAAGGTTTGCTGTTTGACATTTCACATTTAGATCTACAATCCATGTGGTCTTGCTTTGTGTATGGTGTCTGTTAAGAGTCAAGATCCCTTGCTCTTCCCCTATAGATGCTTAAATGACCCTCTGCCATTTATCCACAGCAGCATCATCTCCCCTGTGTGCCACCATTGTCATACTCCTGTGATCGTGTCTGTGCGGGTCAGCTTCTGCCTCACTGCTCCATCTGTTCACCTCTGCTTTAGTGCACACCTGCCCCCGAGGAATAGCCTCCAGTAGTCCCGACTGAGAGCCTCTTGTGCTTGCTATGTATCTCCCTCCTTGGCAGAATATTCTTGATATAATTATTGTCTTTCAGCCCTAAGGGTTGATGAAAACCCTGTTTTACTTTATCTGTTCTCCTTGTGGCTTTTCAGCCCATTACCCTGCACAGTTCAAGGGCAAAACTACAGGGAATTGTGTTCACCTCTTAATCTCCCTTTTCAAAAGGCTCTTGGCACCTCATTTCCTGGCAGCCCCCATGCTTCAGTTTTTGTCTCCCCAGTTCAAGGAGATGGCAGAAAGTTTCTCTGGCATTTCCCTCTATGGCAGATCATGCTGCCCAGCCTCTGCCCCACCTGTCACCCCAACCCTACACCAGGAACTTGTGGCTCTGCTGGACAGCTTGGAAACCTGTGCTCACAGAAGGCTAGACTTACTCGGAATCCTTGGGATCCTGGCTTCTCTGAATGCACTGGCCACTCAATGCTTTAACGCAGATGCCTCTTGGATTGTTTCTTCCATTTTTCTTTCTTGTTCTCAGTGGTATTGTTATCTGCAACCAGCTACACATTGTAACACAAATCAGAAACCCAGACATGGACATTTTAAACTTTGATAAATGTAATAGTGTTGTTCAATAACCTTCAAAGAGGTGGCCCAGTTCATACAGTATAGGCACCTTAGCTACAATTGTAAAAATCTGATATTTAACTGGAAATACAGTTAATCCTAAGATGAGGAATTGGTACTCTTCCCGCTATGCCTTTGGGCCCATTTATAACATTTAATCTACCATCATGCATAGGAAATGCACTTGCAGGCCACATCAAAGGAACACAAATAAGCCTTTGATTGTTTACTAGAAGCTGGCCATATAAAGACAGGTGGCCTGACCATCTTCGTGATTTCAAATCTGCTGCAAACTCTGTTAATGACATTTGTCTCCTGGCTTCCTTTGAAGCATGATTCCTGGCCTTAGCTGGGAAATACGACCTAAAGGCTTACACACAGGGCAGCTTGGGAAGCCTGGCTTCAGAGGGAAGCTGCGGCTGCTTGAACAAGTTCAGGTCAGGCAAGAAAGGTCTCTGATTCTTTTTTGAGGGGTGGGTTGGGGAGTGACTTGGTGCGAGAGGGTTAATCAGTTGAAATTAAAGGAATCTGTTAATGCGTAAGTAAGCAACCTGCCCGTAGAATTCAGTAAGTGGAAAGAAGCTTGTTTTAGAGGCAGATGCTTGATTGGGGCTCGGTCCCTAACCAACTGCTCCACATCAAAAGGACGATGAATATGCCCACTGTCAACTT
This sequence comes from Homo sapiens, assembly GCF_000001405.40. Lineage (NCBI taxonomy): Eukaryota > Metazoa > Chordata > Mammalia > Primates > Hominidae > Homo > Homo sapiens. The sequence continues at coordinate 60,510,962 of NC_000020.11, forward strand.
CTCCTGGTGGCTCTATGCTACACACCAGGGCAGTCTACTTGTGTCTGCATTGGCTTTTAGCACAGAAGTTTACAAAGGATGAATAAAGCTAGAAAGAAGCCTCTGGAGTTGGTGAAAGATTATCTACAATGAAACAGAAATAAAAAATCTCCTGGGCAACTCATTGTAATCCAGCTGGATCCTTCCCTCCTATCCCTTCTAAAAGGATATATTCTCTTGGCTTCCATTTCTGTGCCAATATTCCTCCCAACCTTTGGGGAATTGTTTGGGCTTGACACATAGCAACACTTAGAAGTACATTTCAGAACCCTTATTCAGTTTTGTGTGGGAAGAATTTGACTCAAGGGATAAACTGGCTCAGGTGTGTCCATCTGCATAGAAACCTCCACTTGATTGTAAGCCTCTTCCAAGATTTAGAAAGGCTAGAAGCAAATAATTTTTACACAGCACAAACTTTTAAGAGATTAATTTTAAAATTTATTTTTCCTCCACCTTGTTTGGATAAGAGTTTCCTTTTTTAAAAAGATTTTTAAAACAAAGGTGCTTCATGTGTGCGAACATGATCCATTGTTTCCTCTTTCTTCAAGAATGAATTTTGGACTCTTACCACATTAGAGATAACAAAGGCCTTGGGAAAGTGTTGAAAATCATTGTCCATTTATAAATTGATGCCCTTAGGACATCACATCTTGCTTTCCATCAAACACACCAAGCGCTCAAGCCCAACAGAGATTATAGATTCATGCAAAAAAAAGAAAAAAGGAAGAAGAAATAAACTGATGCCTTTTGTCCTTTCTTTTCTAAGACATGTCAGAAAGCAGGATATCTAGTCTTCGAAAAGCACTCAGGAAGTCATCCTTGCTGTCCTTGATACTTTCGTCTTTTCACTGTGCCCTGATACCCAGTTTACCAACACGTCCTATCAATTTTACCTCCAAACTTAGTTCCACTCCATTTAATCCATCCTTACCTTTCATACCATACCATTGTCTTTGACCTAGATATTTAAGGACTTCTTAATAGATCTCTCCAAATTAGAATGGATTCCACCCCCAATCTGGAACCAGAGTAATTTTCTTTAAGTATTTTTACTTTGAATTCTCACTTCAATGTCTTCCCGTTGGTTTCCCATTACCTTTAAGAGATGGTGTCCAGTCCTCGAACCAGTCTATATGGCTCTGTTTGACCTGGCTTTTGCCTGTCTTTCTACCCTGAGGGTCTCAACCATCTTCGCTAATGAGGAACAACTAGAGAGCTTTTTTCTTCCCCCCAAGAAGGAGCTTTTGATTTAGCTAACTAGAATAGGGCCTGCACATAGATAACGTTTTCAAAGCGATCCATGTGATTTTCACATGCAGTAAAAGTGGAGAACTGCAGATCTGTCCTCATTTCCTCATTTCTCAGCATCTTTTCCATTGCTTGCTCTGCTCCAGGCATGCCAGCCTTTGAGATTTTCAAGTATGTCGTGGTTTGATTTTTTTTTAATTGTTTCTTCAGCTTAGGATAATTTTCTTCCCTCTTTTAACCTGACCAATTTCCAATGACTCTTTAAGTCTCATTTTAAACGACGCATATTCCTGGAAACTTTCACAATACTGCTCACTTTTTCATGGCAGTTAGCATAATTGGAATTCTAAGAATTTGAAAGATTATCTGTGAATAGTTGATTCTCTGCATGAGTCATCTTCATGAGTATGTGTCTGTTGTTTTCTGCCATATCCTCAATGCCCAGCGGCCAGCCCACAGTCGGCCCTGACAACCCTGGGGTGTTGAACAATGCCCTCTTTTCTTCCCTGTCTCCTGCTGTCCTTCCATCATTCAGTATTTATGGAGCAGGCAGAGTACTGTGGGACATGGCTGCTTATCTCACCCAGAATCATTAAGGCCATTTCTAGCTCTTCTTCTGCTCGCTGAGAGCATGGATTAATGGGCTGACATTGCTCAAGTGTTTGAAAGGTAATGAGGCTTCTAGGCTCCTAATCAGTTTGCCTCTGCTAAAATGGAGACTATCAGGATTTTAGTTTCTTTTGGCCATTATCTTCACATTATGGCTGGTTTCTTCCCCTCAGCATTATTTTGTGTTATTCGGGTTTATAGAATTATTATTTACATGCAATAAAATCCACCAATTTTAATCTACAATTTGTTGAGTTCTGACAAATGAATGCAGCCAGGTAACCATCACCATGCTTATGACAGGGAACATGCTATCACCTCGAGACATCCCCTGTTCCCTTTGCAGTCAATGCCCCACTCAACACCCTGCCCCCTGGCAAAGATCTACTCATGCTATCACCTCAAGGCATCCCCTCTTCCCTTTCCAGTCAATGCCCCGCTCGACACCCTGCCCCCTGGCAAAGATCTGCTTTCATCACTATAATTATGCTTTTTCCTAGAATTCCATATGAATGAAATCAAGCAGCATGTCATTCTTTTTTTTTTTTTGGCCTGGCTTCTTTCACTTAATGTATTTTTCAGCTCCATGCAGGATGTATCAGTAGTTCAGTTTATTTTGGTTGCTAATACTTGATAGTTTACTGATTCACTCACTGATGGATGGGCATTTATGCTATTTTTAATTTGGGGCTATATAAATTTTTACAAATATTTGCCTACAACACTGTGAGTACATATATGTTAACATTTTGCTTGAATAAATAACTGGGCATATAATTGCTGAGTCTTATGGTAGGTGATTGTTTATAAGAAGCAGTCAAAGCATTTTCCAAAGTAGTTAGTTCTACCATTTTCACCAACAATGTATGAAAATTCTAGTTTTTCTATCTGCTTGCCAACACTTTTTGTTTTGGTCATTCTGGTGGGTGTGGGGTGATACGTAACTGTGATTTTAATTTGCATTTCCTTAATGACTAACCACATTGCATTTTGCCATATGCATATTAGCCACCCATATATTTTCTTTGGTGAGCCGTATGGTCAAGTCTTGGCTCATTTTTTAAAAATGCATTATCTAATTAATGGATATTAAGAATTCTTTATATATTCTGGACATCTTTTATTAGATAAATATTTTTCAATTTTTTTCTAGTTTCTGATTTGCCTTTGGATTTTCATTATGATGGCTTTTAAAGAATAGAAATTTTAAATATTGTTTAGGTAATTTACAGATTCAATGCCATCCCCATCAAGCTACCAACGCCTGCCTTCACAGAATTGGAAAAAACTACTCTAAAGTTCATATGGAATCAAAAAAGAGCCCGCATCGCCAAATCAATCCTAAGCCGAAAGAACAAAGCTGGAGGCATCACACTACCTGACTTCAAACTATACTACAAGGCTACAGTAACCAAAACAGCATGGTACTGGTACAAAAACAGAGACATAGATCAATGGAACAGAACAGAGCCCTCAGAAATAATGCTGCATATCTACAACTATCTGATCTTTGACAAACCTGAGAAAAACAAGCAATGAGGAAAGGATTCCCTATTTAATAAATGTGCTGGGAAAACTGGCTAGCCATATGTAGAAAGCTGAAACTGGATCTGTTCCTTAAACCTTATACAAAAATCAATTCAAGATGGATTAAAGACTTATACGTTAGACCTAAAACCATAAAAACCCTAGAAGAAAACCTAGGCATTACCATTCAGGACATAGGCATGGGCAAGGACTTCATGTCTAAAACACCAAAAGCAATGGCAACAAAAGACAAAATTGACAAATGGGATCTAATTAAACTAAAGAGCTTCTGCACAGCAAAAGAAACTACCACCAGAGTGAACAGGCAACCTACAAAATGGGAGAAAATTTTCGCAACCTACTCTTCTGACAAAGGGCTAATATCCAGAATCTACAATGAACTCCAACAAATTTACAAGAAAAAAACAAACAACCCCATCAAAAAGTGGGCGAAGGACATGAACAGACAACTCTCAAAAGAAGACATTTATGCAGCCAAGAAACACAGGAAAAAATGCTCATCATCACTGGCCATCAGAGAAATGCAAATCAAAACCACAATGAGATACCATCTCACACCAGTTAGAATGGCAATCATTAAAAAGTCAGGAAACAACAGGTGCTGGAGAGGATGTGGAGAAATAGGAACACTTTTACACATTGGTGGGACTGTCAACTAGTTCAACCATTGTGGAAGTCAGTGTGGCGATTCCTCAGGGATCTAGAACTGGAAATACCATTTGACCCAGCCATCCCATTACTGGGTATATACCCAAAGGACTATAAATCATGCTTCTATAAAGACACATGCACACGTATGTTTATTGCAGCATTATTCACAATAGCAAAGACTTGGAACCAACCCAAATGTCCAACAATGATAGACTGGATTAAGAAAATGTGGCACATATACACCATGGAATACTATGCAGCCATAAAAAATGATGAGTTCATGTCCTTTGTAGGGACATGGATGAAATTGGAAAACATCATTCTCAGTAAACTATTGCAAGAACAGAAAACCAAACACTGCATATTCTCACTCATAGGTGGGAATTGAACAATGAGTTCACATGGACACAGGAAGGGGAATATCACACTCTGGGGACTGTGGTGGGGTGGGGGGAGGGGGGAGGGATAGCATTGGGAGATATACCTAATGCTAGATGACGAGTTAGTGGGTGCAGCGCACCAGCATGGCACATGTATACATATGTAACTAACCTGCACAATGTGCACATGTACCCTAAAACTTAAAGTATAATTAAAAAAAAATTTATCAAATATCTCTATTATAATTTGTGATTTTTAGAGTCCAATTGACAAAATCTTTGTATAAGCCTGGGTAAGCACAATTATCTTCATGTTTTTATCTAAAATATTATAGTTTTAGCTCATATATTTTGATCTGTAATCTATGTTAATTTCTGTATATAGTGGAGGTCAAGATTGAGGTTCATTTTCACCCTCATGGATTTCTAATTGTTCCAGGACTATTTGTGGGAAAGATTTCATCAATTTTACATTTCATTTTTTCTTCTTTGCCTTCTTTTGTATGAATTAGTTATTATTCTTGTGATTCAATTTTATTGTCTATCTTGGTACTAAACCTTCTTTTTTAGTGTTTTCTCCAGGATTTATATTACATGTTTATTTATATATGTACTATAATGTAGTACATATTTACCACATATACCATAATATATGTACTATGTGTATTATATGTATAGTACATATTAAGCACATATACCATAATATATACATATATTATGAACATAATACATATGTGCATATATTTGTACATATGTATTATGTTCATAATATATGTATATATTATGGTATATGGTAATGGTATGGTATATGGTATATGGCAATATGGTGTGTGGTAATACATATGTACAAATATATGTACATATGTATTATGTTCATAATATATGTATATATTATGTATATATATACATACATACTATTATGTATGTTACACACATACATAATATATGTACATATGTACTATACCGTAATATAGTACATATTTACCATAGTCCATTTTCAAATATTATTTTATATCTATGATAATGACATTACAATGATGTACTTCCAGATCTACCCTCTCAGCCTTTATGCATTGTTGTCACATTATTTTTACAAATGTTATAAACCGTAGATTACATTGATATTATTTTTGTGTTAAATACTTACCTTTAAAAGGTAAGAATCCTATGTCTTCAAAAATCAGTTGTATTTCCATGAATGCTGACTGAGCAAAAAATCTTTGCATTAAAACGTGAGTTAGGTTGAATAGACAGATAGGTAGATATAGATATGTACATACATACATATGTGTATATAAACCCTTGCATATATATGTATATATTTGTATGTATGTGTATAGACATTTATTACTGACTTACACTCTGGTTTACTAGGCATAACTTATAAAATAAGTAATTAATATGTGTAATACATTGGTTATACACAGATGAAAATATCCCCAAAACACATAAAATTATATTTAAAATATTAAAATGTTCTAAAAAGGTACTTCTTAATTTCTAAAAAAGAACTCCTTTTTCTGGTACTCTAAAAAACAGTTATTAATATCGACTATATCAAGTATCTTTCACTTCAATATTTATTTTTTCTTTGACTAGGTTTATGGAAATCAGCTGGGGATTTTTTTTTAAGCAAAGTTTTACGATTAACTCCGCCTTTTTTCGCCTAAATAATACATCTGGCTTCCAGATTTCCAACTTCTTATTCCTACAAGTCACCTAGTCATTAACTGAAACATTAAATTGGTCAACAGTACCAAATAAATACAATATTATTTATTTTTGTTAGACCTACAAAATATTTAAAAGGCTAATACAATAATAAAATAAATAAACTTGAATTTTGACTGTAAAACTAATAGAGCATGAAACACAGTATCTTTAATTTGGAAATATAATTCTCAGGGCAAAAGCAATTCTTCAGGAAAGTGAGGAAAACATTGCTCAGAATCTGCCTTCTGTAAATAGTCCAGGCGGAGGAATGAGCCGGTTGTATTAAAGTTTCTCCATTCGAAGCAGGTAGCCCTTATCAGCCATTTTAAATCCATAGAATAAATGGAGTTGGGTCTGCCAACTTATTTTCTGTCCTGGAAGCAACTATCACATCCCAGTGGTTACTGGTTCTGACTGGCAATGCATGTTAAATGTAGTGATTAATTAACATTTTAAAACCGATGTGTACTCTCACTTTCTTAGAAACTTCATCTAAAAAGCCTGACTTTGCACAGCGGAAAGCAAAAATCATCATTAAAATAACCAAGGCTGCTCGTAGACAGAAATGTTCTCATCCCGGAAGCTTTTCCCCACCCAGATACACTGCAAGTCTGTGTGATCACAATAAGTAGACATTTCTCCCCCAGGCCTCAGACTCCCTTACCTACGCTTCTGTTTTGGTGGGGCTGGGGTTGAATCTGATTATCTGAATGATGAATGGAGGTTCCAAGTTATCCTCATGAGTAGTTTGGAATTGGTGTTTTAGGGACTTGCTCTTACATGGGCAGGAACCACATCAAGATTTCACTTGCGTCCTGAAATGTACAAATAAGCAATACCAAGAAAGAGTCTTTGCTGCTCAGTCAGCAGTCAGTAAAACCACAACTCTTGGGTTGGGGATTTTCTGGATTAGAAGGTATTTCTCACTAGACCAAAGACTGCATTTATTGGGCAAAACAGTTTTTATTTTAGCTCTGGTCCTGGCTGAATGCACTGGTCACTCCACTTGGACATACTTTGATTCCCTGAAAGCAACTCATTCTCCCTGGTAAACACGATGCTTGTGCAAGTTCACAGCTCCTTAATGGTCAATCTGTTTATGTTATGGGATAAGCAAATCTGAAAACACAACAGTGGTCACTAAGGGCCTGCAAGAGTCCCTAGACATATGGTATCTGCTCACTGGAAATGTCCTCTTGGAAAGAGAGAGAGAAAGAGGTGAATGCTGTCATGGTAATAATGCATTTTTTACCAAACATTTTGCAGTAGTGGAATATTTTGACTGCTTTGGAGTTTAGCCACCTTCTTTAGAGAAATGCACAATGCAGAACAGGTGAAGAAACATTTTCATCCATTATAGGGGTTGCAAGAAATAGAGTCAAAATTCAGTCTGCATTCAGAAAAAGAAGTAAAAATTTTGCCAAGATTAATTGCTGGAGACAAGATACGCTGTTAATAAAAGTGCTGTAAATGAAGATTATCAGAGTATCAGTTTCCTACTCTGCTTTAGAACTTAGCCCAAGGACACAAGCAGACTCCTAAAAATGAGTTTTAATAACTTTCTTTTTTGCTTGTGTTAGTCTGTAGGCAAAATTTTGTAGTTTTAATAATAATCTCTGACAGTAATAAGTTCCTCTAGTGTTTATACCTCCCTAACAATACATGGCTATAATTACTGTAGCAGGAAATTTAATAAGTCTCAGAAAGTGGAATAAATATGATGTTGTGTTTTCTGAAAAATATTAATCCCCCTCTCTTTGTGTTTTCGTTATTTGAGATTTTTGATCAGGAATACTGTCTCCAGTGCCCCTTTGCCTGGCGAGGAGTGAGGTGCATGGGCAGAGATGTGGTAGTACATCTTCACCACTGAAGACATTTCCTTTCTACTTTATTCCCTCTTTTAATGAAGGATTGCTCACCATTCTCACATAATTCAGCGTCTCCCCAGATATTATCAGGCTAATTGTGAAATGCCTCACATCTCTATATTGGGTTAAAAAATGCATTACTTAGATTAATTTTGCCTGCTTCTTAGTCACTTATAAAAGCTAAAGCCCCGCAGTCATCATCGCCCCCTTCTCCTCCGCAGATCATCCGTTGTGTACCAATCCTCAGGCATGGCTTTCCCATCTTCCCCACCTCACTGGCATCTGTTCTCAAACCCTTTTACTGACTTCTTCTCCATCCAACTTGTAAATCTTGTAAATCACTGAATCAGGGGCAAAATTTCCCCCAGGAGACACGTGGCAAGTCCTGGGACATTTTTGTGTTTGCTGTCACATTTCAGAATGGGGTGGAGAGGAACTCCTGGCATCTAATCGTGGAGGTCAGGGATGGTGTAGAGCGTCTTGCAATGCAAAGGACAGCTCTCATCACAAAGAAATATCCACCCAAATATCAGTCGCGCCACGGCTGAGAAATCATGCTGTAAATGTTGAACTCTCCCAGAGCTCTATTCCAAGTCTTCCCCTACCTGTACATTCTTCTACACTATTTCCAGTCTCCTGCTTTATGTATCACTCACTCGTGGGTGACTCCCAAATATGTCTCCAGCCTTGGTCTCTCACAGATCACTGGATTCCATATCCAACTCTATTCTTGTTATCTCCCTTTGTGTGTCCATTAGGGACTTCAAACTTACAGTGACCAAAATAGATTCCTTAACTTTGACCTCACAATCCACATCTCCCTGGTATTCATCATTTTCATAAATGGCACCAACATTTACTCAGTTGCTCAAGCCTGAGCTATCCAATATGGCAGCCATCAGCCCTATGTAGACACTGAACTCTTGAAATATGGCTGGTCTGAATTGGAAGGTGCTGGAAGTGTAAAATGATCATGGAATTTCAAAGACTTAGTATAAAAAAGAAGGTGATATATCTCATCAATAATTTTTAATTTTTAGATATCAATTGTATATTGGGATGATAATATTTTGTGTATGATGGATTAATAAAATATTACACAGGTGGATTCAGAGGAGATGGGAGAGCAGCAAGCACCAAGACACTGTCTGCCCATCTAGACAACCTTGCATTGTCAGAATCTGTCTGATGTGAGTATTTGGGGACTCTGGAGTTGAACGAAGGCTTGCAGCTTCCAGGGGAAGGCGTGGATGGGAAAGTGTGGCTATTTTCAGTCAATTTGAGTTCTTACCACAGTACAGTATGAGGTACCCATTTCCCACTCTGAATTCCATGACAGGCAGATAGGTATCATGAGTATCTTCTCTCACCCAAGTGGGATAAAGTTAGAAATCAATACAGAAGTAAAACTGCAAAATTTATACATTTGTGGATTAAACACACAGACAACCAATGGATTACAAAAGAAATCACAAGATTCATTTATAAAAATACTTATAGATGAATGAAAATAAAAACACAACATACTAAACTGTGGGATGCAGGGAAAGTGATGCTGTGGGGAAATTTATAGCTGTAGATGTTTCCATTAAAAAAAAGCAAGATTTAAAATCAACACCCTAGTTTAAAATGTAAGGAACTAGAGAAAAGAACAAACTAAACCCAAAGCTAGCATAGGGAAGAAAATTATAAACATTAGGGCAGAGATAAACAAAATAGAGACTAGAAAAATAATAAAGAAAATGAATAAAGCCAAAAGTTGGTTCTTTGAGAAGAGCAATAAAATTAACAAACTTTTAGCAAGCTCAACTAAGAAAAAAGAGAGTAGACTCAAATTATTAAAATCAGAAAGGAAAGCAAGGATATCACAACCAATTTTCCAGAAATAAAAAGGATTATAACAAAGTACTTATATGGAAAATTGTATGCCAAGAAATTGGTAACATACATGAAATGGACAAATTCCTAGAAACACAAAACTTGCCAAGACTAAATTATGAAGAAATAGAAAATCTGAACAGACCTATACGTAGTAAAGAGACTGAATCAGTAATCCCAAATTTTCTGACTTCACTGGTAAATTTTATCAAACATTTAAAGAAGAACTAACATCAGTCTTTATCAAACCTTTCTAAAATATTGAAGCGGAGAAAACACTTCCTAATTCATTATACGAGGCTAGTATTAGCCTGATACTAAAGCCAGACAAAGAAATTACAAGAAAAAACAAAATAACAACAACAATAACAGACAACTATAGACCAATATGTCTTATAAATATTAGGGCACAAATCCTCAACAAAATACAGTCATGTACCACTAAATAATGAGGTTACATGCTGAGAAATGTGTCATTAGGTGGTCTTGCCATTGTGTAAACATCATATAATATACTTACACAAACCTAGATTGCATAGCCTACTACACACCTTTGCTGTATGGTATAGCCTATTACACCTGTGCTAAAACTCTGTGCAGAATGTTACTGTACTGAATGTTGTAGGCAATTGTAACACAATGGTAAGTGTTTGTGTATGTAAATATAAAAATGTATAGTAAAAATATGATATTATAATCTTACAGGGCCATTGTTGTATATGTGATCCACTGTTGACCAAAGTGTTATGACACACGTGACTGTACTAGAAAAGTGACTTCATCATCAAATAAAAAGGCTTATATACCATTACCAAATGGTATATATTCCTGGAATGTAAGGATGTTTCAACTTATGAAAATCAATCAATGTAGTAGTATACCGCATTAACAGAATGAAGAGGAAAATACTCACAATCTTCTCAATTGATGAAGAAAAACATTTGACAAAATTCAACATCCATTCATGATTAAAATGCTCAATAAACTAGGGTTACAGGAATCTACCTCAACATAATAAAATCCAAATGTGAAAAACCGACAGCAAACATCATACTCAATGGTAAAAGACTGAAAGCTTTTCCTATAAGATCAGAAACAAGGTAAGGATTCCCATTCTCACCACTTCTATTCAACATAGTACTAGGATTTCTACCCAGAACAATTAGGCAAGAAAAAGAAATAAAAGGCATTCAAACTGGAAAGGCAGAAGTAAAATTATCACTGTTCACAGATGGTATGATCTTATTCATAGAAAACCCTGAAGATTCCACACACAAAAATGGTCAGAGCTAATAAATAAATTCAGCAAAGTTGCAGGATACAAAGACAACACACAAAAATCGTTTGCATTTTTATACACTAACAATGAGCAATCTAAAAAGCAAACTACAGAAACAGTTCAATTTACAATCATATCAGAAAGAATAAAATGCTTAGAAATAAAACTAGGAGATAAAAGACTTGTACAATAAAAACTACAAAACATTACTGAAAGAAACTAAAGAAGACATAAAAGGAAATGCATCCTATTATCATGAATTAGATCCTCACGCAGAGAGCCTTTAAGGAAATGAATGAGATCCCATCTACCTACTCGTGTTCTTTTTGGCTCTGCTATTCATTCTTGAAACCCAAGGTAACAGCTTGCTTCAATAATTTGTGGTTTGGTGTGAGCTGGCTTCCTTGTCCCACAGCTGGGCATTTGGTTCATGGCTCTCTACAGCTATCTGGTGCGAGTGTATGATATGGATGGACCCACTAAAGAAGATAACTGATGTGATTTCATATTGTTAAGATGTCAGTACTACCCAAAGCAATCTACAAATTCAACAAAATCCCTAGCAAAATTCCAATTTTTTTTCAGAAATAGAAAAACCCATCCTAAGATGTATATAGAATCTCAAGGAACTCCAAATAGACAAAATCTTGGTAAAGAAGAACAAAGCTGAAGGACTCATACTTCCTTATTTCAAAACTTACTACAGTAATCAAAACAGTTTAGGAGTGTAAAACATATAGACCAATGGAATAAAATAGAAAACATAAATTATAAATAAACCCTCAGATATATGATCAGGTGACAAGGGTCATTTTTGACAAGGGAGCCAAGATCATTCAATGGGGGAAAGGACTACATTTTCAACAAATGGTGCTGGGAAAGCTGGATATCCACATGCAAAAGAATGAACCCTTATCTAACAGTATACACAAAAATTAACTGAAAATGGATCAAAGATTTAACTGAAACACCTAAAACTATAAAACTCTTAGAAGAAAACTTAGGCCAAAAGCTTTGTGACAAAGGATTTAGCAATTATTTCATGGATATGATATCAAAGGCATAGACAAAGAAAAAAATTGACAAATAGGATTTCATAAGACAAATTATAATGATGGTTGATTGAGGCTGGGGGAAGGGAAAAATAATAAGTTATTTTTTAATGGGCATGGATTTCAGTTGTACGAAATAAAGAGTTATAAAGATGGATGCTGGTCATGGCTGCACAACACTATAAATGTGTTTAATACCAATGAACTGCACACTCAACAATGGCTAAGATGACAAATCTTATATACTTTAACACAGTTAAACATTGGAAAAAGTTAAATTCAAAGGCAATGTTATAAAAATACATTTATTATACTTTATTTCACCTGATTCTTTTTAATTTTCTTAATGTGGCCACTGGCAAACATAATTACCTTATATTTCTGCTGAACAGCTCTACTCCAACCAATGCTCATACCATTTCATCAACAATTCATCAACTTCATTTTGGCTTCACCCCCCAAGCTCATCTTAAATGCCGCACTTCTATATCCTCACCACCCCCACCAGGGCCAACGCTAACATAGTCTTCTGCTCAGCTATTGAAGGAGCCTAATAAGCCTTCTCCTCGCTTTTCATTTTGTCCACATGCCAGCCAGAATGCTCTTTTAAAAGCTTATGTCCAGTAATGCCACTCTCCTGGTTAAAGCCCTGCAACGGCCCTCACATAACACAAAATATCCAGTTACCTTGACTGGTGTCCAGAGTCCTGCATCACCTGTTCTGCCTTATTCTCCCATCTCACCTCTCAACACGCTGCCTAATGCCCACATTATTCTAAACACCTTGGTCTTTTGCTTGCCTCCAGGACTCACCAAAGAACATTTGCTCTTTCAAGTCTTTGCATTAGCTGATCTCGCTTCCTAAAATGTTATTTTCCATGATCACTGAATGCTGGATCCATTTTGTTTCCAAATATCAGTTTAAATGACATATTAAAAACTTCACATTAAAGTCTAACTTGAACACCTAATAGAAAATCACCACTCAACCCCTCAAGTGCTCTCTTGTGACATCAAAGTATCTTCTGTAGTGGCAGTTGACATCTGTCATCATTTTTGTTTCCTCCACAGAGCTCTCTATGAGAATAAAAACTTCTTGCTCACCTCCATATTCCCAACATTAATTGGAACATAAAAGGTACTTAAAAATACTTTGTTTTTTTTAATTATACTTTAAGTTCTGGGGTACATGTGCAGAACGTGCAGATTTCTTACATAAGTATAAAAAAATAAGACATGCAGCCAACAAACATATGAAAAAAGCTCATCATCACTGGTCATTAGAGAAATGCAAATCAAAACCACAATGAGATACTATCTCACGCCAGTTAGAATGGCGATCATTAAAAAGTCAGGAAACAAGAGATGCTGGAGAGGATGTGGAGAAATAGGAACGCTTTTACACTGTTGATGGGAGCGTAAATTAGTTCAACCATTGTGGAAGACAGTGTGGAGATTCCTCAAGGATCTAGAACCAGAAATAACATTTGACCCAGCAATTCCACTACTGGGTATATACCCAAAGGATTGTAAATCATTCTACTATAAAGACATATGCCCACGTATGTTTATTGCGGCACTGTTCACAACAGCAAAGACTTGGAACCAACTCAAATGCCCATCAATGATAGACTGGATAAAGAAAATGTAGCACATATACACCATGGCATACTATGCAGCCATAAAAAAGGATCATGTCCTTTGCAGGGACATGGATGAAGCCGGAAGCCATCATTCTCAGCAAACTGACACAAGGACAGAAAACCAAACACCACATGTTCTCGCTCATAAGTGGGAGTTGAACAATGAGAACACATGGACACAGGGAGGGGAACATCACACACCAGGGCCTGACAGAGGGTGGGGGGCAAGGGGAGGGATAGCATTAGGAGAAATACCTAATGTAGATGATGGGTTGATGGGTGCAGCAAACCACCATGGCACATGTATACCTATGTAACAAACCTGCACGTTCTGCACATGTATCCCAGAACTTAAAAGTATAATAAAAAATTAAAAAAAAAAAACTTTCTAAAGCCACCTTGTCAAATTGTAGTCAAACTCTGGGAAGTTTAGTAAACCCAGAATTTCCTTAAACAGAAATATGCTGTCAAATATTTCACTCTCTTAATCCCCTTATAAACATGCGTCTATCTTTTTTTCTTAATCCTCTTCCCCTCCAGCTCTTACTTGATCTCTCTCCCTCCCACTCTGGGATAGCTTTCTCAAAGGTAGTCTACACTCTGCCTTCTCATCAATTTCCATTTCCTTCCTAGTTTATTCCACTCTACTGTTCTTCTGTCACCTAGGCTGAATCCCATAGGCATTTTGTGGAATTTCTCGTTGCTTAATTCTTCTGCACCACTTGTTGATCATTTCTTTTTTTAAGCATTGTTACCTCGCTTTTGTTCTTCTCTACCTCTGTGCTTGAGATTCTCCATTTGCATCTTCTGATTCACTCTTTCCCTTTCTCTTCCTGCTTGGGCAGTGCCACAGGTGCTGGCCCTATGGATGGCATCTACTGATCACCCTTGCCCTCTGGTCTTCTGTTGGGTTCCAGCCATGGGGGTGGGGATACTAGTAGATGGGATAGTGGGAGGAGGGAGAAGCTGAGGTATTGATCCTTCTGGTTCTGCCCAGTCTAGTTCACAGCAGTGCCTGTTTTCCTGCATCAAAGACCAACACTCTTTGTGGGCTTCTCTCCCCAACATCTACATTTCTCTCTGGGTTCCAGGAGATACCCCCTTTGTTTGCCCTTCAGAACAGTTGATGGGCATGCTCCCCTGCTGGTGCTCCCCAACGCTTCCTCTTACCTTGCTCACATCCTTGCAGTCTCTTCGTCAGCTCCATCTGTTTCCTGTGGGTATCTTGATTAATATAGTCTCCTTGGCATGTTACTCTTTCTTCAAGAACCTGAAAGGTTGGTTTTCCCCAGTGTTTCATCTTCTATCTTTCATAGTCACAGGGTCTCAAGTATTGTTTGTGAATCTTTGTCTCCTAAAGTTGCAATGATCATGGATAAGCTGATGATTTTCAAATTTTTATTCTCATTTCAAAACTCCCTTTTGCCATTCAGTCATTTGTATATAATTGCCAGGTACATTCCTTTAATGTGTCCTGAAGGGAGGACATGATAGGAAAACAGATATTTTTCCAAAGTAAGTGTATTAATCCATGTTCACATTGCTATAAAGAACTACCTGAGACTGGATAATTTATAAAGAAAAGAGGTTGAATTGACTCACCCTTTCCATATGACTGGGGAGGCCTCAGGAAACTTACAATCATGGCAGAAGGCAAAGGAGAAGCAAGGCACGTATTACAAGGAAACATGAGGAGAAAGCAGGTAAAGAGGGAAGTGCTACACTTTTAAACCATCAGATCTCATGAGAACTCACTATCATGAGAACAGCATGGGGAAACCAACCCCATAATCTAATCATCTCCCACCAGGTCCCTCCCTTGACACATGGTAATTAAAAATCAAGATGTAATTTGGGTGGGGACACAGAGCAAAACCATAGTAGTAAGGGAGGAAATTCTAAGGGTCTGTCTCAGGATACAATGGATTCCATACACAGGAATTATTCATGACCAGATGCAACAGTTGAGATGACTCTGAGGATTCCTTCCAGGTCTTACCTTCAATAAGCTGGAAACATTGCACTGCAAACATCCCTAGTAGAACAGATGCCACTGCCAGAGGAGTTGGTTGGGAACATATCTTTGTGTGTGTATATGGGAGTATTTGTGGGCATGTATTTATATGTATCTGGAAGTGTGCATATGTATAAATAGAAGGAGATATTAATTATATATATACATATTTTTAATGCCTGCAACCCAAATAAAAATAAGCTCCATGAAGAATGGATGAGCTGACAACACACTATCCAATTTTGCATCTGGAGCATGCACAGGAATTTATTACAAGCAGCAGCCAGACTTTTTTTGGACATGTAATAATCTTTTATTCTGTTTTATGTGAAAGTTAAAAGCTAAAGAATGCCATTTGCAGACCTTCAGCAACTTCTAGCTTGGCTTTAGAAATTCATTGCAGAAGATGGAGAACTTTGATATAGGGCCAGGACAATGACATTCAGCACCCAGATCTTAATTTCTGAATTGATTCTCCAACTCAGCCCCTGTTCTGTTTGCAGAGATGACAGAAGAGACATCCAGGAGTAGATTTCAATGCACAGCAGCAGCTGAGAGAAGCCAGCTGTGAAAAAGTGAGTGATCCCCACACCCATGCACATCATTTATTATAAAGACACTGCCATCATTTTTATCATGAAACTTCTACTCAGACAAAAGATTTAACATCAAAGAAGAGCATTGGTGAGGCTTCAAGTTGCTATGATTATTGAGAAATCCTATAGTGGCTTGAATCGACTCTGGCAAGGTAAATTCACCAAGATCCCAGGGATGCGTCTCACATTTGTCCCACTTGTCAGAGGAGGTCAGGCAGGAAATGCCAAACGAGAGAAATTCTCCTAAATGAGGTCAACTGGTACGCTGATTAGTGTGTAGGCAAACACTGATGATGCAGACAGGAAAGGGGGTGAGGAGAAAATGTTACCCTTGACTAGAGGGGAGAGGAGGCCTTCCCTCCCAACCCTATTCAGTTGCAGACTTCACAGGACTGCCACAAGCGACACTGAATGGAGAGATAAAAAGATGATAAAAGTCACAGGCTACAATCCTGTTGGGCTTTGCGGCTGTGGGTTTCCAGAGCGACCGTCCCTGCAGGCCCCTGGACCTGCCACCTTGTCAGCAGGTGTGTCTGACTGGCTGTGGCTAGGACAAGTCAAAGGGGCCAAAATGGCCCCAAAGGGGACTGGTAAATACTTGGGTCAAATGAGAGAAAGAAGGGGATGACAGTGCTATATTGTGGGTCTTCCACACCAGTCTGGTCATTCCCATATTCAAGAGCTGTCCATTACCTTCAGAACTGCTACAAGGCTGTCTTTAGGCAGCTTAGCCTCCCAGGTTCTTCTATACAGCTAAATATATACACAGAAAGCTTTTATTGTGTCTATCAAAAGTCTCCAGCCAAGTGCACATTCCTTGGGCCTGAAGAGGCTAACATTCTTCCATCCACTTAGCAGGCATTTACTGTGCACTGAGTCAGTGCTGAGGGCTCCAGAGTGAAGGACGCACAGCCCGGCCCTCAGAAGATCAGCTCACAGTGGGTGAGGGGGAAAGACCAGCAGGCAATGAAGACGCAACGTGGCCCACCTCCTCCCCGAGGACAGACAGACCCAAATATTGTGGATCCTACTGAGGTCCCTGAGCTTCTCCTCCAGATTCAGTCCTGATGGTTGGTCATCTTCCACGGCTGCTTGCTTCCAGGCCTCTGTACCTGCCTTCCTTCTTCGCTTGCCCTCCCCATCTTTTTCTTGCATCCCTCACTGCACTGGGCTCTAGTGACTTTCAGGTCTTTATTTCCATGCCATCTCCTTGAGAAAGACTTCCCTGCCTCCCTGGTCAGCTGTCTATTTTCTGTGTTCCTTCAGACCCCTGGTTTTCCTGTCACCTATCTGGCCATGTTGCATCTTCATTGCCTGCTTGTCTCTCCCCCTCACCTACCATGAACTGGTCTTCTGAGGGCAGGGGCTGTGCATCCTTCACTCTGGAGCCCTCAGCACTGACTCGGTGCACAGTAAGTGGCTGCCAAGTGGATGGAAGACTGTTAGCCTCTTCAGGTCCAAGGAAGAAGGGTGTATTTGGCTGGGGGCTTTCTTTGGGTAGACACCAGGAAAGCTTTCTGCTTTCATATTTGGCTTTATAGAAGAACCCAGGAGGCTAAGCTGCCCAAAGACAGTCTTGCAGCAGGAACTCCCTCTTGATTTTTCAGGGTAAGCTCCGGGCAGTGGCAGGGATGGAAATGTGGTCAGGGCTAGAAGAGTTTTGATGAGCATGATAGAGAAATCATAAATGACCTCAGAAAATACTGAAGTCGTCCTGAATAGGCTGTTAGAAATACCAACATGAGGGGAGCTGTTTAGAACAAAGGCTCAGAATAAAGTGAGGAATGTGGCATTGAGAAGTAGAAGAGGAGACCAGAAGGGGAGGTCAGAGAGACTTGAGGTCAAACGGCTGCAGAATGCCCGTACCGGCTTGAAGATGCAGGGCCATGCAGAGAAGGCACTGATGCTGCCAGCATTCTGTTAGGGTGTGGAAGGGGTCCTCTCCAGAGTGCCCAGGTGACAGCCCCACCCAGCCAACACTTTGGTTTCCATATGTAAGAGCTGGAGCTGAGGACCAACAAAGCTACTCTGTGCCTGGACTGCAGACTCGTGAAATGTTGAGATGATAGATGGGTACTGTTTTAAGCTGTTAATATTGTGGTAATTTGTTATGGCAGCAACAGAAAACTCACGCAGGTTTTCCTGAAGTTAAACAGGTGAGCCCTGGGGTCTCCCGGAGGGAGGGAGTTCATTTCCTGGCTATGCCTCCCATTACCTGCCACCACCATCCAGGGCTTCATTCCTCCTTTGTGAAATGTGACAGTGAGAGCCACACAGCACTATGAGGATGTAAGGACGTGTCACACGTAAAGCCAGGGAATGGTCCATTGTACAAACAAAGCCCACGATATATGTAAGCTGCCATGCAACTAAGTTAATGCAAATCCCTGTTTTCTTTGTTCCCTTGGAAGATAAACCATAGAGAGTCTAACCAGGCTGCTGCTTAAATAAAACCATGTGGCCCTGAGCAAAAGCCAGAGGTTGCACTTGCTCTGGAAAAGCCTGTTGTGGCTCCTGCGTCTACCCTGTCCTCTAACAGAAGCTGCCTTAACTCAAGGTGGTCGGGTTGCCTGGCCAAAGCTGGTTGAGTTAGTGCTGGACACTTGACCCATGCTGAGCTTTCTGATTCTCTGTCCTGGGGACCCAGAGAGGGGACAGCGAGAACCTTCTTCCTTAGCCGTGGGCAGTGGAACAGCCACAGTGGGGCATGGGGCCAGAGTCAAAGCCAAGGAGTCAGCTGGTCAAAGGATGAGCTTGCAGCACAGCAGAAATTAGAAGCCACACAGAGGGTGAGTCTTGCTTTGCAGAGAAGGCCATGCTAATGTTGACATGCCATCATATTATCGCGGGAGCCATGTGGACTGTGTGCTTCATCTGTGTAATGCAGTATTCTGGGGCTTCATGTGTGACATCTCTTTACATCCTCACAACACCATGTGGTATTCTTTGTAGAGACGGGGTTTTGCCATGTTGCCCAGGCTAGTGATCACTATTTTCTTCTAGTTATTTCTTTGTATCTGCCACCTAAGCACTGATGTGGGGTAAGATGTGATCCTCAGGTCTCTTGTTTACCTCTTTCCTCTAGATGGTGAGCAACACTTGTTCTGTGCAGCCAGCATCCCTTTCCTGCATCTTTGATTACAACATACACCTCCACCTTCTCACTGTCTCATTTCACAAAGGAGGAAAGAAACCCTGGGAGGCAGGTGGCAGGTAATGGGAGGCAGAGGCAGGAGCTGAACTTCCTCTGGGAGACCCCAGGGCTCACCTGCTTAACTTCATGAAACCCAGGAGCCCAGAGAAACAGACATCAGCCACCCAAGAACTGTTCCCACAAGATCTGTTCCCATAGACCCAGACTATACTTCCCATGCTGGTATGCCTGATGAGTGCCTGCATCTTTAAAAATCTTCTTAAAGATTATTAAATTCCTCTTCAAAAGTTACAAAAGCAACATGGTTGTTGACAGTATAGGAATATAAGGAAAACTTGAATAATGTCCCCAGCCCCATACTGATCACTCCTGACCCTGGGAGCCACGTCTTTGTTCACAGCCCGAGGTGTTTCCTTCCGCACATTCTTGTGCTCATGTGTCTTTTGTTCTTTGATTTATTTGTTTCTACAAAATGTATTCCATTCACCTACAACTCCTCTTGTCCTTCACCTCCATTTTCTCCTTAACATTTCTTTGTGAACATCCCTAAATCAACAGGTAACAGATAGAGGCAGATAAAGCATGGTCTTTCGTAATAAAAGGAAACCACAATTTTTCACTCATAACTTTATAAAAGAATAGCACTTGAGTCCAGCATTTTTGTTTTGCCACCACAATAACGTAAAAACAAACAACTTCTTGCCCATATATCCTTGTATATGTTGCCTGTGTTTTAAAGAGGCAGGATGGAGAATGGCCAAGTGGTTAAGAAGCCCAGATGCTAGATGTGTGGTATTATTTCTGAGGGCTCTGTTCTGTTCCATTGTTCTATATCTCTGTTTTGGTACCAGTACCATGCTGTTTTGGTTACTGTAGCCTTGTAGTACAGTTTGAAGTCAGGTAGTGAGATGCCTCCAGCTTTGTTCTTTTTGCTTAGGATTGTCTTGGCAATGTGGGCTCTTTTTTGGTTCTACATGAACTTTAAAATAGTTTTTTCCAATTCTGTGAAGAAAGTCATTGAAGTCATTGGTAGCTTGATGGGGATGGCATTTTTATCATGGCACTATTCACAATAGCAAAGACTTGGAACCAACCCAATTGTCCATCAATGATAGACTGGATTAAGAAAATGTGGCACATATACACCATGGAATACTATGCAGCCATAAAAAAGGATGAGTTCATGTCCTTTGTAGGGACATGGATGAAGCTGGAAACCATCATTCTAAGCAAACTATCGCAAGGACAGAAAACCAAACACCGCATGCTCTCACTCACAGGTAGGAATTGAACAATGAGCACACTTGGACACAAGGTGGGGAACATCAGACACTGGGGCCTGTCGTGGGGTCAGGGGAGGGATAGCATTAGGAGAAATACCTAATGTAAATGACGAGTTAATGGGTGCAGCACACCAACATGGCACATGTATAATTATGTAGCAAACCTGCACATTGTGCACATGTATCCTAGAACTTAAAGTATAATAAAAAATAAAAATAAATAAAAAGAAGTCCAGATGCTAGAATCAAAATATGTAGGTTCAACTCCCTGCCCTGCTGTTTGCAAAATGTATAACCTTGGCTAAGTCGCTTAACCTCTGCAAGGCTCAAGTCCCTCGTATGTTAAACAGGGACTGTGCTGGAGGAACTCCCTAGGATTGCTGTGAGGAATTGTGTTAATCATTTACGACCCTTAGAACAGAGCTTGGCACACAATAAGTACTTGGTCAGGGTTAGTTATCTTCATTATCAGATGACCATTGTCATTATTGCGGTGGCATAGGGTCACTGGATGGATTCCCACATGAAGAATATTTTGTATAAATTCACTTTCTTTTTCACTAGACTCAGTCCCATGAGGTTTCTATAACTTTGTATCATAACACTCTAAGGCACTACTGAAATATGGATGCAATGAATTCAAATATGAACTATAACTAGGCGTTGTAAATCGAGTTTGCCCTAATAATCATTTTCGCAATGTTGACTTTTCTGGAAATAATAAGTCTAAATGCATGTGCTAGCTCTGGGCCCATCATGGGAGGGAGAACTTTATAAGAAGATCATTATCTATCTCTTGCTCTTTCATTAAACGGGATTGTTTTTAAGTCAAATCAATTTTCTACCTCCATGGTCCAAGCTTTTGGCAAATTTGCATCATAATCATCTTCTTCATCCACTTGGCAGATACTTAATGCAAGTCATCCTGTCCACAGGAAAACACACATCATAGACATAAAATGTGTGTTCTCCATTTAATTTTTATGAGCACTTAGTGGGTAACCCTTTGTTTTTATTCTCCCCCTTGATGTCAAATTACTTCATATGTCTTTTCGTAGTTTGTCTAATCTACAATTGTATTTCTCATTATCATTTTGTGGGTTGTGGTGCTATTTCCTCCAGTTTCATTCTCCCTCTTTTATGTTTCTCTTGTACAAAATTAATTACATTGTACCTTCAAGCATAATTTTAACACTGTCTCCATTGCACTGTGTCTGCTTTTAATTAATACTCTTCTAATGTAGATTTTAAAGCCAAATGGTGCAATATTGTGAGCATCAAAGAAACAAAGAATCTAACAAAACTAAAATGAATGAGCAAGACAAAAACAGCTGACAATGTGTTCTCATTTGAAAATGTCACTTTCGCTGTACATTGAAAGAATGGATTACTTGGCGCTTTCTCTAAAAAAAAAAAAAAAAAAAAAAAGACAAGAGATGTTGACTCCAGATTTCTGGTGCCGTTGGTCTGAGTTTTACTTGGACTCACACTGAGCAAATATCTCAAGAGGAATTAACCAAACACAGCAGTCTCACAACTCAAGGAAAGGGGAGGTGAACCCCACAAATACATTTCTCAGAAGTTTTCTGTAGACCAGATACGGCAAACCACTCATCTTGAACTTCAGCCTGTGTTTTTCATGTCGCAAAGACTCTGATGATGCTGTGTCCCTTTGGTGTCCCACACAACCCCACTCCAAAGGAGAAGGAATCTCTTTGGGTTTCTGTCAGTTTCACGGAAGAGAAAATCAAACACAGTAGAACTACATGTATCGTGGCTCTGTGAATTAGTGAAATGTCCAAATAACAAAATATGGAAAACAAACAAATGTCATCTTACTACTTTTTGATTAATGAATCAGCTTGAACTTCTACCTAATAAGCTGGACTGCTTTAAAAATGTGTGTGTCTGTGTGTGTGTGTGTGTGTGTGTGTGTGTGTGTTATGAATTTGTAGTAAAATGTGGATACATGTAACGATGTATATGCATTCTAAAATAGACAATTTGTATTGGGTGGGTATATTGTGTGCAGTTTTATTTGTTGCCTTAAGTGATTCAATGTATCTTTCCTTACAAAAATTAGACTGAATGGGTAATAATTTTGAGGTAACAGAGGCTGAGTCCCTAATCTCAGACCGTAGGGAGAGATTTGATTTGATTGAGACAATGTAATGTGAAATGAAGTCTATAGGTTTGTGTGTCAGAGTAGTCTCAGCTCTAGTCCTGATTTAGTCAATAACTTTCTGTGGGAACGTGAAGTATGTCATTTACAACCATTATTTTCTTTGCCTGGCCTTCCCAAATTTCTGCAAATTGTCATTGTCTTCTTCCTCCTGACCTTCTGTACTGATAGAATTGTAGCATCCAAAGTGGGAAGATTATTACTCTGCCCATACCCAGATTTGTCATGGTAGTGGGTCAGGCCTCCAAAAATATATTTGCCTATCTAATTCCTGGAACTTGTGAATATGATCTTATGTGGAAAGCATCTTTGCAGATTAACTAGGGATTTTGAGATGAGATCATTCCGGATTATCCAGGTGGACCCTAAATTCGATGACAAATGTTCTTATAAAATAGAAACAGAGGGAGACTTGAGACAGGAAGAAGAGAAGGCCACATGAAGGTGGAGGCAGAGACTGGGGTGCCGGGGCCCCAGCCAGGTACTGCCTGGAGTCTCTGGAAACTGGAAGAGGCAAGAAATAGGTTCTCCCTTAGAGCCTCTGGTAGGAGTGTGGCCCTGCCAACACCTAGATTTCAGACGTCCAGCCTTGAGAACTGTGAACGAATAAATTCATGTTGTTTTAAGCCACCCAGTTTGTGGCGGTTTGTTATGGGAGCCCAGAGCCCAGGGAGGAGTGTGTGGTCACTGAATGCAACGTAGGCCAATTTCCAGACATTCAATGTTGGGCTAAGAGTTTCCAGCCACAGTCCCACTGTTAGTTTGATCACAGGAATTACAAACTTGGGGAATATTGTTAATGGCCATTTTGTGCCATGTGAACTGAAAAATGGAAAAGTCTATTTGGTGGAAAGAGAAGAATGAAACAAATGTGCAGAGAAGGGGAGAGGCAGAGGTGAGACAGAAAAATTCTCATGTGAGGTTTAGAGCCTGTCAGGAAAACAGAAAGTACTAGGGGTTTCAGAGAGAATTTAACATAGGGAGCTTGTTAAAGGTGATGGAGGGGTGAGGAATTAGGAGGTGGGAAGTCACCCCAGAGACTGGCAGTGGGGGAGCCTTCCACCACTCAGGAGGGGGAGACAAGGAGGCAGTCGTACCAGGGATGGGAGCCCTGGCAGAAGCTGGAAGCAGTGGGCCCTGTCCAGCAGGAGCTGAAGCCATGGGGGAGAAACAGCTGCTGTGGACGATGCCCCCCAGTGTGGAGAGAGGAGAATAAATAAACCAGTTTCTTCTTCCTGGACCTTCCAGTCTCCTGTCTGTGCCTCTCTTGGGTCACACGCAGCCAGAAGCCAGCTGAAAGGGAGGCTGGGAAGTGCCTGAGGGAGTTGGCTCCCTCCACAGAAGGGACCAGAGGAGGAGGAGGAGTTTCTCTGAGAGCAAACCAGATCTGCTGGAAATCCACATCCTGGGCCATAAAACACACCTCGCAACTCTAAAACAATGGAAATCATGCCAAGTGTATTCTCAGACCATAATGGAATTAAACTAGACATCTACTATAGAAAGATAGCTAGAAAACACCAGAGTGTTGACAGATGAAACCACACACTTCTAAATAACACATGGATCAAAGAAGAAGACTCCCGTGAAATTTAAAAATATTTTGAACTAAATGAAAATAAAAACCAAACTCATCAAAATTTGTGGGACGCAGCGAAAGCAGTGCTTACGGAGGCACTTCTACCCTGAACACATAGATCAGAAAAGAAAAAGGATCTGACATCATTAATCTATACTGCCACTCTAGGAAATGAGAGAAAAACGGACAACTTCAACCCAAAGCAAGCAGAAGAAATGAAACCATAAAAATCAGGGCAAAATCAATGAAATTAAAAACAGAAAATCAATAGAAAAACATCAATGAAACTAAAAGATGGTTGTTCAAAAATATAAATGCTGTAGACTGAATGTTTGTGTCCCTCCCCATCCTAATCTCTAAGGTAATGGTATTGGGAGGTGTGGCCTTTAGGAGGTGATTAGGTCATGAGGACAGAGCCATCCAAATGCACTTGTAAAAATGACTCCAGGGAGCTCCCTCTTGCCTTCCACCATGTGAGGACACAGTGAGAAGTGCCATCTATGAACCAGGAAAAAGGCCCTCAGCAGACACCAAATCTGCAGACAATTGGATCTGGGACTTCCTGCCTCCAGAACTGTGGGAAATTTCTGTTGTTTGTAAGCCACCAGCCTCTGGTATTTTGTTATTGCAGCCACTGTTAGCAGTGGAAGCTATCTGTATGGGTCTGCAGCAACCTCAGGTCTTGCCTCCTGAGAAGAAAGAATTTGA
Organism: Homo sapiens; assembly: GCF_000001405.40. Classification (NCBI taxonomy): domain Eukaryota; kingdom Metazoa; phylum Chordata; class Mammalia; order Primates; family Hominidae; genus Homo; species Homo sapiens. The sequence continues at coordinate 60,536,386 of NC_000020.11, forward strand.
CTGAGGGGCAGAAGGCAGAAGGAGAGACCAAGGTAAGTTTTAGAGCAGGAGTGAAAGTTTACCAAAAACTTTTAGAAGAGGAAGGAAAGGAAAAAAAGTTCACTTGGAAGAAGGCCAAGCTGGCGACTTAAAAAACAAGTGCAGGCCAGGCGCAGTGGCTCATGCCTGTAATCCCAGCACTTTGGCAGGGCGAGGCAGGCGGATTACCTGAGGTCGGAAGTTGGAGACCAGCCTGGCCAACGTGGTGAAACCCCGTCTCTACTAAAAATACAAAAATTAGCCAGGCGTGGTGGCGGGCACCTGTAATCCCAGCTACTCAGGGGGCTGAGGTAGGAGAATGGCATGAACCCGGGAGGCGGAGGTTGTGGTGAGCCAAGATTATGCCATTGCTCTCCAGCCTGGGCAATGAGAGCAAAACTCTGTCTCAAAAAGAAAAACAAACAAACAAAACAAACAAAAACAAGTGTGCAGTTTGACTTTCTGATTTGGAGTTTTAGACATGGGCACACTTCCAGGGTCTTGACTTGCATTATTTCTCCCAACTCTGAGATCTTATCAGGAAGCTGCTGATCACCAGTTTCAGGTGGTGTTTTCTATCAATTAGGAGACTGGCTGGGCACGGTGGCTCACACTGTAATCCCAGCACTTTGGGATGCCAAGGCGGGAGGATCACCTGCGGTCAGGAGTTCAAGACCAGCCTGGCCAACATGAGGAAACCCCGTCTCTATGAAAAATACAAAAATTAGTTGGGCGTGGTGGTAGGTGCCTGTAATCCCAGCTACTCAGGAGGCTGAGGCAGGAGAATAGCTTGAACCTGGGAGATGCAGGCTGCAGTGAGCCGAGATTGCACCATTATACTGCAGCCTGGGCGACAGAGCAAGACTCTATCTGGGAAAAAAAAAAAAGAGACTACATTTCCCTGGCACCAGCTGTGACCAATTATTACTTTAGGGAGACAGTTAACCACCTGACCATCACCTGATGGTCTCCAGACTCTCCTGGTGTGTGTGGTGGGGAGCCCTCTCCTGCCCTGCTCAGACCAGACTAGCTACCCACTGTAACATGAACAGACTAAGACAATGAACAAAGTAGATAAACCTGTAAGAGAGAAAGACACACATTGCTAGTATTAGGAATGAAAAAAGGGGGCGGGCATGGTGGCTCACGCCTATAATCCCAGCACTTTGGGAGACCAAGGCAGGTGGATCACCTGAGGTCAGGAATTTGAGACCAGCCTGGCCAACATGGCAAAACCCCGTCTCTACTAAAAATACAAAAATTACTGTGGTGGCACGTGCCTGTAATTCCACCTCCTCGGGAGGCTGAGGCAGGAGAATCACTTGAACCAGGAGGCAGACATTGCCATGAGCTGAGATCACACCACTGCACTCCAGCCTGGGTGACAGAGTGAGAATTCATCTCAAAAAAAAAAAAAAAAGAAAAAGAAAAAAAAGGAACCATTATTACTAATGCCATGGACATTAAGAGGATAATTTAAAAATATCACGCTCTGCCTATACATTTTATATCCTAGAAGAAATGGTCTAACTTCTTGAAAAACTGAGCAATCAAAGCTCATGCAGGGAGAAATAAATAATAGATTTCTATCAATAAAGAAATTGAATTTGTAATTACTAACCTTCTAAAAAAGAAAGCACCAGGCCTAGGTGGTTTCAATGGTGAATTTTACCTAACGCTTCAAGAAGAAATGATACCCATTTTCTACAATCTCTTTTGGAAAACATACGTAGAGGGATTACTTTTTAAACTCATCCTATGGGACCAGAATTACCCTATTACCAAAACCAGATAAAGACATTATAACAAAGAAAAACTACAAAACTAATATACCTCATTAATATACATGCAAAAATCTTTAACAAAGTATTAGGAAATCAAATCCAACAGTGTGATACAAATAATTATATACCACAATCAAGTGGGATTTATTCCAAGTATGCAAAACTGATGGAATTGATGGAAATGATGGAAATATAATTAATATTATCCACACACCAGTAGGCTAAGGGAGGAAAGCTATATAATCACATCAACAGATGTAGAAAAATCACTTGACAAATCCAACACCTATTTATGATTAAAAACTCACAGCAAAATAGAAATACAGGGGAACCTCCTCAACATATTGTTTTAAAAATCTACATAAAACCTACAGCTAGCATTATACTTAATGGTGAGAAACTGCATGCTTACCCCTAAAGTTCAGAAAAAGATAAGAATGTTCCCTTTCACTACTTTTAATTCGACCTCACATTAGAAGTCCTAGCTAGTGCAATAAGACAAAGAAAATAAACACATACTGATTGAGAAGGAAGGAAAGAGCTGCCCTTGTTTGCATATGACATGATTGCCTATGTAGAAAATTCCAAAGAATTGACAAACCAGCAACCTCATAAAACAAGTAATTATGTCAAAGTTGCAGGGTATAACGTTAGTATATAAAAGTTAACTGTTTTTCTGTGTACTAGCAATGAGGAATTAAAATCCAATGCCATTTACAGTAGCCCCAAGAAATGACATACTTAGTATATAAATCTAAGAAAAATCTGTGGGATTTATATGCAGAAAACTCTTAGGAAAGAAATCAAGGACCTAAATGCAGAAATAGATATTTCTTGTTCGTATATTTGAAGACTCAATATTGGTAGGATGTTAATTCTTCTGAACTTGATCTATAGCCTAGCCAAAATCCCACCCAAAGTCTAGCATGCTATTTTGTGAGTATCCACAAACTTGAGTCTCCAATTTATCTAAATAGATAAAAGGCCTAGAATAGCCAACATGACAGTGAAGAAGCATAGCTAAGTTGGAGGACTGACACTCTTCAACTTTAAGACTTGCTATAAAGCTACAGTAAAGTAGCATGTAAAAAGTACAATCCCTGTACTTTTTACATGGAGAAAGGTTGAGTCTATCTCTGGGGACCCCAAATGCTGTAAGTTATCCCTGAAACAGATTAATAGAGCTTGACAGAACAAAAATAGTTTGGAGAAAACAAATCTGAAGTCGTATTTGCTTCCATCCCTTGAAAATGAATAGATCCAGAGAAAGTCAAGTAATAAAAATGTATATTTGTACTGTTCAGAGACACTCACATGGGTAATAAAATTAGGAGAAAACCAGGAATGATCAACATAAAATTTAGGATAGCTATGATCTGAGAGTAGAAGAAGAGGAAAGTAATAGTGGGTCATCTAGGATTTCAGCGATGCTCCATTTCACTCCTGGGTGGTGAGTACTCAGGGGTCTGTTTTATTAATATTTTTAATCTGCTTATTCACATTTTATAAACTGTCTTACAGTATTTTACAAACTACACAGTTCAGGTTTTAAAAAAACTTTCTCTTCTTCCCTGAGACTGCTGCAATATATTAGGTTAAACCAAGGTCCCACAAATGAGTTAATTTTACATTGCAAAGGACACACAAATTTTCTATGTGTTGGAAGTTCTTTCCTGTTTTTGATTGCATGCTTTTCACCCATACATTTTCTTCTTAATTCTTCAAGAGAATGTGGACCGTGGATGTGTTGCTTCTTTGTTTGGTTGCAGAGGTCTGAGTCTTCAACTGTGTTTTGAAGCATGCGTATAGCACAAACAGCATTGCAAATACTTTGCAAGGAGACCCTGGGGGACAACAGTGCACCCTATCCCCATTCCACTCTTTTTTTAAAGAAGGAAGATTGACTAACTTTTGAGCATCCCATCCCTAGTGGAGGTTGGAGGAGTATCTGAGGACTTAAAACTGTGCATTTCATATGCTGCTGAAATGTTATGGGAGTTTTATTTCAAAAGCTGAGGGCTCTGCAAGCTAGGTCTTCTGAGGAACATGGCAAACTTTGATTCCAGCTAGAAATGAAATGGAATGTGTGAAATAAAGGAGTTGCCAACAGTCTTATTTTTCTTTCCATATATCGCAATGAAAAGGGAACCTGTTTGCAGTATTTAACATGGAGGAAACCAACATTTCCAAGTGTTATCGAGCACAAGGTAATGGAGAAAGGTTGAGTCTGTCTCTGGAGCCCCCAAACACTGTAAGTTATCCCTGAAACAGATTAACAGGAGTTGACAGAACAGAAATAGTGTGGAGGAAACAAATCTGAAGTCACATATTTGCTTCCATCACTTGAAAATGAATAGACCCAGAGAAAATCAAGTTCAGCTCATATACTTAGCACCTACCTCAGCTCTGCATTCAAATTGGGCTTTATTTTCTACTAATATTTGTTCTTTTGACAAGGAATATTTCCTTACAATATTCAGTGTTATATCACTCAAAGTCCAGCATACGTTTCCCTTATTTTAATGTGTCCATAATGAACACATTCACATAAATGAATTTCACGGGTGAATAGGTTTTATTGTTTATAGAACAGCTGTTAATAGAGTCTACAGTCCACAGGAAGAATGATGTTATTTGAATAATATTATATTCTGTGTACACATCGAGTTTGTTTCCAATAGATCTCAGGTGGAATATTTTATGCTTTCTTCTTCTTTGTGAATCATAGGAAAAGTATGCTGAATTATTATGTTGATGTAATGAAAATACCTCTGTGTGTGTGTGTGTGTGTGTGTGTTTGTGTGTGAATCTGGAAAAGTAAGGGAATAAACAAGCAAAAGCAAAAAAAAAGTGAGCACAAAAGCGCAGTGTTGATTGTATTAAATATTTTTCATTTTCTTTTATTTGTTATTTGTTAATGTATGCTTTGAAATTTCTGTATTGAGAGCATTGCTAACACTAGAAGCAGAGTATCTGTATTATACAAAATGTTAAGATTAAAAAAAGATAAAGTAGGAAGGAAGGAACACACATGCATAAAATGTGGCATACAGTGCTAATTAGATTTCATTTTTAAGAAATGTAGCAATTTCTCATTGATGGATAAGTTTGTTTGATTTTCCTAATATTGGCTGTAAGTTTTTTTTTAATAAGAGAAATTTGATGTTGAGTACATAAACATATTTTGCATAAAAGGTCAGATTTCTGAATTCTCATTAAAAATTTGTACTTTTGGCAAAATTGCATTTAAATTTCCATGAAGCATCAATTGGCTAGGGGTCACTCACAGCTGTGCCTTTAGAAGAGCTATCCACTCCCCTTCACCATAGTTCCCACCATTTTCCTGTTACTTACCAACATGCAGCCCTCATATTAGTCTCTATTTCCCATCTCTTTTGCATTTCTGCTGCCAAAAGCACAGGGATGGGCAATTGTCTCAATAGCTGGCCCAAGGACAGGTTAAAAAAGGAGTTTGTAATCACGGAGGACTGTAAAGAAGAAATAGCCCTGGACAGAGGTTTGGTGAGAAAGAGTATTGGTAAATGTGGGCCTCTAATCCCTGCAGGGTACACAGACAACATTAGCATTGAGGCTCTCCTAGGAATGATACTTGATTTTGGTGAGGGGCGTGTGTGTGTGTGTGTGTGTGTGTGTGTGTGTATATGTGTTCACATACATGCTTATGTATGTTATATACAATTTCAAAAGTATTACACGTTTATTTGAGAAAATTTGGACCAAAAATAAATAAATAAAAGTTACCCAAATTCCCCACCTAGAACTCAACATGATTAATATTTTGGTGGATTCCCTTCTTGTTTTACTTCTTTCTTTCTTTCTTTTTACAACTTTTCACAAAACTAAAGTTATTTTTTACTTGTTTTACTTGAAAATATAGAATTTAACAGGTCCATAACCTTAAGCCTTCTGCCCACATTGTATGTGCTTCAGTTCCCCAGCTACTCCCAGCTGTTCCCCTTTTCCTCCATAAATCATGAAGCAATGGGCATTTCCATGCATCAGCCCTGCCGTTGACAATGGGGCCGAGAAGAGCACAGGCTCTTATCCTGCCTGCGTGATAGATAGCATTGAGAAGTTCTGAGTTTGGATGTCGGTTCTGACTTGCCTCAATTCTTCTAATTTTATGTTCATTTGTTAGATGGTAATTATGAGTCCCTACTTCACAGGGTTTTCGGAATAAGTGAGACCATCCCAGTAAATAATTTAGAACAGAGCAAATGTAATCAGCGTTCACCAAACCAAACAAACCTGTGATTGATTGCTGCATCAAAAGATGGCAAAAGACTTTTGATAGCTCTATTGCCAAATTGTCTTCCAGGAACAACCTGCCAGCGTAAACATTTACCCGTCATGCGTCCAAGTACTCTCTTTGCCGTACATTCCCCAACTCTTGAAAATATTTTCTAATGTACATATTTTTCAAAGTGGCAGTTTAACATATTTATTCAATGGCTGTTTCAACTTGCTGTGTTTTATCATTACTGACTTCAACATTGTTATATATTTTTAGCTATTTGTGTTTCTTCTCTTGTCACTGCTTTTTCTTATTCATCCTTATGATTTTTGTGTGGATTAATAAATTACCTTTATGTAATGGGATTAACATATTCTGTCTTGTAAGGCAATTATTTTGCTAAGCATGTGGTATGCCTTTCCATTTTTACAGTATATTTTAAAATAAAGTATTTTATCTTTAATGTAATTAATATGAGGTTAATAATATAATTTTTTTCTTTAAACCAGGGAAATAATTTCTTGAACTATGGAATATAAGCAGACATAATTCTTTTTGGTTTCATTTTTATCATTAACCGCAATCAAGTTACATGTTGATGTTTTATCTTCTATTGGTTTTATTTTGCTTTGCTTTATTTGTTTATGCAAACTGAGAGGTCAGAACATGTCTTAATATTCCAAATAGTAAACAATAGCCCAGTTACAATGTATTGGATAAATCCCCACTAGCCTCTCCAAATTAAATCACCACCCTTAAGCAAAATCAATGGCTAATATAACACTTGACTTCTTTAGCATCTTTAATGTTATAATTTTAAAAACTGAATATTTGGCTCTAAATTCCAGTTTTTAACTTTTCTTAGCCATTTTTAACTATTCATCCTACAACATAAAGTTTAAAACACTTTTATCTACTTGCAAAAAAATACTATTTACTTTTAATTAAATCTACAAATTAATCATTGTGAAATTGTCATCTTTATAGTATTGCAAATTTCTTCCTAGAGAAAGAGGATGTAATGTCATTTATTTACTGATATTGACCTTGTAAATTTCTTATTAAATCTATTTTTCACTTTTTATTTGTGTATTAACTGTAGTATCTACATTTACTTCATTGTTAACTTTTTAAAAATTTTATTTTAAATTCTTATGGTTACATAGTAGATGTATATGTTTATGGGGTACATGAGATATTTTGATACAGTCACACAATGTTTAATAATCACATTAGGACAAATGAAATATCCATCACCTCGAGCATTTATTCATTGTGTTACAAATAATTCAATTATACTCTTTTAGTTACTTTAAAATGCACAATAAATTATTGTTGACGATAGCCACTCTGTTGTGCTATCAAATACTAGATTGTATTCATTCTATCCAATGTCATTTTTGTACCCATTAACCATCCTCTCCCCACCCCACCCCACTCCCACCCCACTCCCACCCGACTACCCTTCCCATCCTCTGATAACCATGGTTCTACTATCTTCATGAGTTCAATTATTTTAATTTTTAACTCACAAATAAGTGAGAACATGCAAAATCTTTCTGTGCCAGGCTAATTCTACTTAACATAATGACTTCCAGTTCTATCCATGTCGTTGCAAATGACAGGATCTCATTTTTTTTTATGACTGAATAGTACTCCATCGTGTCTATGTACCACATTTTCTTTATCATTTGTCTGTGGATAGACTTGTAGGTTGCTTCCACATCTTGGCTATTGTGAATAGTGCTGCCACAACCATGGGAATGCAGATATCTCTTTAATATACTTATTTCTTTTCTATTGGGTATACCTAGCATCCCTAGGGATTGCTGGATCATACAGTAGTTCTATTTTTAGTTTGTAAAGGAACCTCCAAATTATTCTCCATAGTGGTTGCACTAATTTACATTCCCACAAACAGTATACGAGGGTTCCTTTTCCCCCACATCCTCACCAGCATTTGTTATTGCCTATATTTTGGATAAAAGAAACATTTTGACTGGGGTCAGATGATATCTCACTATAGTTTTGATTTGCATTTCTCTGATGATCAATGATTTTGAGCACCTTCTCATATACCTGTTTGCCATTTGTTTGTTGTCTTTTGAGAAACATCTGTTCAGATCTTTTGCTTATTTTTTAGTCAGATTATTAGATTTTTTTTCCTATGGAGTTGTTTAAGCTCCTTATATATTCTAGTTATTCATCCCTTGTCAGAGAGGTAGTTTGCAAACATTTTCTCACATTTTATGGGTTGGCTCTTTACTTTGTTGATCTTTACTGTGCAAAAGCTTTTTAACTTCATGTGACTCCATCTGTCCATTTTTGCTTTGGTTCCCTGTGCTTGTGGGGTATTACTCAATAAATCTATGCCCAGTCCAATGGCCTGGAGGTTTTCCCCAAAGTTTTCTCTTAGTAGTTTCATAGTTTGAGGTCTTAGATTTAAGTCTTTAATCCATTTTATTTGATTTTCATATATGGTGAGAGGTAGGAGTCTAGTTTCATTCTTCTGCATATGGAATTCCTGTTTTCTCAGCACCATTTATTGAAGAGTGTCCTTTCCCTAATATATGTTCTTGGCACCTTTGTCAAAATAAATTTACTGTGGATGTAAGGATTTGTTTCCAAGTTTTTTATTCTGTTCCATTGGTCTATGAGTCTGTTTTTATGCCAGTACCATGCTGTTTTAATTACTATAGTTTTGTAGCATAACTTGAAGTCAGGTAATGTGATTCCTCCAGTTGTGTTCTTTTTAGTCAGGATACCTTTGGCTATTCAGGGTCTTTTGAGGTTCCACATAAATATATTATGATTTTTTTCTATTTCTGTGAAGAATGTCATTGGTATTTTAATAGGGATTGCATTGAATCTGTAGATTGTTTTAGGTAGTATGGACATTTTCACAATATTGATTCTTCCAATCCAGGAACATAGACTGTTATTCATATTTTTTGTGTCCTCTTCAATTTCTTTTATCAATGTTCTATAGTTTTCATTGTAGAGATCTTTCACTTCTTTGGTTAATTCTTAGGTATTTTATTTTATTTGTAGCTATTGTGAATAGGATTTTTTTTTTTATTTCTTTTTCAGTTTGTTTTTTGCTGGCATATAGAATTGCTACTGATTTTGTATGTTGATTTTGTACCTTGCAACTTTACTGAATTTGCTTCAGTTCTAAAAATTGTTTGGTGGAGTCTTCTGTTTTTTGCAAATATAAGATTCTATCATCTGCAAACAAGGATAATTTGACTTATTTTCCAGTTTGGATGCCCTTTATTTCTTTCTATTCTCTGATTGCTGTAAGTAGGACTTCCTGTACTATGTTTAATAACAGTGGTAAGGCCAGGCATTGTGGCTCACGCCTGTAATCCCAGCACTTTGGGAGGCCAAGACGGGCGGATCATGAGGTCAGGAGATCAAGACCATCTTGGCTAACATGGTAAAACCCCATCTCTACTAAAAATACAAAAAAATTAGCCAGGCGTGGTGGTGGGTGCCTGTAGTCCCAGCTACTCGGGAGGCTGAGGCAGGAGAATGGCATGAACCTGGGAGGTGGAGCTTGCGGTGAGCCGAGAGAGTGCCACTGCTCTCCAGCCTGGGTGACAGAGCGAGACTCCATCTCAAAAAAAATAATAATAACAGTGGTAAAAGTGGGCATCCTTGTCATGTTCCAGATCTTAGAGGAAAGGCTTTCAGTCTTCCTCACTTGGTATAATACTGGCTGTGGGTTTGTCATATATGGCTTTTATTCTGTTGAGATGTGTTTCTACTCTACCCAGTTTCTTCAGGATTTTTTTTTTAATCATGAAGCAATGTTGAATTTTATCAAATGCTTTTTCAGCATCAATTTAAATGACCATATGGTTTTTATCCTTCATTCTGTTGATATGATGTATCACACTGATTTGAGTATGTTGAACCATCCTAGCATTCCTGGCATAAACACCACTTGATCATGATGAATGATTTTTTTAAAGTGTGTTGTTGAATATTTTGTTGAGGATTTTTTCATCAATGTTTATCAGGAATATTGGCTTGTAGTTTCCTTTTTTCAGTGTGTCTTTGGTTTGTAATAATGGCCTCATAGGATGAGTTTGGAAGTATTTCCTCCTCCTCTATTTTTTAGAATACTTTGAGTAGAATTGGTATTATTTATTCCTTAAATGTTTGGTAAAATTCAGCAGTGAAACCATTGGGTCTTGGACTTTACTTTGATGGGAGACTTTTTATTATTATTATTATGACTTCAATCTCATTATTTGTTATTGGTCTATACAGATTTTGGATTTCTTCATGGTTCAATTTTGCTAGGTTGTATGTGTCTAGGAATTTGTTCATTTCTTCTAGGTTTTTCAATGTATTGGCATATAGTTGCTCATAGTAGCCTCTAATGGTCCTTTGAATTTCTGCAGTGTCAGTTGTAATGTCTCATTTTTCATCTCCGATTTTACTCACTTGAGTCTTCTCTCTTTTTTGCTTGGTTACTCTGGCTAAAGTTTTGTCAGGTTTGTTTATCTTTCCAAGAAACCAACTTTTTATTTTGTTGATCTTTTGTATAGTTTTCTTTGTTTCAATTTTATTTAATTCTGCTCTGATCTTTACTATTTCTTCTACTAATTTTGTGTTTGGCTTGCTCTTTTCTAGTTCTTTCAGATGCATTGTTAGGTTGTTTATTTGAAATTTTTCTACTTTTGTGATGTAGGCTTTTATAGCTATAAATGCTCTTAGTATTCCTTTCACTGTATCTGATAGGTTTTGGTATGTTGCGTTTCCATTATCATTTGTTTCCAGAAACTTTAATTTTTTTAAAACTTCTTCATTGACACCACTGATCATTAATCAGCAGTATATTGTTTAATTTCCTTGTGTTTGTATAGTTTCCAAAATTCCTCTTGTTATTGATTTCTAGTTTTATTCCTTTGTGGCCAGATGAGATACTTGATACAATTTTATTTTCTTTGAATTTCTTAGGACATGTTTTGTGGCCTAACATATAGCCTATCCTCGAGAATGATCCATGTGCTGAGAAGAATGTGTATTCTGCAGTTGTCACCTGAAATGTTCTGTAAATATTGATTAGATTCATTCAATCTATAGTGCAGATTAAGTACAATGTTCCTTTCTTGACTTTCTGTTGGCACGACCTGTCCAATCCTGAATATGGGGTGTTGAAGTCTCCAGCTTTCATTGTATTGGAGTCTTTAACTTTAGCACTAATACTTGCTTTATATATCTGGGTGATCTAGTGTTGCGTGCATATATATTTACAATTGTTATATCATCTTGCTGAATTGACCCCTTTATCATTATCTAATGATATTCTTTATATCTTTTTATAGTTTTTGTCTTAGAAACTATTTTATCTGATATAAGTATAGCTACTCCTGCTCTTGTTTAATTTCCATTTGCATAGAATACCTTTTTCCATCCCTTTATTTTCAGTCTATGTGTGTCTTTATAGGTGAAGTGTGTTTCTTGTAGGCAACAGATAATTTGGTCTCGTTTTTTCATCCATTCAGCCAATGTTTGTCTTTTAATTGGAGAGTTTAATACATTTACATTCAATGTTATGATTGATAAGTAAGGACTTACTCCTGTCATTTTGTTATTTGTTTTCTGGTTGTCTTGTGGTCTTCTCTTTCTTCTTTCCTGTCCTCCTTTTAGTAAAGGTGATTTTCTCTAGTGGTATGTTTTAATTTCTTGCTATTTATTTTTTGGGTATCTGTTGTATGTATTATGATTTGAGGTTACCGTAAGACTTCCAAATAATATCTTATAACTGATTATTTTAAACTGATGGCAACTTAACACTGATTGCATAAACAGGCTAGCAAACAAGCAAAGAAAAAAATGAATAAACACTCTACACTTTAACTTTATCCCCTGCTTTTAACTCATTTTTGTTTCTATTTATATCTTATTGTACTGTCTGTGTCTTCAGACGTTATTGTAGTTATTGTTTTTGATTGGTTCATCTTTTATCCTTTCTACTCAAAATGTGAATAATTTACCCACCACAATTGCAGTGTTATAATATTCTGTGTTTTTCTGTGCACTTTCTATTATCAATGAGTTTTGCACCTTCAGATGATTTGTTATTGTTCATTAATGTCCCTTTCTTTTAGATTGAAAAACTCTCTTTAGCATTTCTTACAGGGCAGGTCTGGTGTTGATAAAAATCCCTCAGTTTTTGTTTGTTGGGGAAAGTCTTTATTTCTCCTTCATGTCTGAAGTATATTTTTGCTGGATATACAATTCTAGGATAAAAGTTTCTTTCTTTTTCCCTTTAGCACTTTATGTTATGCCATTCTATCCTGGTTTGCATGTTTGAAGCTCCATTTTGTAGTATTTTTTTCTTTTCTTTTGCTGCTTTTAGGATCTTTTTAAATTATTTACCCTTGGAAATTTGATTATTGAATGTCTTGAGGTAGTCTTCTTTGGGTTAAATCCTGGTTTTCTATAATCTTCATATTCTTAAATATTGATATCTTTCTCTAGGTTTGGGAATTTTTTGTTGTTATCCCTTTTAATAAAATTTCCATCCCTATATCTCCCTACCTCCTCTTTAAGGCCAATAATTCTTATATTTGCCCTTTTGAGGCTATTTCCTAGATCTTGTAGGTGTGCTTTACTCTTTTTTCTTTTTTGTTCTCTGACTATATATTTTCTAATAGCCTATCTTCCAGCTCATTAATTCTTTTTTCTGCTTGATCAATTCTGTTCTAAAGAGATTGTAATGCATTCTTCAGTATGTCAATTACATTTTTCAACTCCAGAATTTCTGTTTGATTCTTTTTAATTATTTTAATATCTTTGTTAAATGTATCTGTTAGTGTTCTGAATTTCTTCTTTGTGTTATCTTGAATTTCACGTGTTTCCCCAATATGGCTATTTCGAAGTGTCTGTCTGAAAGCTCACATATCTCTGTCTCTCCAGGATTGGCCCCCGATGGCTTGTTTAGTTCATTTGTTGAGATCATGTTTTCCTGAATGATCTTGATGCTTGTGGATATTCACTGGTCTCTAGGCATTGAATAGTTAAGTATTTATTACAGTCTTCACAGTCTGCACTTGTTTGTACCTATCCTGCTTAGAAAGGCTTTCCAGGCATTTGAATGGAGTTGGGTGTTGTAATCGAAACTGCAGTTTGATCACTGCAGTCATATCTGCATTAGAGGGCACCCCAAGCTCAGCAACGCTGTGGCTCTTGCAGACTCATAGAAGTACCACCTTGGTGGTCTTAGACAAGATCTGGAAGAATTTTCTGGGTTACCAGGCAGAGACTCTTGTTCTCTTCCCTTACTTTCTTTCAAACAAACGGAGTCTCTCTGTGCCAAGCTGCCTGGAGCTGGGGCATGGGTGAAACAAGCCACCACTTCTTGACCTCTGTGACCACCATCTCTGGGACTGCACTGCATCAGACCTGAAGCCAGCATGGTACTGGGTCTCACCCAAGGCCCATAGTAACCATTGCCTGGCTACTGCTGATGTTTTCTCAAGGCCCTAGGGCTCTACAATCAGCATATGGGAAAGCCAGCCAGGCTTGTGTCCTCCCCTTCAGAACAGCAAGTCCCCCCTAGCCCTGGGTAGGTCCAGAAATGGCATCTGAGAGCCAGGGTCTGGAGTCAGAAACCTTAGGGATCTAACTTGCTGTATTATACTAAGGCTGAGCTGGCACATAAGCCACAATACAACTTCTTTCCTACTCTTTCCTCCTCTTTCCACAAGTTGAGAAGTCTCTCCCTATGGCCACCACCAGCCCAGGCCTATGGCAAACACTGCCTGGCTACACTGATGTTCACTCAAGGCCCAAGGACTCTTCAGTCAGCTTGTGATGAATGCTGCCAGGCCTGAGTCTCTTCCTTTAGGGCAGTGGGCTCAATCCTGGCCTTGAGTAGGTTCAGAAATGTCACCTACAAGCCAAGGCCTTGAATCAGGAACCCCCATGTCCCTGCTTAGTCCTCTACCCTACTGTGGCTGAGTTGGTACCTAAGCTGCATGACAAAGTCCCCTTTACTCTTTGCTCTCCTTTTCTCAGGCAGAAGAAGCCTCTTCTCACAGCAACCATAGCATGGGAACGTGTGGATCACATTTAACCCAGCATGTCTCTGAGTCTTACCCAAGGCTCACAGTGAGTACTACCTGGGTATCACTGCTGATTATTTAGGGCCCAAGGGTTCTCTTGTCAGCAGATGATGAATCTTTCCAGAACTGGATCTTTTCCTTCAAAGCAGCAGTTTTCATTCTGCCCCAGAGAGTATCTAGAAATCCTGTCATCCAGGAGCTAGGGCTTGGAAAGTGGGCCTCAGGAGTCTAGCCGGTGCCCTGTCCTACCATGACTGAGCTAGTATCCAAGTTTTAAGAAAAAGTCTTCTTTATTCTTCCCTCTCCTCTCCTCAAGTGGAGGAAAGGAGCCTCTCCTGAAGCTGTGAGCTATGCTGCCTGGGATGGAGAAGTACAAGCACTTCCTTAGCCACCCTGGCTGGTGTCTCACTAGGTCACGTGTACCCCAACTTCACTGGCTCTGAGCCCAGCATAGCACCAAGACTTGCCCAGGAATTGCCGTCCTTGTGGCCTAGGTTGCCTTTCAAGTTTGTTTCGAACCCCAGATCAGGTTAGCTGTCAGGAACTCAGATTCTCACTGCTAGGACGATGATTTCCCTCTCACTAAGGCTAGTCTAAATGCTTTATCCATGACTGCTGGCCGAGTTCTGCCCATGTTGCTTTCCACTGAGCCAGGAGAACACTGAGGTCCAACATAAAGTCCTACAATCACTGCACTCTCTCTCTCCCAAGCACACAGATTCTGTCTCTGCGCCACACAGCCACTGCTGGGGGATGGAGGAGGGATGCTGTCAGCAATTCAAGACTGTAATTTCTACCCTCTTCAGTGCCTTTTTCTGTGATACACAGTTAAAATCAGGTACTATGATCACTCACTTGAGTTTTAGTTCTTATGAAGATGATATTTTTTGTGAATAGTTGTTCAATCTGATGTTCCTATGAGGAGGAGGATTGATGGAGGCTTCTATTCAACCGCCTTGCTTTCCCTCTCCCTAAATCTATTTTAAACATTTTATATTTCCATGTCTGTTGTAAATATGACCTTTCTTTGGTCACATTTTGTAACTGTTTTGGTCAATACATGGTAGAACTATTAATTTTTATTTTTCACTTTTGTAACTCAATATATTAGCGGACACTAGTTATTTTTATACTGTGGTTTTACTGGCCTTTTAAGATGCACAATGTGATCTGCAAAACTAATTTAATCTTCTATTCCTGATAATTGTACCATATTGATTTTTTTTTTATTTTATTGTAAGGGATAGATTTTCCAAATGCTGTAAGGTAGTAGTAGTAACAATGGGCATCATAGCTTTCCAGTTCATGTTCGAACTGAAAACATGGCACAATATGGCACAGATCAATCCAGGCCTAAAATTGGAAGTCAGATATGGCATCAACTGGCTGTGCATCAAGATTTAAGTATAGAGTATTATTTCCATTTTATTTGTAGTAACTGGAAATAGGGAACAATCAATATCAGATAACAATGGTTTGATTAAATTGTTGTGTAGCCATAAGATGAAAGTTTTTGTAGTCACTGTAAGTATGGCTTTCAAAGAATTTGTCATGGCACAGGTAAAATTTCTAGATTTGCAAGAAAAATTGAAATGTGAGCTATGACATAAGACCTTGAGTTCTAATCCTGTCCAGTCCTCAACAGCAGTCCACTTAACCCTCTGTGACTCAGTTTCCTTAACCCTCAGTTTCCTCATTTGTTAAAAGGGGATAATAATACTGTGTATAGTCTATGGTTTTCACAGCTATAAAATAACACACTGTGGGTATACCTGACACATAGTAGATGGTCATTAAATCATTAGTTGATAACTATTCTTACCATCCTGTAATATGCTTCAGGTCTATGACAGAAAATGCAGTAACCTGGAAATTGAATTTTGTTTTTCTTATTGGTGGACTTTGAGGCAATTCCAAATATTCTCCTTACATTTTCTTCAGTATTTTCCACAATGTAGCCTTATTTTTAAAAAAATATAATCTGAAAAATAAATAAAAGCAAAAGCAGATACTTTTACTGAGTGAAGGCTCTATGTCAGGAGGGGTCATGGGAGAAGAAGGAGATGGTTTTGAGTCAGAGGAAGGGGCTGGGACAAGGGGCAGAGTGCAGAGTGGAGAGGGTGAGGGAGACGTACAGTGTGGATGTTGAGGCTTTATTCACTGGATGGCCTGAGACTCAGCTTCCTGGCTTCAGGCACCCAATCCTGCACAGGGTGGGCAAGTCCAGCAGTTGAGCTCCAGAGGTCAGCAGGACTTCAAGGCACAGGTGGAGCTGAGCAGGGGTGTGATTAAAGCCCCAGATCTGGATGCCATGCCCCAGGCTTAGCATGGAGAGTATGGAGCTGCAGGATTCCAACTCCCCAAAAGCCAATAGATGGATATGCTGGATGATAATATTATCTGAATCTCTGTATTTATCCCATTGCTGACATTTTGTCTGTGACAGAATGCTTTATGTTCTTTTGAGATTTTTTTTGCATCCTTATTTGTCTTTTTCCTCTATTTATCTTCCCGTAGATGATTTCAGAAGTTTTTTCCCCTCTAAGAGTCATTCTGCTTTATTTTCACATTTCCATTAATTATTTATCAAATATATACTTTTATACAACCAGTTTCTTCATTTCTATTTGAATAGTCTTGTTTCTTTATAGCATGTTTTTCAGTTTTGCAGAATACTGCATTCTAAAAGGATATACCAAGTAAATTCACACATATCCAGTATTTATCCTGTTTCATCAGATATGGTTGCTTTGGAAACACAGGAAATGACGTGGCAGATGCATCAGAAATCTATTCGGCATCATTGCACTTAATGATTCAGATGCTGTGAAAAATGAGTTGCACTGATTGCAAAACCCAATCAACACATACAGCGTTGTTTTAACTGTATTTCTAAAATACTTAGTTCTTTTCGCGGTAATGATAAAACATTTTTATTGAAGAAAATATGTGGTGCAAAAAATAAATAAGAAAAAGTCGCTTATTATCCCAACATTCAAAGATAACCACTTTCATTATTTTATAAATTTGCTTTTTCCCATTCAAAAATACTTTGTTTGCGTAAATATGTGTTTGCAATTTTTACATAATCAGAAAGCATCCACAGTCTTTGAGAGATCTGTGTGCCAGATTGAATGAATGTTTCATACAGAGTTTCAGTCATAGAAATTTTGCTAGATCTTAAACTGGTTCAAAGAGAGTCCCCACCCCCTGCTCCTGAATAGCAGCTAGAGCAGTGCCTGGCTGATGGTCAGGATTCAGGAAATGTTTGATGGAAGAATGAATGAATGAACCATGACACTTAAATCAGTAAAAGCCATGCATGCTAGATATGATCAGTAATTTGTCAGTGCTGCCTTAAAAAGAGAGGCAACCCTTCAGAAAAAGCTGGCCTTTATCTTAGGAGAAAACATTAAGGTTAGTGAACAATGCTCGGACTTCCATAAAAGGCAGAGACAAAGGTTCTGAGGGTACCTCTGCTCCTGAATTTATGTCAGAGACGCCTGTGAGAACACTGAGAACAATGGTCTGGCTACTTATTGGGATGAGGAGTCCGAAAATATGAAGAACAAAATACAAAGTAATATCTCAATAAATTATCTGGCCTCAGCAGTTCTCCAAGCCAATTTGGAATCTGTTTGTTTGAAGCTACGGGGAACATCACAGCTTCTAAACTTAGGAAACAGTGCTGAGTTTTGGAAGCGGATCCGTCTTGACAGGCACGGTCCCTGCCTTGCTGGGATTCCAAAGAAGAATTGATGAAGTTGACAACTCACTTGGCCATTTGCTCCTGGAGGAGCTGGTCCTGCTGTACGGAGAAGATGAGCAAATGTAGACTACATTTGCTCAGAAGGAGGCTGCCGTGTGAAGGCTTTGGGGTTAGACTGACCGGGGTCACATTCAGTGATGTGTGACTTTGGACACATCTCTTGACACAGTCATACCTCAATATTCCCATCCATGAGACAGGATGTGCCCTTACGGCTCAGGCAGGATTCACGGGTGACGTATGGTTTGTAGGGCACATAGCACATTCTTCAAAGACCAGTTCCTTCCTTCCCCTGAAACTCCTCTGTTTCACTTCGCAGTGGTGGCTGGGTTAGGGAAACTTCCTCGAGAGCTTGTGCTTTGTGATTTAAACCATGAACTCTTGCAGACCTTCCAAATTGTTTTGCTTTGCAGGTACAACAAGATAGATAGATTAGGTTTAATTTTGTTTACAGCAAATAATGTGATGACTTTTTTTTTTTTTTTACAGTGGGTTTCAAAGCCACTTCAAACTGCCTGCAAATGGTGGACCCCAATCAAAGAGTTAGTGAAGTTTTTCCTTAAAATAAGACTCCCAACACATCCCTCACTCTGTGTGGGGATTAGGAGTCTTAGTAGAAACTGCGTATGACATTCAGCCAGCCACGCTAGATTCAGAGAGATTTCACAGCAGTTGAACTCTCTCCTCCTGACATCTATGCCTGAAAGCACAGATATCCTAGCTGGTTAAAGGGCAGTATGCATTGCTTCTTCCAGGAAAAGGCCAACACCTCCCACTGTTGAAAGTATCTTCACACTCTCAATTCATCCTAATGCAAACTAGGACGGTGGCAGAGAATGCCAACAGCCCGGCCGTCTTCCTGGAAAACTGGTCTGCATGGAAGGAGCATGATCTCCCCTCTTGTCAGAAGGGCTCATGGAGGTCAAAGGTACTTGGAGTTTGTGAGGTTCCCATGATCCTGTGTAAAGCAGGATGCGAGTTCATTCCCAGTAAACCAAGCCTGAAGGCATTCTGTGCCCTGTGTCTCCCTGCCAAGACAAGAGAGCTGAAGCCACGTGGTGGTATGGGTGGGCTGCTGGCCATGGCTGAACCAGTTGTCATCAGTGCCATGGTCTTCATCATTGTCTTCGAAGCAGTCGTTCATGTAACCAACTCTACATCAGATACTCTAGTGTTTTGCAAAATGCTTGGGCTCGAAAGCCCAACTCCTGGTTAGAGTCCTGCCTTTGTCACCTGCTGACTATGTGACCTCAGGCAAGCTACTTACCCTCTCTGTGCAGCAATGCACTCATCTGCAAAATGGGCAAAGTAATAGTAAGTACTTAATTGGGCTGCTATGATGGAATAAATGATACGAAGCCCACAGAACATTTAAAAAGAGGCAATACACTAAACAGTGATGATTTCTATAATCTCACACAATCTTATAATAGCCCCATGAGTTAAAGGCTATTTTTATTCCCATTTAAAAGGTACGTGCTTAACACACTTGATTCTAGGGACTGGGGATCCACTTAAGAATCACACCAACAGTCTTTGTCCTCATGGACTTTTCATTCTAATCCATGAGAACAATCATCAACAGGAAGGCAGATGAGCTCATGGCACAATTTCAGCTCTTAAGAGGTGCCAGGAAGGAAGGTGGGGCAGGCGGTCTCCTGGGGAGTCACAGGAAGGGGGACCCATCCAACAGTGCAGTCAGAGGAGGAATCTGAGGGTCATCCATGGGGCTATCAGCAACGAGTGAGCTCCAGGTGACAGGAGTGACAGAGGAAACAGCACATCCTCTGTCCAGGTCAGGGGGGCCCTGGGGCTGAGCTTGGGGACCCAGGGGAGAGTCTTGGAAAATAAATGGGGACACAGGCCAGGAGCAGATCAGAGAGTTCCCACCCAGGCCACAGCATGCAGAGTTTATTCTGTGAGTGATGGGAAGCCACTGGAGGGTTTGAGCCATGGTCAGGGGTGTTAAAAAGAACCCCGTGTTTTCTTGGGAATGGAGGGCCTGAGTGATGCCTGCACCAATAATGGTGGACCCTGGAGAGGGAAGAAAGACTCAGGATTGAAGACACATCTTAGCTGCAGAACTGAAAGGTCTTGGCCTTTACTGGATGCAGACAGGAAGGAAAGGTGAGGCTTCCAGAGTCTTCCCAGCTTTTTGCCTTCAGCAGGTGAAACACTTCTGATCTCCTCCACGATGGCCTTTGCTCTTGTTAGAGGTTTCAGCCACAATCCAGGATTGTGTGAAAGAGTTGATATATATGTAACAAAACATTTTGTAATGCCCCTTCTCTATCCTGAGATGAAATCTATAGGTAATGCTCAATACCTATTACGTGTAATTTAAAAAAAAAAAATTAAAGCCCTAACTGTGATGTAAGGAAGAAATGAAAGGAACATAATAGGTATTCAATATTTAAATGCTTGGTATGAGGGCATGAGAATTTTAAAATGCACCCCCCCCATATCAAAATCACCTCCCTGGGATGTAACACCCCACTGGGAACGGTTGATGCCAATGAAGGATAAAACAGCAAAGCAGGAAACCCAGGGGGGTGAGTACCGCATCTGATCACATTCAGGGCAATGAAAGCCATTGCAGCAGCAGCTTCCACAGCTCTGGGTTGCCCAGGCCTCCCTGCTCACTTGCTTTAGTGGAGGAATGGCTGCCTCCGACCAATTAGTGTATTGAACGTGTTCTGTGCCCCGCAGGATGTGTGGATGACAGGCATGGCCGTGGCTGAGAGCATTGGAGAGGTTTGTTCACAGCGCTGCTCTCAACCTGCATCCTCTCCTCAACTGAATGTGGAGGGTTGAAGAGTAGAATGTAGCTCTTCCCACCACCCTGGAGCCTCCCTTGTGTAACAGGGAGCTCCCACATTTTCAAGATAGAAAGACACAGTCCTCTAATGCCCACCCATGCTGGGGGCTTCCCCTGTGTTCTGTCAGCTGGGTCACAGAGAGACTCAGTCAACAAGACTCCATCCAAAACATCCACCCGGGTCTCTGCCCACTCAGGAACATTGTTCCCCTGATTTTCTCAGAAAACCTTAACTTTTTGGGTTTCTTTTTTAAAACCTTGTATCAAACATCCCTTTTGTTCTCAGTCAATTCACATGTGTTTATTCAGGTTCCCGTGTTGTCTTGTTGATTATGTTCTGCTTAGCAAATGTTTACTGAGTGCTTATTCTGGAGGAATAAGGCAAGCACGGACCCAGGAGCAAATAAGGAGATGTCTCCTCACTCAAGGGGGGTCACAATTCACAGGCCAATCCTGGCAGGAATGTGCAGCACAAGGAAGGATGGCTGAGCGCTGAGTGCCGGCCGGGCTCTCCAGGTACCAGCTCCCACATGGGATGTGCCTGTTCCTGTGAGCAGGTTTGCCCCCTTCCCATCCCGACACAGGATGGCAAGTCTTTTGGGGTTGGGATCAAGGAAGCAAGTGTTATTTTTATACATATATATATATGTATATATATATTTTTTTTTTTTTATTATACTTTAAGTTCTAGGGTACATGTGTACAACGTGCAGGTTTGTTACATATGTGTACATGTGCCATGTTGGTGTGCTGCACCCATTAAGTCGTCATTTACACTAGGTATATCTCCTAATGCTATCCCTCCCCGCTCCCCTAACCCCACAACAGGGCCCCAGTGTGTGATGTTCCCCTTCCTGTGTCCATGTGTTCTCATTGTTCAATTCCCACCTATGAGTGAGAACATGCAGTGTTTGTTTTTTTGTCCTTGCGATAGTTCAAGGAAGCAAGTTTTAAATGAAGTGGCCTTGCTCTTTCTTCCTCTCCCTCCCTCCCTCCCTTCCTGTTTTCCTTCCTTCCTCCTTCCTTTATTTTTTCCTTAGAAGCATAATTGAGTTTATCAGATTCTTCAGCTCATATCATCTTTACCAATTCATGAAAGTCTATTTTTATTTTATTATCTCTATCATCTAAGAACCCCGCCTCTGTCCCTCTTCTCCTTTTCAACACCCCCTCTAATGTGTTGGATGCATGCCCATAAACTGGCCATGCAGCCTTATCAAATATAGGGGATTATTGTGCTGGGGCATTGTGCTCTAAATCTCATTTTGTTTCTGATATTTTTCAATCAGCACAACATCTTAGAACAATACGACATTGCTGCTGCGTGCATATCTATTCTGCTGCTCCTAACTGCTGCATAGCATTGCCTGGTATATATCCTCTACATTACATAACCCCAAAAATGGATCTCTAGTTCACCTTCAATTCTCTAGCACCCCAAACAATGTGGACGGAGCACCTGTGTGACTTTTTAAGAACCTGTCTGTGACAGCCAGTTTACATGTGATCCCAGGACAGGGGACAAGGGAGCAAATTCCATCTCAACTGGAGCAGGTGGCCCGGAGGGAGCAGGCATGAATGTTGTTGCAGCTGCTTTCGCCTCATACTCATGCTATGCTGTGTCTGTTTACTTGTGTGATCCCTGCCCTCCCAAGATGAAAATGTAAAATTCCATGAGAACACTGACTTCAGTGGTTCACAGTGGATAAAGAAAGAAACTTCAATTCTTTAGAAAGCAGGGATCCCTCTAATAAGTGCCATTTTTAGGAGCTGAGCTCTAAATCTCATTTTGTTTCTTCAAAGAAATGCCCCAGTACAATAACCCCATATATTTGATAAGGCTGCATGACTTGTTTATGGGTATGCGTCCAACATATTAGAGGGGGTGATGAAAAGGAGAAAAGGAACAGAGGCGGAGTTCTTGGATGATAGAGATAATAAAAAAAGACTTTCGTTAATTGGCAAAGATGATATGGGCTGAAGAATCTGATAAACTAAGAGAATAAACATGAGAGGATCCTGGTGTGTTGCTCTGATCTCCAATGTCTATCTTTGAAGAAATGAAGGAAGAAATGCATGAGGGATCTGGGGAACACTTGTAGAGGAGGCGAAACCTTGAGAAAAGCCAGCTGCACTCCTGAGTCCACCTCCTTGGAAAGCATTCTTGGAGCTGACCTTGCCCTCCTTCACCCACACCCACCCACCCTGCAGCACAGAGCGCAGAGAGCCCCGTGGGCTGGCCTTGTGCAATCCTCTCTCCTTTGTGAGGAGGGGAGCCCCTGACCACCAGATCTTCTTCTGACACATCTCTTGTGACTCCAGCATAACCTCCCACCGAAGCACGGAGCCTTTGGGCCAGTTAGTGCCCCTGCACTTAGGGAATTTTAAAAGAGCTGTTTGCATGTGTTTTCCAGGTTGCCAGGAGCAAAGCTACTGAGGCCCTGAAGAGCTCATCAGGTGATGACAGCGCCTGCTGGGATGTCAGGGAAAAGAGGAGCTGGGGCCACTGGGCCTCTCTGACAAACAGAAAGCCAGGCCTGAAACCCGAGTAGCGTTTGTATCCACCTCCCTCAGTCCATGTGTGGCCGCCTGGCCGGCTGCTGTCTTAGTTCCTCCACGTGGCACTTGTTGAGCACCTGTCTCTGGCTGGAATGCCGGGTGCCAGAAGAAACTCTGCAAGTAAAACTCAACCATCCCAGGACACTGGAAAATCACCACTGTGATGGGCCAACTCTGGTTCCCAGTGACATTGTAAGTTGCTCCCGAATCGCCTTTTCCAAGGCTTAATCGGCTGAAGTCGATGTGCAGAAACTCATCAACAGAACTTTCAGAAAGGAGAAGCGAAAATGGGCTGCCCCGAAGATGAGGTCTTGCACCTCGCCAAGTGGCTCCTAAAAGGCCACTTATTGGAAGGATCCCTGTCTTCTAAAGAATTGAAATTTCTTGGCCGGGCATGTTGGCTCACGCCTGTAATCCCAGCAATTTGGGAGGCCAAAGCGGGTGGGTCACCTGAGGTCAGGAGTTCAAGACCAGCCTGGCCAACATGGTGAAACCCCATCTCTACTAAAAATACAAAAATTACCCGGGCATGCTGGCAGGCACCTGTAATCCTAGCTAAGGAGGCTGAGACAAGAGAATTGCTTGAATCTGGGAGGCGGAGGTTGCACTGAACCGAGATTGTGCCATTGCACTCCAGCCCGGGCTAAACTCTGTCTCAAAAAAAAAAAAAAAAAATTTATCCACTGTGAACAACCAAAGTCACCATTATCATGGAATTTTACATTTTTCATTTTGAGGGGGTGGGGCAGGGATCACACAACTAAACAGACACAGAATAAAAGGAGTATGACAGGAAAACGGCCGCAGCAAAAAGCTAAGCAGGATCCAATGCTAGAGGGTGACAGGCGGCCACTGTCCCAGGACGTCTAGGGAAGACTCCTTCAGAAAGGCGAGGTTGGAGCAGAGGCTGGGAGCTGAGAGAGTAAGCCACGAATCTAGGGCAAGATGCCCCAGAAAGGAGAAGAGATGTGCAAAGATTGGAATGTCAGGTACTGGAAGGAAGCCAACACCGCTCGACAGGATGAGGGAGAGGGGCCGGCAGGGCAGGGAGGGGTCAGGGGCAGCCAGATCACTGGGAGCCTGTGGACCATGGCTTGGGTGTCGGATAGGGTTTGATGAACAGCCCACTGAGGGTCCCGAGAAGAGGGTGATGCTGGACTAGCTGCTGAGTAGTGGGATGGCTGTAATAGCATGAGAACATTTCAGGGAGCTGTGGAAGCACAGGGCACAGATGATGGTAGCTCACACTAAGGTGGGGAGAGCAGTTGGATGTAGACGACTTTTGAGGATAAATCTGATTTCAAGAGAGGAGGAGATAGGATGTCTTCATTTCTGCAGAATCTGCTTTTAGAGACAAACAGCAAAACAAGGCCAGCTAGATGGTTCTGTAACTTGAAAGGTAAATCTCTGGATGCTGGGGTCCATGGCCCAGATCATCCCTTCAAGACCAAGCCCCTGATGTCCCTCTGCAGGGCTTCTGGCTGCTGTCAGCTGACAGCTATATTTCTCTAGGCATTGCACCTCCCCAAGACAATGGCCTCACCCTAGCCTATATCCCCTCCCCGGGACAACACAGGCTCAGTGGCTGGTCTACTCAGTGGTAAAAAGGCCCAGCCATGCTGCCTCAATTTGAATGAAAAAGAAGTGCCTTCCATCTCCAGGGTCCCCTTGGAGATTGGCGAGGCCTCCTGGGCAACTGCACTGCACTTTAGCTTCTCCCTTTGCCCAGCCCTTCTCCTCCACTGTCGGGTGTTGCTGAGAACACTCCCTGTGAACCTGCCACAGGAAAATATCCACCTCCCAGTCTGTTTTCCTGAAACCTGACTTCAGATATAATCAACTCCTCAGCGGCTACAATGCAGGTAGAGGCCCATCTAATTACATCTTCTGATGGAAGGTGTTGGTGGGGAGCAGGGGGAGATTCACATTTCAAATGGCAAAATCTAAAAAAAGAGGAAAAGCATCTCATAGCTATAAATGAATAAGAAGCACCTAAGATAAGTTTTCAGATGTGATTCAGTGGTAGAGAAGAACAAGCTGTAGAACTTTCTAGTACATGGCTAGCAGGGCTGAGTAAATAGGATGACTTGTAACAGAGCCAAAAGTGTTTGGCCATCACAAAGCTCTTTGACAAGATCTGAAGTCCAGATATTTGGCCACTCATTTCTGAGTCATGAAAATCCTAAATGTGGTTGAATGTTCCTGTCCTTTATCCCTGCTCCCAGGAGCATCTTCCTTGTTCCTTTTGTAGTATTCTTCAGGGACTGACTCTCCACCCCCGAAAAATGGTGTGCCCTGTATCACCAAACCATGTGGGCAGTGTGGCCTCATTGGGTCTGGGGGTCTTGTTGTCCTGTAAGTGGGCTGGGGAGCTCTTGGGAGACTGAACATGCCAAGCAAATGAGAGTCCTGCTGATCACAGTGGCATGGATGTCCCCAAATACTCGGTGGAGAGCAGGAAGAAGGAGTTGTTCATAGAGATGTTATTTTCAATAACAGAGAATAGAGGGGGGCAAGAGGACAGGTAAGAAGCACCTGTCAGTGACAAGGGATGGGAGAGCATGGGGAGAACACAGATATCAAGGAAAATCAAAGATCTGCAGGGAAAGCATTAATGCTGAAACCCAAAGCCGCCTCCTCCAGCTTGTGGCTCCCAGCAGAGAGCAGGTCAGTTTCACACCACTTTTCTTCTCTAAGCAGCAGTGATCACTGGTGCTAGAGCCCTTGACAATGGCTTGTCCAGGGGAGGCCCTGCCCTTGGCCTTAGACGAGACCCCCAAGTGCTATTTGGAAAGCTGGGGATTTGGGTTTCACATCCAGGAGAAAGGGCCCTGTTCAATGGCCATAGTTGGATTAATGCTTAGGGCTGTGGTGATGGAGGGGAGGAGCCAGCAGTGTGCCTGACAGAGCAAATCACCCGCCTCAAGGGATTCTGAAGGAAAGGAGAGAGCCGTTAAAGAAAGCACGGGCAGCATAGCCTGTGCTGGAGTCTCCTGGGATCCAGACCAGGAACACACATTTTTAACAAGATCCCCAGATGATTCTGGGGCACACCACGTTCGAGAACCGCTAGATGAAGGGCTCTCTCCCATCTTGTGAGTCTTCACCTCTTCCCATAAAAAACCGAGATTGTTTTGTTCTTCTCTCTCTGCTCTCCCTATTAGGATTACCTTAAGCCACGGATTTTTGTCATAATTTCTATCCAAGGTACACCACCCCTTTGAGAATTTAACCAACGAACGAAACCCCCAAATTCCATTTCAAATCTTTCTTATTTATTTGCTTCAGGAAGGTAGGCCCCAATTGGCCATTAAGAAAGTGTGGTGTCATTTACTTAACGGGTCCTCCGGATTTATCTAGCTGGCTTTCCAGTTAAATGCAACCAGAGGTTTTCATTCAATGTCACAGTACATTAAGCTAACAGTTTCATTTCTTCCCAGACCTAAAGGAACAATGTATTTATTAAAGCATTTTGATCCTTTGGAGACAGATTAATCAGAAGCTTGTGTCAGTTTTGTATGATAAAATGAGTCAATAAGCAGAAATGGGCATTGACATTACATAAACTGAACACGAGTGGTACAATGCATATTTGTGGTGTCACAGAGAAAAATTAGGAAAAATTTTGCAGTATTCCATTATCATTATTAAACGATTACATCTCAGTTTTCAGGCTGTGTGCAGGTGGGGGTGTGTTTGTTTGTATGTATTTGTTATGGGACAGATCTATTTTTTAAAAAAGAATAGTGGATGAATTTGAACATGGACTTTGGAACTAAAGGCTAATGCTGTAAGACGTTTCTCCTTAGCTTTGCCATGGCTTTGACGGCCACAGTTTCAGTCACAGTGTCAAAGCAACCACAGACAACACCTAAACAGATAGGTGAGGCTACTTTCCAATAAAACTTTATCATACTGAAAATAATAAGCAGTCAGCACATTGGCCTAGAGAAATGAAACAAACAAAAGAAGCTGACATCTGTTTGTCTCCAAAGGAACAATCTGGTTTTGGATCTCCTTATCACAAGTCTGTTTATTCACTGGCAGTCTATTTTCACCTTGGATTTTAGTATTTTTTAGTATTTTGAGTATTTCAGTATTTAGCATTTAGTATTAGTTCAACTTTCAGGAATTAATTCGGGAAATAGGTTTTTTGTGTTACACTTCTTGTAATTAGAGACTCTTCTGGGCAGATGTTTCATTCTAATGTACCCCTGTCCTTCTGGGAAATCATAGAGATGGTAGTTTACAGCCAACGGCTTCATAGTGGAGAACGGTCATTTGTTTTAAACACTAGTCAGTCCCTGACATTTTTCTCACTTTTTAAAAAATTAAACAATTTGAGTAAAATTTAATTGTGTTAAAATGGAGATTAGCATGATCATTTAATATAAGTAGGGAAAGGTCTTTTATTTTGACTAGGGAACTCTGAAATTCAATAAATGACAAAGCTAATTAGATACCAAGGGCGAGTGTCTGATTTGTTAATCCTGTAACTGAAATGAGACTTGCTGGGAACACTATCAAACTGGCGGTTTTGAACTTCCAAAAAGCGCATTCCTCCTGTTCCTAACTTAAGGAAAAACAAATTCAGACCGAGTGTTACTATAGAAAGCCGAATCTCTCTCTTGTTCTGCTAATAATGAATTATTATTCATGCTCGAAGCCAAAATTATTAACCTCTTAAATTATATGCATCAAAAGGAGATGACTCTATCTAAAACCAGGAACAAAATTAGATATGGGTGATAGTGTCTCTGGCTGTCTAATGACAACCCGCTCCCTTCCTAATTTAATTAGCCCACTCTCCGGAAGCAGGAATCACCAAGCTGAAGAGCTGTGTGTGAAGGCTTCTCCGTAAATGTGAGTCAAACAACGTATTCGGTTGGTGCAAAGGTAATTGTGGTTTCTGCCATTGAAAGTAAAGGCAAGAACCTCAATTACCTTTGCAGCGACCTAATACACGCCCACCATGGGTTTCCTCCTGGGGACACACAGCTGTTTAGCAGCCCAGCCTTCGCTTTTAGTTAGGAGCTCAGGGAAGGAAGTAGGAGAAGGCTGGGAGAAACAGAAAGAGAGAGTTTAATCCATCTGGAATTCAGGCAGCCCCTTCCCTTTCTATGGATAAACCACACTGGTCCTCCCTCTGCAGGTTGAGGCGGAATCTGTGCACCAACGAATAGTGACAACAAATATCTGGCTCGCAAAACGCTTTCACAGATATACTGTTGAAGGCCCATGAACACTTCATCCAGGAGTTATTATTGTGCCTAAGTTACAGAGGGAGAAAAAGAGGCTTAGAGAGTTTGGGGAGTTTTTGGGGGACCATAAAGAAAATCCCAGAAAATCTAACGCAGCTGGGTGCAAAGACACTGGGTACATTTTAATCACAATTGGGTTTGGCCAAGCGCTCCCTGGGTTCAAGTGTGCTGGTGACAATGACTTAACAGAGTCTGCCTGCTCATTTGCTTGTTTTCCAGGCAATTGCTTTCATGGTGTCAGCAGCTCTCACATCAGCGCTCTGGGCCTTTCTTTTTCCTCTTGGTTACAAGGCTGGATGCATTACTGTCCTGGACTAAATTGGAGTTGCTTAGCAAGCAGGAAGACAAGGGCGGGGAGGGTTCCTATCCAGCCAGCAGCTCTCAGTGCTTGCCAGAACACAGCACCAGCCTTTTAACCTGAGACGGTGTCGTTGTTGGAAGCCTTGGATTGAAGCCACTTCCAACAGCACACCATCTCCTGATCACAGGAAGCATCTGTGGGCTAAGGACTGAAGCCTCTTTGGCACAAAAGTCACAAAAATGCTCTCCAGTTATGATGTGCGAAAGTTCTATATTTTGTGCAATATAAAGCAACAGACATAGGAACAGGTTTACTGAGACACAATCTCTTTGAAGAACAAGTTCCTGAAAGAAAGCTGAAAGTTTGCCATCAAGCAAACCAGCAGAATTTGTGTTTTTATAGAAATTACATATCTGGGCAGAACCCGAGGAAGAGCAGCAAAGTCACTGCATCCCTTGGCTCCTCCCAACGGGGCTGGTTGGCAAATTAAAAACGAGATGAGGAAGGGTTGGGACACCACATACTCCATCTGTTCCTCACAGTGCAGGGCTAATATATGACCAGGCTTTGGTGGGAAAACAGCCCAGGCACACGCTGCCTGTCATGTCCCTCTGTGGGCAGAGGCCAACAAGGATCCAGACCTCTGGACTGGAAAGGCAGATGTGGAAGAAGTGGAAGAACTGTGACATCCTCCAGCGTTTTGTCCTACAGGGCTGGCTGTCTCTTTCCCCTGTTCAGTGCCCATGGATCAGACACAGGCTCTGTATTGACGACGCTGTGAGCACGTAGGCTTCATCATCATGTCAACAGGTCCCTCTTTCCTCAGCTTTTCTTCTTTATTTGCTGTAAGAGCATAATTAAAACAATAAAATGCCTCCTGGATATTTAATGATGTGACACCAACACTGGTGATACATGGTGTTACAGATACTTATTAGAGACCACACGCTTTACACCCCTTTCTTTATGTCATTGGATACTTGAAAGGGCCCTCTGAGGAAGAGGGCGTATCATAATCATAGGACTAACCCATAGGACCCAGTTAGTCTGGAACCTGTTTCCACCTTTTGCCGTGACATAATGACACATTGTCCCTTTGTGCTCTTAAAAGCACCCCAGTTTGAAAAACAACATGCATGGTTACCCTATTGTGGCCACACTTTGTGTGCCAGGAAGTTGAAGACCAGAGGGGATAATTGCCCAGAGATTCACAGGGTAAGAGGGGCCAGGCTTGCAGTTTAGCTCAGGGGTTCCTGGTGTCACAAGCAAGACCCTGAGCCGGGAATTGTGCTCCCCTGCATGTCCCATGAGGGCGTGTGAAGCAGGGTGGCTTGCAGACGATTGTAGACATCCAGGAAGGCCCACCTGCAGATGGCGAAAGACAAGCCAGAGGGTCCTGAGAATCCACATTTCAACAGAACTAAATAAAAAGCAAATGACAATTTTGAGAAATTGTGATAGCGTGCAAAACACGAGCAGCACCCACCTGCACGGCCTCATCCTTGCCGTCCCCCCATCTGGCTCTGCACTGGGCTCGGGGCTGGATTCAGCCATAGGGGAGCTACACCTGCTCAGACTACCAGCCAGGTGGAGAAATGGGGGGGAAAAGTGTTTTAAAGGCTGTTCCTCTTTCACAAAACACAAAGTCCTACTTAGGAGAAAATAAAACTTTTGATGGACTTCCTTAGGTTTCTTTTATGGTTTTGTCTTCTTTAATTTTGAATTGTGTATGGATGAGTGAGGGGTCCTGTGTTCTTTCCCTACAGTGCACATTCTGTAGGTCTTCATGAAACCCAACCTGTATCTCAGTGAAGGGAGAAAATCCTAACAAGAGGAATTTGTACTCCACAGAAGGTTGCGTCTGCGTCAACTCAAGTCAGTTGGTGAAGGCTCCTCAGCCCATCAACAGTGAGCATGGTAGAGCTCTGTGTGCCCCAGCTGCTCTGGCTCAGTCTGAGGACTGCTGATCCAATGGCCGCACTCAGCGGGACACGTAGCCGACCAAAGGGTGTGGAGGAGGCTCCCTCAGGGTGGGGCCCCAATGAGAAAGGCTATCCTTTAAGACAGGACACATAAAATAACAGAGTTATCAGTGGCAATGGGGCATCTTGCCTTGGAGTTTGTATGTTTGAGTCCATAACTGGCCTTTGAACAAGGCAGGGTCTCCTGCTTTAGATTGTACCTGCCTAATTCAAGACAAATCCAGCTGAGGTGTGTCAGGGCCTCCTGCTTCCCAGCTGGGGCAGTGACTACACAAATACAGGTTGCAGTTTGCCAACTTGTGCAAAACTATGTGACTTTCAACTACATTTTAACTAGGAGAAATTGGCAACGTTTTGAATTCTGTGCCTAAACCTGGAGTTGACTTACTGTTCCACTTGGCATTAACGCTGCATCATTCAAATGCATGGGAACACCTACTCTGAGAGACGCTATACATTTTTAAGGTGTTCTATCTGGAAATGTCAACACAGAACTACATGGATTTTCTCTAAGTAATTAATTTATTACCTTGACTATTGCTCAGGAAAAAGCAAACACTAGAAAGGAGCTGATTAAAAACAATTTCTTCTCAAGAAAACATTGAGAAGCCAGAAAGAGAACTCGATGCATTCCTTGAGCCACTAAGAACAATCCACATGATCTGTCAGACACTACCAGGACACCCCAAGTGTTTCCCAGGGAGGGTTTCTCTGGACAAGTCTGAAGGGCCTCTGGGGTGTCCACCATTGCTCTGACACATGCATATGTGATTTCCCGCAGGATCCCTGACATGCCACTCCTGTCTCAAGACCCCAGATGATAGACACAACTTCTTTAGCTGCTGCTTTCAGCTGAGCTCCAGGTCCACAAATCTAAGCTCATGTTAATTTGGAAACAGAATGTGTGATAGTTCATTTCCATAGGTCCACTCTGCTGGGCCGCAGCACCCAGATATTTGGTCAAAGGTTATTCTGTATGTTTCATGAGGGTGTTTTGAAGGGGATTAGTATTTAAATCGCTAGAGTTGGAGTAAAGCAGATATTACCCTCCATAATATGGGTGGGCCTAATCCAGTCAGTAGTGGCTTTCATAGAACAAAGTTTGGTGTCTACCCTGGGCAAGGAGGAATTCTGCCAGCAGATGGCCTTTGGCTCAAACTGCAAGTCTTTCCTGAGTCTCCAGCCTGCTGGCCTATTGTATAAGATTTTGGACTCTCTAAGCTTCCACAATTGAGTGAGACAATCCCTTAAAATACATTTCCCTGTCTCTCTCCCTCTCTTTCTTTCAAGGTAGAGTATGGCAAGAGGAAGGAGTTACCAACTTTGCAAAAAAAGTCAGGAAAGTCTCACATGAGTCTAGAATGTGCTTATTAGACAGGGAGGAAGACATCCCAAGCCAGGATACTGAGGCATGATTAGGAAGCTGTGAGACCTTTGGTGGTTGATAGGTGGGGAGAAGGTGGAAGAAATTGTAGAAGTTAAGGCATGAAAATCAGCTGAAGCAAGATCTTGGCAATCCTTATATGTAGAAGACAAACTCATCCTAATTTGCACTGGAGTTTTCTGTTTTTAGCCCTGAAAATCCCATGAACGAGAAGCCCCTTGTACCTGAAACTGTCTTGGTTTTAAAGCAGCATCCCACATCCCGGGCCCCTGTCCCCGATTCCTGGGGCACTTGGCCACCCCATCTCCATGTGATGTGTATTCAGTCAACAATCTTTATGAAGTACCTACTGTGTACAAGAAACTATGGATATAGGCCCAATCCCTGCTCTTTTGTTGCTGACATCTACAGACTTCTAAAATTATCTGTTTATGGGTGTATGGGAAAAATGAAAGGAATCCCATGGGGAGGAGAGTAGTGTGAGGTGAGGCAAAGACAAGTGCACTGCCTCTGAAGATCATGGCAAGGATTTAGGTTTTTATTCCCAAGGAACTAGGAAGACAAGAAGGGTGTTAAGCAGGGATGTGACGTAGATACTTATCAGTGTTGTGGGTGGGAGTGCTGCCCAGTGCCCCTGTCCCAGTAAGCAGGAGGGGAAAGGGCCCTTTGAGTGGCCTTTGCATGGAATGATGGGTGATGAGATCCACACTCACTTCCCCAGTGTAGGGAAGGCTGTGGGGAGGATGGAGAAGAGCGTCCTGGTGTGTGTGACATGGATGAACCCAAACCTGGAGGTGATGAGGCCCCGATCTCGGACTTGCTGGACCGGGGCTCTGAGCCAGCCAACCTTCTCGGGGCTTCATATATTCCACACAGAGGACAAGGCAATGGAGCCAAGCAGGCCTGGGTCTAATTCTAGCCTGGCCACCTCTTGCCTGTGTTGGTTCACATTTCTGACCCTCAGCATTCTCCCCTACCCCACAGCCCTGCTGAGAAGCCCAGACTAGTATATGTGGAGACCACCTACACAGCAGCTCTCCTTCTGCAATCCTTCAACACACCGCTGTTTTATCATCAGTAACAAAATGGCCCCTATGTGGCCTCTCACCACGTTCTTCTATGGCATTATCTGACATGAGGCTTCCAATACTTTGCTGAGTTTTAAACAGATGATTATCCTCATTTTGCAGGAGGGAGTGAAAACTGTGGCCCTTGGTAGGTAAGTATCTGTCTGGGTCTTGGGCGTAGCAAGATGGGAAGCCCCCAGTTTAGCTCTAACATCAAAGCCTGGGCACCTTTCCAGAGACTAACCATGTCTCATGATAGAATCCATGGAAATAATTTGCAGGGTTTCAGCTACACAGGGGATGAATCTCATTTTCTAGCCACCATAGGTTTTTCCCTGTGTGTGTGGAAAGATGCAAAGCCAACTGGAGCAAACCATCCATGCTGTACTGGGGCTGGAAGAGTTCTTCATGGCAATCAGTAGATTCAGGGCAGGGGACCCTGGCCCTACACAAAGCATTTCTTCAGAAACAACCTCCCTCTGAGTGTCTTTCTCAAAGGCAAAGGTTGGAAGGGCAAGAACCCACGTACTTACTACATCCCCTTTTTGCCTCTAAACATTCATGAGGACTTTTATTTAAAAGAATTTGGAATTGAAGGCAGGTATTCAACCCAAAATGTGTGCATGAATGCTCATAATAACACTATTCACAAGACCCAAAAGGTGGGAACCAAAGGGTTCATCACCTGATGAAGGGATCAACAGTGTGGTGTGTCGGTAGGACAGAATAATGGCCATGAACAGGAATAACGTCCCAGTGCATGCACATCATGGGTAAGCCTCGGAAACATCATGCTGAGTGCAGTAAGCTGGAGGCAAGGGGCCACATAATGCACGATTTCATTTATAGCAAATGTCCAGAATAGGCAAAGCTTTAGAGTCAGAGAGTAGATTAGTAGTTGCCAATGGCTAAGGTAGAGGGAGGATTAGGGAGTGACTGCTTAAGGGATACAGAGTTTCCGTTTAGGGTGATGAAAGTGTTCCGAAACTGAATAAACATGATCGTTGCACAACAATGGGAATGTACTAAATGTTTCTAATGGAAATTTTATATTATGTGTATTTTACCACAATGAAGATAAAAGAGTATTGGCCCGAGGTCCAGGGTAACTCTGAATATCCAAGGCCATTTTTTATGTATCTCTGAACTGGGTTGATTGCATAATTTAATTTTTAATTTTTGTTTTTCTTTACATTAAAAACCCATCTGTGAACCTCAGGCCTATTTTCCTTTGAAAATGACTAATTTCATATTTTATGCATGCACAATGAATGCTGATGAGTCTTCATTTGTCACCAGGCGCCTGTGACTGTCACAATGGTTCCCCTAATATACCTTGCAAAAGAGCCAATGGGATCACTAATAATGCTTGCACACAAAGGAGGCTCTTCCGCACGCCGCGTCCATCTGGCTTAGTGACCTCCTTTGTGCTGCAGGTGTGCCAGTGTGATTTATGCTCACACTTCATGCAGTCCTTTGCCAATCTAATTGCCTGGCCATTAAAGAGGATGAGAAAATTATGTAGACACCCAGACACATCCATCTCAGGATATATGGCCGATCAGCTGCTGGTGGCTAAAATAATGCAGATGCCTAATACCATTTTGAATATTAATATCCACCCCAACTTTCGGCAACATTATAATTTGGCAGTGCTCAGTGGCACTTCTGCCTTTCCAGCCAAATGACATTTGTCACACTCAAGTAGGAACAATTATTAATAATTTTCATTTCATTAGAAGCACTACAATAAAATGTCAACAGCCTTAAAAGTGCATCAGAAGTGTACAAATTAATTTTGATTTTCTGAAGTGTAATTACTTTTGTAAGTACCAGACTGTGTAATCACGTTAGGCGTTATTACTTGTGCAATCAATTATACTTAAATGCACTTATCTGTTTTCAAACACGATTTTCAGAGGTCACCTGTTGGTGGGGTTTTTTTTTTGAGATTATAATAGGAAGAGCCTATCATTCATATTGGACATGCAGTGACTAAAAGATAGGTAAGGCAGTGATAAGTTAAAATATAATAGCAAACGTTGTTTTAAAAGAGACCACTCCCTTCTTCCTATGAATTTTGGGCTTAATTGGTTCTACTTTAATTGTGGGTGGGGTATTACACACAGTGACTAAAAAATATTTTCACATGGGAAGAGAGTAGGGACGTAGTTCATATCTACTTTAGATTGTGGGTGTTAAAATCTTGGGTTCCCGTATCCGACTTTCTGCCTAGCTAGCCATGTACCATTGCTTGTGTACAATTTGTGAACCAAAAACTTGGGTTCCCGTATCTGACTTTCTGCCTAGCTAGCCGTGTACCATTGCCCCACGCCTTCAAGCTGCAGTCTGTTTCATTCCCATGCAGGTGATACAGTGCCCGCTTTACGGAGGCCATGGCCTTCTTTCCATCATTGGTTATTTCATCTTTATTGTGAAGCACAGTGCAGAGTAGATGCCTAATAAATATGTTTTGAATGAGTAAATAAGCGTTGTCATAAAAATTCAATGATAAGATGTAGATGTACTCATTAACTGTTAGCAAGTATTGTTGTTGTTAATCATCCCACTCAATCTAGTATTAATAATAATCATTAAAAGCTTAGAAAAATCAATGGATTCTCTTCATTTTGGCCAGGAGAAAGAGCAAACTCAATAAACCCATGGAAAGATTCTACCCACCACTAATCATTAAATACATGCAAAATAAAGGATGAAATGAATACTTTCACTGCCTAAATAGCCAAAAAAAAAAAAAAATCATTAACCTCCTGAGATGTCAAGGGGTGGGGACATGGGTACCTGTGCACACAGCTGGCAGCAGTGTAAATCAGCTCAATCCTTCTGAAGAGTGATTCGACCAAATGTATAAAAATTAAACATGTACAAACTCTGTGACCAAGGAATTCTACTTTTGGTGTCTAAGTTACAGCAATGACAACTAGGCAGACAAATATGTATAAACAAAAGATTCTTTTCAGTATTGTTTGTTTATAAAAGGAAATCACCATACATGCCTTTCAATAAGACACTACTAAATAAGTTATGATACATCCATAGAACATAATTCTATGTAGCCTTTAAGAAGAAGAATCTTTATGGATTGACATGTAAAATTTTCTAAGATACAGTCTTAAGTGATAGAACAAAATTACTATCCAACATATATAGCAGGTCTGTACAGCATTTTAAACAAATAATAGACTAGATGGCATAAACCTAAGAAGAAATCTAAAAAGTAAATTATAGATCAAACATAAACTGAGTTATGAAAAAATGTAAATTATATCTTTTGGGGGATGGGCATGAAAGGAAATGGTTGTTACTTATTTCTTAACATATTTTAAGGCTGGCATTATGTGTTTTGATTTTTTGTGTTCATAAGAAATTTAAATAAATGCAACAAACTTATTTAAAAATGGTTTTGAATGTGTGAGAGCTCTCTTGGTAAGTAACCAATCAAGTCAATAAATGAAGGATAGCCAAGTCCATCTGACTCAACCCCCTTTCTCATTTGGGCTGTGTTCCCAGGCTTGCCACTTAATTGGCTACTAGCTGGAATTGATTAGCAAATGTACCAGTATAAATGGAAGCCTCAGGAAAAGGGATTGTCAAGTTCATATAATTTATATGAAGTATCATTTTCTTAAATTTCAACATTCTCAGGAGCTTCCAGTAATATAATTCTAATAAGCAGGACTGATTGACTTTCCAAAAATATGGACAAAGTCAACAAAATTACGTCCTTGCCTCAGAATGATTTCTGTAGCTGTTAGCTAAATGGCTGCCAAAAAGTTATAATGAAATGTTGAAGGCCTGCTTCCATGGAGATGAAAATAATGACTCTAGCTCTTTGGAACTAGGAACGGAAGTGGTGTTTTGTTTTACTTTGTAGAATCAATTCCATTTGATGTCCATGAATGAGGCGTCCGTCTCACTTTTACTGTGTTGACTTTTAAGGATCTCATTTTAAAACATCATATCAGTAAGTAAAATTGTAATTATAAGAAAAATGATGAAATCATAGAATTAAAAAGTAAGCTCTATTTAAAAAAATTAATCTACTACTTTAAAATAAAAACTTGCATTGACCTGACAACTTGGTTAATGAGGGATTTGCCAAATTGTTTAGTTTTATCGCTTGCCAAGTGTGTAATTACTTTGCTTGGCACTTTTTAAAAATGTTATTATAAACTCTTCTTCCAAAGAAAATTATGCAACATAATTATTAACTCTAAAATTACACACACATTTATCTGCTAGTATTTGCTTTCATGCTTCAGCTGTCATTTAGACATCGGCTGCTTGAATCATGCACCTGTTCACAATGATGTTTTCAATGTGTTTCTACTAATTTCCCATTATATGGTAGAAAGCCAAACACTGGGAAAGATAAAGTAACAAAAACTGGGCTTTAATAGGAAATCACTTCTCACAAAATTGGAGACCGTGATCACATTCACATGGAAGGGGCCTTTTGGATCTGCATCCATCTAGGTCGTGCTACTCACGGCCTGTGCGATACATTTTCATCCATGGTGAATATTTCAACCAGAACCACACTTCAAACCTGGACACACAACGGCAAGCTGGCCTACATGCAGGTAGATTTTGTTCTTGCCTTCTCTTGGATGTTGTCTTTGAAAAGGGCAAAAAGAATACCTTTTGTTTAATAGACAGAAGGAAGATGTCCATGGGAAAAAGCTTCATGAAAATGAAAACCTGTATTTAAAGGTGGTCTTGACTCAGATTTCCTGCTTTGATTTCCTTCCATCTAATGCATCTGCTGTCTGCTAACCAGGAAGCTCCCAGAGCTAGGCCTCACGACTGCCCAGCCTCCACACCTGCACAATACTCTGCTCCGAAGATGCCCGTCAGCTATTCATAAGTCGGCTGAATTACTGTATTCTCTTTTCACTTCAGCTCATCAGTGAAACAGAATGGAGGGACTCTATGGGCTGAACTGTGTTCCCCCAAATTCATATGTTGAAGTCCTA
The DNA here is from genome assembly GCF_000001405.40 of Homo sapiens. Taxonomy (NCBI): domain Eukaryota; kingdom Metazoa; phylum Chordata; class Mammalia; order Primates; family Hominidae; genus Homo; species Homo sapiens. The sequence continues at coordinate 60,574,665 of NC_000020.11, forward strand.
ACCCCTAGTCCCTCAGAGTGTGGCTGTAGTTGCAGAAAGGACCTTGAAGGAGGTGATAAGGGTTAAATGAGGTCATTAGGTTAGGCCCTATTCCAATTATCACTGGTGTTCTTGTAAGAAGAGCAGATTAGAACAGAAACATATACAGAGAAAAGACCATGTGATGACATAGGGAAGAGACGGTCTCTGCAAGCCAAGGAGCAAGGCTTCAGAGGCACCTGCCCTGGAGATACCTTGATCTCAGCTTTCAAGCTCCAGAACTACGAAAAATTAAATCTCTATTGTTTAAGCCCCCCAGTCAATGGCTCTTTGTTATGGTAGCCCTAGAAAATGAATACTTTGCTCTACTTTATAGAGACCTCTTTATGAGAAGCTGTGGGATAAGTTGAACTAACTCCATGGAACCATCACTCAGAATTCCAAGACAGAAGAGAATGGATTTAACTGTGGCAGCATGGTGGAAATCATCCATAAAGCAGTGCCAGCTCCCAAACTCCTGGAGATTCTGGTTGCCTGGATGACCATCCCCAAGGAAAATGGGAAATGCATAGCCCATGGATCAGGGTGATATGGTTTGGCTCTGTGTCCCCACCCAAATCTCATGTCAAATTGACTCCCAATGTTGAGGAGGGACCTAGTAGGAGGTGACTGGACCATGGGGGTGGATTTCCTTTTGCTGTACTCACAATAGTGAGCTCTCATGAGTACTAGTTGTTTAAAAGTATGTAGCACATCCCCCCTTTGCTGTCTCTCTCCTGCTTTGCCATGTGAAATTTGTGCCTGCTTCCCCTTTGCCTTCTGCCATGATTGTAAGTTTCCAGAGGCCTCACAGCCATGCTTGCTGTATAGCCTGCGGAACTGTGAGTCAACTCAGCCTCTTTTCTTTATAAATTACCCAGTCTCAGGTAGTTTTTTATAGCAGTGTGAGAACAAACTAACACATGGGGCAACCACAGCTTTTTTTGTAAGAGAATGTGCTCACCTGGACAACTTAGACAGCTTTGTGGTCATATACTGATCCCTCTCCATGGATCAAACCTCTCAAAATGTCAAACTTCCCAAAATGTCAGATTAAAGATCTGCTGAAATTTTCTGGAAATTTTATAATTATTGGGCACAAAAGAATTCTAAAAATGCACAAATCTATGCACATTGGTCTTGGCCTCCCAAGACTTGAGAAGCAACCGTTATCTTCTTCTAAAGTATCAAGCTCCAGATGTTGGATTAGTTGCCCTCCTTTTGCAGAAGTGTGATGGGAGGTCAAACTCCAGCCCCAGGAGTGTTCCATGTCGACTGATCATCTGAGGCTGAACAGGAAAGTATTTGCACTGAAACAGGTTTTACTGAATCTTTAGATATTGAACGAGGATGTATATCACTCAAACAAAATAAAAAAAGCAAACAGTATTAGAATTCTTGAGGCACAGTGCTGAGTTATTTTTACTTTTACGGAACCTACACTTCCTAAATTGATTGCTTCGTTTGCCTCTGATTTAGCAGTAGAGATTCATATTTACTTCTCTGGGGGAAAAGGACACAAAGAGGCTTTGAAAACATAACCTTTTCTTTCCTGTGACAAGTGCGAGTTTATCAATACAGACCCACTGTGACCAGGCTCTCTTGTGTTTTCTAAGATATTATTTTGCTTTTTTGCTGTATGCCTCCACAGATAATCCAATGAAAATCACATGCAAATCTGCATGGTGCATTCTTAGAAAACATTTTTAGGTCCCATTTGAAGAAAGAGAGAGACATATTTTCACTTTTACACCTTCTGTTCCCAAATGAAAACATTGACTTGAAAGCCAGCCTTGCAAACAGCTTTCCACTTAAACAATAAAAATGCACAGAAATCCTTCCAGTGCTACCAGAAGTTATGTATCCGCTATGTAGTTCAGGTGTTTGTAGCCATATAGGATATATGAAAATACATAAAATAAAATCAAAGAACTATATTACTTTTCATATTCAAACTGATGTAGTAAATAAAAATATCAAGATTTTCTATTAAAATATTCCCTTAGCACTTACAGAAAAACCAAATTAGCGACAAAGAAAAAGATAATTCTGCTTATTTGCCGTTAGGTAATGAAAGCAGACTGATGTAAGAAAATCATACATCTCTCTACGTTGTATTCACAAGGGGGACCTGCATTTTTCCAGAAAGAAGTCACCCTTTTAACTGTAGGCAAATGTTAACAGTGACAGTACTGGTTCATAGGAATAGTGGAATATTCAAATAGCGAGTCTTAGGGCCTCATCATTGGAGATCTGAGAGTGACTACAAACTATAAACCATGAGTGTGCATTTCACTTTGCCAAATATGTTATTTTTTTAGAGATTAACTGGAAAAAAAGATAAAGTCAGGCACATATTAATTTCTGAATTCAAATAAAGTGGTATAACACTATACCTGGAACAACCTCATTTTAATTTCCACTTGGTTAGACAACATGCTCTTAGACTTGCACCTTACAGTTCTCTTTTATTATAGCTCAAATCTCACGATGAGCAGAGAGATCATGCTGCTCATCAGATAGAGCTGCTCTAATATCATCCCAGCTCTGGAGATGTCTCGCATTAACACTTCACAAGACTCATCAGTTTCTGCTATCTAGTTCAACTCAGGAACAAAAAGATATACCATTTCTTTTAGTTCATATTTAATAAATTTACTGTAAAACTCACTGTCTAAAAGAATGCAGAAATTATATCATGTGCTTATAATTCCTGGAAAACTTTTTTTTAAAATCAGCATCATATACTTCAAGTTACAGATGGAGAATAAATGGAGTCTGGGATGCGACAGGAGCATTTGCAGCTGCTTTTTCTCAAAAGCAACATTTTCTGAAATTTTTCTGATTTTCTAAATTGTTGTGATCACACAGTTTTCAGGTAAGACAACAAACCTTCCTTTTCACTAATAACTTTTCCTTTAGGAGAAACAATTCTGGGGATATATTATCCCATTGTTGCCAGAAAGGGGTCCCAATCCAGACCCCAAGAGAGGGTTTTCGGATCTCGCACAAGAAAGAATTCAAGGCAAATCCATGCAGCCTTGTGAAGGCAAGTTTATTAAGAAACTTAATAAACTAAGTTGAAAGCAAGTTTTTTAAGAAAGTAAAGGAATAAAAGAATAGGTACTCCATAGACAGAGCAGCAGCATGGGCTGTTCAGCTGCTTATACTTATTGTTACTTCTTGATTATATGCTGAACAAGGGGCAGATTATTCATGAGTTTTCCAGAAAAGGGGTGGGCAAGTCCTGGAACCCGAGGATTCTTCCCCTTTCTGGACCATACAGGGTAACTTCCTGATGTTGCCATGGCATTTGGAAACTGTTATGGCACTGGTGGGAGTGTCTTTGAGCAGCTAATGCATTATAATTAGCATATAATGAACAGTGAAGAAGACTATAGGTCACTTTCATTTCCTTCTTGGTTTTGGTCGGTTTCTTTACTGAAACCTTTTTTATCAGCAAGGTCTTTGTGACCTGTATCCTGTGCTGACCTCCTATCTCATCCTGTGACTTAGAATGCCTAACCTCCTTGGAACACATCCCAGTAGGGCTCAGCCTTATTTTACCCAGCCCCTAATCAAGATGGAGTCGCTCATGTTTAAATACCTCTGACACGAAGAGAAATTACCACAGTGAAGTTCCATGGTATCAGAGAGGGGTGTGAGAATGAGAAAAATCTCATCAAGATGGTGCCCAAGTCCCTGGGATGGAGAGGAGTACTTTAACCTATCGACAAAAGAACCAAACTCTGTAAAATAGTAAAGAGATTTATTCTGAGCCAAATATGAGTGACCAAAGCCCATGATGCAGCCCCAGGAGCCTCAGGAGGTCCTGAGAACATGTGTCCAAGGCGGCTGGGTTCACCTTGATTTTATACATTTTAGGGGGGCAGAAGTTACAGGCAGACATAAATCAATCCATGTAAGGTGTACAGTGGTTCAGTTTGGAAAGGCAGAACAACTCGAAGTGAGGTGGGGCAGGGAACTTTTAGGTCATAGTAAGGGAGGAGACCCCCTCTCATATTGCCTTATGCCCAATTTCTGCCTCCAAAGAAAGAAGAAGTAAAAACTAAAAGGCAGGAATGAAATCCACAGGCAGACAGGCTGGCGCTGCACCCTGGGCCTGGTAGTTAAAGATCGACCCCTGACCTAACCGGTTATGTTATCTATAGATTCCAGACATTGTATGGAAAAGCATTGTAAAAATCCCTGTCCTGTCCTGTTCCATTCTGATTACTGGTGCTTGCAGCCCCCAGTCACGTATCCCCGCTTGCTCAATCAATCACAACCCTCTCACGCAGACCCCCTTAGAGTTGTGAGCCCTTAAAAAGGACAGTAATTGCTCACTCAGGGAGCTCGGCTCTTCAAACAGGAGTCTTGCCGATGCTCCTGGCCGAATAAACTCCTTCCTTCTTTAACTCGGTGTCTGAGGAGTTTTGTCTGTATCTTGTCCTGCTACAATAGGTGGATTCAAAGATTTTCTGATTGGTAATTGCTTGAAATAGTTAAGTTATTATCTAAAGACCTGGAATCAATAAAAAAAGAAGTGTCTGGGTTAAGATAAGGGGTTGTGGAGATCAAGGTTTTTATTATGCAGATGAAGCCTCTGGGTAGCCAGCTTCAGATAGAATAGAAGGTAACTGTCTCTTATCAGAATTAAAAGGTACCAGACTCTTAGTTAAGTCTCTCCTGGTCCCAGAAAGACCTGAAAAGGGAAGAGGATTCTCTACAGAATGTAGATTTTCCCCACAAGAGACAGCTTTGCAGGGCCATTTCAAAATATGCCCAAGAAATGTATTTTGGGGTAAAATACTTTGATATCTTTTAGGGCCTGCCATCTGTCATGTGATGCTATACTAGAGTCAGGTTGGAATTTGATATTTTATTGCTACAAACAGTCTGTTTTGTCAGCCTTAAGATCTCTTTTTTAATGTTAATGCTGGTCAGTTGTGCCTGAATTCCAAAGAAAGGAGGGCATAATGAGGCATGTCCAACCCATCCTTTCTATCATGGCCTGAACTAGTTGTCAGGTTTACTTTGGAATGCCCTTGGCCAAGAGTGGGGCCCATTCTGTTGGTTAGGAGGTCTCCAATTTTATTTTTGGCTTATAAAGTCAAAGATGGACAGAAAGTACGCTAGAGGAGTGGGAGGGCTGTGCAATGCCTTGAGGTCTGAAACAGGCATCAGGAGGATCCTCTCTTTGCTGTCCCAGAGAAGAGTCTTCTAAACATCATCCCTTGTCACTGAACCCACTGAGTTCAGGAAATGAACCAAGTGAGGAAATGTGGAGTGAGGAAATATGGAGTAAGCAGACCCCCACTGGATAATACTTTTTGTCCATTTAGTGCCTTGCTCCTTGTCAGATTCAAAACAGCTTCCTCAATAGGGTCAATGATCCACTCAGCCTGAACCAGGATGTGTGATGAAGTGCAGGCTTTTGCATCTGCATATGAATCACTTAAACTTGTTCACCCACTGCTTAGCAGGAAATGGACTTTCCAATTAACACTCACTTTGCTCTCCCCAGTTAACTAGCTGCCTCTGCGTCCCTCTCATGAGAACACTCAGTTTTCAGAGTTCAGAGCCTTCCGCTTTCCTCCCCCCATGGCGGTGTCTGGGGTGGACAGGAGCTCCTGGCAGTGGGGAGAGGACACTGCTAAGGTGTGTGTGAGTCCTGAGCCACCCCTGGGTCTTGGCTGCCTGGGGAATTGCTGTCTCTTGTGCTTGGCCAGGCCGCTGTCCTGTCCCCACTCCTCTTTGACTGCTGAGGCTACAGCCAAAGAACTCTCAGCTGATTTTGCTCCACTTCCTAGAGCCTAGCCATCCTTCCCTTGGCCCACTTCATGGGCCCCTTTGGGTCTGGCTGGGGCTCATTTTCACTTCCTCGCTGGGTGGGTTACTCTGCACGTGTCACAGCATCGCTTCTGAATGTCTGCCACCCTCCTGGGACCCGTGGAGACCCCAAGGGGAACCTTGACCCTCCTTCTGCCTCACTTTGCCACTCAGATGACTTAGTGTGGATGTGGCCACTTCTCCTGGGGCCAGGGACACCTGTGAAATGGTGTTCTTATAGAATGCCCAGTGGGGATTACATTCTCTATATCAAGGCAGCCTAATTTGGTGGGAGAGATCATGGATTTAGATTTCTAATTGCCTGTCTTGGAATCTGACTGCTTACAAATCTCTAAGAACTTGGCCTAATTGCTTAAATGTATAATGCCTCAGTTTCCTCACTTGCAAATTGAGAATGATGAAAATAGTAGCTTCTATCTCTTGGATTAGTACTCTTGCAGCACTTAGAGCAGTGAATACCATGTTAAGCCACAGAAAAATTACTGGCTGTCATTATTAATATAACCTTGAATTTATTGTGGTTAATGAAGTACAGTGAGAAAGTAAATGTCTTATTGCTGAGCCAATAAGATTCCGAAGATACTTCAAAGATGTGCCACTACTATGACTATTTGCTATGTGCCAGGTATGGTGATAACCGAATTATAATGCCTAGAAACTGGTCTAATTTAGACCAATTCTACAGCTAGGGAAAAAATAGATTAGAGAAATTGTGTTACCTGCCCTGAGTAGAGAAATTAATCTTAATTTTAATTTGTAATTGTCTCAGTATCTTCAAATTAAGTTGTGGCTAACTTAATGCACATGTATGTATTCATTTATTGAATATACACATGTATTCATAAATATGTACATATATACATATGTATTCAAACTGGTATTCTGCACCGTTTATACTGATGTGTAGAATATAAATGGAAGTTTTAAAAATAAACATATTTCCAAAAGATTATAAAGTACAATGGCATGTGTACAAGTTATCTCTTACTGTGTAATAAGTGATCCCCAAATATAATAAATGATCCCCTCTAGCCTTAGAATGTCAGAACAACAAACATTATCTCATATGGCTTCTGAAGGTCGGGAACCTAGGAGCAGTTTAGTGAGTTGATTCTGGCTGAGGATCTTCATTCAGTGGCTGCATACCTGTTGTTAGCCAGGGCTGATGTTATCTGAAGGTGAGACTGGGGCTCGAGAAGCCACTCGCAAGAGTCTCACTCACTTGTATATGGACTGGAGGCCTCAGTTTCCCCCCATATGGGCCTCTGCACAGGACTTCTGGAGGGCTGTCATGGAATAGCAGCTGGCTTTCCCTAGACAGTGATCCAAGAGGGACAGAGCATGAAAAACAGAGCAGCAGTTTGTGATCTAATCCCACAAGTCCCCAGTGGCTTCTTTTGTTTCTTAGAAGTGAGTCCATAAGTCCAGCTCATACTGAAGGGGAGGAGAGTTAGGCTCTGCCTCTTGAAAAGAAGATATGGATGAATTTGTGGATGTTTTAATATTGCTGCACACTGCGTCCACTTCCTACCCCCCTGCAGCAAAAGAGTGCTGTGGTTTGCAGAGCTGCTTCCCTGGGATGCTTTGGGTGCAGCTTCAGGCAGTGGGTGTTTTCTATGCACATTATTGCCAGCAGCCACCACCAAAGGAAGGGTGCACACTTGGAGAGCTGCTGTGAAGGAGGCACCTTGCTTTCCACCATCTATGCATGCCCAAAGCGTTCATACTGTGAAATGATCGAAAACATTAAGGGGCATAATTTATCTGGAGGGAGTGTGCAGAAAAGCCAAATGATCCTTTGGTAGTAAAAGCCTTCTTCTTTGGCCTTCAATCAGTCATGTTGGCTTATGTTCATTCCCTATGAGTGCTTCTCTAAGAGGTTTTCTCTAAATATTTAACCTTTCTATGGCTTTAGATCTCTTTCCATCATCAAAGTCTTCATCTTTGCAGTTACCTGCATCTGAAATGCTGTCACTGTCTCCTTACGGGGGCTGACTCTTCATTGTACAGTCTTGGTTTAAATGCTACCTCCTCAGAGTCCCCTTGCCAGACCAGTCTATCCCCAAAGAACCTACGATCTTTTAGATTATAGATTATGCTTTGGTTTTATTTTCCTTGATAGAACTCAGCACACTTTGCGCTTACATGACCATTTGCAGGTTTGTTTGTCTATTGTCTATCCACCTTGTTAGAGTGTAAGTACGATAAAGGTGGTTTTGTTGCAAATATTCATGTTTTGGATGCTTTTAGTTCCCATTGATACACACCTATATACACATATGTGTATGTGTGTGTGTGTGTGCAGTCAGGCATTTCTACAGAATATAGATGAGAAAATTGGAAGTAGGGGGAAGACTATGCAGACCTTGTCAATTCCAATTATATTTCCCAGAACTTGTAGCTAAAAGATAATAAAATCCAGCATCTCTGTTAGCACTCAGAATTGTTAATTCATGAGCAAGCAATTTAGATGAATTTTAGATGAGAAATTGAATTTTCAGCCGCACAGCAGGAAAATAATCACTTACTATAGTTGAAAATAGTTATCACTGATTAGTGTTCCTGTGTTTGATGTGGTAGCTCTTCTGCTGTGTGCAGCATGGGGTGAAGTAGCCAGGTCTGTAGACAAGACTTTTAATCAATGAAACAAAGCCATGTGTAAAAGCGTCTACATGGAAAGGCACTGAGGGCAGGTACAAGATGCTTCTTCGACTGTGAAGAAGAGAAATGTGCTGCTGGCCAGGCCTGGGCACCAAGGTTAGAACACTTCAATAAGGAAGTTAAATTCTTATTGGAAGAAGACCACGAACAGGGTACAGTCTCTACACAGGCTTAGCTGCATATCTACGGACAGATGAATGTCCAGATCATTTTTCTATCCTTCTAATAGCTCCTGCATGAAGCCAAAATACTCAGCTGAAAAGTGAGAATTTTAACCATCAACATAAAAATAAGCTTCTATGTATTGAAAATATGTATAATTGGCATTTTGCTGAACTGTGGAATAGCAGACTGGGGTTTTCAGTGTGTATCGTGAGCCCACTGCACACCTGCTGTGAGTGGCCCTAGAAACTCAACAATTAAATCCTAATCTCTATGACTGTGGGTTTTTCTCTTGAAACACACTGTGGTCAGTGCTTCTAGTCCATCTGCAAACTAAGCAATGAGAGTTGCTATATACACACATGCACCCCATATATTCTGTAAAATATGTGTATGGGCAGTGAGTCATTACATAGAACCCAGGCTTTCAGAACTTCTGTTAATCTCTGTAGGATTTAGGGAGTTTGAACAATACACTGCATTTTTCTAGAGAATGTCTGTGCAAAACTCATTCCATAGAGAGGACACAATGAGATCCTTCTAAATGGGTGAATTAAGGAAGAGCGTAGGCATCAATGACTCATTGACAGTTTGGTGCATAATTATGACTCGGGGTTGCTCCAGGCATTTGCATCATCTATTAGACAATAAGCCCACATGGCTTCTTAAAGTGCTCAATCATCATCCATAAATGGCCATAACATTTCTCAGCTTTATAAGCACAGTGAACTTGGTTGCTTTTAAAAATACATACACCACAGAAATTTATTTGGAAAATTGACAGTTTGTCTCAAGCTTGTTCAATTCTAATATTTATTGCAGCATGTAACCAGCTTATAAATAATTGATTGTATTTCCTATAAATTTATTTGCCTCAGGAAAATACAAAATTTAGTTTAAATATCCCAAATCTGTGATTGCTTTTAGATTATAAATGTTCCCTCTGCTACGAAATACACATGAATCATCATGTTCTAGCAAAAAATATTACATAGTCATAATGCAGCCTCCAAAGGTGACTGATGACTGCTCATCATAGTTGCTACTGAGAAGTATTCGGCATCAAATGATTCATCAGTCATATTCCAGAGTCTGTTTAACTATCAGGGATAGAAGCATCTAAAACGTACAGCAAAGACTTTACATCAAGTATACCTCCCACATTTACCCTGCCTTAAAAACTATTTAGAATCCAAATGTGAAACAGAATGTGTGAGCACACATAATTATCCGTGCCTATTTTCACATTTACATAGCTTCTATAAAAACCACTTCTATCTCTTTTACATGCACTTAATTAAGTCTGCCATCTTGCTGGCCTGTAATGTTTGACATGCTCAACTGAAAGCAAATGACAAAAATGCTAAATGACATTTCCATTTTCTTATTTAAAAGATTTATTGTTCAACACTATCTGTGTGTGGCATTTCTTCACTTGCTTATAAATATTTTACAAATTTCGATAGCTTCAAATTTAAAAGACTGATTAGCTACATTAACAACCCAAATAATTGAAGAACAGTATACTTAAAGTTCCGGGCATTAAATTTTTATTTTTGATCATCGTTGGATTTGAATTGTATAAAATTAAGCATTGTATGCAAATCTAGCTCTGCAGGGGAAATTTAGCCACGTTGCTTTTTAAGAGCAGCCAAACTTGGTTGCCCTAAGAGTATCTGAAAAAAATTAATTATTGAGAACTTACCACTAGTAAAAACATTTTGGAAACTGCCTTTCTCCTTTCTTTTTTCTCCCTCCATTTCTAGGGTCACTGGCTATTCCCTCCTGCTGGGAACACTCCTCCCCCAAGTAACCGCATAACTCACTTCCAAGTCCTCTCCAAATATTCGCACAAACTTTCACCTTCAAATGTGCCCTATGGAGATTGTGCTATTTAAAATGGTAACCAGCCTCCTTTGTTAACCCTTCCCCAGGCCTCCTGATTTATTTTGCCCGCTATATTTTTTTTCCTGGCCCTTATCACTTTCTGACACATGATATAAAGTGTTTCTTTTCAAGATATTATTATTTCTGGACCGTCTTCCCCTACAGGGAGCCAAGCTCCATGAGGGCATCTGTTTTGTTCATCTCTGTACCCCCCAACCACTAGGATGGTGTTTGTCTCCAGGTAAATACTAGCAAACCAGGGGCAACCTTTGCATTAATCCAAACACCTGGACAATTTGCTAGAATAGCCTACTTTATTGATGTTTCTTTCTTTGGACTGCTTGGATGTCTTACACACATTTTTTGATTGAGAACAAAAATTGGGAACTCGAACCTTTGGTTACGAGTAATTCACTTCTGCACTTTCCACCCCTCAGAGGGCACACAGCCATCTCAGAAATGTTGCTACTAACCCTTTGGTAAATGAATTTCTACCCAAACACTGAAAGCTGTTTAGTTACGCTAAAACATTAGATGTGATTAAAATCAATTTTTATATTTAATGTTCTAAAATGGAATTTGGGCACTACTCTCAGACCTTTTACAAAAGAGAACATTTTTCCCCTCTTGTTATTGTAGGAAGATCTGGAACTAGAACTAATCATTTTCAAATTGTTCTCATGGCACTGAAAATACAATTCTCCTTCCCACGGCTGCTTCTATTGTGAGTGGCCAATGAAAAACATCGCCCCTCAATTCCTTTCTTCTTTCCACATTTTCATCCATAATCCAACCTCTTAAAACGTGTGAATTAGGATATATGCTTAGCATAAGGTCAAGATAAACTCCGTATAAAATGACTACCTTTAGAAGTATTTTAAATATGCTATTATAGAATATTCCACTTTAAGGGATTTTTTCATTTATAGATAAATGGGTCCATTTGAGGAACCTGAAATTATGATTTTGCTTTCCCACAAAACTTTCTTTAATCCTGTTGCTAGCCAGCTGACCTGAAAAGATAGTATCCTAAATCTACCTTAAACTCCTTCCATGTCTGTTTAATTCTGATTCCTTCTTCTGCAACCCAGCATTTGCAGTCTCTAGAGGAAAATAAAAGTCAATCAAATTTAAAAGTGCTGAGGCTGCCCGGAGATGACCTGTGTGTGCTTCCCCACCCAGCCCACTTTCTTGGAGCCTCCCCAGGGGTCCCTGGGGACCTGGGCTGTTGGACCCTGCTGTCTGGTGTCAGCGGTGAGGTGTAGCAGATCCACAGTGGACGTACCTGATCCGCCTTCACTGCCCCCTCCTTGTAGTTGCCTATGAGAAGCTTCTGGTCCTGTTGGCTTGATGCTGTGGCCATTTTTCTCCCTCGTTATCTCTGACATATTGGTGGGCATTATTTAACAAGCATATGGTGCTAATTTTGTGTCAAGCACAGCTCTAAGCACTTTACAAAGATGACCCCATTGAAGACCTCATAAAACAGCCCCATGAGGCCGGCACTGTGGGGATGCCCATTATACAAAGGAGGAAAGGGAGGTGAGGACGGGGTGAGGGATTTGGCCTCCCCCAGCTGATCATGGAGCCAGAATGGGAAGCCACAACAGATGTCCACTGTTTTCCTGCCAGCAGCAGCCCCTCCTGATTCTGGAGGGGAGCAGGAAGGGCGTAATTACACTCTGGCTGATAGCTAAGATCACGCTGGGAATTCCACGGAGAGAGACCCTGGCACTCCTTCTTTGGACAGTGGCCCCAGGCCAACCGTGTCCTAATAAGGGCCTGACTACAGCAGCTTACCTAAAGTCAAAGAGAGAGCAACTGGGAGAGGTTTGCAAAGGTGGCTGTTTAAATGGGGGAAGGCAGAAGGGGAGCAAGGCTAGCTGGCAATTCATGAACACTTCCCATTTGTTATCTCATCTAATTCGGCCAGGCCTGTGGATAATGAAGTGGTATCATTGTTATTCCCTTTTACCTAAATACACAAAATCTGAAGCTCAGAAGAAGTTGAATGAATTGTGCTAGGTTATATGGCTAACACGGGGTTTCTCAGGCCTGGCATGATGGACATTTGAGGGAGAATGTTCTTTGTGGTGTGCACTGCCCCGGGCATCACGGGACGTTTAGCACAGGCCCTGGCCTCTCCCAGTCGATAGATGCCAGTAGTATCACCAGGTTGTGACAACCAAGTCTCTGGACATTGACAAGTGTCCTCTGGGAGGCCAAATCTGGATACCCTACCCTCAAAGCTTGAGCTCTTAGCTATGATGCCTCCCCATGTAACCCTGGAGATGACCCCATGACTCTGGCTTTAGTGATAAAGGGTTGAACTAGATCTCTTTCAATCACCTTATGGCCCTAATGGCCTTCATTCAAGAAGCGTATAACCTGGTAGAAGACACAAGGTGAGTACAAAATCAGTTGTCAGCATCTTCTCCATTGTTTTAATTCCTGTCCTCACCCACCTCGATGGCCCCAGGAAACACTGAACTGAAAAAGTAGAAGGTATGGATGGATGGCTTCCACAGAACTTCTCTGTTTTGGAGAAGCAAGCACATTTTTTCCCCTTTTATTATTTATTTTATTATTATTTATTATTTTATTTATTTTTGACACACAATAATTGCACATATTTATGGGATACAGAGTGATATTTTGAAATGTGCACACAACGTATAATGTTTTAAGGAGTCAACTACCTCTGGCCTCTGTGAATTCAGGCCATCAAAGTCCTGGCCAGCTCTATGCCCACACGCCCTGGGGCAGCCTTTTCCCTTGCAGGGCTGAAAGGATTCCCTGGTCCTGAATTGGTCTTGATGGCTCCACTAGCAATGGTTTCCCAGACAGGAAGGCCTCTATGAGCCACGGGCCTGTTCTGAAAGTCACATTTCTGTGACACCCAGACGTTTTCAGTAAAGGGCCCGCCTGCTGGCTCTGACTGATGGGAGGTATTCTCCCATACCTCTACATATTCAAAAGATGAAACTAAATACATGAGGATTAAGTACTTCAGTGAAACAGAAATTACAATTATAATATATTCTTTAACAGAAGTGAACAGGTGGTGTTTTAAATCTATCCAAGATTAACCCATATTCAACACTTTAAGCACCCAGGCTGTCATAATAAATGTTGTCTAATTATATATTCTTGGGAGTGCATTTTATGTTGGGTTTTTAAATTGGAATTTGTATCCAGCTGAAGTTATCTACACAGTGCAGTTTTTGTGTATAGCAAAGTGAGGATTCAAAATATTAAGTATTTTTTGAGTAACTTCACTTCACTTTGAGGTCTCTGTGTAGCTGTTCTCCAGAAAGGAATGTAGTCAAGAACAGTGAATTATAAGAGCTTAGTGTTTTCCACCTTTTGAAGGCCTAGTTGCATCCACATAAACTTTTGGTTAGTTCAGGGTAGCAATGGTATTTATAACCCTAGATTTTCCTAAAATTCAGCCCATTCTCCATGTTTGGTGACTTTATTCAAGGTTTCACTCTCACATAGTTGAATTCTACTGGTTTTAACTTTAAACACACGCAGTCATTTGCATCCCTAGAGTAAAGATGTCCAGACCTTCCTCATTTTTGCCTTACAAAAATGCAAAACAGTGGCACATGGGCCCCCTACCACCAAAATTATAACAGCCACAATGCAACTTACATTTTGGTGGAGGTAATAGGGTAATGTAATGTTTTACTGGTTCCTACTATCTTAGGGGATTTCATTAGCTACAATTCAGGCCGTGAGATGCAACCATTTGAGCCCAGCTCATAAAAAGAATACAAGTATTTCTGAAGCCTTTCCATTACATTACTCTAACAATCCATTCCCATCATCCTAACAATGCATTTCCTCTCATGAGCATCAGTGGAGGGAATAGTAAAGGGAGCTTGTTGAGCTCAATTCCAAGGTCTGATTCACTGTTCCTGCTGCCCTGTCAGCCCCTGCTCTTGGAATCTAGATGCATGGACTCTTAGATTCCACTCTACTATGGAAGTTCAAATCTTTCCTAGAAAGGGGCCTGGGGACTTCCGTTTCCATAGTCATATCTTCCTCAGGAGCATAATTTCCATGACACATGACCCTCCAACCGTCCTGCACATGGTGCTTCTCTGAACTGCTACACTGATCCAGAAGCCAAAACCAGGCATTCTCACCATCTCCTACCCTCTCCTCACCCAAAGAAGGCACTTCGTATGTATGGTAGAGTTTCATCAGTATTTAGAGGGACTGAGAAAGAAATCAAGTTGCAAGAACACACACTCTGATTTTTTTCATGCAGGGTAATGCAGCCTCTTCCCCCAAATTTGGATCTAGGCTTTTTTGTTGGGGGGGGGGGGGGGTACAGCCAAGCCCATCAGGGAGCTCAGAGCTAAAAGGCAGTGCTCTATTTGAGAAAGGACACTATTTAGAAGACTGTGGAAGCAATATTTCCCTTGTTGAGCAGAAATGTTTTATTCTTTCTGTAAGTTCTTGGAATATGAGGCCTCACATGACTAGAGGAGCTATTTTAAATATCACAGGAGCTGTTCAGAAAATGGCCTTGCCCAACTCAGGACCAAGGACAGCTCTCAAACCCTTAGAACCAAGGACAGCGTTAAAGGCCTCCCCAGGTGTTCAGCATCACAAACAAAACACATTTCCGTATTATATACATTTTGCATATTAAAGAGAGAAATAGCAGAGGCAAATACGCTCTAAGGCCAAAGGCAATTCTGTTTCTCACATAAGGAAATTCAGGGTACTAGCAAACTATATTTGCCTCTAATTTGATGGACAGAAGCAGAGAAATACTGGCCAGGTGAAGTTTTAATTTTCAGTGGTCTCCTTGGGCCAGCCACTGCAATCTTTCCTCCTACTGTTAGGAACATCTCCATACTCCTGAGCTCCAGGGCCTGCAAATCTCCAACACCACTGACCCCTCTCAAATGGCAAAGCCTTTCCCAGGGTGGAACCCCTGGAATGGTGTTTGTGGTTTACTTTAAAAGGTGTGAACAAATGTCCTTGATAAATTATGTGTTACTTGAAGTTAAATTCATCTTGTTTTTGCAATGGTATTGCCTAGATTGCCTAGAGCCTTTAGCACAACAATTGCATTTGGATTCTTCAAGAGGGGGAATAGAATACCCAGCATTTCTCAAAAGTTTTTAACAGAAAAGCTTTATGGGGGTAAATGCACCATTCAAGACTAGAGTTGTGAGGATACACTTGTGAAAATGCTGGATTTGGAAGGAACATGCTCTTGGAGGCAAGACTCTGTCTCCTCCCCAAGGAAGAGGAGAACTGATCTACTCATGTCGGTCTTGCTCCCATACACACCAGCAGGTCGTACCCACACACCTGGTGCCTGTGATGGTCCCAGGATATCCTGATGTGTCCCATCTTCTCTTGTTTCTTCTCCACTCCAGGTTATTACTCCTGCATCTCCACATCATCTGCTCCTATCTCTTTGGAACAGCCTTAGCATTCTTTCTCTTTGCCTGGGTCTTGGGGTAGAGAAGTTTCCACAAAGAGGACAGAAGTTCTTAGCCAAAAGCAATTCAACATCCTGGCTTGTCAGCAGTGGGAAAAAATCCTGAGGGTGGAAGAACTTCAAGCATTTACTGGGACTCCTGTCTGTCCATCTGCAATTCCCTTCCTAGTGTCATTAAGAGAAGAGGTTTCATGCCTGATGCATCTGTGTTCATTCAAATTTCAGCCCTGCCTCTTACTGTCTTTGGCATGTTTGGGTAAGTCGCTTAACATCTCTGAGCCTCAACACCTCTTCTGGAAATTAGAGATGATGATAATAATAATACTTATTGCTTATATATTGCTGTGAGTATTTCATGAGATAATGTATGTCATAGTCTTAATCAGTGTCTGGCACATAAAATATGGGGAATACACATTCTCTGATATTACTATTTTTCGTGAATGTTGTTGTTTTTGTTGTTATAATTCGTATGCCCAATTGATTCCAGTGCATAATCTAGAGAATGAGATCCACTTAAACCCCCCATAAGCATCCATCCTCAGAACCTCACCTCCCTGGGCCAGGCAGCAGAATGAATGTGCCCCTTCCCTTGAAATCAGAGTCTGCTGTCTCCCCAGGAGGTGCCTGCGTGGAGCTCTGCCTCTTCAGATTAAATGCTGCTGTTGGCAGTGAAACACACAGATTTATTTAGTCATCATATTTGTTGGGTTGCTCTACTGAAAAATGATGGCTCCTAATTAACATATCAACACATGAATCATTTCTGGAGTTCTAGCTGCACAAACTGCCCAGCTGCTGGTCATTTCTCCCAGAAAACAATCAAGGGAAATATACCAAGCTGTGGTTCTCCACCTCGTCCTCTATCCTC
The DNA here is from genome assembly GCF_000001405.40 of Homo sapiens. Taxonomy (NCBI): domain Eukaryota; kingdom Metazoa; phylum Chordata; class Mammalia; order Primates; family Hominidae; genus Homo; species Homo sapiens. The sequence goes on from NC_000020.11 coordinate 60,591,587, forward strand.
CCCCACCCATGCCCACGTCTCCCCTGCTGTTCCCATGAGCATGACAGGCTCCATGGGACAGGAGAGGTGCCAGCTGAGAGCAGGCTGGGGGCTGCAGGGAATGACTTGGTCTTTTCATGACAATTGTTCTCAACCAGATTAGAGGACTCTAACGGAGGCAGGGGTACGGTTTCAAGAGATCATTCATCTTGAATACAGAATTGAGTCTTTTATTACTGAGGAACAGTTTCCAGGTATCTAAATCATAGAATTGGCTCAAAAGTCTCTCCCTCTCTTCCCAAGCACGTGAACCAAGTCCTCATCTTGGCCTGTGAGTACTGTCTCCACAGGCATCAGTCGCCAACCAACAGGCAGGACTTCACAAGACGGAGACAGCCAATCTGGGCTGGAATGGGCTCATGGTTGGGGTAGTGGGGAAGGGTATCTTAACACTAAGTAAGATTGTGTTTCTGCCTGTGTCTCAAAATGTTCATTCCTACATGTGTGGCAATTAGAAAAGACACATGTGTTTGAATTCCCGTTCTAACAATTAAATTGTTCAAGTCTTCTAGTACCCAGGAAAGACATAAGGCAAGCCCAGACTTTCATTCAGTCTCACCTACAATCTAGGCACACACTGCTTGCTGTTTTGATCATCTCATAGTTAAATATGTGAAGACAATCACAAGCCATAAGGACCATTGTTTTTTTCTGCCGCAGATTCCTCCCAGTGCTTGAGGACTTGCTAAATCGTATACGTACCTAATTTCCATCTCCAGATTCTACAATAGGTATGTCTTATTTTAAGCCAGTAGACTTATTTTGTCTTATTTTGTGGCACTCTAGTTTTCAGCACATTCAGCTCCAATGCCAATCGTAACCTTGAAGGACACAATCGTGAATGCCATCATCGCAAATGTTGGAATCCTGAAAAATTTAAATCCCTAGAGTCTAAAATCCCTAACATCTAAAACCCTTCCAAATCACCAACCTGAAAGATTAAAGTCTCAGATGGTGAAATTCTGAAAGTTGAATTGTGCAGAAGGGATTCATGTGCTTTCATTGGTACGCAGGATCGCTGCGTTGAGTTAGTTGCATCGTGTTAGGTGAAACTATTGTTTTATTGTTTCAGAGACAACTTGTTGTTGTCTTTATTTGGAAATTGAGTATGGTTTAAGGAGAGGCATATGGGAGCCAAGTAAATAAGGTGTGGACTTGTGGGCTTTATTCCACATGTCGACTTGACTGGAATAAGGAATGCCTAGAAACCTGTAAAACATTATTTGAGGTGAGTCTGTGAGAGTGTTTCCAGAGGAGACTGGTGTGTGAGTCTGAGTGGGCTGATGAGAAAGATCTGCCCTCATTGTTGGTGGGCATCATCCCATCTGCTGGAGACCTGGAGAGAACAAAGACGGAAGGCAAGAAGACAGATGGGTCTCTTTGTCTGAGAGCTGGGACAGACTTTTCTTCTGCTACCTTGGACATCACAACTCCAGGGTCACTTGTCTTTGGATTCTGGGACGTCTACCAGCACCCCCAGGTCCTGAGGCTTTTGGCCTTGGGCTGAGAGGTACATCATTGCCTTTCCTGGTTCTGAGGCCTCAGACTGACTGAACCAGGAAGCTCTCAGCATCCCAGCATCCCAGCTTGCAAACAGCTTGTCGTGGAATTTCTCAGCCACCATAATTGTATGAGCCAATTCTCGTAATAAATCTCCCCTTCTATATCTATGTCTATATACATATATTATCAGTATCATCTCTCTGACAACTCTGGCTAATTTGGTGTTGGGGAAGCTGAATATCCTTCCTTCTTACTGTATCCTTCACAACATAATGGAAGAAATCTGTGAAATTGTTCCCTTGAAAAAAGGCTGTGATAAGTTTAGTGTACGAGGCTACCTAAGGTGAAAGATAAAATATTAAAAGCTAGTTATTATTGGTGCTGCAAAAGCAGAAAGTCTCTCTTATTTGCAATGGCCATGCAATAATCAGACTTTCCAATGAACGAGCACATACTTATAAAATGTGCAGGCCAGGCACAGTGGCTTACGCCCATAGTCCCAGCACTTTGGGAGACTGAGGTGGGCAGATCACCTGAGGTCAGGAGTTTGAAACCAGCCTGCCCAACATGGTGAAACCACATCTCTACTAAAAATACCAAAAATTAGCTGGGCATGGTTTCAGGGGCCTGTAATCCCAGCTACTTGGGAGGCTGAGGCAGGTGAATTGCTTGAACCTGGGAGGCAGAAGTTTCAGTGAGCTGAGATCACGCCATTGCACTCCAGCCTGAATGACAAGAGTGAAACTCTGTCTCAAAAAAAAAAAAAAAAAACATGTAGATCACAACCACTCTCCAAATACAAGTGCACCAAGTGTTTGGAAGATCATAGAAGTGAAAATGCAGGTGAAAAATACAAGAAATATTTTCTGCCAAATTATTCAATTATGTATGGCTACTTCCCTTTCACACATAGCACCAACCTACTATGCTCCGTATTTCATCTTCGCATCATTTCCAACATTGAAGGTATAAATTCTGTAAAGAGTTTTAGAGAGCTCTAATTCATATTACGCATTTTTGCAAATTGACTCCATGGAAGTACCTTACACAAAGTTGACTTTGTATGTAAGCATTGTGCATGTGTGTGAAATTAATTAATTTTAATTAATTAACAAAGAGATGTCCTTTTAAATAATAAGAGATGGCTTTTGTACATTTGCATTTGTGAAAGATAATATTGCTTGACATTCCTTTAACATTTCTTTAGCCATCTGCACATGTGGTGGTAACTCATCTCAGTTTTTGATCAATCTCCTCAAAAGACACAGGTTATCTGTCATATTTCAGATAACCACAGTCATGAACCTGCGTGCATGCAGTCACCAATCATTGTCATACACATTCATACATCTTGCTTTTTGATCTATTTCTTTATGAACAGAGCTTGCCTGCTCATCACTGTTATACCCATGTGAATGTCTTTAGTATACCTGAGTGTTTATGCTTGCAAAAATATGTGTTATTCTTGTCGATTTTATTGCATAAAGTGGCCAATCAAGTATTCTGCCCTATTTTTATGCTTCTAAAAAATATTCCCTTTTAAAAATGTAAATAAATGTTCTCTTTAAGGATTTAGTTTAAATTTTTTCCAGAATTGTATTTTGAGGATTTTGATCTTTCAAGAGTGTAATTTTCAGGATTATAGACCTTAGGGGTTTCCGATTTTTCAGGATTTCAACACTCAAGATTGTGATGTTCAGGATTGTGTCTTTTGGGATTATGGCCCAAACCTATTAAACCCATATAGACTTTTCAATATACATGTTACAGTATGTATGTCATTGCTATGATGAGCAACACATCTGATAAATGTGGGCAATATCTTTATCAACTATAACTAAAAAATCAAAACTTCTATTGTAACTTTTAAGCTATACTTATATTGTCCTATATACTCTGATTGTCTGTGTATATTGTGTTCTATTAGAAGATAAACAATATTGGGCTTCACAGTTCCTGTTATTGAAAACTCCAAGAGGTCCTGAAAAAATATTTAAAATAAATTTTTAAGAGATGATGACTTACATTTTTAAAAAAGGATTTGTTCTTGAGTAACATATAAACAGTACAGAACACTTCATACACCACTTTACACAACAAAATAGGTGATAATTCAGGACCTCTTGGAGTTTTCATGATTCCAGTTATTGAAAACTCCAATTGCTGCTCCTTGGTGAATCCCTGGGATTTATTGCAGGGTCAGTAAATAATGATTGACACATGCATACATACATATACCTTACATATATATTATGTATATGTATCAGTTAGTCAAATATTATTTGAATGGATAAATGAATAAATACTAAGATAGGGACTTTGAGATAGACGTTTGGATTTTATTAGCTTATGTGCAATCTTTTCTGGTCTTCTTCAACCACTAAGAGTTTCAGAACACAAGCATGTGGCATCTATAGACCTTGACTACTGTCTATCACCACACATGCAATGCATGGTCAAACCATAAAGAAATAATTTTTTTACTGCAGGTCTCAACCCTGGCTGCACACTGGGATCACCTAGGAAGCTTTTGGGAAGGATGAAGATGTAATTATGATGCTGGTTGCACAATTCTATAAGTATGCTAAAAACCGTTGAATTGTATACTTAAAGCAGGGGAAATTGATGATATGTAAATTATATCTCAGTAAAGCAGTTAAAACAAAGTGAATCCCTCACCCAGAGATTCAAATTCAACTTGTCCCGAATGCAGCTGATAAACTCTCCCCAGGTGGTTCTAATGTGCAGCCACGGCTGACGACCACTAGTTCATAATCAGTTCAGAACTCTATGGCCAATCAATTCCTTCAGACACCTGGAATCCTGGACCAGCTACAGGGACAACTGATTATTCTATTTGTGTAGACCTGGCTACCCAGGGACCCACCTCAAATGCCACATATTATCAATAACACCTTAACTCTATTGTTCCCAAACCCAACCAAACAATATACAAAACAGGGAGATCCTGTATACAAAGCAGACATCCGTTGGTTCACCTACCAACCTTCCGCATCACTGTCCCCTATGTTGGTGCCTGGAAATCTGAATTTGTAAAGGCTCCATAGAGTCTGAGTTCCCTGACCAACATTCATGGGGCTACGTTAATGTCTTGTGTTAAAATTCCAGTACCCAAGTTCTCAAGTAAACAGCAAATATTACTAGGAGGCGCATGTCCCAAAATAGTTTGGGGGAACTATTTGCACTCAAAGTCACAAGGCTGATAAATGATAATTAATGTAGTCATGTCATAAGGGAGAGTGACATTCGTGTGAGAACAGCTAGAGAGTGAGATTAGCTCCTGTTACTTCTTGGCTGGCTGACCATGGGTGATGTCTTCTAATCCATCGGCACTCCCTTTCCTCCCCTCTCCTGCTATGGAAAAAGGGCTGACCCTCCTTGGGCTGAGGTCAACTCTCCCGTCATTGTTCTGAAGCCCTTGCTTTCACAGAAAACTAAGATTCTCAATTAGATTTTATTCCCTTTTATAACCTCAACTTCTCAGTTGCCATTCTTTCTTTCAGTTCTTAAATATGCTTCTCTCTCGTCTTAATAACAAACAGGCAAAATCCTCAGGACTCCAACCTCCCACTTCCCTCTCCTGGCCAGCCATGTCCTATCCATGTCTCCATTTTGCATTCACCCTTGACTGGACTCCACCAGTTTCTGCTATTGCTTGGCTAACACATGACTTGTTCCTGGGCCATCCATGCCAGCACAGCCCCAGCATGGACCCCACCTCCCAATCTGCCTTCCTCGTGCTCTCCTAGCTGGTTTTCCACTGTGGGCATTCTCAAGGCTCTGTTCTTACCCTCTAGTTCTTATTTGCCCTACCCTTTGTCTTTGTTAGTATTTGCCCTACTGTTCCTCTTTCTTTCCTAGAAGTTTTCATCTACTTCGATGCTTCAAATTGCTACATATAAACTGAAGGCTCCCAGAAGATTGCTCCCTACCAGATCTATTCAACAGAACACTCAACAACCCTAGCTTTCAAGTCTCTCTCAAATTCAATATACCCAAGCTGAAATCACGATCTCCCCTATAGGATCTCTGTCCGTCGTCTCCAGGTTGGTGACTAGTGTCATGCCCCATCCAGTGGGTTAGCTCAAACCCTAGCCATCACCCTTGGTCTTTCCCCTCTTCATCCCCCTTAAGCAAAGTTCCCCACATCTTAAAGGATTTTTACCCTCAAGTATTTCTCACATCCCTTTGGTGCACTGTATCTCTGCAACCTCATATTATTCCAAATTGTCTATCTAAAGTGCAATTCCTGTCACCACTTTCTCTTAAACCCATAAATGATCCTCCACGGATCAGGGGATAAAAACAACAATTCCCGGAGCCTCGTTAAAGCCCCTGGATAATCTCACCCTCTCCATCTCCCCAGCAGTGGTCATGACTCACTCCCCTTTTTCTTTACTCTCCAGCCACACTAGTCTCTGTCCTCCATGGAGGGAAATGAGTATCGTTTTCTTTGGATGCTGTGTTCTCAATGCCCGGCACAGTTGCTGCCACATCACAGGCACTGGCAAAATATCTGTTGATCAAATGAATCTGAATTCCCTAAGCCTCAGTTTGCCCATTTATAATTTGGGGCTAGTGATAGCAGCTAATATTTAGAATGACTTTATGAAGATGCTACACGATAGCACTGCCAATATACTCAGCAGAGTCTAGCACATCACTGGGGCACCGAACAAAGATAATTATTTAAGTGATGATGATGATCCTGTGGTCCAATCTCCTTGGGAGGCTGAGTCAGGAGGATTGCTTGAGCCTAGAATTCAAAAGTGCAGTGAGCTAGGATCACACCACTGCACTCCAGTCTGAGCGACAGTCTCAAAAAAATGATGATACTGATTAAGAAGAAAAATTGATCAGGTGCACACATTCATAGGACAAAACCCAATTTATACTAGATGATCAATTAATGTTATTGGAAGCAGAAGCAGAATCTTACAGGGTTTGTGAATATCACCCCCATATTTGTATATTTGAGAGGAAAAAAAAGCAGTCCATTTTGATATGGAAAAGAACAGATTTGGCATATAAAGGATACCCCAGCTCTGGTTCAAATGGTCTTTGTGACCCCTGGCAAGTTGCTTACCCTTTGTGGGCCTCCATTTCCTTGAACACTAAATGGGTGTATTGGTCTGAAGAGGTATCCAAATTCTCCAAAGTCTTCTAGGAGTGAACCCTTAATCCTGGGTAGGGCTGACCATGACTGGGGATGGGGCAGTCAGGGCCTCACCCCTGCTTCATTCAGAGCAGCTCCCATTTTATGTTTCTATGTTAAATTCTGGAACAAAATGTTCTGTGTCTAAAAACCCAATGGTGATACGTAAAATGTGGGATTGAGGGGATGTTTGCTTCAGTCACGATTCTTTGTGGTGCAAGCCAAAGAAAGCCCCACCCAAGCCGGCCTCAACAGGAAGAAAATGTCCACTCACAAGATGTCCCCCCAGGCTCAGGTTCATGTCTCCGTGGCTCCTGCGCCTGCTTCTTCCCCAGCCTGTCTCTCGCCAGCTGCAGCTGTGGCATCCACTGACGCCTGTCCCCTAATCCTCCTACCCACGGGAGGCTGGCCGCCTCATCAGGCAACGTCTGTGAAGGAGCCAGTCCTGGCACCGCAATCCCAGGGTGACCCCAAGTCACGTGTCCATCCGTGATCCAGCCACGGAGCCCTGGGGAGCACAAGGTGCTGCTCACGTCAGCTTGGGGTTCTGCTCCCCACTTTAGGGCTGAGGATTGAGCCTCATGTGGGTTATGTGACCTGAGGGTGTGAGGAACGGGGCTCCTCAAGAGAAATTAGAAAATGGTGACTAGACAGTTAAAGAAATGCTGCGAGTGAAACCAAAGCTCAAACATTCTGATGCCTGGACGACTTTAAATCCTCAGAAGAATCTCAATTCCCTCAGGCAACTTCAGTGGAAATTGCTGCTTCAGCTCCAGCTACCAAATAAAGCCTCCCCCTGACCCACAAACACCTCTGGACTATCTCTTGGGCTAAAAAATTTAAATTTAAATCTCCAGGCCCTCGGAAAAAGCCAACTGGCCTTCTCTTAACTCAAACCTCGCTAACAGAATAGTCAGGAAATGAACAAAGCCCTCCGGAGTGCTGCTGTCTGCAGAATTCCGACTGTCACATCTTCCCTTCTCCGGGCTGTTTGCTCTGACTCTTATCCGCTCTATCTTGAAGAGCTTGACAAGTTCCCTATCCATTCAAGCAGCTCCCTCGCCATTACATACTTGCTGACCTAGAATATTAGTCTTTTGTGTGCTACTATATCAAAAGCTTTCTTGAAGTCCAAGTAAATTATAGCCAGGCTTCCTCCTGTTGACTCAGTGCTGTTTCCTTGAAAAATTCTATCAGATCAACCACGCTTGGTTTTTCCTTGGTGAGTCCACGCCGACTACCTGTAATTAAGCCAGGGCGAGCGCAGCCCCTGCCCGATGCGCCGAGAGCATGTTCCGCTTTGGCTCCCTCTGAAGCCAAGATGAAGTCAAGCAAGCTCGCGAGTAGCGTGGAGACCTCTGTGGCCCCTTCTCCAGGGATGAGCCAAGCAGCTCTAGTTCCTCTTACGTTTTTATCATGCATTTAAAAGAGCGTCCTCAAAAATCGTAATTTCAGTTGAAGCGGGAGAAAGCTCACGGAATTTGGAAGCTGAAGCCTTCAATCCAAATCCCTCCTCTGCCTTTTAGTAGCTGTGTGCATGGCTCTAAAGGAATACCTGGGGCTGCGTAATTTATAAAGAAAAGAGGTTGATTTTGGCTCACGGTTCTAAAGTCTGTACAGGAAGTGTGGTGCTGGCATCTGCTTCCAGTGAGGGCCTCAGGAAGCTTCCAATTATGGCGAAAGGTGAAGGGAGAAAAACGCGTATCACTTGGCGAAAGAGGGAGCTGGAGGAGAGGGAGATCCTAAGCTCTTTTAAACAACGAGCTCTCATGTGAACTCATCACCACTCATGACCATGGGAGAGGGCACAGGCCATTCCTGGGGGATCTGCCCCCATGATCCAAACACCTCCCACCAGGCCCCGCCTCCCACATTGGGGATCACATTTCAACGTGAGATGTGGAGGGGACCATGATCCAAACACCTCCCACCAGGCCCCGCCTCCCACATTGGGGATCACATTTCAGCGTGAGATGTAGAGGGGACATACATCCCAACCGTGTCACATCGTCATTCTGGGCAAGTCCCCAAATGTCTCTGAACCTCAGTTTTCTGACTGTCAAGTGGCACTGATAATGACACCTGGTGTGTGGGGTCATTCACAGAATTGATGAATTAATGAAGTTATGCAAAGCATCTCATCAAGTCATTCATTCAACAGTCTGCCACATTATAGGGACTCAATCAATGGTGTCATTTACTTATTTCTGCAAGTCAGATACTTCCCTAGGCCATTTCAAATCTTATTTCCCATTGCCATTTTTTTCACTGCATATAACCTTAAATATCCCATCCCCTCCTCCATTTTGTGTCATGTTTAATGGAGAGAACATTTATTCCACAATCTTTGTATTTGCTAGGAAAGAACTGCCCAAACCCTTTGGTTTTACTCTCCACCCCTTATCCTCAGGGAGGAACAAGGTTTTCTGAAAAATGAGTTTGGATCTTGGCATATTCAGGTCAAGCCCTCTTTCTCTTTGTAATCTGCCTCCCTACAGCAGCAGGAAGGTTTGGGTCTACTCTTGTTTTGCCCAGAGTGGTCTCGATTTTTTTTTTTTTTTTTTTTTTTTTTTTTTTTTTTTTTTTGAGGCAGAGTCTGGCTCTGTCGCCCAGGCAGGAGTGCAGTGGCTAGATCTCTGCTCACTACAAGCTCCACCTCCCAGGTTCACGCCATTCTCCTGTCTCAGCCTTCCGAGTAGCTGGGACTACAGGTGCCCACCACCATGCCCGGCTAATTTTTTTGTATTTTTAGTAGAGACGGGGTTTCACCATGTTCGCCAGGATGGTCTCGATCTCCTGACCTCGTGATTCGCCGGCCTCGGCCTCCCAAAGTGCTGGGATTACAAGCGTGAGCCACCACACCCGGCCTGGTCTCGATTTTTGATCTTTTTCTGGAATAATTCTTACTAGCACCTTCTTTTGGTCTCAGTGTGCCCCATTTGGGGTGGTAAACTCCAGTCACCTTGTATCTTTGTCATGCATTAGAAGTGTCTCTGTCTCTGGCACAGGGGGCAGCTATCCAGTTGTGTCTGCGACAAGGCAGGCAAGTTGGCTTAACTCAGGGGTGGCTAGTACTCTGCCTACTAGGATTCTGTAAAAAAGGAGACCTTATTTTTTTTTTAAGTCTCTAGCTGCCCACCTCCTGTATAGCTCCTTGTTGGGGTAGGACTCAGGCAGAAGAGAATGCTAGCAATCCTCCTACCCTGTCTGGAATTCATGTCCTCCAATTCCTATCTTATCCTACTCCTTAGTTAGACTAAATAAAACACTACCCATGATGTCTTTCCTACACCATGCCACCATTCTCCATGAGCTTGGAGTAGCATCTACTTCCTCTGAACTCCCAGGGGTCCTTCTCTGTACCTCCAGGTGATACTTGTCCATTTATCCAGCACAGCTATACTCACTCATTCATATACAGTTACATTCGTTCACTTGCTCTTTCAGGGCCAGTCCTGCCGTAGTCCACTTGTATATTCTCTACAGTCATCATGAGTATTTTGCTGATGGGATACAGTGGAAAACAATTTTTTTATGTGAATGAATAAGTGAATGAATTGATTTGGTTTCCAGGACTCGTGATTACAGCAGTACACATTACCACTAGCCTAGTCCTTGAGTAGCAGGCTGGTGCTTCATTCTAGTCCATCCGGGGGACTTGCAATTGTGCCTACCTGCAGCTCTGAAGTTTATAAAAGTTAGACTTATGAATAAATACCATGGACAAGGACTAACTGTTTTAAAGATTGCTAACTACAGAAAATGCTCTGTGTTCATTAGGAGTTGTTAGCTGGGAGTGATAGCAGCCCAGCTCCATCTAGCTAACCAAAGAGGGTGTATCGGTTGACAGTGCATCCAGGGAGTATTGTGCAAGAGAAGGATGGGAGGTAATTGGATGTCAGGAGTAACTGGACGTGAGGATTTGGAGGCTGCCAGGATGCACACCCCTTCATTGGTCCCCACATCCTTTGGCCTCACTCTTTCTCATCAGATTCTCTTTCTCCAAATGGAGGGGAGAATAGCTACCAGCTGCCCCAGGTTTTAAGGTGTCTGCCACTCAGTCACAGGAGAGACTGCTCAGGTCCTAGCAGTGTAGGAAAGACTCTGATTGTCCCAACCAGTGTTGCACCCACTTCCATACTATTACCTGCAGCAGAGGGTGGGCGCTGGGAAGGAAGTAAAAGGAGCTTGGGGAGGGCCTGGCAGCTCTAGTGGGGACCAAGCAGATAGGAGAGGGGTGGGTGTGGAGGAGCAGTTCTCAGAAGAAGGAGGGTCTGGGGAAATGGAACAAGGGATGCCAACAAGAGATTCTTCAATAACAGCATTTACGCCATTGTACTCTTCAGTGCCGTGCACTGGGCATTTACCCTGGAGTGCTGGGGGTGAAGGGGGGCAAGGAGGACAAGAAGGAGACAGAAAAGCACAAAGCTAAGGAGGTAAGAACCGATACCTATTGAAAATGAATGGCCCTGAGAGCAGTGGGTCTTGGAAATGACAGGGTAAATCAGGACCCTCACTAGGACATAACTAAGGCCACCTGAGGGTGAATATGTCATCATCCTTACAAGTTTGCATTACAGCCTCTCAATCAGCCGGTGTTGCAAGACATTAGGCCTGGAAGCCCAAAACTGAACCTCATAGACACCACCTCATGTTATTCAAGCCCTCCCATGTCCCTTTGCACAACTTGGTCGAATGCACCAAAAGCTATCGTTTGTGTAGACAGCACCATGCACTCCACGCAGGGCCTTCCTGTATCAGTCCATTTGGGATCTGACTCCATGTAATGGGCAGGAAGAGCAGGCATCATTAGCCCCATTTTACAGACAGGGAAACCAAGGCTCTGGAGATGAATGACTTGCAGAGAGACAGAGCACAGGAGAACCACATGGTGTGGAAGAAAAAACCCATATCTTTCCATCTGGATAGGTACAATAATGCTAATGGAATGAATCAGTGAATAAGAAAAACATGGATTTTGGAATCACCTATTAGCTGGACAACTTTGGACAGGCTACTCGGTTCTCCCTCCTTGGAGCCTCGGTTTCTCCAACACCAAATGATGGAAATGGCATCTAATTAGCAGGATGGGGTGATGCCCAGAGAGGGTGGGCATCAAATGCCTGGGTCACTCAGGCTCAATACTGGTGGCTTCAGGTTTAAGTGATAGAAACTGGATCAAAATCCAGGTCTTCCACCTAGTGGACCTGTTGTTTCCACTTCGCTCTTCCTCTTGCATTTTATCCTTCTTGCAAGCAATGAGAGTCTGATTCTGCAGTGAGGCTTTAGATCAGAATAATCATGGTGTCTGATTCCATGCACCTGAAAACATCTCACCCACCCCCCTGCACCCTCCTCTTACCATCACCTGTTGAGGGACAGTACACAGACCCCAAGACCATTTCTTTCCTGGCCAAAGACAAATCTCAGAAGTTGTGTGCATGGTTTATTGCTGTGGACCCTGGACCAGAAACACCAGCTATGCAGTGTTGAGCCCTGAGAATGTGGCAACATGATTCCCAGGCAGCACATAATTTCATCCTGACAACGGTTTTCAAAAGAAGTTACCATTTTTATCTTGATTTTTTAGATTATATAACTAGTAACCAGCCAAGGTACAGTGTGAACCCTGACATTCAATTCAACCAGCTGTGTTTTAAGCACTCTGCCATTCTGTGTCCAAGGACTTTGTGTCCTGGGACAATAGACATTTGGGTGCCAACCAGGGTGGACTCTACTAATAAGGAAGAGCCATTCTATGCTTTGGTGCTGGTGGGTAGGGGCAGTAGAGAGCCTCTATAATGACTGAATTGAGTGTCCTGTCTGCAAGGAGGGAGGGGGACGGCTCAGAAGGTAGTTAAAATCCTAGCTGAAACTGTAAAAATGAGGCTGGTCTTTCTTGTACATCGAATACATGGGCTTAAGCTTCTTTCTTGTCACACGTTACATCTAATCATTCAAGCTCTGATGTTTGCATGTGGCTGGTCACACTCAACTTACCCTTGCTACACCTGTATGTTGTTTCTAATCAATGGCCATGTCACCAAAAACTTGAAAATGTTTATAAATTTAATCCATAGCTAAACGGTATTTAAAATGGGCAATACCGTGGCAAGAAATTATTTTTAAATAATCCCTATAGTGATAATTTTAGAAAGTGATAAATTCGGCCATTATAAAATGCATGCCTTGTAATATATATAGTGCAGCTTCATAAACACACATGAAAAGTGCTTAATAAATATATGTGTTGAATGAACAAAGGAAAACATGAATGCTTTAAATTTTCTTATTCAAATTGCTCACCCTGTTTTCCAACGTCTACTAAGATTTTCACACGTACCATTTTTTTCAAATCTAATAAAAGTTCTTATTTATGGTTTGAGTCACTCTGTCTTTGCAAAAGTGAGATCTGTTGGTATCTTAAAGAAACATATATGCTCCTTGGAAACAAAATGAATCTCTTAATCTGAACACCAAGTGTTAAGTCATGACAGCCTAGAAAAAAAAAGAAAGAAAAAAGAAAAAATACACATAGCACTAAAATCAGTACTAAGGATACTTCAGTGAAGGCAAATTCCACTGCATGTGACATTATCTTCTGTCTTATGAATGGCAGCCAGACCTTGAACATGGAACAGAGGCACAGATGATTTATAGATTGCTAGCGTTGTTTATTGTCGTGTGAGGAATTCTCTCTGCATAGTTGGATTATCGCACTTCTTGTTGAGTAAAGGTTCAAGACATCATCTCAGAATCATAATATCAGTCAGGCTGAGCTGAATTCATATAGAAATTCAGTTACCATCAAATTTGCAATTGTAAATATTTTGAGAAAGAATTGGGTGAAATGAGTGGCACCGTTTTTCATGATCTGCGTGAACTAATGTGTCCTGTGCTGCAGGACAAAGTCTGTGGTAAGAGGATTCCAAATGAAACCCGCAGCAAGTGTCTCTACCACCCTTCCAGAAGTGTCACGTGGTGTGAGGTTTGCTAGCACCGTGTCCAAAAGCCACCTAAGCTGACAGCTGACACCTAAGCCCACCGCATGACAGGTTCCCTAAGCCTAGAACAGTTTCTCAACTGTGACACTGTCAGCATTTGGGCTCAGACGACCCTTTCTGGGGGCCGTCCTGTGCGCTGTAGGATATGAACCTGCGTCCCTGGCTTTCATTCGCCAGATGCCGGCAGCAGCTGCCCTGCACTTGCGGCAATCAAAACTGTCTCCAGCCATTTCCAAATGACCCTAGGGGCAGAATCGCCCAAGGTAAGACCGGCTGGTTTAGTCACACATCTTTTCACCCTGTTCTGGTGTCACTGGACATTGGGCCTCAGCATCGGCTGTCCCAAAACGAAGGCAGAGTACAAATATAAAAGCACCCTGAACCAATGAGTCTGCACTCAGCAAGCAGGGTTTTCTCTGTTCCTGTGCAGGTAAATGGGACCGTGGAGGTAACTCCAGATCACCCAGGTGCCCCTCTTCTTCCTCACTGCCTGCCTCTGAAACAAGGACATTCTCTGTGCCACACAAGTTGCCAAAGATCTCCTGGGACCCAGCACTTAGCACGTGTTGAGGCTATAAATGCTTAGTACTCATGCCAGGTGAGCTTGCTCACTGTGATCTCCCAGCACCCAGCACAGACGTTGGCACTTATGGGTACTCTGCAAACCTTCTCTGAATGAATGCGGCACCTGCAGGGAGTCAGGGACCCTTTAAGATCCTCTTTTGTCCCTTCATCACTTTGCCTTGACAATTGTGTTAAGCCAGGATGAATGAAAAGTCAAGAAATTTTGAAAACTACTTTCCATTTATTCCTTCCTTTAACCTGGTGATTCTCAATCTATCAGTCATCTGTGGTGAGAAAGCTTTTTTTTTTTTTTGAACAATTTCCAATCCTTCATGGATCAGTACTTTTCAGAAATACAATCAATCAATCGATTACTATAAAATAGAATGGTAAAGTAAAGCCATAAAAACACAAGCCCATTTTAAATATTAGTAGATTCAAAAGAAACAAAACACTCAGTCAATTTGTTATAATAGTTCCTAAACTCCTACTCTGAATTTCTGTGCCTATCTCCCTTGGATGGTAAAAAACAGTTTGCAGATCCCAGCAGGTCGGGGACCACACTTAAGTAGTCTTGCTTTAACTGACTTTGCTAGTTTGGGACATCAAACTAGCCAATGTCTCCAGTACTTTTGATTAATGGCCATGTATGGCCCCAATCAAGATCCAGGTTTCTGTTTGGTGTGCAGAAGACTAGGATCCTTTTTTTTTCTTGATATCTGAAATTTTTCAACCATAGAAAAGTTTAAATGACAGTAATAATAACAGTAAAATAAACATGCAGGGAGGTACTCTTCCTACAGATTCAGCAATTGTTAATATTTTATCATACCCTCCCCCAGCCAGCCCCCTGCATCCCAGGAAACTCCTCAGTCCCAGGCAAACTGTGATGGTTGATCACACGCTCCCTACTTAATCTAGATTATTCCTCCCACCTCCTTTTCCACGTTCAGGCGGGACATCTCACATTCTGGACCTACCTGACTGTTTCCTTGGCATTTGATTCAAGGCAAATATTCCTGAAAAGAACACCATGGAGGTGAAGCTGCCCACCTCTCACCACCCTGCCAGGGCACACCAGGACTTCCCACAGTTGGGAAGCTAAGCTTGATCACTTGATTAAGGTGGTGTCCATTGCAAAGGCACATTTTCCTTTGGTAATTAATAAGTAATCATGGATATCATGCATCTTCTTTTCCCATCAACCTATCAGTCCAGTGGCTTTTTGGGTCCATTGATAATCCCTGCCTGAATCAATGATTACAATTAGAGTTACAAACTGGTTATTTTTTAATTCTATCACACTATTTGTGTATATTTGCCCACACTCATCTATTAAAAAAGCTCCCCTTTTGTTCTCTTCCTCATACCCCTTATATTTAAAAATACATCAGTATGGGCTTATAAATATCAGTTTTATTCACTACTATAAACTGTTACCATATTTTTCCTTATTTTTGGTGCTCAAATTTGTCCCCCATTGACCAGTGGGAAGCCCTGAAGTCCAGCTCCTATTCACGTTGGACGTGCCACATTGGGCTTTGAGCACTTTTCTACTTCCTGTCACATATAAAAGTTCTAAGTATGCCTCGTGCTTTTCCTGCCCTGGGCCCAGAATGCATTCCTTCACAGAGTCCAGGTAACTTATACGGTAAATGGCTTTAGGAAGCAAGACCTGGCACTGTGTGTGCTCACTACAACTGGGTGCCATTGCTTCTAGGCCCTTCCAGTTGTCAAAGTGAAGAATTTTTTTTGTCTTTTAGGCCACAAATGTATACCGTTATCTCCAATTTCACTTAAACACCAGAGGTTTTTCTTCAATTCCCCCATTTTATATTTTCATCTCCCATCTCTTGCAATAAAAACTCTCTTTAAACAACATCAATATTTGTAGTCATTTGCTAAATATTATGATACATTCAAAGTAATTTCAGAATTACACCATCACATCACTACGGTCATCCCACCTCCTGAGTAAACAGCATAGGATGTCTGGGTCATTCTTTTAGCCTTAGAATATTTTCCACTGAGGTGTCTAGTTAGAAAGCTATATGCAAGACTTACTCAAAATAATTAATTCTCTGCATGTTATGTTATCAAATTGACTTACAGTTAGATTTATTTGGGAATATATATGAATATATAACATTACATATTATATTTTATGTTAATATATATTATAGGATATCTATATTATGTTATCAAATTGACCTACAGTTAGATTTATTTAGAAGTGTATATATATGAATATATAAATATATATATTCTTGGGATTTTCTTTTGTATCACTAATAGGTCTTTGGATATGTAAAATCTCTATGGAATTCAAAAGTGAAACCAAATACAAGTGTATACTCAAAGACTTTCTTTCTATTCCACCTCTTTACCATTTTGATTACCTTCTCCTTTTATTTTACTGGCTTTTTATTTTGCAAAATTAAGCAAATGTATATTTGCACAGGTACACATGCTACACACATACATGAGCAAACACACTTACTTTTTTTCTACTTATACGGAAGCTAAAAACTATATATGATATTTTACATCTTGCTTTTCCTTAACAACGTACCCTAGAAGTGACCCAATTTCAGTTCATAGAGATCTTTTTGTATTTTATAAATTTTTGTTTTGTGTTTATTTTAATTTTTTTAAAATTCTTTTAAGCTAGAGGCATCATGTTACCTGACTACAAACTATGCTACAAGGCTATAGTAACCAAAACAGTATGCATGGTACTGGTATAAAAACAGATACATAGACCAATGGGACAGAAAAGAGAGCCCAGAAATAACACTGCATATCTATAACCATCTGCTCTTCAACAAGTTAAAAAAGCAATGAGGAAAGGACTCTCTATTCAATAAATGGTGCTGGGACAGCTGGCTAGCCATATGCAGAAGATTGAAACAGGACCCCTTCCTTACACCATATAGAAAAATCACCTCAAGATGATTTAATGATGGATTAAAGACTTAATGTAAAACCTGAAACTGTAAAAACCCTAGAAGATAACCTAGGAAATACCATCATGGACATAGGACCTGACAAAGACTTCGCAACGAAGATGCCAAAAGCAATTGAGACAAAAATAAAAATTGACAAATAGGACCTAACCAAACTAAAGAGCTTCTGCACAGCAAAAGAAACTATCAACAGAGTAAACAGTCAACCTGCAAAATGGAAGAAAATATTTGCAAACTATGCATCCAACAAAACTCTAATATCCAGAATCTATAAGAGACTTAAACAAATCAACAAGTGAAAAATAAACAACCCCATTAAAAAGTGGGCAAAGGACATGATTACACACTTTTCAGAAAAAAGGCATATGTGTGTCAAACAAGCATATGAAAAAAAATGCTTGACATCACTAATTGTTATAGAAATGCACATCAAAACCAGAATGAGATACCACCTCATACCAGACAGAATGGCTATTATTAAAGTCAAAACAAAAACAAAAACAAAAGTTGCTGGTGAGATTGAGGTTGCAGAGAAAAGGGAACACTTATACACTGCTGGTGGGAATGTAAATTAGTTCAGCCATTGTGGAAATCAGTTTAGTGATTTCTTAAAGAACCCAGCAATCCATTATTGGGTATATACTCAAAGGAATATAAATCATTCTACCATAAAGACACATGCACATGTAAGTTCATTATAGTACTGTTTGTAATAGCAAAGACATGGAATCAACCTAAATGCCCATTAACAGTAGACTGGATAAAGGCAATGTGGTGTGGTGTGTATACACCATGGAAATACCATGCAGCCATATAAAATAATGAGATTATGTTCTTTGTAGCAACATGCGTGGAGCTGAAGGCCATTATCCTAAGTGAACTATCACAGGAACAGAAAACCAAATACTGCATGTTCTCACTTATAAGTGGGAGCTAAACACTGAGTACATACGAACCTAGGAAGGGAACAACAGACACCAGAATCTACTTGAGGGTGAAGAGGGGGAAGAGGGTGACTGTGCTTATTACCTGTGTGGCAAAATATCTGATCACCAAATCCCTGTGACATGCAATTTACCTGTATAACAAACTGACACACTGGTATATAGGTAAACAGACCAGTTTATATAGGTAAATTAACATACCTGAACCTAAATTGATGGTAAAAAGAATCTTATTATGTTAATTTGCCTAGTACTGTGTGGTAGCAGATATATCATAATTTATTCATCCAGTCTCCTCTGGGTGGGCATCTGGGTTAGTTATTTCTAAACATAAAATTGTCAAATAACATACAAATGCCTGGGCACACATTGTTTTATATTGTGAAGGTATATCTCGAGGATAAATTCCTAGAAGTGGAATAGCTGGGTCAAGGGAAAAATATATATTTGATTTTAATAGACATTGTCAACTCCCCCTCATCCGGGTTGTGTGTGGGATGGAAAGGCGGCCTTCTCTTGTGCAAGTCGCCTGGCGCGTGAAGTCTGTCCCACCAAGGGGAGCTCCTTCTTTTGTATTTACACGTCCCCATGCCCTCGAGCTCAAAATCCCCACTTTCCGACTGGTAGGCTGACTCAGTACTAATAGGGGAGGTTTTCTTAAGATTAAAATTTTCTTTCTTTCTTTCTTTTTTTTTTTTTGAGATGAAATCTCACTCTGTCACCCAGGCTGGATGGAGTGCAGTGGCACGATCTCGGCTCACTGCAAACTTCTCCTCCTGGATTCAAGCGATTCTCATGCCTCAGCCTCCTGAGTAGCTGGGACTACAGGCGCCCGTCACCAAGCCCGGGTAATTTTTGTATTTTTAGTAGAGATGGGGGTTTCTGTTGGCCAGGCTGGTCTCAAACTCCTGACCTCAGTTCATCTGCCCGCCAAGGCCTCCCAAAGTGCTAGGATTACAGGCATGAGCCACCACGCCCGGCCGAGTAAAAGTTTCTTAACCCAACCTTGGAGCATGTTTCAATGGCCTGGAATGGGGATGTTAAAAAGATATTTTTAAAATTAAAATCCCAGGAGATTTCATTTTTCTGTCAGGGTCAGAATCACTGTGGCCTACAGCAGTGGTTCTCAAACTTGGCTGCACATTGGACTCACTCAGCAAGTTACGAAACGTGGTGATGCCAGGTTCTCACCTTGAGAGATGCAGACGTCATTGGCCACCAGGGTCACCTGCGCATCAGCGTTTTTGCAGACTGAGAAGCAGTTCGAACGTGCAGTCCAGTGGAAGAATCCCTGCCCTACACCAAAGCTCCATACAGCATTATTGCACAGAGCAGGGGATTGATCAAATGGACTTTCTCGCTTTGCTTTACTCAGCGCCTCCTCTTCTGCCTGTCATAGGGACCTCGTGGGGTCTTGATTCTGTCTAATGTTGCCTAGTGAGTCCGTTGTCAAGGTTAAGATCATTCTTTCCATGGTTGTGATTAGCGGTTATGTACATCTTCACTAGGATGCCCTGAGGACCCCAACACACACACTACTGAGAGCTCCTGCAGGTCTTCCATCCAAGAGCTACCTCCTTGGGCTTAGCACTATTTTCTCATTAAGGCCATCCCTTGCCTTTCTTTTCATTCCTTGTATTCCATACCATTAAATTTTATGTATAGTATAGATGGACAATATCAGACAAATTATAGATCCATGTATGTATAGTCTGTACAATTTTGATATATTCAATTTTATTTAATGGATATGATGTGCCATATTATATCAATTATATATATATTTATAATTGAATAAAATGTAAAAAAATTGAAATATACATATATACTTATATATTAATTGTTTGCATTCCTTACATTCCATTAAGTTCTATATATCATTATATTAATTTTGCAACAATAATATATTATATATATAATTTCTATAATAGTGTCATAGATAATATAATTTATATAATAATATGATATATGGCCGGGCACACGGTGGCCCAAGCCTGTAATCCCAGCACTTTGGGAGGCCGAGGGAGGCGGATCATGAGGTCAGGAGTTTGAGACCATCCTGGCCAACATGGTGAAACCCCGTCTCTACCAAAGATACAAAAAAGTTAGCTGGGCGTAGTGGCCTGCTACTCGGGAGGCTGAGGCAGGAGAATCACTGAACCTGGGAGGCAGAGGTTGCAGTGCGTTGAGATCAGGCCACTGCACTCCAGTCTGGGCGACGGAGCAAGACTCCATCTCAAAAATAATAATAATAATATATAATATTATATATTACATATATAATGTAAGGGATGTATATAGATATGCTTCTATACACGCTGCAGTCTACTTCTATTTCTTACCTCTAGCAATTTTTGTCATTAAAGCAATTCTCCATTCACTTTTCTACCATCTCTATTGTTTCTGCTCCATACCCTACATGGGCAAAGGATGTGGTCAGGAAATTCAGAAAAGAAATCTAAACAGTCAGCAACTGCAAAAAATGGTTGCTCCATCTCAGAAGTAGTCAGGGACCCACAGGTGAAAACAGTAATTTTGGCGCACGATACTGACAACGAGAATTGAAGATGGACGTCTCTGAGAGCGGGGAGCATTTGAGCATAGGGCAGTGTCCAGTGCCGTTCAGGGTTAGTTAAATTGGCACACATGTGTGCAGGACAGATTATTGACATGTTGCAGATTGAAGTGTATGTATGCTCCAACCCAGCCATCCAATCCCTAGAAAGCCTCTGAAGGAAGATACTTTATGTTCTCAATAGCAATTATTTGCTGGAAGAGAAAAATGAATAGAAGAGAATGAAGAAAGAATACATTTTATGCTCTGCTTTTCATGATGTTGAGAACTTCTATCCTGAGCACGAATGTATTACTGTGTAAGTTTAAAAATAAATAAATTTATAGAGAGGTGGCTAATGGACTATTGCTAATAATTCAGAAAAGAAGAAATAAAAATTATTTCTTAAAAATCAAAAAACAACACTAGTTAAAAAATGTAAATGAAGATATTTAAAAATATGACTGAACAAAGGCTAAAATATATTTGTATTTATATGTTAATATAATATATACGTATAATTAAATATATTTATAACTTGTAAAAGTTTGAGGCAGTTGTGGTAGGGAGAAGGACGTTTAACAATTGTTTGTGAAAATTTAAATGGATACCATATACCTGCCGGGCCACGTAGAAATACAAATTAAAATGTTTAAAAATGCCCATAGCTTTCCTCCCAGAAATTTATCTTCTAAGATTAGAGCCTAAGAAATAATTATAGAATATAACATGTACAAAGATTTATGTTAGAAGATATATGCTGCATTATTATTTATAATAGAAACAAATGGGAACTACCGAATATTCTTTATTAAGTTGGTTAAACACACAATGGCATTATATTATGATTAAATACTACACTATAAATCATTAGGGATAATATAAGAAATATGTATTACATTGGAAAATGCATACAGTATTTTTTTTTAAAGAAAAGAGCTATAGAGCTGAAGTAGTAGGATAATCTATTAGTAATCCATGGTCATCTATAGGGAAAGGGATCATGGGTGGCTTCTATTTTACTGTTTGTGGCCTCTGAATACAAATATAATATTTGCATTCAGGATAAAAGTATAAAATTTCAAAACAAACTAGGAAGCAGAAATCAACCTTCTTAGTCATCAAGCTTCCCCACAGGTGTCACCCAGGCTGGCTTTAGCTCATTTACCCCAAGGAAAGTCCTGGTGCTGAGCAGGGAGGAACAGGGGGATGAGAGGAGCCCCAGCCTCAGAGAATCCAAGAGAATGCTCCACACCTCTGAGACACCTAGGGTCGTCCTCCTTTTAATTTTGCAGTGTGTATGTGGGGCTGCTTGTGAGTGGGAATTATAGGCATATGTACAATTTGGTGCATAATATGTTTCAGTTAAGGGCTGGAGAAGAAAAAAAGACAAGATTTACTTTCTCTAGTTTCAGAGATACCAGGAGATAAGGATGATGGAATCTGGAGTAATAGGTAAGGAATGAAGGCCTTTCAAAAGATAGACTGAATCTTCAGGATGGCTCCCAAACCTGAGGTTTCTCTCATGAGACTCTTGCCAGTTACTCCAGCCCAGGAGCCCTCTTTCTGGTCCAGAGGTCCTTCTGTCCCTTCACCAGGAGCAGCGAGACTCCTGTCCTTGGTATTGGCCATAGAAATCCTCAAGCAGAAGACCAGAGCTGCTTCTGCCCTCTTGCCTGTCTCTGACCCCAACCCTCATAAGCCCTTTCCTTTGAACTCGTTTTAATGGCATCTTTGTTCATCCCTAAATGACCATCTTTTCTTGCCCTCTTTCTTGTCAACACGTTTTGTGCCTTGTTGTTTATAGTCCCCTAAATGTCTAGGGATGGCAGGACCCAGGGGAAGGAATTGGGCTTGGGACAGGGCAGCCTGAACCCATGCCACGTCCCCTGTCACCAGCCCCAGGATGTCAAGGTCAATTAATCTCTGCTACACATTTTCGTCACCAGGGAAATGGGGATATGGTGTTGCTTTGCAGGACTGTTTTAGGAATTGGAGATAAAGCATAGTGCTTGGATGATAAGTCATATTTATTGTTATGATCACTATTTCCGGATGAATGTCCCTTGGGAAGTTCAATACAGTGCCCAATGCTAGAAGCAAGTCTGACTGTATCAACTATTCCAGGAAGATGTTTCCCCAAATGCGATCCATGGAACATGTTAAGGGCTGTTGCCTTGGGGCACTGGGAGAATTATAATTCCAGCTTTCACTTTTTAAAATGTATTTTACACATGTTTGTAAACTGACACCAAATGTAGTTGTTCCTGTCACTACATGACAACCTATATTAGAAAAATAATCGAATGCTCACAGAAGGCTATTTGCCAGGTTCTATTCAAATGCTTTATATATTTAATCCTTTAGGACTACTATTGTTCCCATCTTACAGATAAAACGGTTGAGGTACAGAGTTGTTAAAGCGTTTTCCCTGGCACACAGACACTACATGACAGAGCCAAGATTTGGATAGAGGCATCCAGCTCATGCCCACCACACTCCATTACATCTCAGTTGCCCAGCAGCGAACCTCATGGATTCCAGACGGCATTGACCAATGACCCTCAAGTGGATGCTGCCTGCTGATTGACCACTGCTCTGCATTGTGTGTTTTGTCTGAATATTTCAACATATGTTTGTGGCATTATTCAACATTTATGGTGTCTTAAATATTTATACTGCACAAATTGGTTCCCCACAGACCTAAGGCTGGAGGGAGGCAGTTTTATCTAAACAACAGCAATTGCAAATGACAAAAATTCTTGAGGTTCTCTGGAACATCTACAGTGAAAACTTCTAAGTGAAGAGAATTATGTACAGGTTCATTTTCAAAAATATCAAGAGAAGATCGATGAATAAGCAACATCCAAGGTAAAGGCTGTTTTGGAGGAGCTTAATTTTGCTCCTGAATATTGTGAAAAGTATAGTTTACATGCTTTTTGTCATATAGAGACAGTCATATAGAGTCTGTCATGGAGAGGCAGAATGTTTATAGTCTTCTCAAATTAAAACAAAATTTAGAAATAGATTTATTTCATCCTGTAATGCATATGAGAATAACACTTAGCAACATCATTTCTTTTTTCTTTTTTTTTTTTTTAACCATGGCTCATTTGTATATGTGTGCACTTGACAAGAGGTCTTGGGAAAGAGGTGCATCACTGTTATTAAATATAGAGAGCTTTGAAACAATTATTAGTGTGGTCAGCCCCATTTTGCTAGCTATGCCAGAATGATCATTTTGCTAGCTATGCCAGAATGAACCAACCTGCAAATTCTGCCACTGAGAAATAGAATTTAATTGTGCAAATACAAGAGGAACTTAGCCAAACAGACTACTAAGTTCCAAATAACTTTAGATAACCTTCTTTATTTATTTATTTATTTATTTATTTATTTATTATACTTTAAGTTTTAGGGTACATGTGCACATTGTGCAGGTTAGTTACATATGTATACATGTGCCATGCTGGTACGCTGCACCCACCAACTCGTCATCTAGCATTAGGTATATCTCCCAATGCTATCCCTCCCCCCTCCCCCCACCCCACCACAGTCCCCAGAGTGTGATATTCCCCTTCCTGTGTCCATGTGTTCTCATTGTTCAATTCCCACCTATGAGTGAGAATATGCGGTGTTTGGTTTTTTGTTCTTGCAATAGTTTACTGAGAATGATGATTTCCAATTTCATCCATGTCCCTACAAAGGACACGAACTCATCATTTTTTATGGCTGCATAGTATTCCATGGTGTATATGTGCCACATTTTCTTAATCCAGTCTATCATTGTTGGACATTTGGGTTGGTTCCAAGTCTTTGCTATTGTGAATAATGCCGCAATAAACATATGTGTGCATGTGTCTTTATAGCAGCATGATTTATAGTCCTTTGGGTATATACCCAGTAATGGGATGGCTGGGTCAAATGGTATTTCTAGTTCTAGATCCCTGAGGAATCTCCACACTGACTTCCACAATGGTTGAACTAGTTGACAGTCCCACCAACAGTGTAAAAGTGTTCCTATTTCTCCACATCCTCTCCAGCACCTGTCGTTTCCTGACTTTTTAATGATTGCCATTCTAACTGGTGTGAGATGGTATCTCATTGTGGTTTTGATTTGCATTTCTCTGATGGCCAGTGATGATGAGCATTTTTTCATGTGTTTTTTTGGCTGCATAAATGTCTTCTTTTGAGAAGTGTCTGTTCATGTCCTTCGCCCACTTTTTGATGGGGTTGTTTGTTTTTTTCTTGTAAATTTGTTGGAGTTCATTGTAGATTCTGGATATTAGCCCTTTGTCAGATGAGTAGGTTGCGAAAATTTTCTCCCATTTTGTAGGTTGCCTGTTCACTCTGATGGTAGTTTCTTTTGCTGTGCAGAAGCTCTTTAGTTTAATTAGATCCCATTTGTCAATTTTGGCTTTTGTTGCTATTGCTTTTGGTGTTTTAGACATGAAGTCCTTGCCCATGCCTATGCCCTGAATGGTAATGCCTAGGTTTTCTTCTAGGGTTTTTATGGTTTTAGGTCTAACGTTTAAGTCTTTAATCCATCTTGAATTGATTTTTGTATAAGATGTAAGGAAGGGATCCAGTTTCAGCTTTCTACATATGGCTAGCCAGTTTTCCCAGCACCATTTATTAAATAGGGAATCCTTTCCCCATTGCTTGTTTTTCTCAGGTTTGTCAAAGATCAGATAGTTGTAGATATGCGCCGCTATTTCTGAGGGCTCTGTTCTGTTCCATTGATCTATATCTCTGTTTTGGTACCAGTACCATGCTGTTTTGGTTACCGTAGCCTTATAGTATAGTTTGAAGTCAGGTAGTGTGACGCCTCCAGCTTTGTTCTTTTGGCTTAGGATTGCCTTGGCGATGCGGGCTCTTTTTTGGTTCCATATGAACTTTAAAGTAGTTTTTTCCAATTCTGTGAAGAAAGTCATTGGTAGCTTGATGGGGATGGCATTGAATCTGTAAATTACCTTGGGCAGTATGGCCATTTTCACGATATTGATTCTTCCTACCCATGAGCATGGAATGTTCTTCCATTTGTTTGTATCCTCTTTTATTTCCTTGAGCAGTGGTTTGTAGTTCTCCTTGAAGAGGTCCTTCACATCCCTTGTAAGTTGGATTCCTAGGTATTTTATTCTCTTTGAAGCAATTGTGAATGGGAGTTCACTCATGATTTGGCTCTCTGTTTGTCTGTTGTTGGTGTATAAGAATGCTTGTGACTTTTGTACATTGATTTTGTATCCTGAGACTTTGCTGAAGTTGCCAATCTGCTTAAGGAGATTTTGGGCTGAGACAATGGGGTTTTCCAGATATACAATCATGTCGTCTGCAAACAGGGACAATTTGACTTCCTCTTTTCCTAATTGAATACCCTTTATTTCCTTCTCCTGCCTAATTGCCCTGGCCAGAACTTCCAACACTATGTTGAATAGTAGTGGTGAGAGAGGGCATCCCTTTCTTGTGCCAGTTTTCATAGGGAATGCTTCCAGTTTTTGCTCATTCAGTATGATATTGGCTGTGGGTTTGTCATAGATAGCTCTTATTATTTTGAAATACATCCCATCAATACCTAATTTATTGAGAGTTTTTAGCATGAAGGGTTGTTGAATTTTGTCAAAGGCTTTTTCTGCATCTATTGAGATAATCATGTGGTTTTTGTCTTTGGCTCTGTTTATATGCTGGATTACATTTATTGATTTGCGTATATTGAACCAGCCTTGCATCCCAGGGATGAAGCCCACTTGATCATGGTGGATAAGCTTTTTGATGTGCTGCTGGATTCGTTTTGCCAGAATTTTATTGAGGATTTTTGCATCAATGTTCATCAAGGATATTGGTCTAAAATTCTCTTTTTTGGTTGTGTCTCTGCCAGGCTTTGGTATCAGAATGATGCTGGCCTCATAAAATGAGTTAGGGAGGATTCCCTCTTTTTCTATTGATTGGAATAGTTTCAGAAGGAATGGTACCAGTTCCTCCTTGTACCTCTGGTAGAATTTGGCTGTGAATCCATCTGGTCCTGGACTCTTTTTGGTTGGTAAACTATTGATTATTGCCACAATTTCAGCTCCTGTTATTGGTCTATTCAGAGATTCAACTTCTTCCTGGTTTAGTCTTGGGAGAGTGTATGTGTCGAGGAATTTATCCATTTCTTCTAGATTTTCTAGTTTATTTGTGTAGAGGTGTTTGTAGTATTCTCTGATGGTAGTTTGTATTTCTGTGGGATCGGTGGTGATATCCCCTTTATCATTTTTTATTGTGTCTATTTGATTCTTCTCTCTTTTTTTCTTTATTAGTCTTGCTAGCGGTCTATCAATTTTGTTGATCCTTTCAAAAAACCAGCTCCTGGATTCATTACTTTTTTGAAGGGTTTTTGTGTCTCTATTTCCTTCAGTTCTGCTCTGATTTTAGTTATTTCTTGCCTTCTGCTAGCTTTTGAATGTGTTTGCTCTTGCTTTTCTAGTTCTTTTAATTGTGATGTTAGGGTGTCAATTTTGGATCTTTCCTGCTTTCTCTTGTGGGCATTTAGTGCTATAAATTTCCCTCTACACACTGCTTTGAATGCGTCCCAGAGATTCTGGTAAGCAACATCATTTCTAATTTTAAGGAGCTATGTGTTTTAGAAGAGAACCCCAAAAGCAACGCTTAATAAAACATTTTTGGAGCATGTCCTCTTTTATAACAAAAATGCAAAACCTAAAATATTACTTTATGTTGATATATTTTATTCTCACTAACTTAGGCATAAGCAGATTTCTCTAATTCGTTTTTTTGTTCTGTAATAAAGCAAAGTGCATATAAATCAAATTTTTACCATTTATTTAAGTAATTAATTCACCTTTGAGAACTTTTTTGGTGCTGTCTACTATAATCTAAGCCCACATTTATATTTCATGAGCTCCTCTTGGTGTTCTATCCATATATCATAATTTTAAAATGTTTCATGGTCAAGTAGGTTTAGAAAATGCTGATCTAGAACTATCTAAAAATGTTTTCTTGCCTTGTAAAAAAGAGGTAAAATTTTTGTTAGCTGAGAACAATTCCACCATCTGTTTTGATGATGTCTGGCTACCAATGGCATGAAATGCCCCATAGATATAAAAATGATTAAGAAAACTCCCTCCAAAGAAAATGATGCCCTTGGGTTTTACCCTTAGGTAGATCAGAAGCCACTGGAAGGTTTGGGCAGGGGAGAAACAAGGGCTGACTTATGTTTTGAAAGAGACCTCTGGCTGTGTTGGAAGGGCATGTGGGAGGGCACGTCCAAGCACAAGGGAGGCGGCAACAACCACTGAGGCAGGAGAGGATGGCAGCTCGGTCCAGGGGAGGGAGCAGGGAAGTGGTGAGAAGCAGGCAGGTGATGGGGATGGTTTGAAGTGTAGGATTGGCTGCAAATTGAATGTGAGGCTTCAGAGGGAGAGTGGAGTTGGGGGCACCTAGGATCTCTGCCTTAAGAACTTGGAAATGTGGAGTTTCCATTTGCTAAGACAAAGAAGTCTATGATTGAATTTTTTAGCTGCAATCATAGCTCAATTGGAACATTTTAAGTTTGAGTTGCTTCTTAGCTACCTGATTGTGAGCAATGAGTAGGCATCTGGATTGTAAGGGAGAAGGACTTGCCATAGCTATAAAATTGGGGTAGTTAGTATGTGGATGATTTGCCAATAAACTGGATGAGATCCCTCAGGGAAATGGTTCACAAACTTGGCTGCATGTAGCAATCACCTGGGAAGCTATGAAAACAGACTGAGGCCTCTGTCCCACCCAGGAGACTGACTGCACTGATCTGCAGTGAAAACAGACTGAGGCCTCTGTCCCACCCGGGAGACTGACTGCACTGATCTGCAGTGCACTGAGAGTTTTCAAGGCTGCCCAAGTGATTCTGAAGTGCAGCCAAAGTTGAGAATCACTGCCTTTGGGACTCAATAGAAATGGAGAAGTAAACAGATCTCAGCTCTGGGCCACAGGCAATCCAACATTTTTAGGTTAGAGAGATGAGGAGTAACCAGCAAAGAGACTGAGAAGGAGCATCAGTGAGGAGCGAGGACGAGAAACACTGGTGTCCCAGAAGCTGAGTGAAGAAAGGAGGGCGCCATCAGCTGTTGAAGATGCTGGGGGCAAAGATATAAAATGAGAACTAAAACCAGACCATTGGATTTAGCAATGGGGGTATTGATAGCTTCCTTCACAAGAACCGTTTTGGTGAGTGGTAGGGATAAAGACTTGATTGGATAAGTTCAACCGGAAAATAGAACAGAGGAACTTGACAGAAGTATAGACAACTTTTTGAAAAAAATTAATATAAAGGGGAACAAAGAAATGGGCTGGAGGGGATGTAGCATCCACAGAGTTTGGATTTGGGTCTGTTTCTTGGATTTAGATGGGGATTACGCTGCAGTAGGATGCAAAGGAAGGAGAGAAATTGGTGAACTGCTGGGGTCATGTTGTCCTTGAGCATTTCAAAGGAGAGAAACTAGGGCCAGAGTGGAGGGGATGGCCCTGGACGAAAACAGGAGTAACAACAGGGAAGGAAGAGCATACGGTCAAGCTGCACACAGGCTGGCAGGGGTGGGGATGGCAGAATGTGACAGTCCTCTCCTTTCTGCTTCTGCATTCTTACGGGAAAAGGAAACAAGATTTTCTGTGAGGGGGAATGGAGGAAGGGGCATCACCGCTTTAAGGAGAGAAAAGCAACAGTGGACTAATCCTCTTGAAGCAATGGGGGAGTCAAAGAATTTGCAGTGAGTCTCAAACTTCAGCACACATCAGAATCACCTGGCACGCTGGTTAAAGGTGAAATTGTGGGGTTTCAGCCCCCGAGTTTCTGATTCCATAGGTGATGCCCATACTGTGGCCAGGGGACTTCCCCTGGAGAACCACTGGGATAAAGGGCTGCAGAGACCCACCAGGCTTAATGAGGGCTCCCTTAAGGGGAACTTATGATTTCTGGTTGTATCCAGGTAGGCTGGCTGTGTTTTCCTCCAACTACTTTCAGCTGTTAATGTGGAGGTGGAAATAAAGATTGGATTTGACCAATTGAGACTTCGCCAGGTAAGTTCATGTAAGTGACAAGTATCCTCTGTTCCCAGAAATCCTTGAAAACGCTTTCTTTAAAAACTAAATGAAAATAGCTCACCACTGATAAGAACTTTCCCAAACAGGGCCACGTAGTAAATATGCATTGATATGTATATTAAGAAGTACTATTTCATAATTTCAAGGACCACCAGATACAACAAGTCATAACAGCCTTAGTCATAACAATTCTTAGGAATTACTGAGTTCCATTTGAGTTTTCTTGGACTTCATCAACTATGTAAAGATGATGTTTATATGGATATATAGATATGTAGATGAGTATGTGCCTGTTATGTAGTTTTCCATAGTACAAAAAGCTATGGAAGAATCATGTAAAACCTCAAATTTACCTGCCTGAGTTTCCACTTCTCTATCAGTAAAGTGTGCATAATAATGTCTATTCCAAAGAATTGTAACGATTTAAAAGTCAATGTTTGTGGAAGTTCAAGGCTAGGCATTTGGAAGTTAGTATATCCTAATAGCTTTAAGTTACCTGGTTTTGATGACCTTGCATCACTTTGGGTCCTTGCTTCTTGGGATCTTTCTTGACAGCCTTGCTCACTGGTATCAGAAGGTGGTCGGTATCTAAGAGTGGGCTCTAATTTCCCATCTGCTCTTTCTCAGGAAGCTGAGAAATGGCAGCTGGAGACAAGAAGAGAGAAACTTCTGAGAAATGTATGTGTGTGTATGTGTGTGTGTGTGTATATATATATGTATATATAACAAACACATCCACATACATATATACATATATACTTTTAAATTTCCATATGTATACACATTTTTTTGTTTATGCATGTATGGAGATATATATCTCCAATAAATTGTGTCTAACTTGTTAATGGCCAAAGCATCTTCCCAGCTTTTAGATGAATAAATGGATATTAAATTCTACCCCCAACATGCTGTCTCTGGTAAGTAGAGAGCTTTTGAGTTAGTTCATTTTGGAGTCTTAAGCTCTCTCCTAGGGTAAATCCATTAATTATCAGATAGGATGGAGTACCAGAGACATCGCCTGACTCCTTAATGAGTTTCCCATAAACCTGGGCTATTCAGTAGAGGTCAAATTGATAACCACTAAGAATGAATATCAATGCCTTCTAGAGTTCTACATGGAATGTGATTATAACTACCAAATGGCCTCTACCTTATCACACTTTCAGAAAAATTAGTACTTCAAATGCTCATAATGGCTAACTTGAAATCAGGGATTTTTTATTATAGTTATTGTCAGTGAATCAGGACATACGAGTCCTCTGACAACAAGCTTTATGCATCAGAGAACTAATTCTTAATTATTTGTTCCCTTAAATGTACAGTTAAATTGTTTTTCCTGAAGTCATTTTTGTGGTGTTTTGTTCTGGATCTGGAATTTTCAGATTTAAATACTTTTGGAACTCTTTCCTTTCCCCTCAGTCTATTCCACCTATAAGACCTGAAGTGCAATGTAGTTATATTTCAGATGAAGGTACTGACTCATTGGGATATGGCCCAGAATTAGGATTTGAGAGGACTTGATGTTCTCCCTGTGCAAAAAGTGATTGAGGATCCACAAAACTTCAGAACTATTCCATTTGATTTGTCTTTAACTGGGCAAGACAAGACAGGCTCCCCCGCACTCAAACAATTGTCGAGTAAACATGCACACTGGGCTCTATTCTAGCCCCTCCCCTTCTGAAACAAATGCCATCACACCTTGTCATGAAACTGTTGTATGACGATCTTTTCCAACATTTTGTCTCAGTGATGTCTGTAATTTTTTTAATTTTTATTTTTGAGACGGAATCTCGCTCTCCCCCAGACTGGAGTGCAGTGGCATGATCTCGGCTCACTGCAACCTCCGCCTCCTGAGTTCAAGCGATTATCCTGCCTCAGCCTCCCGAGTAGCTGGGATTACAGGCGCCCACCACTACGGCTGGCTAGTTTTTGTATTTTTAGTAGAGACGGGGTTTCACCATGTTGGCCAGGCTGGTCTCCAACTCCTGACCTCAGGTGATTCACCTGTCTTGGCCTCCTAAAGTGCTGGGATTACAGGTATGAGCCACTGTGCCTGGCTGATACCTGTTGTTTTAAAAATCAGTTCTGAGAAGCTGTCTTATTCAAATATTGTGTACCTTCTTTAGTGATTGGATGGAAAAATTCATGCAGAAGAGGAAAGCTGTTTTATGCAAATTGCAATCTCTACTAATAGGACTTAAGGGAAAGGGACGTCCTTTGTAAAAAGGAAAAAAAAATAAAAAGAGAATTACCATATTCTTTGATTGCAAAGAACCGGCTTTGGGGATTTGCACTTGTAAGTCTAATCATGATAATATTTAATCATAAGAGTTGCGGTCGATTGTTTTATTGCTCCCAATTATTCACTGCCCTCCCTGTAGTGGGATTACACTTTCCTGCCCTTACTAACACCAAGCTTATCCACTGGACTTGCGTGGCTTAATAAAATCTGAGTGGAAATTGTGAGCGCCATCCTCCTAACCACGCTACAGAGTCCAACGGGATGCCCCAATCCTATGCCAGGCCCTGGGTCTTATTGCACTTTTCCGCACACACCACTAGCCAGAGAAAGAGCCAAGCCGCAGAAGGTCCCTGGCGACATGAGTGAGAGCTGAGCCTTATCACTAGTGGGCACAGATGCTGGAGGTGTTTGTCACCACAGCATAGCTGAAAGGAAACCAATAGAACAATAACATTAATTTGTATTGAACCAGATATTCTTTCCAGTGTGTTTTCTGTATCTGTATTAATTCGCTTAATCCTCACAGCAGCTCTGTTACTATTTGTATCTTGGAGATGAGGAGGCTAGGGCATGGAGGGTAGCCAGTGGCAGAGCCGTTATCGTCACACAGGCTGAAGGGTGTCACATCCACCATCTGAGCCACCAGCCTGTCCTTTGAAGCAGGGCAGGACAACTGCTGGAACACACGGCAACCTCTCCCTTGGACTCTTTGAAATACAAGGGATGTTCTCATGGAGGAATTAAGTCACTGGCAAATCAGGAAAACCAGACATTGGAAAGCCAAACACCCAGAGCCTAGCCCTGAATTTGGGAAATGTTTTGTAGCTTAAACTATATTTGCCAGGATACATTAAAAAGGAAAAAATTAAAAGACGGAAAACCTTGTGGTTCTCTTCCAGTTCCCAACATCCATATATCAAGAACCTTGAAATTTAAATTAAAATCCAATGGATGTGGGTGACCAAGAAAGATACCAAATTATACCCAGGTGTTTTATCTTTCGCTAATTGATGAGTTTGTCATAAGGGTTCTCTTCTCGATAAAAAGAGCCCTATATTCTAAAATAAACTTTTAATTTTAGTGTAATTGTAGATTTAATGAAAAGTTGCAAAGACAGTACAGAGGGTTCTTGTTTATCTACACCCAGGCTCCTACAGTGGCAGCACCTATATGCCAGGGGTATGCTGATGAAAACTAAGACAATGATATTGGTACATTACCCAGGCTTTGGCCAGATTTCACCAGTTTTTCCAGTAATGCCCTTTCCTGCTCCAGGATGCAGTTGAGTGTCCCACTTTACTGGTAATCCTCATAGCTCCTTTGTCTCTGGATTCTTTCCCTCTGCTCTGTGGCATGTGGTGGGTTTCTGGAGAAAAAAACCAGGGCTGGGCACAGTGGCTCACACCTGTAATCCCAATGCTTCGGGAGGCCAAGGCAGGCGGATCACCTGAGGTCGGAGTTTGAGACAAGCCTGGCCAATATGGTGAAACCCTGTGTCTACTAAAAATACAAAAGTTAGCTGGGCGTGGTGGTGCTTGCCTGTAGTCCCAGCTACTAGGAAGGCTGAGGCAGAAGAATCACTTGAACCTGGGAGGCAGAAGTTGCAGTGAGCCGAGATCACACCACTGCACTCCAGCCTGGGTGACAGAGCGAGACTCCATGTCAAAAAAAAAAAAAAAAAAAAAAAAGAAACTGAAAAAACCAGGAAGAGCCTTCTTCCTACCAGCTTTTACAGACATTGTTTGCCCCAGGTAAGCAAATGTTCATGTAGTTTTCTCCCTGAAGGCACCTGTCTCTCCAAACTTCAGATTGGTTACTTGCTTTGTTTGTTTGTTTTTTGGTTTGTTTGTTTTTTGAGACAAAGTCTCGCTCTGTTGCCCAGGCTGGAGTGCAGTGGCGTGATCTCAGCTCACTGCAACCTCCACCTCCTGGGTTCAAGCAATTCTCCTGCTTCACCCTCCCGAGTAGCTGGGACTACAGGCGTGCACCACCATGCCCAGCTAATTTTTGTATTTTTAGTAGAGACAGGGTTTCACCATCTTGGCCAGGCTGGTCTCGAACTCCTGACCTGAAGTGATCCGCCAACCTAGGCCTCCCAAGTGTTGGGATTATAGGCTTGAGCCACCACGCCAGGCTGTTTGCCTTTCGACCTCAGTTCTCTGAAGGGTTCACTAAAAGGCATGCACTTGTATTGTGTCCAGTTTTATTTCTTATAAAAATGGGAGTGATGCTTATTCCAGCTCTCCACAACTTCAAACTGAAACCAGCACCACTCTACCTTTTTTGTAAACAAAGCACATCTTTAGTCTAGAAATGTCAGTACTAGAGAACTTAAGTGGACAAATGCTGAAAATATATGTAGAAAGTTGTTCATTAAAAGTCATTATAATAGTAAAGAACTAGAAACAACTTAAATGTTAATGAATAAGAGGCTAGATTGATAAATTATGATACAATTATATACCTGAATGCTCTATGTCACTCACAGTAATGTGTAGCTCTGCGACTGTCAACATGGACAAATACTTCTGACAGATTATCAGGTGAAAATTTAGATTCCAAATTGCACACCTGTCTCCCAAGCCCAATTACATACACTTGAATGGGTTCACGCGTGACTGTGTGCTCATGTTTGTGTGCAGCAGTTATTTGCAGAGGGTGAGAAATGTAACAATCCACTTTACTGAAATGCTAAAAGCAATTGCCAATTCATGATAAGATTCTACAGAAAATTTTACTTTATGCTTTTCTTCATTGTTCAGTTTTTTAGAATATGTATTTAGAAATGAGTGGGTGTTTAAAATGAGTATCTATAGAAAAAATCAATTTTCATTTTCAAAAAGAGGGGAAGGGAAAGCCCGTTACTGTGTCAGCCTGCACAGGAGTTGGGGTGCATGTTTCAGAGAAGTGCAGATAAGCATGCCCTAGTTGCAGTAAATGTATCTACAAGGAATTCAAAAGCCTCTTGGCATAAAGTTTCCAAAGCCAAACTTATAGAAGTGGGGCCAAGCAGGGTTGTGATTCTGAGTGCAGGCTCTGGAGTCCATAAGACCTTGGTTCAAAATGTGGTTTTGCCAGTTATGAGCCAATGGCTTTAGGTAAGTGTCTGGAAAAAGTCAAATCTTTTTTCTATCCTCTCATTCAACACCGCAATCATTAACACAGAAGACTTATGTGCCCAATGTGTGAGGGTTTCTCCCGACCACAAGCAATCAACTGATTCTTCAGCAGACACCAGGTGGGTGTCCTCCAGTTCAATTACGACACCGTCTACCCGGAGATAGCGTCAGACCCCACCAGGTGAGGACTCAGCTGCTAAAACTTCCCTGACTCCTTCAGAATCAGTCATAAGTCCAGGCCTTTGGAACTTCTGACCACTGGCCCCAAGTTGGGATTTCTAGGACCCTCTCTTTTGTGGTCAATTAATTTGCTAGACTGAATCACAGAACTCAAAGAAACACTTAGGTTTACTGGTTTATTAATATTATAAAGGATATTGCAAAGGATACAGATGAAGCGATGTGTAGGATGAGGTATGGGGGAAGGGGCACAGAGCTTCCATGCCCTCCCTGAGTGCCACTCTTCAGGACCCTCCATGTGTTCAGCTACCCAAAAGCTCTCCAAACCCAGTCCTCTTAGGATTTTACAGAGGCTTCATACATCGACATGATCAATTAAACCATTGGTCATTGGTCATCAACCTGATCTTTAGTCTCTCTCCCCTCCCTAGAGGTTGGGGATGAGGCTTAAAGTCCCAACCCTTGAATTATGTCTTGGTCTTCAGCAACCAGCTCCCTCTTGAAGCTACCGTTACATGCTTATGTGCTTATATCATTATAGCTTATCTATCTATATATAGTTATGTACATTATATTATAAAAAACTATATATGGTTATATATATATCGTATATAATCATATATGTTATATGCTTATTATATCATATAGATATATAGCATATAATGCATTATATCATCATGTGCTATATATCATATATAATATATATACATATATATCATATATAATAATATATATATAGTTATGTGCTTAGGTGCTTATATCATTGTATGCTCTCTGTATACACAGAGCATACAATGATATATATGCGATATATAGTATGCATTAGCATACAAACTATACACAGATACACATACCACAAGATTTGCCTTAGCATATAAAAAGATAGTATGTTGAAGACTCCAAGGATTTTAGGAATTGCATGCCAGAAACCTAAACAAAAAACAAATACATATTTCACAATATCACAGTAAATTACTTAGGTTCTTGGAACTTCAGTTTTGTCATACTTAACTAGTGAGCATGAAGTTTTCCTCATGAGGTTACTATGCAGATGCAATGAAATAATGTATGTTCAGCCCTTAGCACAGTGCCTGGCACATAGTAAGTGTTCAACAAATGTGCATGAGAGTTCATATTAGCACTAGGTGGTGAGGCCCATGTGTTGTAAATATGGTTTGTGAGATGATGTTATGCTTTTCCTTTAAAGGATGGATTTCCTGGCTGAATCTCTGGCTTGTGCACTTGTGCAACTTCTAAAAACCCTCCACCAGGGGCACTTGCCTGTGCTCTGTGAAAGTGGCTTTAACTCATTCATGCCTGTATGGCGGTGCATTCTCCCACTGCAGGCTCAAGGTGGGAAGTTGGAGGACAGTCTCTTCCATAGCCTGCACAGCATATCTGAGGAATAAACACTCTGAATGTTCTCCCCTATAGAAAAGGAAGCCACAGCTACCATGGTCTCCCCATACCAGTGTATCAATTAAACCCCAAAAAAAACTACTTCAGGAGGCAAAGAGGTGGTGAACAGCACTCTGGCTTGGACCTGTCAGCAAAAGCCACTGCTGACAGCTATGATAGTGGCAACATAAGCATGGCTGAAAGACACCCACCGAGGAGGCTTGTGGAATTCTACTCTAAAGGAGAGTAAGGCATGGATCAGGCTGTATCATCACAGAAATCCACAGCACAGCCTTCCCTCGCCCTCCATCTCACACGAGTGAGAAACCACATTCGTGAAAATGATTAGACAAGTCCAGTTTGCAGACTCTTACCCGGACATGGTCATTTTATTCTTTTCCATCTGAAATCCAAGTAGCCAGTGGAGACAGCAGTGTATGTGGTTGGCTAATTCCTACAGTGCTCATAAGTTAACTAATTATTTCCATGGTCATTAAATCACTCTTTTCCATCTGTAAAGCCCTCATTCAGGCAAGTCGGGGATGGGGACCACCCTCTTTGCTTTGCAGATTTTCCAGCCCTAATGAGCAGATCAGGCCATTACTGAGGCGGAGATGCCATGTGACAACTCTGCAGAGCATGAATGATGTCAGCATGTGGGACTCAGCCGGCAGGGACAGCATGGCAGGGAGGAGCATGCTCTCTCGGCCCGGGGACCCCTGCACATTAGCCACCTTCACCACTGAGTGGCTGCCTGACGTTGGACGTGTGGACTTTTCTGGTCTCAGTGTCCTCCTCTGTGAAGAGTTTAGAGTTCTTCACTCCTAGGGCCGTAGCCTGCATTGGATGAATGAGCTCTGTGAGGTTCGATGCCCAGCACAAGTAGGCTCAATGCATGCTGGTTGTTACTCTGTTTGCGGCCAGAAGCACAGGAGATCCCAGTGGGCCCCAGGACCCTGTGAGCCTTTGACAGCCTTGAAGAATGTAGAGGGACATCCTGTGGCAGTGGAATGGGAACACAAGGATTATACAGTAAGGATAGCAAGGGGAGGTGGTGAGGCCAGCCTCCGTGAGAAGCTGGGTAGGAGTCCAATGGAAGACAAGTGGAAGATGGCTGGATGGGTAGTATGAAGCAAGGTCACCAGAGAAGGAGGCCTTCAAATGCAGGATGAAGACTTTGGCATGGGAGCCGGGCAAGGTGGGGTATGCTTGTAGTCCCAGCACTTTGAGAGACAGAGGTGGGAGGATCACTTGAGGCCAAGGGCCTGAGACCAGCCTGGGCAAGATAATGAGATCCTGTCTCTCTCTTAAAAAAAAAAAAAAAGAAAGAAAGAAAAATAGTCTCAACTACTCAGGAAGCTGAGGTGAGAGGATTCATTGAGCCCAGAAGGTCAAGGCTGCAGTGATCCGTGATTGCACCACTGCACTCCAGCCTGGGATACAGAGCAAGACCCTGTCTCGTTAATTAATGAACAAATAAATAAATAAATATTGTCATGGGGACAGGCAAGAGAGACTAGTTAGGAGGCCATTACAGTAAACCACAAACCAGGGGCTCAAGGCTGGTCCAGGAAAGCAAGATGTGAGAGGAGGGAAAGGCCCAAGAGCTAAGGCAGTGAGCAGAAGAATGAACCTCAATTGAAAACCTCTGTGAAGTACGGAACATCAACGAAAGAAGCCTTTGCATATTTGTTTTGTCCCCAAAGCAGACATATACAAGAGTACCTTGACTATCACCAAAAAGATCGCCAGTATAGAAAATACGTTTGGCTGACGCAACTGATGGAGAAAACCCTTCAAGATGCTCATGAACTTTGCTCCAAATCTTACAACACAACTGAAGGGAACCACAACTCAAATGGAGTTATGTAAGATTTCACTGTCCATTTGTGCTTTAAATGCATTCCATCATAGAAGTCAGAAAAGCTCAAATATTTTAAAATGTGAAGTAATTTTTTTCTTCAATTTTACTTCATTAATCCCTTCCAAAAAGTCTACTTTCAAAGGCTCAAGAAATTAGGTCTCACTTTTAAAGAATGGAGAAATGGCAGGATTGCCTTCAGAAGGCTCTATGGCCAAACACCAATACTGTCAGATATGAAAACACTGATGAATCAAAGTCTGTTCCAAGCATCTGCCAATTTTGATGTAAAGCCCTCTTTCTGTACTGATGAGCCTGCTTGACTGACAATACAGTAACTTTTTTTTCTCAAGTGAACGTCTTGCACCAGCATCTTAAAATCGTTAGAAGAAATGGGATGAAAATGTTCATTAAAGGTGATGAAGAAATTTGGATGAGACCTAAAACAGCCCTGATAAGAGGGGACTGAATCAAAGGCATCAAAGGTAGGGCAGCTGCTCCCTGCAAGGTTGCAGCTGGAAGGCGCCTGTTCAGGTAAGAGCTTAATTAGAGCTGTCAGTCACACTAATTGCCTGTGATTAAATGGCGTGAGTCAGCAGAGCTGGGCATTGGCCCAGTGATGAGCCTGCTTCATCCATTGTGAACTGGGGACCCGGGACTGCGAGGCTTACCAGTGACGAGCAAGCGACACACGGTAAGCACTCCCAGATCCTTCCATCAACACCCATCCGAAGCACTTGCTTTCTCCAAACAACAGCACTTTGTTTTAGCATCATCAAATCATGTGCTGGAAAAAACTTCCAAATAGCCCTTACTTGATGTCCATGTTTCCAAGGTTGGGCTCAGATTTCAATGATTAATAAGCAAACCCTTACCATCAGCTATGAAAGATTGGTCGCCTTTGAATGGCAAAGGTTTTCTTGTTTTTTGAATTTCTTCACTATCCTGCCTCTTGATAGCCCATGCCCACTCAGATTGCCCAGCTGGTGTTTGATGATGAGTATTTCTGTCTGAGATCTCTTCCTGTAGTCTGTTTTCCCTTCCAAAACCAGTTCTACCTTTTCCCAAGAAATCCCTTCACCACCATCACTTACCTCCATCGGGCTCCTTATTTCCAATAGAACCCACATATTGGGGGAATAGGGCCACTTCAAATCCTTCACGTGGCTCCTTCCTCACCCTCTGTCTCCCCATCCATCACTCCTTAGCTGCTCTCTGTCTATTTCACCTCCATCCAGAACTGAACACACCCTGCCCAGGGACCACTGGAATCCAACTGGGTGACCTGCTGTTCGAAAGGCAAATGTCTGTGCTTGGTTCCTATTTGTGGCCCCATGCTTTTTAAAAAGTATGCTACATTAAAAATATTTTTAAAATATCTAGAGTCAATGCTCGGAAAATTGTTATTGGGTGAACATGAGTACCTACGTTTTTCTGGGCAGAATAGAAAGTCCTGGAGAGGGACACTGCAAAGGATCTAAAAATGTCTGTGTCTGTTTGCATCTGCTTGTCTTTGATAGGACACCAAGTAAAGCAATAAAAATGTTAATATTCTCAGTCCCGCCTCTGCCTCATGGAGTCTCTGAGGCTGTGACAGCAATAAGGTAGGTGGAGAAGTTAAAGGGAAAAACAAATTAGGTCATGAGAGGATAAAGAGACGGATTTTCAATAGGCTTCGACCTTCAGAGATGGGAGGGTCTAAATTAAATGGATCATACAAAATTCAATAAACAAGGATTGGAGATGGCAGATGATTTATCCTATTATAATTTGAATTAAGCTGGAGCATCAATAACACCCCTGACCCTAAGGTTATTAAGAGACAGCTATTAACAGGAACAGAACCAGCACACGCTGTTGATGACTGCTCAGAATTTAGGGCTCAGGCATTTAGGGCTGGGGGATTGATTGTTTGAAAGATAAATTTCATCTTTGGTGCTGCAGAGCAGAGCATGGGAGGATGAGCAACTAGTGTTATCCCAGAGCCACCAGC
The DNA here is from genome assembly GCF_000001405.40 of Homo sapiens. Lineage (NCBI taxonomy): Eukaryota > Metazoa > Chordata > Mammalia > Primates > Hominidae > Homo > Homo sapiens. Next base: position 60,632,205 of record NC_000020.11, read on the forward strand.
CCACAGCCCACTCATATGTGACCACGACAGCATCACGTTCCCCTCGGCTTGGTGAAACTTTAGACAGATTCCATCCTGACTATCAGCCCCTCACCTCCCTTTTCATAGAGCATTTACTTTAGAAAATGTGCAATTATAAATCCTTTGGAGCTACAAATCTTCCCCCAGATTCTGGCTCATTTTACAACCCAGAAAATGCCTTTCTCAAGGACCTGGAAATCGTCTCTGTGAAATGTAAATGGTGAAGGAGTTGGCACTCCAAGCTCCCAGTTTCTGAGACTAGGAGCCTCCCCTGACTCCTCTGATGGATGCACATTAGAAAACACAGGCGGCCTAATCGGAGAAGAACGTTTGCAAGCTCAGGAATAACTCGGCCTGCTGGTCACATCCCATTGAGCAACCTCCCCTCCACTGACATCCTCCCATCCTTTCCACCAGCTCATGCCAGCATTGGGAAACCCTCCCACCTTTTGTATCATGGAAGTTGAGCTCAGGTTCTCTCCTCTATTGCAATAGTCTTTAGAGAAGTCTTCCTGGCCTGTTTAACTTTGTCCTGTACAGTTTTTACTTTTACTTTTACTTTGACAAGCCATCCGTGGAACCATTTGCTCCAAGCCCAGATCACTGGCTCTCAAGTCAGCCATCCTGTACATGCAGCAGGTGGGTGAGAGATGGTTAA